>NC_000016.10:87663236-88304513 GCF_000001405.40 Homo sapiens
TAGTTGGGACTACAGGCCTGTGCCACGTGTCCAGCTAATTTTTGTATCTTTAGTAGAGACAAGGCTTCACCACGTTGGTCAGGCTGGTCTCAAACTCCTGACCTCAAGTGCTCCACCTGCCTTGGCCTCCCAAACTACTGGGATTATAGGCATGTGCCACTGTGCCTGGCCAAGGTTAATTTCTTGATAGAGTTGGACAGTCGGTTTTGCTACAAAGCTTGTTTTGAAAATGAGAGTTGGTTCCAGCATGATTGATATATCAGGGAACAGTTTCAAGATAACACAAGTTTCCCGTTTTCCTTTGTGAGATTTCACCCACCAGAAGCACTGGGTGAACACAGCCACTGCCCCCAGCTGGCCTGATGCACCTGTGTTCACATAGGAACACATAGGATGCATACGCACCTCACACAGCCCCAGCCGCCCCAGGGACCCCATCCTCGTCAGGGCACAACTTCCCCGTCTCCACTGCCCCGTCTCTGCCACTCTGCACCAGCTCTCCAGCCCACCTCCCTCGGTAAACTTACAGCGTTTTCAAGCCCAAGTGCCGTGTTAATGTGTCTCTGAACCCCTTGACATGTGAAGCTGTGCTGCCGTTTTTATTAGGGTTTCTGTCTGTTTTGAGTGCCCTTTCCCTAACCCCATTCCCCAACAAGCCCTGTGGTTTTGACTGTGCGGTTTTGCATGCAGTGATTTCTAGGAATGCAGACGTCGAGTTGTGGTGGAATCGACTCTTCTGTGCTCATGTGAGGGAATGGCCTTGTTTTGAGGAAATATGCGCTGAAGTACTCAGGGGTTAAAAATCATATGGCCAGCTGGGCGCGGTGGCTCACGCCTGTAATCCCAGCACTTTGGGAGGCCGAGGCGGGTGGATCACGAGGTCAGCAGATTGATAGCATCCTGGCTAACACGGTGAAACCTCGTCTCTACTAAAAATATAAAAAATTAGCTGGGCGTGGTGGAAGGCGCCTGTAGTCCCAGCTACATGGGAGGCTGAGGCAGGAGAATGGCGTGAACCCGGGAGGCGGAGCTTGCAGTGAGCCGAGATTGCGCCACTGCACCTCCAGCCTGGGCGACAGAATGAGACTCTGTCTGAAAAAAAAAAAAAATCATATGGCCCGTCAGGCGCGGTGGCTCACGCAGTTTGGGAGGCTGAGGTGGGTGGATCACTTGAGGTCAGGAGTTCGAGACCAGCCTGGCCAACATGGTGAAACCCTGTCTCTACTAAAGATACAAAAATTAGCCGGGCGTGGTGGCATGCGCCTGTAATCCCAGCTACTGAGGAGACTGAGGCAGGAGAATTGCTTGAACCTGGGAGGCGGAGGTTGCAGTGAGCCGAGATCGCGCCATTGCACTCCAGCCTGGGCAACAAGAGTGAAACTCCGTCGCAAAAAATAGTAATAATTCGTCCGTCTCCTCGGCGAGTGGAGGCTGGGGCCAGGGTGGAACAGGAGCTCCACGGTGAGCCACCCCGGAGTGAAGGCCACTGGCCCTCCTTATCCTTGCTGCGGTGTGGGGGTGTGGGTGTATGACCCACAGCTCACATGTGGAAACATGGAGGCCCCGGGGCCTGTGTGACTTGCCCAGGGTCCCAGCTAGCAGGTGGCAGAGCAAGACCTGTATGCAGAGGCCCAAGGAAGCGTCATGAGGACCCAGGTCACCAGTGCATCTCCAGGGTGAACCTGGCCCCTGCCCAGCGCATTTGCCTGTCCCCTGAAACCGCCACCACACAAAACCATGTGCATCTTCAGAGCAGGAGGCGTCTCCACCATCTGTTTGCTCCCGTTTGACAAATGGTCGGTGCTCCTTGAACGGATAAACAGGAACCATCCGGCCCTCTTCCTTGCCGGAGCTCATCCCTTTGACTCCAGGGAGGGAGGTCATGAGCACCACAGTCTTTATGGGGGAGATCACTGGCCTGCCCCTGGGCGGAGAAGCCAAACTAGAACCTTCTCCCCAGGGTGAGCTCACAGGCTTTTCCCATCCGGGACCCCTGAGCCGATTGGCTGCCCGGGACCTGCTGTTATATCGGGGGCTCCCATTGCAAAGCCCCTGCGTGGGCTGGCTTCCCCGGGTTTGGTTTCTCCCCATTGTGCAGGGTCTTGGGGTAGGGTCTGAGCCAGGTCACCCTGGAGAACCGACAGCACCGGCCCAGCCCCGCTGTGACCTGCTGACCCCGGACCCCGCACTTTGCTTAGTGCTTTAGGTCTGTAGGAGTAATCTTTGGAGAATCGTGATTCTGGGACCCGAGCTCTGAGGGAACAACCTCCTCTGAGCCTCCCAAGGCCCCCCAACATTGTGGGGTGAGCCCCACCTCACAGATGCTGAGACAGGCCTAGAGGCGTGGCGCTCCCAGCCCCATGCCCCACATAGCTCTAAGGCCTGGCCTCACTTGCAGGTGAGGGTCCTAGGAAGCTGGGGGTGGGAGCAGGCCTAGGAGAGGCACTCAACAACCACGGCTCAGCATGGTCTAGAACTGCCCCCTCTTCCTCCCGGCTGCCCCGAGTCTGGCTTCCGTCAGACCCAGCCTCCTTCCCCAGCCCATCCCTCTCCCTCTTTGATGAGGCCGATGGGGCAAAGACCTTTGCTTCCCAGAATGTTCTGTCCCTGGTTGGAACACTGGTCCCTGGGACACAGCCCTGTCCTCAGCTTTGAAGTCAGTTCCCATCGCTGCCCCCCAGGTAGCTGGCTGGCTTCTGCCAACCTCAGCCTGGTCGCAGCTGGCACCTCCTCACCAGGTACTAAACCAGGGTGTGCAGAGGCCCGCTCGATCCATGGGGCAGATCAGCAAATGGTAGTGCAGGATGCCCCATCATATGTGAATATCAGGTAAATAACAGGTACTTCTTTTTTTCTCTTTTTTTTTTTTTTGAGACAGAGTTTCGCTCATTGCCCAGGCTGGAGTGCAGCGGCATGGTCTTGGTTCACTGTAGCCTCTGCCTCCCTGATTTAAGCAGTTCTCCTGCCTCAGGCTCCCAAGTATCTGGGATTACAGGCACCTGCCACCATGCCCAGCTAATTTTTATATTTTTAGTAGAGACAGGGTTTCATCATGTTGGTCAGGCTGGTCTAGAACTCCTGACCTCAGGTGATCCGCTCCCCTCGACCTCTCAAAGTGCTTATATTACAGGCATGAGCCACCGCGCCTGGCCTATTTTTTTTTTTTTCCCTTGGCAACAGGGTCTTGCTCTTTTGCCCAGGCTGGAGTACAGTGGCGCAGTCATGGCTCACTTCAGCCTCAAATTCCTGGGCTCAAGTGAGCCTCTCACCTTAGCCTCCTAAGCAGCTGCAACTACAGGTGTGCACCACCATGCCTTACTAATTTTCTTTAAAATTTTTTTGTAGAGATAGGGGTCTCCCTATGTTGGTCAGGCTGGTCTCAAACTCCTGGGCTCAAGCCAGAGAGGGGCTGGCCTGGTGCTCTGGGTTCTCCAGACCCCCTCCTGCCTTGGTCTCCCACAGTGCTGGGATTACAGGATGAGCCACGGTGCATGGCCACCTGATGGATAATGTCTAATATAAGAGAACCCCTAATTTAGCTGTCCCTGTACCCTTGTGAGGTGAGCAGTATTGTTGCCTACATTCTATAGATGGGGAAACAGAGGCCACAGAGGCCTAGCAGCCTGCCTCGTCACCGAGTGGGAGCTTGGCAGGGCTGGGATCTGAACCCAGGCCGTCGGCTCCTGGGCCTGTGTGCCCCCTCCATGACCATATCAGCTTCCTACAGCTTCCATGACAAAGCACCACAAAACCGGAGGCTTAAACACAGAAACGCAGTCCCCCAGCTCCGGGCAGAAGCTCGAGACGAGGGTGTGGCAGGGCCGTGCCCCCTCTGCAGCCTCTGGGGAGGGTCCCTTCCGGCTTCTGGGGGCTGCCGGCCTCCCTGGAGTGGCCACGTCACTTGTTGCTGCTGTCTCCCTCGTCACGTGGCCTCTCCTTCTCTGTCTCTTAGCTCCCTCTGCCCCGTCCTGAGCACAGCTGTGATTGCATTAGGGCCCACCTGTATAACCGAGGATGCCCTCTTCTCAAGAGCCGTACCTTGATCTCATCTGCAGAGATGCTTTTCCCGACGTGAATGGAATATTCTGAGGATTAGGACGTGGACCTACCTTGTTAGGGGCCACCATTCAGCTGACTGTCTTTGCCAAGCACAGGCAGTGGAGACTGTGTCATGCTCTGATCCGAACAATCGTCCTTCTGTCTGCCGCCCGACTTCCCCAGCCCTGTTCAGAAAGACAGAAGGAACTCCTGCCCCACCCTAAGCTGAAGTCGGGAGCGTGAGGACCCTTTATCTGGTCTTTGGGGGCCAGGTGGGTTCACGGGCACAGGACAGCATGACAGGCAGGGCCTGGCATTGGGACACCTGGGTCTTAGTCCTCACCTGTGACAGCGGGGGGTCTTGGGCAACGTCCCACCCCTCTCTGGGCCTTGAAGATGAAGGGGTTAGATCCTGGCCTCCCGGAGCTTCCCCTGGTGTAGGATCAACACACTTTTTCTGTCAAGGACTAGAGAGTATTTTAGGCTTTGCTGGCCCTGTAGTCTAAGTCACATACTCTTCTCTGTCTGTTTTTGTTTGTTTTGTTTTGTTTTGTTTTGTTTTTGTTTTTCCTACAACCCCTTTAAAATGCAAAACCCGTTCCTAGCTCCAGGCCATGGCTGCCATTGGGCTGTGTTGAGCCTGTGGCGCGTGCACAGGCCCCTGCCCTTGGTGGACACTCTGATTCCACCTGCAAATCCTGAGCGCACACCGGCTCTGAACAGGCTCTGTGGCTTCAGAAACTTATCTTCTGGCTTCGTCGATCTGGCTGGTTTGCCCTGGGGATCCCGCATCCTCTGACTACCGTGATGAGCAGAGCGCAGCGCCCGGCTCCGTGGGCCAACTTTTGGTGTCTTGCCCTGCCTGAGCCTGTTCCTCCTTCCTCTCCCTGCCCCTCCAGCCGCTCCGGGTCCTCTGGGAAGCTCTGGCCTCTTCACCAGCCCTGCGCGGCTGCTGGATCTGGAGGCCGGAGCCGGCACATGCGTCTGACAGCAGCGCTGCTGTCTCTTGTTTTTCGTGGTCCATGTTTGGGGGTTACATCTGGGCCTGTCCCTTCTCTGTGTAGCCTGAAGGCAGTTCCCAGGCTTGTGTCCCTCACCTCTCCGCAGACGCCCTTTCCAGATCCTGTTCAAATCCTGGCCCTACTCACGGGAACTTGGGTGAGTCAGTTCCCTTCACTGAGCCTTCATGCCTCCCTGTTAAGGAGAAGCTTCACTCGGCATGGCGTGGCCCGTCACACTCATCCTGCATCTGTTACACCAAATGCAGTTTCCTCTTCTATAAATGGGAGAAAATCACCTGTCCTTGCCAAGGGTCCGGTGGGAATTAAATGAGCTGAGCCAGGGCACGGGTGGAGCTTGCTGAGTGTTAGGTCGTGTGCCTGCTCTTCTTGGCGGAGTCTGGCCAGATACCTCATCTGGTTCCATTGCTGTCAGTCTCTAAATGGGGCCTTTCCTGCCCAGCTCCCAGCCCTGGTGCTCACACCATCACAGGCCAAAGAACTGGATTCCAGACACTGCCTCCTCCACTGTCCCCACAGTGAAAATGGGGAGGGATGTCCCTGTGGAGCCCTAACTGGGACCCAGACAGCCCTACCCCCAGCTCCCACCCCCTCCGGCTGTCCCGGAGGCCGTGCTCCGTGGATCTCCTCTCCCTCGCCTCCACGTGGGCTCCAGGTAGCTGCACACGCATTACAAACATCTCGTTAATCTTCTCGGAGGTCCTGCGAGGCGAGGCCTGTGGTAGCCCTGCCCTTGGAGCACTGAGAATTAGTAAGGAAATCGCCGCTGCATCTCCCGGTGGCACAGGGGCGTGGAGGCGTGGCGGGCCTTCCCTCTTGCACCACTTTGGATCCTGGGTCCTCACAGCAGTGTTCTCTGCAGGGGAGGTGCAGGCATTGGTCTGCTCTAGGGCCAGGTGGTCTAAAAAGTCCCTGGTCAGCCCCGAGTCCTGCAGGAATCTGCATGTTAGTGGGATTTGGGGTTCAGGATGCTTGCCTGCTGGGTAGGATGGGGTTGCTGAGTGAGGCTGAAATCCCAGATGGGATGTCTGGGCTCCTCCATGCCTGACTTGGGAGGGGTGAGAAAAGGAAGGAGACTTGGCCATCTTTAGGCTAAAAGCCTAGTGCTGTCTCACAGGAGGGAAGAGCAGGTCTCTGCAACACACGCCTGGGGTTCCGTCCCCTCTGGCCACTTGTCTGTCACCTTGGACACGTTGCCTGGCAGCCTCTGAGCCTCAGTGTGCTTCTGTGAATTGGGGTGACCCTAGCACGGTGCTCACGACAGAAAGCATGGGAGTGCAGACGTGGGTCAGTGGCCCGCGGTGAGAGCTCCCTGTCTGCCCCATGGTGAGTTTCCACAGCAGTGAGAGAGGCCTGGCGTGTGGGGTGGAGGCCGGGACAGTGTGAGGGCCGCCTGGTCAGAGCGGGAGGCAGGACCCCGTAGGGAGATGAAAGCCAAGCTGGACCCAGGCAGAAAAAGAGGAACGAAGGACAGGAAGTCCAAGAGCAGTCACTGCTGACGTGAGTGCGGCCTGCAGGCAGCCAGTGTGGATGGACTCTCAGGCCCTCCGTTGTGTGTTAGGGGACCGGAGGAGCAGAGAGGTTGCAGCAGCCGGCCGGCCTCTCTCGGTGAGGGCCGGACTGCACATGGGGCTCAGAGGCCGTGGGTGTGCCTGCCCGCCTGTGTCAGCTCCAGCCGTGGGGGCGGGGGTAATCCGAGGCTGCGTCCCGAGGCTGTGGGAGCTCTGCCTTCATCCTTCCATTCACAGGTAGGGACACAGGCGTGGGGATTCCACGGTGCCCTTGAGGCAGCTGTTTCCTAGACCCCCAAGGCCCTGACGGAGACTCCCCCACCCCTCAGGAGCAGAGGGTGAGGCGGGGTCTGCACCGGCCGATGTGGGCAACTGTTGCACCCTCGGAGCCCAGCAGCGAGGGTGGGGGTCTGTGGGGAGTCAGCCGCAGCCACCAGCATTGCTGGAATGTGTCAGAATGGTGGTGCCTCCTGCAAACAACCTTAGCCTCTGTTCATCCTGTCACCAGGGTCCTGGGAGAAGCAAACCCACGTGTGGCCTCTGCAGGGTGGGTGGGGAGGTTCTCCCGGCCAGGCCTGACTGACGCCCCTGCTGCTCCCTGTGGTCCAGCCTGGACTTGCCACCGATTATTCTATCAATGGCACTGCACTGGGCACCAGGATCCAAGCAGTGGACTGCGGGACAGGACCTGTCCCTGTGAGCGGCCTGTCCCTCTCCCCAGGCCCAGCCTCCTGTTGGTTATCCTTCCAAGCCCATGCCTGGGCTGTGCGATCCACCTTTCCTCCAGGCACTCTTCAGGCAAATCTCTGGAGCACCCACTGGGTGCCACACACTGCGGATGGGACGCAGGGTACCGCACAGCCCCGGTCCTCAGGGACCCGGCGGGGACAGCACTGGTGAAAAACCACGGAAGTACATTGATGTGTCACTTCAACAGGGGCCTACGCAGGGGCCTGCCCTGTGCCAGGCCCTGTCGTTGGTTTGTGGGGTGAAGACCCTGTTCCTATGGTGTGGACGTGGTAGAGATCCAGGGGCTCTGGCAGCTTGTATGGGGGAATGGGGACGGGAGGGGGGTCAGGAATGGGCTTCTCGAGAGAAGTGACATTTGGTCAGAGGCCCAAGAGCGGGAATTGATCCTGGCCCTCCCTGAATCAGTGTGGTGTGACCCCTCCCGCCAAGGTGAGGGTAGCAAGGTGCCTGGGGCTGGAATCCTGGGGCTGTGGCCCGTACAGTCGCCCGGGACCCATGCCCAGCAGGGCCCTGCACCCGGAGTTTAACACTGAGGTCCCCACCTTGAAATTCCTAATCATTGAGTCTTTGTAACTTGTGTTAGGGAGTCCAGCGAGACAATGGGGTATGTGCGGGGTCTTTGGAGCTTCAGCCCATGCACAGACACGTCTCTCTGTTCCTCGACTCCTAGCATGCTCTCACCTGCCTGCCCCAGAGACCAAGCCCCACCTGGCCCCTTCGTCACCCCGAGGTGGCGACTGGGTTGTGCTGAAGGAGGGAGGCCCACACGCCACCACTGCCCTCTGACCCGTCAGGGGCCCCGAGGGCCTGGTTGGTCAGGGCTGGGCACTCCACCCACCCCGGATGACAGCACCAGGCTCATGTGCCAGGTGACTCAGCCAGGGCCACTCACCAGCGCCACCTGGTATGTCCTGGGTGGCGGCCGCTGTGCCTGCTCCTATCCACCATGGTTGGGCACTGGCTGGGAAGAGAGGTGACCACCAGGCCCTAATAGCAGGAGTCACCCACACAACCCTTGTACCCAGCCCTGGGGTCCAGGCCGCCTGCACCGGCTCAGTTCTGCGCCTGAGCTCCCAGCTCTGGGGTCCAGGCCACCTGCACCGGCTCAGCCCTGCACCCGGGCTCCCAGTGCTGGGGTCCCCCACCCCTTGGTGTTGCCGCATCCTCCCTGGGCCCAAGATTCCTGGAGCTGGAGAACCCCCTTCCTCCCTGAGGCATGGAGACTGGGCTGGTCCTGAGCCCACTCCAGGCACAGGGGACACACCTGCTTCCTTCTTAACTGAGTAGAGCAGAGTTATTTTGAAGATCGGTTTTCAGCAGGACAGTAAAAAGGCGAACTGGGAGATTGTTCATGCAGCAGCTTCTAAAACCAGTTTTTAGATAAATGCACCTTCGTCTGTGGGGGGTGGCCGCACCCAGCCTCGCTTCAGGTGCCTGACGGGGTACGTGCTGCGTTCAGTCCCAGGCAGGTGTAGGGCTGGGCAGGTGGAGATGCGGTGCCCTCGCTCAACCGGGGTCTAGGCTCCTCGCCGGGCGGGGTTCACCTGCTATCCCCAGTGTGTGGGGGCGGGGGTGTGGGGTGAGGGAGAAGAGTGGGGCACTGAGTCTAAACATAGGCTGTGGCCTGTAGGTGAGGGGAGGCGGCAGCAAGGAGGGGGAGATCAACTCCTGAAGAGACTCCGTTTCTAACACGCCGGGAGCCCTGCGCTTTGTCATGGAAACTGGCAAGAGTCCCTCTCCATCCCTCCCTACTCCCAGAAACAAGATGGTCCCAGGCTAACGGGCTTCTCTCTGGCCTGGCCCTGCTCCCAGACCCCCGCTGAGGGTGGTAAACACCCCAGCCGCGCCCTTGGCAGGGGTTCCGTCCCAGGGGCCTCCCTGTTCTCACTGTGAGGGTGGGCATGATGGGCAGCTTTGCGGAGCCTCCTCAGCACAGAGCCGCACATGACGGGGGTGGACAGACTGTGGCCCCACAGCCGTCCATCACTTTCATCCTGTATTGGGGGAGAACGGGGCTTGCTTGAGGTCTGTCCTGGATATTCGTAATGCTGGCATTGACGGGGCCAGTGAAGGCTCTGATTGGTGCGGGTGACGAGGACACAGTCGCAGCAGGCGTAGACCACCAGAGCAGGGTGTCCACGTGGCTGGCCACGTTTAGTTGATAAAAGTGGCATCTATAAATGGGTGGTGGTGCGGAATGGGTGGTTGATTAAATGGTATTGGGCCGCTCAGGTGGCCATTGGGGAAAGGTAAAGCTGGATCCCTACCTCATACCAAAATTATTCTAGGTGGATAAAAAGTTTAAATGTAGGCCAGGCAGTGGCTTGTGCCTATAATCTCAGCACTTTGGGAGGCCGACATGGGCACATCACCTAAGGTCAGGAGTTCAAGACCAGCTTGGCCAACATGGTGAAATGCCATCTCTACTAAAAATACAAAAAATTACCTTTGCGTGGTAGCACGTGCACGTAATCCCGGCTACTTGGGAGGTTGAGGCAGGAGAATCGCTTAAACCCAGGAGGCGGAGGTTGCAGTGGGCCGAGATCGCACCGTTGCACTCCAGACTGGGCGACACAGTGCGACTCTGTCATTAAAAAAAAAAAAAGTTTAAATGTAAAACATAATAAAAGCTGGTTTCCTTACTGCATAAAACACTTCTACAAATCGACAAGAAAAAAAAATCAACCGCACTCTTAATAACAGAAATGTAAATTAAAACTACAAGGAGATAATGCTGGGTTTCACTTGTCTTGGGAGAGATTTAAAAAAAAAAACTGATCTACTGAATTACAGAAGATGCGAGGAAACAGACCCCCTCGTGCTTTGCTCGTGGGGGTGTAAATGTCCTCCCTGGAGAGAAAATTGTGAATCTCTAGCAAAGTTCAGACCCCAGGAACATTTAAACTGCAGCTTTAATTCAACAGCGGCACTTCTGGAAGTATCTTCTGAAGATGGATTTGTGTGTGAAATATCAAATATACAAGGTTGTTATTAGACTGTGAATTCTAATAGGAGAACATGGAAGACAGCCTTCATGTCCATCAGCATGGGCGGACTTCATGTGTTCTGGAACGGTCATTAAAACAAGAGGCTGGGCACGGTGGCTCACACCTGTAATCCCAGTACTTTGGGAGGCTGAGGCGAGAGGATCACCTGAGGTCAGGAGTTCGAGACCAGCCTGACCAACATGGCGAAACCCTGTCTCTACTAAAAATATAAAAATGAGCTGGGTGTGATGGCGGGCACCTGTAATCCCAGCTACTTGGGAGGCTGAGGCAGAAGAATCGCTTGAACCTGGGAGGCAGAGGTTGCAGTGAGCTGAGATTGTGCCACTGTACTCCAGTCTGGGTGACACAGCGAGACTCTGTCTCAAAAAAATAAAATATAAATAAATAATTTAAAAATTATTTAATAAATAAATAGAATAAGAAAGCTGTGTTTGCTGATATGGAACAATCTCCAAGATACAGTGTTAAGTTAAAAAAAAAAACAAAAACAGGCCAGGCGCAGTGGCTCACGCCTGTAATCCCAACACTTTCGGAGGCCGAGGCAGGTGGATCACGAGGTCAGGAGATCGAGACCATCCTGGCTAACACGGTGAAACCCCGTCTCTACTAAAAATACAAAAAATTAGCCAGGCGTGGTGGCGGGCGCCTGTAGTCCCAGCTACTCGGGAGTGTGAGGCAGGAGAATGGCGTGAACCCGGGAGGTGGAGCTTGCAGTGAGCCGAGATCGCGCCACTGACTCCAGCCTGGACGACAGAGCGAGACTCCGTCTCAAAAAAAAACAAAAACAAAAAAAAGCAGGGGCAGAACTGTGTGTGGTGGGCCAACACTTGTGTCCAGGTTTCTAGCATGTGAGAGTGTTTGAAAACTGGAGCCTGTCCTGTGACGGAGTCTTGTGCAGACATGAAAAACAAGAGATATCCTAGTGAGCTCCCAAACAGGGACACCCATGACAGAGTAAAAGCAGAAACAAGTCACAGGAAAAAATATGTAGAGCATAACCCCATTTGTGCGGCAAAAATAAGGTGTGTATGTCGATCACTGCATGGGAGAGGAAGCGAAAGAGAACCACTCAGAATGAAGAGTCATTTTCTGTGGGAAGCTGGACACATGTGGAAGGGTTTGAAGGAGGAGTTTTACTTTCATTCTGTACATTGTAAAATTTTTTCTAAAGAACTTGTGTTTTACTTTTGTATATTTTTATTTATTTATTTATTTTGAGATGGAGTCTTGCTCTGTCGCCCAGGCTGGAATGCAGTGGCGCGATCTTGTCTCGCTGCAACCTCTGCCTCTTGGGTTCAAGCCATTCTCCTGCCTCAGCCTCCTGAGTAGCTGGGACTACAGGCGCCTGCCACCATGCCCGGCTAATTTTTGTATTTTTAGTAGAGATGGGGGTTTCACCATGTTGGCCAGGCTGGTCTTGAACTCCTGACCTCAGGTGATCCACCAGCCTCGGCCTCCCAAAGTGCTGGGATTACACGTGTGAGCCACAGCGCCTGGCCAACTTTTGTATATTTTAAAAATAAAATATCCAGCCACAATCCCTGAGAATAGCTAGGCAGTGGAAGGATGATTTCTACCACCCCATGCCCCACCCCCCAGCTGGCAGAAGCTTTCACCCCCCGCCCCTCCCCCGCCGTTTCCCCGACTCGCTGACCCCTCCTCTGCCCCTGGGCCTTTTGCATCCTGGAGCTCTCTTCCCCTTGCCAACTCCTCCTGCCTCCCAGGCCTCAGCCACGCCTGCTTCCTTTGGGCTGATGCTGAGCACCAACCCAGAGTGTCGGTGCTGCTCATTGCTCCAGTGACCCCGTCCAGACCAGCCTCCCCGTCCAGCCTTCCTCTTGCTCCTGGGCAGGACCTGCCCTGTGCTTTGAGGCCCTGGGGCCTGCACATATCCAGCATGTGGGTGTGCCCTGTCTGTGTGTACCAGGTAAGCGGGCAGATGAGCCCAGCAGACACTGCTGCAGCCGGAGGCTGCCGGCAGCCCGCAGTGGCACAGCCGTGCTGTGGGAGGGCCTTTCTGTGTCTGGGGCTGTGTTTTCCACACTCCCCCTCTGGCTTTTACTGTTTTGCTCCGGGAGTGTGGCTTTCTAGAGTTTTGTCTGATTTTATAGCAGAGTTTCTGTTAACTCAAAAAGGGACTCCACAGTGAAGGTTTAAAGGTGGTCCCAGCTGCAGCAGGAAGCAGGTGTGGGGTGCCTGCTGCCCAGGCCCTGTTCCCCAGCACTGCTTCTGACCCAGGAGGGGCTGGGGAGAGGACCACTATTCCTCACCTTTCATACACCCACTCCCATCCTATTTCGCACCCCTTCCTCCAGGCTGCCTGCACCTCTGCCCTGCTGGCCTTTCGCTCTGTAATTCCTTTCTGAAAGAAATGTTTTCCATGAAACAACAACAGCAAGAAGAAAGCAGATCAGCTGTTGGCAGGAGCTGGGAGGAGGGATGGGGAGGGCAGCTGATGGATATGGGGTTTCTGTCGCAGGCGACGAAAGTGCTGTAAAGTTAGATCACGATGGTGGTGACCCGCCTCAGTAAATGTGCTAAAAACCAGTGAATTATACTCTCAACAGGAGTGTAATTGCTGTCTTCTTAGAACGTGTGGCCATGGAAATGTGCTCTTTTTATGTGTTTACCTTTGTATCAGCCGTCTTCTCAATGAGACCAGAATCCCTATCAGAGCAAGGACCTTGTTTGTGTCTCCCTTTTCCTCTATGTCCTAATATACAACAGTGTGTTTAGCTTGTAGCAGACACTCAATTTAACAACATCTTTTTGAACGAGTGGATCCATAAATGCATTAAGTGGCTCTGTGACTTCAGACTCTTCTTCAGGTTTACGGTATATAAATATATCATTTACGGTACCTTCATTTATGGTATATAGGTGATATTTTAGCCGGGGTGCAGTGGTTCACACCTGTAATCTCAGCACCTTGGGAGGCAGACGCAGGTGGATCACGAGGTCAAGAGATCGAGATCATCTTGGCCAACGTGGTGAAACCCCGTCTCTCCTAAAAATACAAAAATTAGTCAGGCATGGTGGTGCGCGCCTGTAATCCCAGCTACATGGGTGCCTGAGGCAGCAGAATCCCTTGAACCTGGGAGGCGGAGCTCGCAGTGAGCTGAGATCACACCACTGTACTCCAGCTTGGGTGACAGAGCAAGACTCCATCTCAAAAAAAAAATTGTTATCTCAGCCAGGCACAGTGGCTCACACCTGTAATCTCAGCACTTTGGGAGGCTGAGGCAAGTGGATCACATGAGGTCAGGAGTTCAAGTCCAGCCTGACCAACATGGCGAAACCCCGTCTCTACTAAAAATACAAAAATTAGGCCAGGCGCGGTGGCGCACGCCTGTAATCCCAGCACTTGGGGAGGCTGAAGTGGGCGGATCACGAGGTCAGGAGATCGAAACCATGGTGAAACCCCGTCTCTACTAAGAATACAAAAAATTAGCCGGGCGTGGTGGCGGGCGCCTGTAGTCCCAGCTACTCGGGAGGCTGAGGCAGGAGAATGGCGTGAACCCGGGAGGTGGAGCTTACAGTGAGCTGAGATCGTGCCACTGCAATCCAGCCTAGGCGACAGAGTGGGACTCCATTATACACACACACACGCACTATATATATATACACACACACACACACACACACACACACACACACACACACAAAAAAAAAAATTAGCCGGGTGTGGTGGGCGCCTGTAATCCCAGCCACGTGGGAGGCTGAGGCAGAAGAATTGCCTGAACCTGGGAGGCAGAGTTTGCAGTGAGCCGTGATCATGCCACTGTACTGCAGCCTGGGTGACAGAGCAAAATTCTGTCTCAAAAAACAAACAAAATAAATGATATCTCAATAAAGCTGCTAAAAAAAACTCGCCCACCAGGTACCCATCAGGTATCTTATCCAGCATAAGAACAGCTGGGCTGTGTGCTGTCTGCACCTCATCCCATGAATCTTTGCAGGGGTTCTACAAGGGTCCTCCTTACTAAACCCCCTGCACAGGTGAGGAAACTGAGGCCCAGAGATTATGCAGCCTGCCCAGGTAAAGCAGCTGGTGAACGTGGACAGCGTGGCCCCCGTCATACCTTCTCGCCAGCTGACGGTGCTGTCCAGGGAGTCTGGAAAGCAGAGATCCAAAGGAATTGGCTGGGCTGGAAGGCTCCTTACAGAAGAGCTCGCTTGCCCATTCACTCATTCATTTGTTCAGCTGAACACCCACCTACGAGTGTGTACCAGGCAGACCCGCTCCTGTCTCCACGAACCACAATCACAGAATTGTGTAAACGAGGTAAAGCCGGAGGCCTGAGATTGTGGGGATGGGGATTGAGGTCAGGACTGTCTTACCAAGGAGTGACATTTGGCCTGGGATTGAAAAGTCACGAAGGAACTGAACATTAAGACCCTGTATGTAAGGCTGGGTGTGGTGGCTCCCACTGTAATCCCAGCACTTTGGGAGGCCAAGGTGGAGGAATGCTTGAGGCCATGAGTTCGGAATCAGCCTGGGCAACATAGTGAGACCCCATCTCTACAAAAATAAACAAAATTAGCCAGGCGTAGTGTCTTCCTGCCCACTTGGGTGGCTGAAGTGGAAGGACTGCTTGAGCCCAGGAGTTCAAGACTGTGGTGAGCAGTGATTGTGCCACTGCACTCCAGCCTGGGTGACAAAGGGAGACCCTGTCTCTAAAAAATAAGATTATAAACCAGCCAGGCGTGGTGGCTCACATCTGTAATCCCAGCACTTTGGGAGGCTGAGGCGGTTGGATCACCTGAGGGTTTTGAGACCAGCCTGGCCAACATGACAAAACCCTGTCTCTACTAAAAGTAGAAAAATTAGCCGGGCTTGGTGGCACATACCTGTAGTCCCAGCTACTTGGGAGGCTGAGGAAGGAGAATTTCTTGAACCTGTGAGAAAGAGGTTGCAGTGAGCCGAGATCATGCCACTGCACTCCAGTGTGGACAGCAGAGCCAGACTCCATCACACACACACACACAATATATATATATGTGTGTGTCTGTGTATACACACTCACATACTCACACTCTCTGTAGTGGGCTGAATGGTGTCCCCAAAAGCTAGGTCTGCCTGGCAACTCACTTCCAACTTCTTGGAATAAGGGTCTCTGCAAATGGAATTAGTTAAGGATCTGCAGATGAGATTCTCCTGGATCAGGCTGGGCCCCAATCCAACGAAGAGTGCCCTCGTGAGGCAGAAGAGGAGAGAGACACGTGCCGGAGAAGGCCACATGAGGGCAGAGGCCGAGAGGCGGGAGTAAGGCCACCACGAGCCTGGGAACGCCGAGGGCGCCAGCAGCCGCCAGCAGCTGGAGAGAGGATGGATGGGAGGATTTTCTAAAGCCTTCCGATAGGGGTGTGACTTCTTGATTTTGGACTCCGGGACTGCAGGACCGTGAGAAAAGGAGTGAGTGTTAAGTCCACCTAGTTAGTGGTCATTCATTACCGTAGCCCGGGACACTTACGTGAACTTCAGACCTCAAATCCTCCCCATCTTGCAGCCCCAGGCGCAGACCTGGGCAGTGGGGCCCCCGTGTGCCCATCCCCCAGCTGGCCAGGCTCAGCTGAGAGCTCCTCGACCTCCTGCCTGTCCCTGCCACCCTTAGGAGTCCGAGAAACTGGACCTGCCCGTGGCCTGGACACCACTTCCTTTATTGCTTAGGGTTTCTCTCTTTCTTTCTTTAAAAATTTTTTAAATGAAAAATGGGGCTGAGGGAAGACTCGGTCTAAAGATAAGAGAGGGGTCACCTGGATCTGGAATGTTCTCTGGCTTTCCAGGCTGCTCTGATCGCAGACCTCCTGTCTTTAACAACCCAGCCTGGGTCAGGTCTGATGAAATGCACTTTCCAGGGAATGGGGCTGGTTTGGGCTCTGCAGAAGCTTCCCTCTTCCATCCTGGCACCGGCAGAAAAGCCCATTAAAATAATTGCAGGGAGAGACTGTTACCTAAGTTTCCTCCCCTTGAGCTGTTGGAGCTCTTCTTTGACCTTTATGGTTTTTAAAACCCTGCCAATCCTTGCCTTGTCCCCCGGACGCATTCATCCAGTGGGTTGGGAAGCTGGTGTTCGCTGTCCGGGCTGGGTCGTGCCGGCTCTCCGTGTGTGCACGTGTGGGTCTGGGCTGGGTGTTGACCTGCTCCTGGGCCAGGGCCCACCAGAGCCTTAGTCCGGGTGGCCACCATCTGGGAGGCCCGGCCGTGTCCTCTCTTACCCCAGTTCTCCAGGCACTGGCCAGGGGCCCCCTCAGCACACATGTCATAGTTGGTCCCTCCCTGCCCATGGCCCTTCAGAGGCCCCCAGCTGGTCTTGGGAGGAGGGTGCCTGTGTGGGCCAGCTTTCAGCACAGCCCCCGCCCTCTGCTCCAGCCTTGGGTGCACCCCAACCCCACCCAGCTGACCAGCCTGTTGGGGGGCCTGTGGACCCCGCCTCTAAGCCTGGGTCTTCCTCTGGGCACCCGTTGGGGACAGGGCAGCCACACACCCAGCCCAGGGTGTGGTCTCCCCACCCAGCTGCCTCCCTTGCAAAGGCAGGGTTGCCTTGGCAATGACACCTGAGGAGGAGACGCTTGCCCTGGGTGCGCTGTTTCCCTGTCTTCAGTAAGGGAGGAGGCTGGCTTCCTCTGGCGGAGGGAGGCAGCAGCTCTCCTTTGCCTTGGAACCCGCTTTGCTCCAGTGATCCCTGAGCCACCACATTGGTAAGACTGGCTGGAGCTGAAGGTCCGAGTGTGGCTTCAGGACTGGTGACGATGGCCAGGGATGAAGGGCTGCGGCGTGTGGAGGGGCTGCGCCCGGAAGGAAGCGGTGTGGACCCAGAAGGAAGCGGAGCCCTGGTGGGCAGCCTGGCTGTGCTCTGGCCCAGGAACCGGGCCTTTTCTTGCCTCTTGCCTCTGACTCAGAGCGGCTTGTGGGAGCCTCGCATGCAGGGCCAGGCAGGGCAAGAACGATCGCGACCTTTTCCTCCAGGGAAGGTTGCAAGAAAGGCGGGATCTGTAACGTGACTAGGTGGAGGCACTACGGAGCCATGGTGCAGGGGTGGGGGGCCCCAGGTGAGCTCAGATGCCCTCCCTGCCTGTGCCACCGTGGCCTGACCCTCCACAGGTGGGAGCCATAGGCGTCAGGAGCCATTACCCCTTGGAGAACTGGGTGCCAGGCCGAGACCTGGTGTCTCATTTATGACAAACCGCTGCAGTGCGTTTGGGAGTCTCCTCCTCCATGACGTGCTTGTCTGGATTGGTTTTATTTTAGTGCAGGCACCACGTCGTCTTTTTATATACGTGTGAACGTATATATGTAAACACACGTATGATGTTGGTGAGTTCATGTTGGTGGTATTTTTACTAAGCAAAGATGTGGGAACCAAATGGGCCCATCCGGGGAGTTTCCCATTTGGTCCCTCGTGCTGTGTGTGGTGGGGGGCATTGTGGTCGAGGTCTGAACAGCCGGGGAAGTGAAAGACCCCGTCCTCTCCGGGAGCTTACGGGAGTGGGAGAGACATTGACGAAATATTACCCATCGCAGGAGTCAGGTGCACACAGTGATGATAGTTCCGGGAGGTCAGGTGCGCGCGGTGATGACAGTTCCGGAAGGTCAGGTGCACGCGGTGATGACAGTTCCGGGAGGTCAGGTGCACGCGGTGATGACAGTTCCGGGAGGTCAGGTGCGCGCGGTGATGACAGTTCCAGAAGGTCACGTGCGCGCGGTCGTGACAGTTCCAGAAGGTCAGGTGCGCACGGTGATGACAGTTCCGGGAGGTCAGGTGCGCGCGGTCGTGACAGTTCCGGGAGGTCAGGTGCGCGCGGTGGTGACAGTTCCGGGAGGTCAGGTGCGCGCGGTCGTGACAGTGCCGGGAGGTCAGGTGCGCGCGGTGGTGACAGTGCCGGGAGGTCAGGTGCGCGCGGTGGTGACAGTGCCGGGAGGTCAGGTGCGCGCGGTGGTGACAGTGCCGGGAGGTCAGGTGCGCGCGGTCGTGACAGTGCCGGGAGGTCAGGTGCGCCTGGTGATGACAGTTCCGGGAGGTCAGGTGCGCGCGGTGATGACAGTGCCGGGAGGTCAGGTGCGCGCGGTCGTGACAGTGCCGGGAGGTCAGGTGCGCGCGGTGGTGACAGTTCCGGGAGGTCAGGTGCATGCGGTGATTGTTCCGGAAGGTCAAGTGCATGTGGTCATAGTTCCAGAAGGTGTCCCCGGGGCAGGATATGTTTTCCTATTTTCCTTGGCTTCCGGGGAGCTTGGAGCCTGCTTTCCTTTGGGTCCTGGGCTGATTTTCGGGCAGGTGCTGGGATGCAGTGTCCTGGGTGCTGCAGCATGGCTGAGCCTCGGATTCTCTGTCCAGGGCTAGCTGTGTTCAGGCCGCGCATCTTTAGTTTTGGGGCATCGCAAATCCTCCTGGAATCTGATGAAAGCTGTGGACCCTCTGCTTGTGGCGGGGGGTCATGCAGAAAACTTTGAGTACAGTTTCAGGAGATGCACGGACCACCCAAGGGCCTGGAATCGGAGCCCCCACAAGACAGGGGGTGTGCTCTCTGGGCCAGCGTTTGGAGCACTCTCTGGCTCTTGGAGCCCTGGTGGGGCATTCCCAGCAGCTTGCTTCATTTCCTGGACACGTGTTCTTGGCTGTGGTTTATATTACTCTCTGTATGTAAATGTCATAGGTTTTTTTTCTTCTAGTAAAATTGTTCCTAGTTAGCACAGTGGAATCTTGAAACAAGAAAGCCATCTTTCATGAACAGTGTGTGGTTTCCAGGCTTAGCCCATGGAGTTGGAGTGACAGGTATGGCAGAGATGGGGGGTCAGGCTGCGTAGAAGGTGTTTGCGCCCCCTAGGTGCAGGTGTTAATCCTCACCACCAGGGCGATGGTGCTAGGATGTGGGGCCTTTGGGAGGTGATGGGGCTGAGGACTGAGCCTCATAGTGGGGATTAGTGCCCTGATGAAAGAGGCCTCAGAGAGCACCCTCGCTTCTTCTACCATGTGAGCACCCAGCAGGAAGGTGCTGTCCAGGACCCAGAAAGTGGGTCCTCTGCAGACACCAAATCTGCTGGCACCTTGATCTTGGACTTCCAGCCTCCGGAACTGGGGGAAAGCAATGTCTGCTATTGATGAGCCGCCCAAGCTGCGGTGCTTTGTTGCAGCCCCAACAGGCTAAGTCAGGAACCGTGAACAGGAGACCTCCCAGGGAGTCTGCTCGGAGGGGGGATTTGTCGTGGGGGAATTGGTCATTGTGCCTCAGTTTCCCCATTGTTGGGGAAGTGGTGCCCATGGCCACTGGCAGGCCCCCCCGGGGGCCAGCACACCAGGTAGGAAGAAATGCAAGCCCCAGGCTGCTGAGATGCACAGAGCCCCACATTCTGCCTTCGGGACGTCTGTCTAGTCCCTTGTCTTACAAAGGGTGGGCAGGTCCCCTGCAGGACTCAGCAGAGGGAGAGACACAGTCAGGGAGCGGCCAGAGGGGTGACGTGCCCGGCTGCCCACAGGTACAATGGCTCCTTCGTGTCACACATGGGTGTCGGCGTCATCTTTCGGCTGGGTGAGGGAACTGCCCAGCTGCCCAAGCCCTGGGTTCCCAAGTCAGAGTTGCTGGGATTACTGGGCAGGGAGGTGGTCCCGCAACCCACACCGGGGCAGTGGCAGGAAGCACAGACACACACAGCACAGCGGGCCGGCACCGCCGGGGTGGGTTGTCTGGGCTTGGACTCTTTCTGTGCACATGCTGATGTTTGTTGATAATAAGAACAGAAACATTTTCTTTTTTTTTTTTTGAGATGGAGTCTTGCTCTGTCACCCAGGCTGGAGTGCAATGGCGTGATCTCCGCTCACTGCAACTTCCGCCTCCCAGGTTCAAGCAATTCTCCTTCCTCAGCCTCCTGAGTAGCTGGGATTACAGGCACGTGCCACAACACCCGGCTAATTTTTGTAATTTTTAGTAGAGACGGAGTTTCACCATGTTGTGCAGGCTGGTCTTGAACTCCTGACCTCATGATCTGCCCGCCTCAGCCTCCCAAAGTGCTGGGATTACAGGCGTGAGCCACTGTGCCCAGCCCCTCCCCTTTTTTTTTTCCTTGAGACAGAGTCTTGCTCTATTACCCAAGCTGGAGTGCAGTGACGCGATCTCAGCTCACTGCAACCTCCACCTCCCAGATTCAAGCAATCCTCCTGCCTCAGTGTCCCGAGTAGCTGGGACCACAGATGCGTGCCATCACACCCAGCTAATTTTGTATTTTTGGCAGAGACAGGCTTTTGCCATGTTGCCCAGGCTGGTCGTGAACGCCTGAGCTCAAGCGATCTTCCTGCCTTGGCCTCCCAAAGTGCTGGGATTACAGGCGTGAGCCACCATGCCCTGCCCAGAGGTGTTTTCAAGCATGTCCTGTGCACTGGGCCTGGTTGGTTGATGCTCAGTGATGTTTATTGAATGAATGAATGAATGAACGAACAAGATCCAGAAGTCTGAGGGTAAACATGGGGTGCCAGCATCTTGTCTTAGCCCAGCCCGTTGTTGGGGGGTTGGCAGAGTACCTCAACCCAGACCCCTGTCACCTGTGCCCCCTGCCCCCCCTCACGCTCCTCCCTGTCTCCCCCAGGACCTCCCACTCTCGGGCAAAGGCCGAGGCAGCCCTCACAGCAGCTCAGAAAGCCCAGGAGGAGGCGCGGATCGCCAGGATCACTGCCAAAGAGTTCTCCCCTTCCTTCCAGCACCGGGAAAACGGTGAGTCTCGCCGGGCCTGATACTGGCATCGTGGGGAGGGGGTGCGTGGATGGCTGGGCAGTCCTGGCAGCAGATGTGTCCTCCAGAGCGGGTAGGCTTAGATGGGCTCAGCCCCAGCTGCTCCCCTGCCCGGTGTCTTCCTCTCCCGCCGAAGGTGCTTGTTTGTGCCAAGGCCTGGCCTGGCTCCCCGGGACACAGGACATGTGTCTTGGCAGGTCTCTCCCATTCCCACAGTCCTTGGGGCACCGCGTGTTGCTTGCCGGCTGTCCCTGACGGTGAATTCCCACCTGCCCAGCCTGTGCTGTCTGCTGCCCGCCCTCCCCCAGTGTTGTTCTAGAACCTTCTGGGATGATGGAACTATCTGCTGGGTCCAGCGTGGCAGCCATTAGCTGGGTGTGTCTGCGGTCCTGGCTCTTGACCTGCCTCTGATGTGAACTAACTTACCATTAAACACACCCAGTGGCTGCTGGGTTGGACAGCGTCACAAATGGCAGCTCCCGCTGTGCCCCTCGGAAAGAGCTGGAAGCTGCTGCCTGATTTAGGAACCTCGTCCTCCCTTCGAGGGGGGGATCATGGGTGATACGGCCCAGTGACAGTGGCGGGGGCGTGGAGGGTGTGGGGTGGGTGGCGGAGAGGCCGTGGCCAGCTGCCTCCCATCTCCTACCTCATCTTGGAGGAAGCTTCCTCTGCACCAGGAGGCCCCAGAGAATGGGGTTAGGAGCGCGCCCCCTCAACCCGAGCTCTGACCGGTGAGCGGTATTCGGATGAGGCTCTGCGCGCTGGAGGTCCGCACCTGACACCACAGCCCTGAACTTGCTCGCAACGCCTGCCACTCTGGCCACCAGGACAGGATGAGGAGCCCAGCCTGGGGGCTGCGGGGCTGGGCGCTCCCCTGACTGGAACGCGAGACCACATCATCTCTAGAGGTGACCGTCCGCCACCACTCCAAGACCTTGCCTTCACTGGGCGAGTGCCGGGCCCTGCAGAGCCTGCAGCTGCAGCCTGGAGGTCAGGAGGACGAGCCCCCGCACCCCCACCGCCTTGGGCAGCTTCTATTCCACTGCGTCCCCTCCACTCTCCTGGCCCCTCCAGACACACGCACCCCAAAGTGTCCAAGTGGGAGGGCAATGGGCCACGTGCCCCTGTGGCCATTGGCATCCTCCATGGTCTCGCCCTCAGGCCCTGAGTTTCCTTCTCCCTGGGGCCCCTCCTTGCCTCGCCCACGACCAGCTGCCTGGGCTGGGAGGCGGTGGGGCGCACACTTGGGGGCACACGTGTAGCGTGCACGTGCATGTGGGGAGTGGGTGCAGTGCTGCGGGATGGACGAACGGAACAGGGATGCTGGAGAGGAAGCCAGTGCCGTCGGGGGCACCTGCCAGAACCCTGGCTGGGCCACTCCACGCAGAATGCACGTAGGACGGCATGGGATTCCACGTACCAACCCTGGCCCATGGTCGCCTCAGCTCCAGCCCTGCCTGCGACTCACATTCCACTGCCTGCGGCCTGTTTTGTTTCCTCTCAGAGCCTCAGTTCCATGTGTGAAAGGAAGGGGACCAGACAGGGAACATTGAAGCCTCCATCCTGTGCCAAATCCCCCAAGAGACGCATCCACCGGAAGCTCCCAACGTGACTTATTTGGGAGGAGGGTCTGTGCAGGTGTCATTATGGAACAGACTTTGAGACAAGATCAGCCTGGATTGGGGTGAGTCCTAGATCCACGCGGCGTCCTTAGAAGAGACAGAAGAGGAGGAGACAGGGGCGGATGGAGTGATGTCAGAGATCACTGGAGACTCCGTGGCTGGAGGGTGGCTGGAGCGGAGACCCTGGAAGGAAGCAGCACTCCCGACACCTGGATCACGGCTTCTAACTTCCAGAAACACGAGTTTGCCTTTTGGGTGTTTCTACCCCCACCCCCGCGTGGTGCTTTACTGCTCCAGTCCCAAGAAATGGGTGCAGGCTCCCCCACCCTGAGAATTCCAGTTAAGACTCTGGAGTCGGAGATGCTTCCTGGAGGGCTCAGTCCTGGAGTCAGAGGAGATGCTTCCTGGAGGGCTCAGTCCTGGAGTCAGAGATACTTCCTGGAGGGCTCAGTTCTGGATTCAGAGGAGATGCTTCCCAGAGGGCTCAGTCCTGGAGTCAGAGATGCTTCCTGGAGGGCTCAGTTCTGGATTCAGAGGAGATGCTTCCCAGAGGGCTCAGTCCTGGAGTCAGAGATGCTTCCTGGAGGGCTCAATCCTGGAGTCAGAGATGTTTCCCGGAGGGCTCAGTCCTGGAGTCAGAGATGCTTCCTCGAGGGCTCAGTCCTGGAGTCAGAGATGCTTCCTGGAGGGCTCAGTCCTGGACTTGGAGATACTTCCTGGAGGGCTCAGTCCTGGATTCAGAGGAGATGCTTCCCAGAGGGCTCAGTCCTGGAGTCAGAGATGCTTCCTGGAGGGCTCAGTCCTGGATTCAGAGGAGATGCTTCCTGGAGGGCTCAGGTCCCTGCAGGAGGGGCCTTGGGCTGACCTTTTAAGTCCTGAAGCTGCCTCCTCCGACAGTTCTTGTCTTCATGATACAGATGCGGGCCCCTGTGGGGGCCGCTGTGATGGAGAGACGGGGCCGCTGCTGCCTCACTGGTGGGAGTCCAGTCCTCGAGGGTCTGGCCAAGTTGGCCTCACCTCCTGCTGCTGCACCTTGGAGCCTGGCTCACTCTGAGCACCTCGGTCCGATCTGCCACCTCTTTGGGTGGCGCCCCGGAGCCTTCTCTGAGCAGCATCTTCCCTGGAGGGGGCGTTGGGACCGTGTGTTTTTTACAAGCGCTGGGACTGGCATGAGATTTGATCCAAGCATTTCTTGTTTCCGCCTTGGATGCATTCAGGATCAGTGTTCCCAGACCAGGCACCCCGGGGCCTTCTCGGCTGCTGGGGAGGGGTGGGGCTGGGGGAAGCTGTCCAGGTCCTTCCTCAGTCGTCCTCACAGCCAGGAGCTGAGGTCACCAATGACAGATGACAGAACAGAGCCTCCAAGAGGGGAACAGGGTTGCCAGAGCGCTCAGGCAGGATGTGGTGGAATCAGGATTTAAAACGAGGCTCTGAAGCCTGGGCCATGCCGGCTTCTAGAGAAGCAAACCATCCAGCGCTTCGGCTGCAGAGAGTGGCTGGCGCCAGCCTCTTGCTGCCTGTCTGGGAGGTCCCTGGCAGCCTCCCAGCCCGAGAACTCTGACCGTCAGGGTTCTGCCCAAGGCCACGTGAAGGCAGGACCATGAAGGAGCCTGGCCATGCGGTGTCCAGTGCCCAGGCCACTTCCGGTGCCATCCGCCCCCGCCCCAGAGGCAGGAGGACTGAGCGTCGGAGGCTGCAGGACGCAGGTGGCTTGAAGGCACAGGAAGAAGCTGCAGGGGCTTCACGAGGACCCGCCCTGCATCCTCACCACGAGGCTTCTAGGAACGTTACCTGCTCAGCAGCTCATTCTAGCTGAGGGTGCCCTCCTGCTGGTGGTGCTGGGAGTCGGGGCCCCTCTAGCGTGGGGTCTCCTGGGCCAGCCAGGCCTGATCTCGGCAGCAGTGGGTGGACGACCTGGTGGGAAAGGCCGGGGCGCCATCGGGGGATGGGGGGGGCCTTGATCCCAGCCTGCTAGGTCCATAGCGTCTAAGGCACAGGAATGCCAGCCCCTTGGAAGTCCCATCCTGGCCAAGGAGGAGGTACGATGTGGGTGATCCGTGGGCATGATTGGGGGCCTCTGATGGGGCCAGGGCTGCCCTCCACACAGGACCCTCACGGGGAGAGAGGTGGTGGGGCTGGGCGTCAGGTGGGTACGTGGATGTCAGCACAGTTCTACACAGACCTTCTCTGGCCCATTCCCTGCTCTGCTCGGGGGACACCCAACCAGCCCAGCCCTGTTTCTGGGGAGTGACCACAGAGAAGCAGTCATTGAGACCTCAGAGTGGCCCACCCACACCCCCGTGTGACAGGAACTCAGACTTGGGAGGGCTGGCCACCCACCCAGAGCTACCCAGCTGTGCCCCAAGCCCCAGGCCAGGGCCATGGCCTCGCTCTGCTCAGCACTGCCTCTTAGACCAGCAAGGAGGAGGACACAGCAGCCCAGCCTGGTGGCGTCGCAGCGTGCCCCGAATCTGCTTGCTAACGTCTCTTTACAAACGGAGGGACTATCTGGTGCCACACCGAGGGTAGCCATGTCTCCCAGACCTTCTCCTGCCAAAAGGTCAGACTGGGGTACAGGCGTCTCCCAGACCTTCTCCTGCCAAAAGGTCAGACTGGGGTACAGGCCAGGAGAATGTCCGAGCGTGAGAGACTCTAAGATGGGCAGTGGCTCTTGGTGTCCGAGCTGGTCTCATGAGGTGGCCGCCCCGGGTAGAGCTCTGAGACCTCCGTCCTCAGAGGGAAGACTCCCCAAATTCCCACAGAGCTCTGCACCATTTTGGCTCGGGCAGGACGGGGATGCTGGGGGCGGGGGTCCCACTGTTCTGTGCTGAGCCTAGGACGCTACTTGAGATGAACGTGTAACTGTTCCCCGGAGGGTAAGAAGCGCCGCGTTCTTGGGTTTCTCCTAATGGAATAAAGTCGGGCATGGCTCCCGTGTCCCTGCGTTGGCAGGAAATGAGATCCCAGTCAATGTTCTTGGTTCTCACCTCCTGCTGGGGGCTCACGGAGCTCCGGAGAAGTCTCGGGGCTAGTCCTACAATGCTGCCCCTCCCTATCCAGGCCTCCGGGTGGGGGCTGATGGGGACTGAGCCACCGGCAGACGACAGGGACTCTGCTGGCTGCAGAGCTGGCCCCTGGGTCCTGTGGTGACCTCCCCTTCCGGGGAGCCCCGCCCTAGGACTTGAAGCCCCAGCAGCCTCGAAAGGTGGGGAGGGAAGTCGGCTCCTGGGCTCTCACGCTGGCCCCGGCACTGGCTGTTTCTCAGCAAGACTGTCCCAGCACCCTGAGACACAGTCCCAGGCGGGTAGGGGTGTTGGCGGCCTTGCTGTGACAGCTCGGCCTCCCCAGACAGGTGGTCAGCTAGGGTGAGGGGCTTCCTCTTACCCTCAGGACAGGCGAGTCAGGGTTGGTGGGACCTGAGTCCACACCCCAGCGTCCTCACGCACTTTCCGAGCCTTGGGTCTCCCTTGTAGCCTGGGAGCTGCTGTCCGCCCTTCCTGTGGTGCCTGGGCCTAGCCAGTCTCCCTCCAAGTGTCTGTGGGGTGGGGACCACGGGGGTCCCACAGAGGGCTTTGGGAGCCACGGTCCCCACTCCCCTCCCTTGCCTGCAGCCTTTCGGTGAGTGGGAAGCGCCTCTGCTGCCCTGAGGTTCCCTCTGGCGCCCTGGCCCGGGGACCGCGGCCTCGCTGTGGAATGTGCTGGGTAACGCCGTCTGGCGTCGTCTTGTGTCCCCATACAGGGCTGGAGTACCAGAGGCCGAAGCGTCAGACCTCCTGTGACGACATCGAGGTGCTGTCCACCGGGACACCCCTGCAGCAGGAGAGCCCCGAGCTGTACCGCAAGGGCACCACTCCCTCCGACCTGACCCCCGACGACAGCCCCCTGCAGAGCTTCCCCACCAGCCCCGCGGCCACCCCGCCGCCCGCGCCCGCCGCCAGGAACAAGGTCGCCCACTTCTCGAGGCAGGTGTCGGTGGACGAGGAGCGGGGCGGGGACATCCAGATGCTCCTGGAGGGCCGGGCCGGGGACTGCGCCCGCAGCAGCTGGGGCGAGGAGCAGGCCGGGGGCTCCAGGGGTGTCCGCAGCGGTGCCCTGCGCGGCGGCCTGCTCGTGGATGACTTCCGCACCCGAGGTTCGGGCCGCAAGCAGCCCGGGAACCCCAAGCCGCGGGAGCGGCGGACGGAGTCACCCCCCGTGTTCACGTGGACTTCCCACCACCGGGCCAGCAACCACAGCCCCGGAGGCTCCAGGCTGCTGGAGCTGCAGGAGGAGAAGCTGAGCAACTACCGGATGGAGATGAAACCCTTGCTGAGGATGGAGACGCATCCCCAGAAAAGACGCTACAGCAAGGGCGGCGCCTGCCGGGGCTTGGGGGACGACCACCGCCCCGAGGACCGGGGCTTCGGGGTGCAGAGACTGCGGTCCAAGGCCCAGAACAAGGAGAACTTCAGGCCGGCCTCCTCCGCGGAGCCCGCCGTGCAGAAACTGGCGAGCCTGCGGCTGGGCGGGGCCGAGCCCCGGTTGCTGCGTTGGGACTTGACCTTCTCCCCGCCCCAGAAATCCTTGCCTGTCGCTCTAGAGTCCGACGAGGAGAATGGGGATGAGCTCAAGTCCAGTACGGTGAGTGGGCGGCCACCAGGCTGGTCCCAGTGGAGGCAACATCCACCTCTCTGCTGACCTGGTGTTTCCTGAGGGTTTCCAGCAAGGTCACTGCTCCCCTGTTCCTCTCCAGGGGTGGAGTAGGGTGGGGGTACAGCCGGGAGTGGTGGCCCTCAGGTCGCTGGGACCCTCCCCTAGGAAGCCAGGTGGGGCAGGTGTCATACCTCTTTCCGTGAGAGGCTGCCCCCAGGTTGTCCAGAAAGCACACGAAACTCCTGGTTTCCAGGCAGCATGGGATCCCTGCGCTCCCCGCAACGTGCTCAACCCCAGCTGCTCCAAGAGTCTGTGCCCCTGGTCAGTAGCCTTGGGCCGTGAGATGACCGCTTGAGTGTCCTGTGTCCTGGATAGGAACCCAGAGGCGAAACAGCTGGGGGCAAGGCTGGCCCTGGGGCTGGGAGTCAGGTCTGGGGTTGGGGGGAGCTGCCAGTCCAGGTTTCTCTCACCCATGGGGGGTGTTGGGGTTGGAGCCGGCTCCCACGTGAGGCCCGCTGTGTGCAACTCACCGTCAGCCTCACCCAGCACCCCCCCCCCAAATTCGTTCCTCCAGGGCAGGCAGCTTGGAGGGAAGAACAGCGTCCCCCTGGGCTAGACTCGGCGCGAGGCTGGGGGTCCCAGGCTAGACTCGGTGTGCGAGGCTGGGGGTCCTGGTGCCTCACACAGGGCTGGCCTCCCCTTGAAGGGACCTTCACTCTGCAAATCCCACCCTGCTCCCTTGACCAGTGCTGCAGGAATGAAGGGCTTTGGGAATGAAGGGCTGTGGGACGGTGGCTACATAGGATCTGCGCACGGCCAGGCCCTCACCCCAGCAGGGCTCTGCTCGCTCGTGGCTGCCAGGCAGTGCGTGGTGCTGAACAGAAGTGCTGCAAGCCAGTCTGCCCCTCGGGTGTGAGGACGCAGGGGGGTGTCCGCAGGGGGCGCTCAGGGCGTGTGGGCCGGGCAGGGGGGACCATTGGTAGGTTTATTGTCGACGCTGCGGCAGGGGTCGGTGTCTGTCCCTGCCCCTGACCTAGGGGAGCTGTGGTTTTCTCCTCCTGCCAGCCCCACCCCCAGAGGGGTCACCGCGTGACACCCCTTTGAAGGGGCACGTCCTGCCGGGCGGCAATGCCTGTTTCTGCCTCTCCTTGGAACCACTGCGGACGTCTGTCTGTCCTGTTGGGTTCCTAAGATGCCTCCCCGTTCCCCAAAGCCCACAGAGAACAGCCCCTATGCTCCTGCTGGGACCAAAATACCAGCTCACACTTACAACTTGATTTTCCCCATCGCAGCCGGAGATGTGTGCGTGGCTGTGCGCGCGCGGTTATTTTAGGAACAGCCAAGCAGTGGGCAGGGTGGGAGGTGTAGGGACGGGTTCTATTTTTAGCCTGCTTAATGCACTGACACTTTTGGGTGCTTTTAAATGAACCTCCCTGGGGGTCAATGCACAAGCTGGGGACAAGTGCCAAGCTGGCCTCTGGGATGAGTTAGCGACACGCAGGGTGCTACATGCTGCCCTGGTCCTGCCCGGTCTCCAGCTGGGGCTAATCTGGAGGTCCCGTCAGCTGCAGCATCATGTCCCACCCACCCTGGAGGATGCCAGCTGAGCTCCTTGGAAGTGGCCACCCTGGGGTACCTGGTGCTGGTGCAAACAAGGTTTCCCTCCCTGTCTCCCTCCCCGTCTCCCTCCCCACAGCTTTGGAGCTGTGTTTTCTGCCAGGTCTGTGAGGGGAGATGGTGTGTAGAGGCGCGGTCAATCCTAAGCACTGTTCCAGGCCCTGTTGGTGGGAAGCAGGAGGGGCCCGTGCCAGCCGGCATCCATGTCAGGGGACAGGTGTCAGGGCAGTCGGGTGCCAGGCTGGGCTGAGTGCCTTCAGTGCCACCCCCTCACAGGGGTACAGCTCTCTGCAGTGTCTCCCCTGGGCCACCAGCAGGGTCTGGGGTGCTGTCTTCTGGCCATCCCCCTCCACCATTCCCAACATGCTGCAGAGCTCACACGCCAGAGGCCCTGGGTCCCACTGGCCACAGATGGGCCTGGGATTCTAGCCCACATAGGGTCCCACTGGCCACAGATGGGCCTGGGATTCTGGCCCGTGTAGGGCCCTGGCAATTCAGGGTAAAGTCCCTTAGGATGGAAGCACAGGTTCTCCCTACCGCTCTACTGGTGAAGGAACTCTGGCCCTGGCTGTTTCCCTCTTGGTGAAATGATGGATATGACCTGATGGTGGGGTCCAGGGTTGGAGGATGGCTGGGGAGACAGAAGCTTCCCTCCTGCGGGCAGCCACGCCCTCGCCCACAGCGTCCGTACCTGCTTCCCGGCCCAGAGCACGGGCTGGACTGTGGCAGAAGAGGTGCCACTGACCACCCCACTCTGTCCTGCTACCCCACTACAGGCTGACTAGCATCCGGCCCTTCCTCCTCGCTGGGGTGGGGGAACTTTGCACCAGGGGTGGCATCAGTGGGCAGGGCTGGGCCCTTGGCTGTTCTCTGCCCCCTGCAGGCTGGCCCGGCCCAACCAAGTTGTCATGGGGCCCAAGACTCACAATACACCTGCCTGAGGCCACGATGCCACGGAAAGCTGGGCTCAGGGCAGCTTGCTTTCTCTCTGGCTGAGTGGAGGCCCTTGCTGTGTCCACAACTCCACTTCCATCTGCGCCTCAGGTCCCTGATAGGCTGGGAGGTTGCGGAGGGTGTGGGCCTGGTGCTGCTGTGGCTGCAGGTGCCCCCTAGGCAGCACCTCACCCTCTGAGGACCCTCCTCTCTGAGCTGCATCCCAAGGACAGTTTACAAAGCCCTTTGCTGACTGGGGTTCAGCTTATCTGTTGAGCAAACTTTTTCTTTAAAAAGTTTCTTGGCCAGGCACGGTGGCTCACACCTATAATCCCAGCACTTTGAGAGGCCGAGGCAGGTGGATCACCTGAGGTTATCAGTTCGAGACCAGCCTGGCCACCAGGGTGAAATCCTGTCTCCACTTAAAAATACAAAAATTAGCCGGGCATGGTGGCACACGCCTGTAATTCCAGCTACTCAGGAGGCTGAGGCACAAGAATTTCCAGAACCCGCAGGAGGCAGAGGCTGCTGTGAACTGAGATCATGCCACTGCACTCCAGCCTGGGCAACAGAGCGAGACTCCATCTCAAAAGTTTCTCAAGCCAGTGTCTCTAGGGCCTGAGGGCTCCAATCCCCAGTGTGAGGTGAGGCGCTCGGGCCTGGGAGCTGATGCCCAGCATACAGTCGGGGGTGCCCCTGCCAGGTGTGGTGCAGAGCACGGCGGGGGTGTGTGAGACCTGAGGATAGCGTCTGGATGTTTCTCTCACGTTAACGGGAATGAGATAGGCTCATTGGCTGCTCATCCCCAAATCCAAATGGAAAACCGCCATTCGGGCCAGGCAGAGGCAAGTACTCCCACCCGTTGCCGCTGCCGTGTTGAGCCCACCGTGCCGAGTGGTGTTGGCAGGAGCCTCCCGAGGAAGCTGTGCCAACGCAGGAGTGGTCAGAGCCTGTCCAGGCCACAGACGGGGCTACGATGAGCACTGCTGCCCAGGGCATGTTGGGGGCAGCTCCTGGAGACCACAGGGAGGGGAGGTGGGCACCCAGGTGTGGGCAGAACTGGACCAGGAGGAGGAGGGGCAGCAGCTTGCTCAAGGCACAGGGCCTCAGCCACAGGGTGGCGGGCTGGGAAGGGGCGAGGGTGTGGTGGGTTCTGAGTGCCCCATGCAACGGCTGTTTTGGGCCACGTGCTCAAGCAGGCACCCAGGGAAGACCAGCCTAGGTGCTGGCGTGAGGCCCTTCAACATCAGCTACGATGCTGCTTCATCAGGAGCACAGCCTGGGGAAAGAATGAAACTGACCCAGGAGACAAAAGGGTCCCCGGGCCAGACGGTCAAGCAGGAGGCTGCTTCGCTGCCGCGGGATGTGGCATCCAGGCTAGGCAAGGGGACGGCAGGCTGCCATCCCCAGAGGGAGTTCTCCGGGCAAGGCCGTGACCCCACTGGGGCTCTGAGTTTGCATCCTTCCTGTGTGTCAAGAGCAGAGCCGGCCACTGCCAGCCCATAGCTCCCATGGTGCGGCCCTGGAGAGCTGACTTCATGCGGGATGTCTGCTGTTCTTTGCGTAGCTTTACTGAGACAGAAAGCGTGTACTGTTCACTTCAGGTGGCCACAGTGTACAAGTCAGGGATTTTAGTGTATTCCCAGTTATACAGCCATCACCCCCAATTCTATCTAGATCAGCTCCATCACCTTAAACCTCAGGGCCATTGAGCAGGCACTTGCTGTCCCCTCCTCCCCCAGCTCCCGGACTCTGCTTTCTGCCTGGTGCCCAGCTTCTCACGCAGCATGCACTGCTCCTGCGCTTTCTCTGTGGCAGCCGCGGTTGCACGGCCCATGTCTTCCCCGCTGTGTGTTCATCCTCCACTGGACAGCTGGCTCTGCTTCCACTCCGTGGCTGTTGTGAATCCTGCTGCCGGGAGTGTGTGCACACACAAGGTTTTGAGTGGAGGCTTGACTTTGCCCTCTTAGATTTAGGCCTGGGAGTGGAACTGCTGGGTCCCCGGTGTTCTCATCAATTCTCTTCCAGTCTCTGGGAGAGGAGCCAGCAGCAGCTGCTTCGTTGTGGGTGGGGGGAAGGGGGAGGCCCGTTGTTCGGGCTCCCCTCCTTAATGCAGGCCTGAGCAGCCCTCACCTGGTGCCACATGAGCTACTCAGTCTTAACAGACCACCCCATCATGTCTTTGAAATTTGACCAGAGGCCAGACTTGGGGGCTTAAAGGAGTCCATGGAAAACCAGTCTGTTAACAGGGAGGGGGAGGAGAGTAGCCATCCCTGAGGAATGTGCATCCTGGGACCTTCAGGACAAGCCCTGGTCCATCTGTGTCGCACAGCAGCAGGATGTCTGCGTGGTAGGAAGTGGAGGGCTCCGGGGGCTCTGAACAGCTCCTTACCACAGTGGGGTCTACATCTCCTTCCAGGTGGCTGCGAGATGCAGGGCGTGGTGGGGGTGGGGAGAGGCAGGGGCAAGTGTCCTCTGGAAGCAGACTGTGGGCAAGACTGGAGTGGGTGTCCCAGCCATTCCTGGGCTGGGGCCACCGTCCAGGAGGCGTCCATTCCCTGTGCAGCAGGTACTGTATCTGTAGGGCAGCACCCACCCCTGCCGTCCTGGGAGCTTCCCAGAGGGGCCACGCTCCCTCTCCCCCTGCCTGGTGTGAGCAGAACACAGCAGAGTGCAGGACTGCAAGAATCACTGCAGAAGGGCGCCCCCGGAAAAGGCTCTGTTGTGAGACGTGTCCTACCTGGCCCCGGCAAGCACAGGGAAGGTGGCAGCTTGGTCCGAGTGCCCAGGCTGTGCGGCTGAAGGGGGAGTCTGGCACTTGGGGCTCCGGCGGAGGCTGAGGACTTGTGAGCCACTTCAGGGAGGTGGTGGCAGCAGCATTCAGGACCATAACCTAAATCCAAGGCAGCTCGCAATTGGACACAGTCCTCCAGAGCCAGTTGGCGTGAGGGGTTTGTTGAGGAAGGTGTGGTGAGGGGGGGTTTTGTTGAGGACACTGTGCTCACGGACTTTGGGAGTCCTCTGAGTTCCAGGGCCTCTCTGCTGGGCTGCATCTGACACTGGCCATGGCAGCCATGCGGGCCCTTCTGAGATTCTGAGGTCCCAGTTCCACAGGGCAGGAGAAGCCTGCTGACTGGCACAAAGGCCACACGCACCGAGACGTTTGCTTGCAGGGAGGCCTGGGTGGTTCTCTCCAAGGGGACCCTGGGAGAGCTGGTACTCAGGGTGTCGGGGCCACAAGGGAATTCCAAGGGAATTCCAGGACCAGCAACCTCAGACGTACAGGCAGCTGGGGCTTCTCTCCCGCGTCTGGACTTCACGGAGCTCAGGTTCTGGTGGGCCTTTGGTGTCCAAGCGTTTCTAACATCCTCCCGTACGCTTCCACCCCCGAGGGTCTGCTAGCTTGGTGAAAAGACGTGGGTGGGAGGCGTGGTGGCCCAGGCAGAGCCCCCCGCAGCTGTCGCTCACCTCTTCCCCTCGCTCTCTTCCAGGGCTCAGCGCCTATCCTGGTGGTCATGGTGATCTTGCTCAACATCGGAGTCGCCATTCTGTTTATTAACTTTTTCATCTGATGAGATGTCGCGGTAGCAAAAATAGAGAAAGGGTAGAAAAAAGGGACATTAAAATTAAAAGCAAAACCACAAGAAGGGAAAGACCGCAACTCGGACAGCCCAGCGACTTCCAAGTCCTCTCACAGAAGAACCACACGATTGGGTATCACTCACAGTTTGCCTTTTTTTCTGGGTAATGTTTTTTGGATTTTAGCCAAAATTCTTTGCTTGTATAACACTCTGCTGTGTGGCATGGCAGAAGGAGGCCAGCACGCAGCCCCTCCAGCTCCACGTGGAGACAGAAGGGATCCCGGCACATCAGTGGTAACAGCGGACGTTGTCCTCGTGGTCACACGTCCCGTCTTGGGTGTGGATGGAGGGCAGCCCGGGGCAGAGCCTCAGCCCCGCGGCCCCTGAGTGGCAGGGCTGACTCCCGTCGACACGAGCTTAGAAAGTGGATTCACTGCTTTCTCTGTCTAGAACAGACGGGTGACAAGTATGGGCAGGAGGCATGGGGCAGGGTGGCCCACCCCAGTGGGCAGTAGCCTGGCCTTTTTCTGTGTGAGATCTGTGCTGCACACCTGAGGGAGGGGGAGGGATCGGCCACCTCCTCCCTGTGAGACGGATGCAGGTCCTTCCCTCTTCTCGGCACTGCCCCCGGCCTTCCATGAGAAGCCGACTCCCCACACCGAGTTTTAAAGCAAAGCCCTTTTCTTCTGCTGCCCACTCACTGTGGGTCCCATTCGGCTGTTTCCCCCACCAGACCCCAGGGAAGCCGGGGCCCACTCCGATCCGCCTGGGCTCAGCTAAGCACGGAAGCCAAGGGGGCTGTGCCGTGGAGCTGGGCTCGCGCCGGGGCTCTGGGTGTGTGCGCTTGGCGTGCAGGGTGGACGCGTGGGGTTCCGTGTCCCCAGCAGTGAGGGCCCTAGAGGACGCCTTCTCCCATGGTTACTGATCTCCACGGGTTTTCACATCTCTGTACTGTGCCTGCCTCAACTTCCCCTAACAGATATGCATATTCCTTCCAGATGCCTCAGTGCTACACCACAGTGGGCCTGGTCCCAGGACAGGAATGCGGTTCAAACCCAGTGGCTTGAAACTTCCTGAGAAACTGTAGCATATCCAGCCCCCTAAAATGTACAATGTAACTTGTTCAGTCCAACAAAAACAGGTTCCTTATGTTTCTGCCTTCTCCACCAGGGTCGCTCCATCACCCAAACAAAAGAACAAGGTTTGCCAGGATGTCCGAGTGCCCCCTGGCCCTGGCTCTCGTGTGCATGGACGTGCCTGAGGGGTCCGGGCACGGCCATACGCAGGACCCCTGTGCCCGGGGAGGCGCTGCAGGGATTCCCCATCCGGTCGTCTTGGGGCCAGCCCGTCTTATGGACTCTGCCTTGCTTTGCTTATGTTTAGCTGTTTCTCTGCTACCTTTCGAGCAGACTTCTTTACTACACTGCACTGGATTGCTATATTTTTAACCAGAAATAAACTAAAGATTAGAGCATGTTCCAGTTAAATTCAGTTTTATTGTTTTCCGTTACATGTTCACTCCCTGTTCCTTCTCGCCGCCTGGTCTGGTGGGGGCATAGGAGAGGGAGGGAGGACTGAAGGTCATACATTTCTGATAATGTCGCTTTCTAAAGGGCTGTGACATTTTTGTACATCTTTTCCATCTTTTAGTAGCAAGTGGTTGCTGCAGACCAGAAGTGAACCAAATAAAGACTCCTGCTCTGTGCAGCTCTCAGACTCCTGCTCTGTGCAGCTCTCACAAAGATCACAGCTGCTTTTGTACATTCCAGTAACTGCATGACACAAAACGGTACCTGTGAGCAGGAAACACATTCACACCATGAGACATGCACAGAGGCAGGTGTCCCTGAGCGAAGTTGTGCAGAGATCTAGGCCTAGGGGCAGTCAGCTCCTGCCGCAACACAACCTAGAAAACCAAGGCGAGAACGGCCCCTTGCCTTCCAGCAGCGAGGGCAGAGGGCAAAGCCACTTCCCTGTGAATTCCAGGAGGATTCAACCAAGGCTAAAATGCCCCGGGTCTGAGAGAATCGAATCTTTAATTGGTTTCCACATGGGGTGATTAAGCAGAAGGCTGCTTCCCGCCTGTCCGGAGCCTCGGCCTTCCCTGACAGGCACGCAGTCCCTCCGCCCAGGCCCAGGGGACCTGCTTCCCTGCACACAGTCGGGCAGGGCAGGACAGCATGTGCCCGGCTGGCTGCTGCTGCATGGAGAATTTGACGAGTTTTCATTAACCCGAGAGCAGCCTGGTGAGAGCCATTTTCCGCCCCAATAGCTTCTTCATGTTTCACCTGTGCACCCGAGGCCAGGAGGAAGTGGTGGCATCCCCTGCAGACAGCAGCGCGGTCTGCGGGGGGTGGGTGTGGACAGCCCATGGGCCAGGCTGGCGTCTCCCCACCCTTACAAGCCTGCAGACAGGTCCACCTCTGGCCCAGGAACAGATGAGCCCCGCCCTGGAAGAGCTGGAGAAGACCCTCTGCCCCGGGGCCTCTGGTGAAACTGTCTGTGCCCACGGCTGGCCTGTTTTACTTACCAGCCTCTGCACACTGGATGGACTGGTGCTTTCTGAAGTTCAGTAGCGCACAGAATGTGCCTGGATAATTTCGGGAACTGAAACAGTCTCTTTATCCATTCTTTTGGATCTAGAACCATTACCTCACAGGATTCCCAAAGATACAGATCAGGCATGCAATGCCTGAGCCGAGCTAACTGACAAGACAGTGGTGATGTAGAAAAGCAGGGCAGGGCCGGGCGCGGTGGCTCATGCCTGTAATCCCAGCACTTTGGGAGGCCAAGGCAGGTGGATCACCTGAGGTCAGGAGCTCGAGGCCAGCCTGACCAACATAGTGAAACCCCATCTCTACTAAAAAAAAAATACAAAAATTAGCCAGGCGTGGTGGCAGGTGCCTGTAATCCCAGCTACTGAGGAGGCTGAGGCAGGAGAATCGCTTGAACCCGGGAGGCAGAGGTTGCAGTGAGCAGAGATCGCGCCACTGCACTCCAGCCTGGACGACAGAGTGAGTCTGTCTCAAAAACAAGATACACACTGTAGAAAGACGGGCCCTCCCCTGCATTCACTCAGCTCGCTCCCCTGTAAGGCCCCAAGCCAGGCCATGGGCCAGCGGTCCCCGGGACGTCCATACTCCAGGCTCTAACCACACTTGCTCCTTTTCACTTGTAGAAGCACATGGCCACCGCGTCTCACGGAGGGCCATCAGTCACCCCCAAGGCGCTGCAGACCTAAAGTGTGGAGAACTCGAGGGAAATGAAATGTTTTTCATACTTTTGCAGTTCAGGTTCTTGGTTGTCCTTTACTCCTTCCCCGGGAGGTTTTATCGACAGCTGGACCCGTCGGACTGAAGAGACCCTGAGGCCTGTGGTGGTCCCCAAGCTGCTGGCGCTCCTGGGCCGTGTGCGGGTGGCAACTCCCCTCACAGTCTTCATGGGACAGTGCGGATTTCACCTCATACGTGCGACAGACGCTCTGCAGGAGACAGCGGAAGGACCGTCTCCCTCCTCTAGGTCATGCTCACTTTCTCTGACTCTTCCGAAGTTTGATCTGACTGTTCTTGCCTTTGGTCTTGGAAACTTGACATCAAGGTGCCTATTAGATTTTCAGTCGTCGCCTTCCATAGCTGCAGGTGCTGTGACTGTTTCTGCCTTCAGCCGGCCGACAGCACCGGGCGCAACAAGCTTCAGGACATCATGATGCCGCCCTCCTGCAGTACCTTTAACCTCGCCCGGGCCAGGGTCTGCCTCCAGCCCAGGACCAAGACCCCGATTCCAGATAAGGCGGAGGGAGGAGGGCAGGGGGTAGAGGGAGGAGGGCAGAGGGTGGAGGGAGGAGGGAGGAAAGAGGGTGGAGGGAGGAGGGCAGAAGAAGAGGGCAGAGGGAAGAGGGTAGAAGGAAGAGGGTGGAGGGAGGAGAGAAGAGGTGGAGGGAGGAAACAGGGTGGAGGGAGGAGGGAGAACGCTGGAGGGCAGAGGGAGGAGGGCAGAGGGCGGAGGGAGGAGGTTGGAGGGCGGAGGGAGGAGGTTGGAGGGCGGAGGGAGGAGGTTGGAGGGCGGAGGGGAGGAGGATGCAGGGCAGAGGGAGGAGATTGGAGGGCGGAGGGAGGAGGTTGGAGGGCAGAGGGGAGGAGGTTGCAGGGCAGAGGGAGGAGGTTGGAGGGCGGAGGGAGGAGGTTGGAGGGTGGAGGGAGGAGGTTGGAGGGCGGAGGGAGGAAGCTGGAGGGCGGAAGGAGTCAGTCAACTCAGGCACCTGGTTGGCTTCTCTCGCGCCCAGGCCGCGTGTCAGGTGAGGCAGTCGGTACGCAGAAACTGAGGAAGCGACTGTCCCCAGGTGCCAAGGAGGTTGCTGGCTCAGCCTTCAAAACAAGCAAGGAAGAGTGCAGCTGCATTTGTTGAAAAAAAGCCAGGCTGTATTTTCACCATGTGCCCCCTGCCTTGAAAATGAACTACGGAATGCACAGCGCGTGGGGGGTGGGTGCTGGAAAGGGACAGAACAAGGGTCCGTGGCAACCACAAAGCACCTGCAGGCCAGCGCTTCCCGATGAGCAGAGGCGGGGGCTGGCACCTGGCGCTGGCTGCAGACGGGAAGTCAACGCCACCAAAGCAGAGGACCTCAGCCACCCAGGTTAGCAAGAGGGTAGCAGGGCGCTCAGGAACAGGTGAAGCCATACTGTGGAGAGAAGCTGAATGCTCCTCCCAAGCTTCAGCCCACCCATTAGGAACAAATGCTCTTTAAGTCTGTTTCTTCATGAAACCCAAAGTGGAAGTGCCTGAGCTGTGAATGCGGCCACAGCGTTCATGCCAGCTTGTTCCCAAGCCTAGGAGAAGCAAGCAGCCCCGTGACGGGCACAGGCCACAGTGTGGGCGTGAGCTCACCCCATGTGTAGCCGGGTGCTGGGCCCAGGCCGCTGGGTTTCTGGGGTCGGCAGAGTGGGCCAGGCAACAACCTCACATGCCTACCTCACTGCCACTCGTCCGCCTCGTCCACTCCTGGCATTTGGGATAAACATCCTGTCTCAGACACACCCTTCTCGTGCGCCCATGCCACCTGCTCAGGCCTATGCCGCCCGCCCGTCCTCCCAAGCGTGCACACCCGTCCGCCATCCTTCTCCCGTCTGTGCCCCATGGGACAGAGGCCTCCAGCTGCACCACCACTGCTCGTTAACAGCTGCCATCCACACCGAGGAAGCCTCTTCGAGCCCAGGGAGTGGAGGATGGGGCTCTGCTGTGCACGTGCTCCCTCGGGCCCTCCCAGCAGTGGTAGATGGGGCTCTGCTCTGTCCTTCTTGGTCATCTTCCTGGGCCTGCAACAAAGCTCAGCCCAGCAGCCAGGCAGCTCCTTACAGAGGCTAACGCCGGGTCTGGTCCCTGGTGACCCCAGGCTGCTGTGAGAACTTGTGACCCCCGAGATCAGAACAGCCTTCGGGTCCCAGAGCTTCCCGCATGATCGTGTGTGGAACAGACCGGGAGATTCCAGCAGATATGGGTTCAACGTTGACCACCAACCTTGACAACCCAAGGGCTGCCTCCCCTGACCATGACAGCCAACTCCTCCTCCACAGTGGCTCTGCCAGGCGCCGAGTCCATAAAGGGCAGCCACTGTTTGGCAAGGAGGGCCGGTCTGCCGGGGGCTCCCAGGCCCTGGGGTCAGGCTGAGAGAGGAAGATGGGTGTGAGGGTGCAGGGGCAGGGGGGCGGGCCCTGCAGGGCAGTGCCTGGCCCGTCCTGCACCCCCAGCCTGGGAACCCCCGGCTTTCTCGCTTGGGCCTCTGGGGAGCCCGCGTCCCCAAATGTAGCCACATCAGAGCACACTTCTCCGGCAGCAACTTCCCAGGCATGTCCGTGGCCTCCTCGGGGGCAGGCGCCCCCTCCTGGACGCTGAGCTGACCTCTCTAGCAGGACTCTGCTCATCTGCACCATTTGCCATTTCCACAGAAACCCTGTCCCCAGAGCCCGGCGGAGAAAAAAACCACAGGGGCCTCTCTGCTCAGGGGAGCCACGCGGAAGAGGCACCCTCGCTCCAGCTGCCAAAGCAACTGAGCCTGCTGCAAACATCTCTGTGAACTCGGACAGGAAACAGTGTTAACCTGTGTTTCCTTCCAAGTCGGCCCTGGCGCATGTGAACTGCTTGCTAATACTGTGTACAATCACGCCGTGCAATGACAGAGAGAACTTTTCTTATTGATGAAGTGGTTTAAAAAGTTACCCTGAGCCTTTTTTCTTTGCTTTTAAGCTGGAAAGATAGCTTGATTACTTATGAAATGAAAAAAAGTTTTCCTAAATGAATGTAACAGTTTAAATCATACTGTTACGAAAACAACACTGTCAAGATTAAAAAGAAATTCTGCTCCTTTTAGTAATAAACAATGTCGTGTGACACTTTGGAACGCTTCTCTCGTTACAAACCAGCGTCTTTACTGAAGGTCCTTCCGCTGCAGAGCTGCGCAATGGATGTGTGGACAGAGCTAGTCGGCACGTGGAGGCTCTCCTGGTTTTCGAGCAGGAAACGTGCTGTGAGCAGGAATCGCGAGTGAGTTCCATGGCGTCCCCGGGTCAGCGCGCGTGCAGGAATCGCGAGTGAGTTCCATGGCGTCCCCGGGTCAGCGCGCGTGGGGTCCTGTCTCGCTGGCTCACCACTGGTGGCCAGGGCATGTCTCCCCCAGCCCTGAGTCTCCGCAGTGGTGACCAGGGCATGTCTCCCCCAGCCCTGAGTCTCCCGGCAGTGGAGGCAGCGTGGGCACAGGGTTTGTCACAGCCTGTAAGTGAATGGAGGACACAAAAATAACCAGAGAGGCAGGCTCTGCCCTCCGGGAGTGCACAGGCGGTTTTTAAAATGTGTGCGTTCATGTAATTAAACGTCTCCGTTTGTTTCTCAGGGAGTGGTTACTCAATTTCTTCCCAGCCAGAGCTTTGTAAACCTGCGCTTCTCACCCCTCAGTGAAGCCTGAGTCCAGCCTCTAAAGGTGGGTCCCCTGGGTGGGCTGCAGCCAGTGGGGGCTTGGAAGGGCTCTGAAGGTTGAGACAAGGAAAACGGGCGTGAGCTGGACTCAGGGAAGCCGGGTCACCGTGGTACCTGCACTGTGGCCCTTGGCCATGACAGTGTGTCAGCTTCCGGCAGGGACTGCTTGTGTGCCTCGGGACACCAGTGACCAGGTGTGGCCAGGCCCCAGATGGCATTGCTGCAGCTCTCTCGTGAAAGAGTAATGGAGGTGACTGCAACCTGCGCCGGGAGCCATCTGGGCTATGAAAACGAGACTGGCCTCCAGCGCCCCCGGCCTCCACACAACACTCTTACACTGCCCAGGAGAGCAGCGGTCACTAGCAAGTTCCTTCCATGCACAAAGGCAGGCAGGCTGAGGCCGTGATCACAGCTAGAGCTCGGCTCCTTTTCCTTCCGGGCTGGGGAACCACCATCCCCCGCTCCTTCTGGAGGAAGGCTGACTCTTCTCTGATGGAAACCATCAAGCACACGGCGCCGCCACCTCACTCCAACACCCGAGTGCCACGTCCAGCGCGGGGTCTCGCCTCGTCACCTGAACGACACGTGGAAGGAGGCGCCTGTGGAGAGCCCTGGGGAGGGTCCTGAACGTCACGGGGAAGGAGGCGCCTGGGGAGGGTCCTGAACCACACGGGGAAGGAGGCGCCTGGGGAGGGCCCTGGGGAGGGTCTTGAATGTCACAGGGAAGGAGGCGCCTGGGGAGGGTCCTGAACATGACAGGGAAGGAGGCGCCTGGGGAGGGTCCTGAACGTCACGGGGAAGGAGGCGCCTGGGGAGGGTCCTGAACATGACAGGGAAGGAGGCGCCTGGGGAGGGTCCTGAACGTCACGGGGAAGGAGGCGCCTGGGGAGGGCCCTGGGGAGGGGTCCTGAACGTCACGGGGAAGGAGGCGCCTGGGGAGGGTCCTGAACGTCACGGAGAAGGAGGCGCCTGGGGAGGGTCCTGGGGAGGGTCTCTCTCACCAACGGGCATCTTGGTATTTGGTCCCCCAGTGACTTTGTCACCTAGCCAATGACATCCTGCTTGTACCAACTCAATTAAAAAAAAAATCAGATGTCAAACTGCAATCAACACTGCTCTCATCTAAACACAAACACAAACCAACTGCCTGGCAAGAATTTCTAAGCTCAATGGGTGGTTCCCTTGATGTTCATTCCACCCAACACCCTCCCGACCCCAAACACGAAAAAAGCCACCGCTCATGGCCAGTCCCTCCAATTCATCCTCACACAGAGCATGGCGCGCATGGGCGGCAGGGGGAGCATGGAGAACAAGACGATTCATCCTTTAAAATCCCACAAAGCCCTGCGAGGAGGAGCTGTGGCCCTGCTGCCAAGCGGGCCGGCCAGAGTGCCTCCCCTGGTACGCCCGCCCACCCTGCAGTCAGGGGTCTGGGGGCCGTGTGGGAGGGCCGCAGCCGAGGGAAAGGCTTCCTAACAGCCAGCAGCTCACCACAGCGAGGAACTGGGCAAGAACGTGGCACCGAGTACGGCGTGTCCCAGCCGCGCCGCGCCAGCAGCTCCCGGGAGACAGAGGCCCTGGGCTTTCGTGCCGGCCGCTCACGCCCTACGGTGGCTATCTGGCCACCAAGTAGTTCGGTAAACTGGGCCCCGGCAGACAGAGCAGACCACAGGCCCGTGGGGCAGGCAGAGCTCCGCCCAGGAATCCACCACCCTGTGTTGTGTTCCGCGTCTCCCACGGTTCCACACTGAAGGGGCCCTGTTTTCATCACGGCCGTGACAGCCACTCCATGCTGGGAGCTTGTCTATCTGATCCCCATTGGTTCTGATCAGCATCTTTCATTCAAACCAAATCTTTAGCAACAAAAGCAAAATGCTTTCTGTGTAAGAAAGTGTACAAGAAGTTTCTTCCTCAGGGCTGCTGTCATCTTTCTTTCAACTGGGTTGATTCAAAAGTCTCTTTTTCCTTGGAATCCCACCTAATCAGTTACAAGCTCCTCTGAAAGAAAAACTGTCTCTCATAACAGACAACTACATTGAAAGCCAACAAGATATTTCCTCTTCTTCCTCCAAGAGCAGGAGGGAAGAAAGAACCGGCCACACAATGGCGTCCATCTTCTGGACAAGGGCTGGAGCCGCAGAGCCGGGCAGGGCCTGGGCGGGGGCGGGGGCGGGGGCGCTGCTGCCTGCGCTCTGGCTTCTCAACCCTGTCCGAGCCTCTTCCAACCAGCTTAGCTGAGAGTGTGAGGAAAGGACCTTGATTGCCCAGCACTCAGACAAAGTGCCCAGACCGGCCGCCAAAGCCGGCGCAACGCAACACAAGCTGCAGCCCTGTGCGGGGTCGGTGCAACACAAACACAAGCTGCAGCTCTCAGGGGGTTGGCACAAGGCAACACAACCTGCAGCCTGAGGGGAGGAGGGGTCGGCGGAACGCAAACACAAGCTGTAGCCCTTGCGGGGGGCGGGCGGGCTGCCGGCGCAAAAGCAAACACAAGCTGCAGCCCTCGCGGGGGGGTCAGCGTAATGCAAACACAAGCTGCAGCCCTCGGGGGGGGGTCAGCGTAATGCAAACACAAGCTGCAGCCCTCGGGGGGGGGTCAGCGCAATGCAAACACAAGCTGCAGCCCTTGAGGGGGTCGGTGGCGGGGAGGGGGGTGAGCTGGCACAACCCAAACACAAGCTGCAGCCCTCGGAGAGGGGGAAGTTGGCGCAATGCAAACACAAGCTGCAGCCCTTGGGGGGGTCGGCGTGGGGGGGTTGGTCGGCACAACACAACACAAGCTGCAGCCTCCAGGGGGGTCGGCGGAGGGGGCCGGCACAACGCAAACACAAGCTGCAGCCCTCGAGGGGGGCGGCACCTGCAGCCTCACTCCTGTCAGCACTGCCACCCACATCCAGACGCACCAGACAGGTGTCCCCACCAGGGAAGAGGCAGTGCCCAGAGCCTTCCCCTTTCTGATCAGCATTCCCATCAAGTGTCAAGTGACAATGGAAGCCTGAAGTGAGGTCACACCGATGGCAGTGGGCGGGGCCCTTGGGGCCAGTTCAAGTGCCACCCACCGAGGCCTCCTGAACACCCGGCTGCACCAGGGAGCTCAGCACGTGCCCTGCTGTGCAAGAGCTGGCCGAGTGCCCCTGAGATGATCCTGAGAGGCGACACTTCTCAAGCCATCGCCCCAAGGTGACCTGGGTTTTCCTGGGCCCACCTGGAGCCGTAAGGATGAAGAGGCCAAGGGAGCGGGGAGGTGCTCACAGGGGCTCGCCACCAAGTCAGCTTCTAGCCCTCTCCCAGCGGTGCTTCCACCCGCCCAGCACCGGCTCCGCCAGGAGGGAAGTCTCCCCACCACCCTTGTTTTCAACTCCCAGATAAGAAATGGGACCATAGTGAATATGTCATCAGCCCCGTTATAGAAAACTAAGGATCCTATATTCCCACTGTTCAAAATATTTAAGATACACAAAAACTGCACCAGGTGTGGTTTCAATGCTCAACTTTTGACCCCAATTATGCAAATCCGAATTGGCCTTCAGTCTTGGACTGGAGCAGGCCTAGGTTGGGAGTTAGCGCACCACAGCCTTCGGGGGCAAGGAGGCCGCAGCGCTGAAGCCAGGAGGAGCTGGATGGGGACACCTGGTGGCAGCCATGTGGGGACGTTGGGAGCCCTCGCCCTCCAGCCTCCCTTCCTGTCGCTTTGCAAATGCTAATCCTAAACCCTAAACCCGACTGGGACAGGGACAGGGATGGTCCCACCACAGCCTCCCAGAGACCACGCGGCGGCAGGTGGCTCCCAGGAGTGAGGCCGCTGCACACGAGGAGCCCCCACCACGAGACCCCCGTGTGCAGCCAGCCAGCGGTGCTTCACGTGAATGAGAACCGGGAAGGTGTGCACTGGCCCTGGTCTGCTTTTCAGTTTCAGGCATCAGAGGCTGATCCCAAGTGTGAATATGGATGGGCAGTCAGGGCCCTCTTCTGGTTTTGCAGAAGGAAAGGCTCACAAAGCACAGCATATTCCGGGGTTTCGGGCACAGAAACCTGCTTCTCGAGGGTCCTTCGTGTCCAAGGTTCCACCCTCCAGTGTGGGGTGGTCTCGCCCTAGGCCCAGCCCTGGCCCGGGGCAGAGGCCCCGGGAAGACTGCGGTGTGCCTAGGGCCACACAGAAGACACCCTCCGCGGTGGTCTTGTTTCAAGTCCAATTTATTTCACACAACACACAGGCTGCTGAGGGAATCCACCTGCACTGCACTCAGTTGAACTTCCGGCCCAGTGCCGCGTCAGAGACTAAACCATGGGAGAAAGTTCACACCCTGGCCTGGGCCACCCACCTTCAGCTCTCTCCTGTGCGTCAGGACGCACGCTGGCCCCAAGAGCTTCACTCAACACGGCTGGGTCCTGGGCGGACGTGGGCACAGCACTTGCCAGGCGCCCCTGGCAGGGGCTCTTCTGATACGCAAGGAGGAAGGAATGAGAGAGAAACACATTCAGCCGAGGGGGAGGCCCGTGCAGGAGGGGTAGAGAGAACACCGGGTTTTCAGGGAAGACCTCATCAAAGAGCCCACAGGCACACGGCACTCATTAGCAAGCTGCCCAAATTACTCCACACACCAACGTTTTTAAAAAATTTACAAAGCTGAATTCCAATAAGCATCCGATAAACATGAAAAGCCTTTCACGAACACCCAGCAGCCGCGCCACCCGCCAGCCCGAGCCCGCTCACCTCAGTCCTCCGCACCGCTCTCCTCTCCGCTGTCTTCGTCGTCGACCCCACCCTCGGCGCCCTCAACCTCCTCACTGTCCTCTTCCGAGTCCGTCTCCTCCAGCCACTCCTGAGTTTCTTCAAAAGCAGAATGAACGCACATACACGTCAGCGCAGCTGAGGCAGGTGGGGGAGGCTGCGGGACGGTGGTGGCTACGTCCTGGGGGGATTCCATTTTCTTAAGAACCATAATGTGAAACCTAACTCCTCTTCCCCGACCCCCTTCAGATCCACAAAGGAAACAGACTGCGTTCCCCTGGGCTTCAGGACAGAGATCCGAGACGGCAAACATGCAAAAGCACCCCCATAACGGAGCGGCTGGCCAACGGGGCCTCCTGCCACCCTCCACCCCGGCTCACGGTGTTCTCACAAAACAGCAAACATCCTGTGCCAACAGTTCACCACCTTTCCCTAGATTTGTGGATTTTGCTTTAGTCTCAGATCTTTAAAAACTGCATGGTGACTCGATCCCAGCAGCAGTTGGGGTAAAGGGGACGTGTGACTACGGCAGCAGAGGGGCCCTGGGTCAGGCAGCAAGGCTGGAGGCTCAGACCCAGGGCCTCGGGGCCCGGCTCGGACGGCCATCCACAAACAAGCATGCTGTGGACGGAGCAGCAGATGCACCCGTGTCCTGTGCCGCCAGAGCCGCAGCTCCCGTCAGCACCCGGGACAAAGGACAGACGTGCCCAGGGTGGGCCCCCCTTTCCACAACAGGGTCCTGTTCTCCGTCAATCTGACCGTGGAGGCAGGAGCACAGGCGAGAAGTGTCGGCACAGGCCGCCTCTGGGCAGCTTGCAGGGCTTGCTTTCGAGGGACGCGACACACGACCGTGGGCTCTCGCTCCCGGGCACGGAGGCACCAAGCTGCCTGGCTCACCTGGGTCCATCTCCACCAAGGCCTTCCACGCCTCCATCCTGTGCAGGTCCAGGCAGTGCAGGTCGCTGAGGGTGACCTGGCGGTCGCCGGCCTCAAACATGCCCCCATAGACGTAGAGCACCCCATGCTTCACAGCCAGCATGGCGTTGGAGCGTGGACACGGCCCAGGTGCGGGGCTGCCGGCCTCCTCAAGGCTGTCTTCGTCCTCAGACCGGGGCTGCCCCGCCGAGCCTGGCGCGGTGAGCACCTGCTTAATGGTGACCACGGTGCCATCCTCGGCCACCACCTCCTTGACCAGCTGCACAGGCCCCTGGGTGCCAGCTCCCCCACACGCCGGCCTGCTACCACCTTCGGGCTCCTCTTTTCTGCCCCGCCTGCGTTTCTTCTTTTCAGACTTGGGTCCCTATTAATAGACCGAGGAAGCAGAGAGCAGCAGCTTCAGCGAGGCAGGGGTCATTCCTGCTATGCCCACAAGGCCAGGCAAGGGTTTGCGGGGACCACCCACAAGCGTGGGGAGTGTGTGACCCAGGAAGGCGCCATCCCTGACTGCCCTGGGTGCAGGCACTGGGCTGCAGGAGCACGCTCCTGTCTCCCACTAGCCTCGCCGTTCACTCCTGGGCTGGGGCAGAAAACCCCCCACTGCGTGTCCTCACTGAGGGGCCGCTCCACACCTCCACTGAGAGGTGGACAGGCCCACCAGACCCCACACACAGGGCACCAGCCCCACAGGCTCCGACGCTCACCCTGGGAAAACCCAATCACCCACAGTGCTGGCTCCCAGAAGGGCTGGGGAAGCCAGGCTGAGGGGCTTCCTCCCCTTTCCCAAGCAAGACAGACGGTCAGGCCCACAAGCCCAGCTCATTTACTACAAACGGCGAGCCAGAGAGGGGCCCTTCCTCACCAAACGTTTTTAAAGGGGAGCTCTCAGGTCAGGCTGCCTCCTGCAGGACAGCTGTCCATCCCTCTCTGTCCCACTTCCCTGGCTGCGTCGCAGGGGTCAGTCTGGACCCTTCTGTCACAGCCTTTGTCATTTTGTCACAAAACGCTGCCAGCTCACGAGGTGACATTTGCCAGGTTATTTCCAAATTTTCCAAGGATCACTACCTCCAGATCAACCCAAAGTCAGCTTCACATTCTAGACTTCTAAGATCCACTTTGTGTCTGGACTCTGCAACAGTGAGTTTCAAAAGGGAAAGCTCTCTGAGGTCCTCCGTAATCCTGGGGAATGTCAACGGCCCTGAGATCACAGTGTGAGAACCGTGACACTAGCTGGGGTCAACACGCTCTCTGAAGAAAAGCCACAGGGGAAACCTGTGTAGACTCTGCTTGGAGCAATTCCTTCTAAAGTAAAAGAGCGAGGCGGACTGTGGGTCCAGAAACGAACCCGCGTGTTTTTCCAATTTCCAGCCCAGGTGCCACCACACGTCAAAAGCAGCTTCAGGAGTTTGCAACCAACAGCGACCAGCCCTCCTTGGCCCTTTCTGGGTCCGGCTGACCTGGTACACTCAGAGACCCTGAGGCCAACTGGGGGATCCCCTTCTGGGACTGTCACCCACTGCTGTGCCTGTGCTGGGCTGGCCCTGGACAGCAGCTATGCTCACGTGGACAGTAAAGATGGTGTCGGAAACCAGGGAAGCTCAAGGGTCATAACACAGGCTGGTCCACACCAGGACCTCCAGCAAACCCTTCTCACACAGAGGGCCGGGGAGGTCCCGGGCACCTCAGCCCAGGGCAACTGGCTTCTGAGGTAGCAGCCCCGCCAGCATCCAGGACAGACTAAGGGGACCGTGACCAAGGGCTCTCCAAGCCTAGTCACCCAGGACAGTCAGAGACGGAACCCTCGCCCCTCTTGAGAGAGCTCATGGGCTTTGGGGGCCCCAATACCAAAAGGTGCTGGAGGAAGGCAGTGGTGGCAGGGACCCAAGTTAGGGCTGCGCACCACGGCGCATGCTACTCAGAGGTTGCACTACCTTCAGCTGTCCCTCAAACCAACGGTTCCTGGTGGCGTCGTAGAAGTACAGATCGTTGAAGAACTCGCCCGACAGGCTCTCCTCCTCTTCCTCGTCACAGACACCCCCGAAGAACAGTGTCTGGTGATTCGGGGCCATGGCCACGGAAAAGCCAGACCGTGGGGTGGGCTTGACCCCCGAAGGGTTCATCCGAGTCCAAACCCACTTGTCTGTCAAAAGAGAACAAGGAAGTGGGATAAGAACACAAGGAAGGACCCTGAGAGCCAGCCCAGGACACGCTCAGGACCCCAGGTGCCCCCCAGAATGGGGTAAATGAAAACCGTGAGACTGTGGGCAAAAACTCTGCTCCCTCTGCAGAAAAACAGACACCATTCAACTCCCCTCGAGTTCCACCCTTTTCCTTAAGAGAGCTGGCATTCAACAGCTTTCCACACACCCCCAAGCACCTCTAAACTAGGGGCAGCTACAAGCCGCAGTGGAAAGGCAGGGATTGGGCAGAAGCAGCACACACGCTAGACACACAGAGGGGCTTCTGTGGGGAGGCTGCCCTGCACAGGGACCCTCCGCCCGGCACGGGGACCCTTCGCCCAGGGGGCTGAGTGGCCTGCACCAGCCCCCCTTGGGCCTGCACGGGGACCCTCCACCCTGCACGGGGAACCTTCACCCAGGGGGCTGAATGCCTGTGCCAGCCCCCCTTGGGCCTGCACGGGGACCCTCCGCCCTGCAAGGGGACCCTTCGCCCAGGGGGCTGAATGCCTGTGCCAGCCGCCCTTGGGCCTGCACGGGGACCCTCCGCCCTGCACAGGGACCCTTCGCCCGGGGGCTGCAGTGTGGCCAGCGAGGAGCCTTCGCCTGGGGTCTGAGTGCCTGCACCAGCCCCACCTTGGGCTGCAGTGTGGCCAGCTCTACTTCAGGAAGGGTCTATGTTCTCTCTTGGCACGCGCCTATGTGATGTGCCAACCCTCAAACAGAGCCCAATGTGCAGATGTCTCCCCACCACTTCTAGGAGACAGAATGGAGATTTTTTTCCTCCAATGAACATTTAAAAAAAAAAACAGAAGCAGCAAATGGACGTATTCTGTGTGGTGCTAGACGTCACCCGCCCATGCCCAGTGTGGGCGTGGCTCTGGGGCCCCCGCCTCATTCCCACCAGCACATGACTGTGTGAAGGAACAGGGAAGACCACCACAAGAACTCGCCACACAGGGCAGGACCCTCTCCGGTGACAGAAACCCACACACACAAGGTGTGTCGCTCCTCACCACGATGCTTTCCTCCTGGGGGCTGACGAGCAGAGCACACAGGCTCAGGGCCGCCCTGCGGGAAACAGTCCAGCATCCAGGTTCAAGTTCACTGGGGTGTAGGCTGGAAAGTGACTGAAAGAAGGCGTCTGTCCTATCAGCCAGGGTGCAGTAAGGCAGGGCCCTGGGAGAGGCACCTGGGCCTTTTGACAGGCAAATGGGTGTGGACTCAGATTAACCCTTCGGGTATTTCTGAGGCCTCAGCATGAGGAATTTTAGTGCAAGAAGGAGGTAAAAACACTTTGCACAATGGTCCCCTCTCCTGGGGAGGCTGGAGAACTTGCTGTGGGTCACAAAAGCAGACCTGGCCTAGGCATTGGGTCTCCTGGGTCTAGCCCAGCCCTCTGGTCCCAAGCCACAGCCTCCCATAAGAGAGCTGTCCCCTGGTTTCCTAACGGCACTGGGGACGCTAAACTCCACGGCAAACACCCTTGATCTGTGCCTCCTGGCATCACTCTCTTGCTCTGGAGCAGAACAAATGCCATTGTCTCCTTCTATTTATTTTTTATTTTTTGAGACAGAGTCTCACTCTGTTGCCTAGGCTGGAGTGCAGTGGCACGATCTCAGCTGACGGCAGCCTCCACCTCCTGGGCTAGAACAATCCTCCCACCTCAGCGTCCCCAGTAGCTAGAACTACAGACGTGCGCCAGCACACCTGGCTACATATTTTTTTTGTTTTTTTGAGACAGAGTCTCGCTCTGTCGCCCAGGCTGGAGTGCGGTGGTGCAATCTCGGCTCACTGCAAGCTCCACCTCCGAGGTTCACGCCATTCTCCTGCCTCAGCCTCCCGAGTAGCTGGAACTACAGGCACACACGCCAGCACACCTGGCTACGTTTTTTTTTTAAGAGATGGTGTGTCACTATGTTGCCCAGGCTGGTTTCAAACTCTTGGCCTCAAGCAATCCTCCCACCTCAGCCTCCCAAAGTGCTGGGATTATAGGTATGAGCCACTGCGCCCAGCCAGTAACAAATGCAATTTTTTTCAAAATCAAGAAATTAATGATTGAAAAGTAGCAGGCCACCCCCATCCCCCCGCCCATGCTCCACACAGGCACGGCTTCTTCCGCTTCAGAGGTCTGTGAGAACTGACGGGCAGCCACTGGCAGGAAACGCCGCCAACAGTTCATCTCAGCACATGACCCACGCCCAGGAACATGAAACGTGCCATGTGTAGAAGGTGGTGAGAGTGGCTGACACATCCTGGGCCCTCTGGGTGCCAGAGCCATGTAAAGGGCTGTCCCCTAGGTCATCCCATGTCATCCTTTTAAAAAGTCCCAGAGAATGATGATTGTTCCCCTGTGCTTTAGTAAGAAAATTTTGATTCTTAGATCCCAGTTTAGCTAAAAGCTTTTAGAAATCTAGGCATTCTAACAGCCCCGAGTTCAGTAACTCAAGCTGACAGAGGCCACGGCCGTTCTTGGAGGCCGTCCCTGTGAGGGCCAATAGCAGTCTCGGTGATGACTTCTGAAGTTCTGTGCATGAGCAACACCGACCCCTGGCTGGGAAGCCCACACCCAGCCTGCCCAGCTGCTGCCCGCAACCACCCCAAGAGCGAGGCCCGTCACCACAGTGCCAGGCAGCCCCAGTGACTCCTGGTGGCTTGTACTCAAGGCCCAGGATGGTTCTCCCTTCGAGAGCTCAAGACCCTTGGAGGGGCCCATCAGGAGCTGCTGAGGGGCACTGTGCTCACTGCTCCACAGAGGGCTGTCTGCAGGGTAACAGCGCCCGTGCTTCTCAGTCAGTCCATCATCAATGCCCCCAAAGGTGATTGCCCAGCAGACACCAGGGCTATGGAGCCTGTCCCACCCGGCCCACCCCGAAATGAGCCATCTCGGCAGGCCCTCCGCTCCGGGCAGGGTGCAGGGGCTCACCGCCAGCCCCACATCCATGGGAGGGTGTGGGCTCTGCCTCCCGCCACACACAGACCAGCCAGCTCCCGCCCTGGAGGCACAGCACCTCTACCTTCTCTTCCGTCCTCTGGCTTCAGCAGGAACATGTCTGAGTGCCGTGTGCCCTTGTCCACGTCTTTCTTAACTCTCTGCAATGGAAAGGAATTGTGTGAGAACCGGGGGCAGCTACAGTGGTTGCTTACAGACCCCCCAACCCTGTGGGCGCATTTTGGATGGAAGGGGCTGGAGGCCTTCCCTGTAGACCAGCCCCAAAGCTCCAAAGCGTGCCTGCAGTGTGCTCAGGGCTGGCACCACCTGACAGGCTTTATCCCCCAAATGGGTCCATCTGAAGAGGCCACCTTTCTAATGGCCGCGATCACACAGTACACTAGAGTTCCTGTCGGGGCACGCACAGCTTCCACAGCAGCCCTGGTCTGTGTGGAAACCACCACAGGGGCCTCTGATACCATTACAGAGTCACTCTTTGTTCCTGATCCCGGTGGATCCCCACCGCCTTCCAAATAACACGACTCAGGCTTCACAGCAGAAATCAAGTTACTACTGTGTGCAGAGGGCAGGCACTGCCCACTGAAAGACTTCTCCAAGCTTCGAAAACAACGCGCTCCATGTCCCTTAGCCCTTAGTCTTCTGCCTCAAGTGAGCCTCAGCTGGACCAGGTGCACTGTTCCCCAGCACCCATGCCCTACAAGTCCTGGTGCCACACCCATTACCTGGGACCTAAGGTTGTGAGGGAGATAGCCAGCAAAACGCTCACCCTGGGTGGAGGGCCCCCATCCATTTCCATCTCATCTTTGTATTTGTTTGCACTTTAATTCTCTATTTTTAATACACTATTTTAGAAGTTTTGTATTTGCAGAAAATTGAGACGATAGTACCGAGAGCTCTCACACGCCCACACCAATGTCCTCCCAGCATGAATACCTTCCTCTCCTTGGCGCCCTTGTGACGGATCAGGAACCGGCACTGACCCGTTACCGGGAGCGTGGCCCACACTTCATTCACTGCCCCAGTGCTCCGCAGCTCATCCTGCCCAGGGATCCCGTCGAGGGTCCCACTGGCCGTTTCGTCCTGTCGCCTCCTCAGGTTCCTCTGGGCCCTGAGCTTCTCCGACTCTCCTTGTCTCTGAGGACCATGATAGCTGTGTGGATGGCTCAGGAGTTTTATAGAGTGCCCCTCTACTGGGACTGTCTGCTGTCTTTCTCATTAGACTGGGGTTATGAATCATTAGGACGATCCCCGGGGTGAAGTGCCCATCTCATCACATCCCATCAAGGGTCCACACCATCAACAGGACTCATCACAGTGGATGCTGACATCGACCGCCTGGCTGAGGTCGTGTCTGACAGTTTCTCTTCAGCTCTATGTTCTCACAGATATTGACACAGACTTCGGCCACGCTACTGTGGTCGCAGGGGTAGTGACACAGACTTCAGGCATGCTCTGTGCCTCATGGATACTGACACAGACTTCAGGCACGCTCAGTGCCTCGTGGATATTGACACAGGCTTTGGGCACGCTCTGTGTCTCATGGATATTGACAGACTTTGGGCACATTCTAAGGTCTTGTGGATATTTATGCAGACTTTGGGTAGGCTCTATGTCTCGTAGATATTGACACAGACTTCAGGTACGCTCTATGTCTCGTGGATACTGACGTAGACTTTGGGTACACACTATGGTCTTGTGGATATTTATGTAGACTTTGGGTACGCGCTATGTCTCGTGGATATTGACGTAGACTTTGGGTACACGCTATGGTCTTGTGGATATTGACGTAGACTTTGGGTACGCGCTATGTCTCGTGGATACTGACATAGACTTTGGGTACACGCTATGGTCTTGTAGATATTGACGTAGACTTTGGGTACACGCTATGGTCTTGTGGATATTGACGTAGACTCTGGGTACGCGCTATGTCTCGTGGATACTGACGCAGAGTTCGGCTATGCTCTATCACTACCCATCTTTGTTGCTCGGGTTGTTCAACGACACACAGCTGCCACTAGGAGCCTTTACAGCTACTCTTGGGTCCCTGTGACTTGCACCATCTTTGTGGGTTCCTTTGAGCACCTCCTTAGGCTCTGGCACCACAAGATGCTCAATTCCTCCTATATACTCCCTGCTCGGCCCTACGATTCGCCATTTCTCAAGGGAGCCCTGGTTCCCTTTGTTGGAGAATAGTGTTAGAAACCAAGAAACCAGGGGCCGGGCACGGTGGCTTACACCTGTAATCCCAGCACTTCAGGAGGCCGAGGGGGGTAGACCATGAGGTCAGGAGATCAAGACTAATCCTGGCTAACACGATGAAACCCCATCTCTACGAAAAATACAAAAAAATTAGCCAGGCACAGTGGCAGGCGCCTGTAGTCCCAGCTACTGGGGAGGCTGAGGCAGGAGAATGGCATGAACCCAGGAGGCGGAGCTTGCAGTGAGCCGAGATCTCGCCACTGCACTCCAGCCTGGGCGACAGAGCGAGACTCCGTCTCAAAAAAAAGAAAAGAAAAGAAACTAAGATACCAAGATTTGCTGTAATCCCAGCACTTTGAGAGTCCAAGGTGGGCAGACTGCTTGAGTTCAGGAGTTCAAGACCAGCCTGGGCAATGGCAAAAACCCATCTCTCCCAAAAAATATGAAAATCAGCCAGGCATGGTGGCATGCATCTGTAGTCTCAGCTACTCCCAACGCTGAGGTGGGAGGACTACTTGAGCCTGAAAGGCAGAGGCTGCAGTGAGCCAAGATCATGCCACTGCACTCCAGCCTGGACGACAGAGTGAGACTTCTCAAAAATTAAAAAAATTAAAGAGACCAAGATTTGGGCAATGGATGTGTAAACTGCTACCGGGTAGTATTGTTTCTAGGCCGTCCCATCTGGTAGAGCAAGGAAATATTTGTTTATGGTTATTTTTCTTATAGCTAACATGTACTGTATTTACTATAATGGAAAAAAAACATTTTCCTTTTGAAACATGCAAATGATCCACTGTCCACAGAGACTTCATATTTCCACCTGGGCCTGAGTGTCCTAAAACTAAGAGGGCTCCACATTGGCCATATGGAGAGTGACCTGAATCTCAGGAAGTGAAAACTGAGTCTGGGTCTCTTTTGTTCTCCTTCTGGAAACATCTGTGCAATTCCAGTGATGCAGTTTCTGCACATTACAGACAGTGATTGAGACTAGTCTCTTTTTGTAACAGGTTGATAGAAAATGGCTGTCATTTCCATGCCTGCTTTTCCAAACCTAAGGGCCTAGCATTATTGTGAACTGAATTGACACCCAGAGACTTCATCTGCTGGGGGGACAAGGAAGGAATTCAGTGACGTCTCTATTTGTCATCAGAAACTCAAATCGCTGCTTAGCTTCGGCAGGTCTCTGTCTCCTTGTAGTACCCTGCACCTGTCTATATGAACCGTCTTGTTTTGCTGACAGCAACATTGTCTTCTTAGAATTAACAGCCTATGGGGGAATGTTTTATGCTACAATATTTAAGTACTTCCCCTCCAGACCATGCAAGCCAGAGAGGTGGAGCACTTCACAAGGCCTGATCTGCTCACACGGGTCCACAGGTTCCTTCCGGCACACAGCTGGCTGGCCACACCCTCTAACAGGGCCCATGGTTCGACCTCCCCAACAGCTTCTAACTCCTCCTTCTACAGCAGTTTCTTTTCTTGAAGTGTTGTGACTTTTCCCAAAATCCAACCTGTCTGTCTTCAAAGAAAGTAACAGACAACGGCCTTGTTGCCCTCTGTTTTTCTGGATCACCTGTGCTCAAGCTCTATTAGCATACACCAAACCAGCTTTACATTCACGCAGTCTTTCCACAAAAACCGATTCGCTCTCGCTCTCCCTCTCCCTCTCCCTCCCCCTCTCCCTCCCCCTCCCTCTCCCTCCCCCTCTCCTCCCCCTCCCCCTCCCTCTCCCTCCACAGTCTCCCTCTCCCTCTCCCTCTCTCTCCACGGTCTCCCTCTGATGCCGAGCGGAGGCTGGACTGTACTGCCGCCATCTCGGCTCACTGCAACCTCCCTGCCTGATTCTCCTGCCTCAGCCTGCTGAGTGCCTGGGATTGCAGGCACGCGCCGCCACGCCTGACTGGTTTTTGCTGGAGTGCAGTGGCGTGATCTCGGCTCGCTACAACCCCCACCTCCCAGCCACCTGCCTTGGCCTCCCAAAGTGCTGAGATTGCAGCCTCTGCCCGGCCGCCACCTCGTCTGGGAAGTGAGGAGCGTCTCTGCCTGGCCGCCCATCGTCTGGGATGTGAGGAGCCCCTCTGCCCGGCTGCCCAGCCTGGGAAGTGAGGAGCGCCTCTTCCCGGCCGCCATCCTGTCTGGGAAGTGACGAGCGTCTCTGACCGGCCGCCCATCGTCTGAGATGTGGGGAGTGCCTCTGCCCCGCCGCCCCGTCTGGGATGTGAGGAGTGCCTCTGTCCGGCCGCGACCCCGTCTGGGAACTGAGGAGTGTCTCTGCCCAGCCGCCACCCTGTCTGGGAGGTGAGGAGCGTCTCTGCCCGGCCGCCCGGTCTGAGAAGTGAGGAGCCCCTCCGCCCGGCAGCCGCCCCCTCCGGGAAGTGAGGAGCGTCTCCGCCCAGCAGCCACCCCATCCGGGAGGTGGGGGGCAGCCCCCGCCCGGCCAGCCGCCCCGTCTGGGAGGGAGGTGGTGGATGCCTCTGCCCGGCTGCCCCGTCTGGGAAGTGAGGATCTTCCCGGCCGCCACCCCGTCTGGGAGGAGTACCCAACAGCTCATTGAGAATGGGCCATGATGATGATGGTGGTTTTGTCAAATAGAAAAGGGGGAAATGTGGGGAAAAGAAAGAGAGATCAGATTGTTACTGTGTCTGTGTGCAAAGAGGTAGACATGGGAGACTCCATTTTGTTCTGTACTAAGAAAAATTCTTCTGCCTTGGGATGCTGTTAATCTATAACCTTACCCCCAACCCTGTGCTCTCTGAAACATGTGCTGTGTCCACTCAGGGTTAAATGGATTAAGGGCGGTGCAAGATGTACTTTGTTAAACAGATGCTTGAAGGCAGCATACTCGTTAAGAGTCATCACCACTCCCTAATCTCAACTACCCAGGGACACAAACACACGGAAGGCCGCAGGGTCCTCTGCCTAGGAAAACCAGAGACCTTTGTTCACATGTTTATCTGCTGACCTTCCCTCCACTGTTGTCCTATGACCCAGCCAAATCCCCCTCTCCGAGAAACACCCAAGAATGATCAATAAATACTAAAAAAAAAAAACAAAAAACTGATTCGGCTACGGTAAAGTAGTAAACAGAATCTGCATGAATTTTTGGAGAAGTTAGACTTCATTCTAATACATTATTGCTGGAATGCAAAGACATCTGAGAGAGAGATCAAGTGTCAACATGGAGGGTGAGCGCAACAGGGCTGGCTCTGGAATTACTTAGCATCCGGCTGAGACCCCAGAGCCCAGCAGAGCTGTGCCTGAACGTTTGGAGGCGCATCGGCCGCACACGCCAAGTCCCAACGGGCCCCCACCTCCCGCACAATGTAGTACAGGCCACCTAGCTTAGCCTGCAGCCACATCCCCTGATGAGACCCCACCTCCCGCAGAAGTACAGGCCACTTAGCTTAGCCTGCAGTGAGTCCTCAATGCAGCTGCTTTGGCTCACCCGGCTGTCGGCTCAGACGCCGACCCATTTCAATCATCAGGAGAGGAGAAGACACACAGGGCCGCCCCAAGGACCCCGTCACCAGCTCAGGCCAGGTCACAGAATGGGCCGGCGGTGCAGTGGTAGGTAGATAAAGGCCGGGGAGCGTTTGTGGGAGAAGACGGCCAGACGACTGGTCCTGGGAGAAGACAGTGCTAACGGCAGCACTGATGTTCACCGAAATCACAATCAGGCAGGGATAGGGTGTCGGTTCCAAGCGGACGTGTGTGAACACAGAAACCATGGGGGCCGCTCCTTCCCACACCACTGAGACTGTCCATCCAGGCGCCCGAAGACGACTCCTAAACCACCTTTGCCAGACGCAGGTCCAGCAACCCATCAAGAGCACAGCTCGGGCAAGCAGCGACCGCACGCACCGTGCCCTCCTCACCACACAACCACAGGTGATGAGCCCCTGCGGAGACGCCGCGCCCCTGGGGAGACGCCGCACCACATCAGTGCACAGGAGGCATCTCACGTTTTGCGGGGCTTGGGAGAGAGGGACCCATGACGAGAGGACCCCCGCCCAACCACGTGTCGCGAGAGCAGCATGAAGCCGCGCGCCCCCTCCAGGCAGAGCTGCTGCTAAAATGACACCCTGTCGGTTACGGTTAGCATCACTTCCATCAGCACCACTTCTAGTCAGCTTCCTTTTGAAAACTGCTTCAGGGAAGCTGCTCCAGAAGCCCATGCATGTGCCCTGCCACAGCCGCAGCCTCTTTGGGGACACTGCTGTCGCGATGGTTTCTGCAGAGCCAGCCCGGGGTCCCCACCGTGCCTGCCTCTCCAGTCACTCAGTCCTTTCTCCTGGAACCGGGTCAAGTCCCTCTGCGTGTCTGAACCGGGACAAGGCCCTGCCTGCTTCCATACCTGAAGCTGGGCCCCAGGGCACCTTCCCATCCACATCCGAGACCACCTTCTTAACGGCCAACGGCCACTCAACCCCCCACAGCCAAGACTTCTACCTGTCGCTTTCCAAGACTGAACATTTTCAGCTTCGCCATTAAAAAATACACCCAGAAGGCCGGGCATAGTGGCTCATGCCTGTAATCCCAGCACTTTGGGAGGCCGAGACGGGCGGATCACAAGGTCAGGAGATCGAGACCATCCTGGCTAACGCAGTAAAACCCCGTCTCTACTAAAAATATAAAAAATTAGCCGGGTGTGGTGGCAGGCGCCTGTAGTCCCACCTACTCCGGAGGCAGGAGAATGGCGTGAACCCGGTGGGTGGAGCTTGCAGTGCGCCGAGATTGCCCCACTGCACTCCAGCCTGGGGGATAGAGCGAGACTCTGTCTCTAAAAAAAAAAAAAAAAAAAAAAAAATACACCCAGAAACAGGTGTGGCCACAGGTCTGCGTGTGCTGGAACATGAGTAGAAGCCACTGTCGCGCCCAATTCCCCAGCACGAGACAAGCTGAGACAACCTGCAGCCGGTGACCTGGGAGAGCTGGGCACGGACCTCAGGGGCCAGGTGAGCACGGAGCTCTGGCTCCGAGGTCAGCCGGGATCTCCCAAGTCACACAGTCCACACTCGCAACAACTCTGTCTGCTTCTGGTATTCCAGGAGCTCAGCTCCCAAGTGGCAAATGAAAGGACGCTCTGGCCTCTGCCAGCATGCTCCACGGCCTCGCGGTAACAGTGGGGCGTGCAGAGAACAGCCCTCTCCTGGTTATGCATGGACGTTATCTCCTGACCTCCAGGCGCACAATGACAACTGAGGTCAAAACGCAGGCAGGAAGGAGGGCCCCGTCCTCAGCAGGACTCCGCCCCTCGCTGCCCATGTGTCCATGGAAACAGACCACTAGGTGATAAACCTTCCACCGTCGCGCCCCCACCCTCCCCATCCAAACACCATTTCCAAAGAGCTGTGCTGGTTCCCTGACTCTCTAAAGGAACGAGAACTCCCCCTCTCCAGAAGCTCCCACGACACCGGAAGCACATACTAAGGACTGAGTCTTTGACACGTGAATGTTGCTGGGTCTAAGGACTGAGTCTTTGACACGTGAATGCTGCTGGGTCTGCTGTCCCACACGCTGCATCTCTTTCGTTAGGATACAAGTCATCATAGTCAAAGCACTAGCTGGACCCAGACTGACTCGGAATTTATAAAACGTGGTTACGATACTGACCAAAGCTGCCGGTTCTTCGTGGCAGCGCAGAGCCTGGAGGGTGTTTAAAGTCCTCCCAAGGCTACTCAGATGCATCTCCTGAGGGAGCCTGGGACGGGATCTGGTTACAGGAGGAGGAAGGAGGGCAGGTGTCTGTGAGTTCCTCTTAATCTACAGGCAGGTCCAGCCCCAAGGTCAAGGCTCTGAGCACTACTGTCCACTTCATGAACCCGAGCTCTTCACATGTCAAACTCTGGAGCCTTGCCATGCAGAACCACGGTCAGAATGCCTTCATCTGATCAAACACTGTCAAGCACGCCACTGTCCAGGCACCAGGCACGCAAGTGGACAGAAGACTGGCCCTGTGAGACTCTCTTCTCCGGGCTGAGAGACAATGGCCAAGTCTGTAACCAGCAGGGAGGATGGTGAGCAGAAGGACAAGGACACGCAGGGGGATGGAAACTGGGGCCGCCCTGCTGAGACGAGGACCATGGGGGTTCTGCATAGAGGAGACCTGGCCTGGCTTGCATCTCTGCAGGTCACTCCAGCTGCTGCACTGTGGTGTGATCCTGAGGGCCCCGGGGAGGCGCCAGGTCTGGCAGGAGAGTGCAGTGCATGGCAGTGGGCAGGGGTCAGGCACTCTCCAAGCCACCTCTACTTGCTCAGTGAAATGTGAGGTGAGGGTGGGTGGCGGGTGGCAGGACCTCCTGGGAGCATGGACGGGGCCTGCGTGGGAGAGAGGCGTGTGCCCACAGTGTGTGGGGTCTTCTCTGGCCTGGGCCGCGCAGCAGCACAGCACAGCTGGGTCATGCCAAGAGGACAGAGCATGGCGGGTGAGGGTGTAATGGCGCCAGAGCAAGGACGAGCTTCCCCCAGCCCCAAGCTCAGGTACGGGCCATGTACCAAAGTTTCTATCAGTTCGTGCACACTGCCGCTTCAGCCATGGCGCAGCTGACCACCTGCTTAGGCTACTGACTTTTTTTTACACTCCAAACCATTCACAACTCAAATCTCTCGCTAATTCTGATAAATCTCTCATGAATCCAAACAGACAAGCTTTTCACTGCAATTCCAAATGCCACAGGCTCAGAGCCAAGAGCTACTGAACTAAGTGGATTGAGATCACCCACCGTCAGACTGAGGGCGGGTGCACGTGGCTGCAGACAGCAGCTGCTGAGAATGACACGCGACTCTGATGAAAGCGATACAGCTTAGCCGGTCTGGCTGTTCACCGTCCTGCTGCACTCTACGACACATCTGCTGGGAGAAAGCACTAGACCGGGGCATCCTGCCTGGCTTTCAGCCAAGTCAGCCTGTTCTCAGTGCCCTCCCACATGCCAGAATATCTAGACAAGCCTGACCGATGCCAGCCACTACTCCAGAAAATAGGGTGATTTTCTCTGTGCAGAACAAAAGATGACCAAGAAAAAAATCGGGTCATTCCGATCAACTCGGTACAATCTCTGACCAACTGCCATTAAAAGGCTGAAATCCTTTATTGCCAAGGCAGCAGAATGAACGTGGATCAGAATGGAGAAACAGACCTATGTTCCTGCAGGCATGTGATTTTCAACAAAGGTTCCTAAGGTATTCAATGGAGAATAAAAAGCCTTTTCTTTTTTCTTTTTTTTGAGATGAGTCTTGCTCTATTGCCCAGGCTGGAATGTAGCAGCACAATCTTGGCTCACTGCAACCTCCGCCTCCCGGGTTCAAGTGATTCTCCTATCTCAGCCTCCCGAGTAGCTGGGATTACAGGCACGCCCCACCACGCCTGGCTAATTTTTGTATTTTTCAGTAGACATGGGGTTTCACCATGTTGGCCAGGCTGATCTCGAACTCCTGACCTCGAGTGATCCGCCCGACTCAGCCTCCCAAAGTGCTGGGATTACAGGCGTGAGCCACTGTGCTCGGCCTAAAAAGCCTTTCCAACAGATGCTGCTGAGACAAGTGAGTATCTACATGGGGGAAACAGCCTCAACACTCACCTAATGCTGCTCTTGAGAATTAGTCCCGGGCAGATCACAGGGCTAACTGTGAAACCATATCATTTTTAGAGAAAAATAAAAGAAAATCTTTGTTACTGAAGCTAAACAAGGTCTTCCTGTATCACAGACCGCAATAATCACAAAAGAAAAACGTAATAAATTAGATTTTATCAAAAACTCAAAGCTTCTCATCAACAAACACTTCGGAAGGTGACCAGCCAAGCCACTACTGGGAGGGTATTTGTAATCCACACACCTGAAAAGAACTGGTGTCCAGAATGTCACCTTCTGCAACTCACTAACAAAAACTACAGCCCATTAAAAATAGCAGAAGACATGAACACACACTTCAGGAAAGACAAGCTCATGAAAAGCACTCAACACCAGCAGTCATGAGAGAAATGAGAATTAAAACCACGAGGTACCACACATCCACCAGAGCAGCTAAAAACAGAAAGACTGACGCCATTGGGGCTGGTATGAACAGGGGGCAACTGGAACTCCCCAACATTTCCAGCACAAGTGGAACCGGCCACTGCTTCGGGAAGAGAGCTGACCATTCCTTATTAAATAACACCCACACCCACACCCACCCCAGGGCCCAGCAGCTCCACTCCAGATATCTATTTACCCAAGAGAAACCAACACACGCAGCCACTCAAAAGATTATTATGGACGTGCTCATAGCAGCTTCAGTCACAGCTGCTTCCAAAGGCTGTGTCTTCTGAAGAACGGAAACAGCCCAGGTGTCCAACGAAAAACAGAACCACAAACTGTGGGACAGTCATATAATGGAACACTTCAGCACGAAGCAGCAATGAACAGAAACATGCAACACGTGGGTCTGAAAAGCTGAGGGAAAGAAGACTGGCCCCACACATCTGGGTGACTTGTTTAGCAGAAGCTCCAGGACAGGCAGATCTATTACGGTGGGAAAATCAGAGCAGCGTCACCTCTGGGCGGAGGGGAGGGTGGGCAGCGGGGCCGAGTGGGAAGGGCACGGCAGGATCAGGGTGTGAGTCACACGGTGCCCGCACTTGTAAAAATGTGTCCCCTCACTGTGGGTCAATGACGCATAGGAAATTACCACCGACTACAGGCGCCCGCCACCACGCCCGGCTAATTTTTTGTATTTTTAGTAGAGACGGGGTTTCACAGTGTTAGCCAGGATGGTCTCGATCTCTTGACCTCGTGAGCCGCCCGCCTCGGCCTCCCAAAGTGCTGGGATTACAGGCGTGAGCCACCGCGCCCAGCCTAAGCATAGCAAAATCTTAATAGCAGGATCTAGGAGGAGTATACAGGTGTTCCCCGTAAAATTCTTTCAAAAGTTAGCTGTGGTTGAAAATTTTCAAAATACAAAGGATTTTTTAAACCCCTACAGTGAGATACTACTTCATACCTCTCAGATTCACAGAAATGTAAAGGTTGGCAGAGTGTGAAATGGGAGTGAAGCAACAGGAACACTTGAGTTCCGAGGACAGAGCCTGTGCCAGCCGCCTCTGTGAAGCACACGCCCCACGAGCAGCAGGCACATGTGAGGAGCACACACTCCACGAGCAGATGCCAGTACACGTGCAGAGCACACGCCCCAAGAGCAGGAGGCTCCGGGGTGGGCGCGAGAACATTCCTGTCAGCACTGTTCTCAGGTTACCAAAGAAACAAGCCCGTTAACAGGAGCGAGGAGAATTTCATTCCACAGAGACTACTACACAGTAGTGAGCGTCCATGGTGCAGGAAGGAGACCCTCAGAACACAGAATCGCTCACACTGCACTGCTGACAGGGGTGTGGAGAACAGAACAGGGCCCTAACACGGCACCAAGTTCACAGAGGAGCCGATTAACACTATCTCTATTTCTAATTCTATACAAAGAACTGTTTATATTCAACCAATGAGTAATCCCATGTGAAAGCTTCAATGTTCATGAAACTGAAGAGACCACAGACAGCAGCGCCTATTTTCCCACGCCGCAACTCACCCGTCTCCCCACCCCGCGCCTCGCCCGTCTCCCCACGCCGCGCCTCGCCCGTCTCCCCACGCCGCGCCTCGGCCCGTCTCCCCACGCCGCGCCTCGCCCGTCTCCCCACGCCGCGCCTCGCCCGTCTCCCCACGCCGCGCCTCGCCCGTCTCCCCACGCCGCGCCTCGCCCGTCTCCCCACGCCGCGCCTCGCCCGTCTCCCCACGCCGCGCCTCGCCCGTCTCCCCACGCCGCGCCTCGCCCGTCTCCCCACGCCGCGCCTCGCCCGTCTCCCCACGCCGCGCCTCGCCCGTCTCCCCACCCCGCGCCTCGCCCGTCTCCCCACGCCGCGCCTCGCCCGTCTCCCCACGCCGCGCCTCGCCCGTCTCCCCACGCCGCGCCTCGCCCGTCTCCCCACGCCGCGCCTCGCCCGTCTCCCCACGCCGCGCCTCGCCCGTCTCCCCACGCCGCGCCTCGCCCGTCTCCCCACGCCGCGCCTCGCCCGTCTCCCCACCCCGCGCCTCGCCCGTCTCCCCACCCCGCGCCTCGCCTGTTTCCCGGTCCCACGCCTTGCCTGTTTCCCCACCCCCCGCCTTACCTGTTTCGAGTAGCCCCCATAGACGACGATGCCGCCCTGGGGAGTGACGGACATCTGGCAGCCTGATCTGGGTGTGGGCCCCGTCCCTGACGGGGACAGCTTGCTCCATGTGAAGGTGTCCAGATTAAAGGCATACACGTCGTTGTAGTAGATGTAATCCCTGGTTAGAAGAACAGCAGCTGTCAGGGTCCGTAACATTGGGAAAAGCCCTGACATTAAAAACTGAACTGATTTAAATTAAAGGTAAATTTCCTACTGTTTGGGGAAAAACTCAAACCATTTTTCTCCTCTGCTCTTACACCAACACAACAATCAACACAGAAACGTGGCCGCTTTCCCTGCAACGAGCCAGAGACGCCAGTCAGGTCTCCTCAAACTCAATCTTGACGCAATCTACCTGGAGACAGGGCAACATTTTCACCTGTTTAATTCAAGTTTGAATTGATATGAAAGGACCACAAGCACGTATGAGTTTGCATTTGAAAACCGGAAATAATGCTGGCCCACAGAGGCAGAGGAATTTAATCTGAAAGCCATACTGCGTTTTCTTACACAGTTAACACAATCAGAGACAATTCCATTAGGTTATTAGGTGTGCAACCGTAAGGGCAGCAGTGAATGGCGCCTCCAAAGGGATGATCAGAACGGAGGTGTGAGCAGCCTGGCAGCAAGGGTGGTAAGGCCCCACAGTGGACTGGAGGGGTGAGCGAGGGGACTGGGCGCTCCAGGGAAACTGAAGACCACAGAAGCCGACCCTCTGTGCCCGAAATCACAGCGCGGCAAGGAGGCCCCGCAGCCTTGCCCTGCTCAGTGCCTGCCGGACCCAGCACGCAGACTGGGCTGAACAGGGAAGTGGCAGCTTTGCTGGAGGCATGGGGAGACTCGGAGGCGCACCCAGAAAGTCCTGTCCTAATGTGGAACTTTGACACAATTATCGTGAAAGCGTAAGGGGCTGCTCTCCAGCTACTCAAAAAGGAGAGCCAAACTCATTTTTTAAGGAAAGCATGGAAGAGCAAGCAGCTCTAGCCCAAGTCTCAAGTGCCCGGTTTTCTCCTGTTTGTTCCTGTTTTGTGTGAAGCAGGAAAAGTCACAGGGCGTTTACCCAGCACCAGCTGCCACATCTGGTCTTAAGATAAACAGCCTGGGCACAGTGGCTCACACCTGCAATCCCAGCACTTTGGGAGTCTCAGGCAGGTAGATCACTTGAGGCGAGGAGTTCAAAAACAGCCTGGACAATATGGTGAAACCTTGTCTCTACTAAAAACACAAAAAATTAGCCAAGCATGGGGGCGGGTGCCTATAATCCCAGCTACTCAGGAGGCTGAGGCACGAGAATAGTTTGAACCTACGAGGTGGAGGCTACAGTGAGCTGATCACGCCACTGCACTCCAGCCTGGGCGATCGAGTGAGAATCTGTCTCAAAAAAAGAAGAAAGAAAAGATAACCTGACCTTGCTGACTGCAACTCAGACTGACCACATCCTTCGCAGGACGATGGCTCTTAATATAGATAGAATCTGAGGAATGTGGAAATGTGGAAGCGTGTAATCTTTAAAAGACTGCTACAGACCACTGTTTTTTTCAGATTTCACGTCGCAGATTTTTAGTACAAAGATTCTACTTTGCACGTAAGATAAATACAGAATATTTTCTCTATAAATGCAGAATAGAGTTTAAGGAAAACTCCCAAGTTGGTATTTGAATAATTTTAAACAAGATAACAACAGCTTTGAAAAAAGTTCTGATTTTAAAATGGTTGCAAGTTAAAACAAACATGAAGCATGATTTGATTTATAACCTGTAAGTTCAAAGGAGGAAGGGGCTGTACAATCTCACTGTCCTACACATAGTAGGTAATGAATTAATGCTCTGACAAACTTATGTGTGCATTCTGACAATTATTTGTTTTAAAATAAATTTTAAGAATGAACATAAGGCTAGGCGCGGGGGCTCAAGCCTATAATCACAGCACTTTGGGAGGCCGAGGCATGTGGATCATGAGGTCAGGAGTTCGAGACCAGCCTGGCGAACATAGTGAAACCCCGTCTCTACTAAAAATACAAAAATTAGCTGGGCATGCGGCTCACTTCAACATCCGCCTCCCCAGTTCAAGCGATTCTCTTGTATCAGCCTCCCGAGTGCCTGGGATTAAAGGTGTGCACCACCACACCTGGCTAATTTTTTGTATTTTTTAGTAGAGATGAGTTTTTGCCATGTTGGCCAGGCTGGTCTCAAACTTCTGGCCTCAAGTGATCCACCCACCTCAGCCTCCCAAAGTGCTGAGATTACACATGTGAGCCACTGTACCCAGCCTTAAATACTTTTTAGTTTGAATTACATTTTTAAATCTTTCCCCCTTGAAAAGTATTTAAGAATTTGGATCCCTTTTCCCCCCGAATTCACAAAATTAATGAGACTATATCAGTGAAGAAAATCTGAAACCCGGCTGGGCGCGGTGGCTTACGCCTGTAATCCCAGCACTCTGGGAGGCTGTACAGACTTATCACGATGGATCAAGAATCACGAGAGGGTGCGACTGGACTCACCATGTGACAAAGGTGTGAGTGGCACCTTCACATCAATCAATTGCCATGCTGGTTCCTGAGGGACCAGTAGAGAAAGAGGGCTTCAAATGAGGCCCCGGAGATACAGACAGCCACTGTCTCTGACACCACGATGCCAGCAGAGAGCCTTCAAAGATGACCTTCACCAGGGTTGCAGAGTCTGCGACACTTCACTCAGAACACAACTGCACTTATGACAGAAACAGGGATAACCAGCTCCCCTGTGTCTTGCTTTTCTGGACTGAACTAAGTAAGCTCAAGAAGATAACGTGAGCAGATAACAGGCCTAAAACAATGAGAGAGCCCGCAGCTCACCCTGGGCAGCCATGCCAGCTGCACGAACACCCACGTGACATCAAAAGAGAACCGCAGGCCTCTTCCGGCATCGCTGTGGAGAGTGTGCTATCACTGCTCTCCCGGACAGGAGTGTTTTGAAGTGATTACAGACCCGTGGCTCTCAAAGTGAAGTCCCCTGGCCAGCAACGTCAACATCACCTGGGAGCTTGTTAAAATGCAGATTCCTGGGCCTCACTCCAGGCCTCTGACTCAGAGCTGCGATCAGCACTCTAACCAGCCCTCTAGGGTATTCTGAACCAGGCTAAGGTTTGAGAATCCCATTTTATTTTTTTATTTATTTATTTTTTCAAACGAAGTCTCGCTTTGTCACCCAGGCTGGAGTTCAGTGGCATGATCTCAACTCACTGCAACCTCCATCTCCTGGGTTCAAGCGATTCTCCTGCCTCAGCCTCCTGAGTAGCTGAGATTACAGGCACCTGCCACCACGCCTGGCCAATTTTTGTATTTTTAGTAGAGACAGCGTTTCACTATGTTGGCCACGCTGGTTTCGAACTCTTGAGCTCAAGTGATCCACCCGCCTCAGCCTCCCAAAGTGCTGGGATTATAGGCGTGAGGCACCATGCCCAGCCAAAACCCCATTTTAGATAGAACTAGCCACATCATTTGCAGGACCTGGTGTAAAATTAAAATGTGGGGTCCCTTGTTCAACAATGGTTAAGAATTTCAATAGGAATACAGCATGAAGCCAGTGTGAGGCCCGGTGTGAGGCCCTTTGGAGGGCAAGGCCCTGTGTGGCTGCCCAAAGCTCATGAAGCTGGATTTGGGAGGATGGGTGCGTCTTTCTTGTGTATTCAGAATGCTCTTTCTATAAAAAGCCCACTCCTTAATGCTTCAGGAGAGAAAGATTTTTCCGTTCTTGGTACCAACCGTGTACTTTCATGGAAGCCACCAAACAGGATCAATTGTCTCTTCCAGGCCACCATCCGATGTCCACTCCGACCCGAAGGACCGCCTGTTGATCTAAAATGAAATAAACAAAAAGACACTATCAACCTGCTTAATTTCTGGTTGTTCTAAAGACGACAACAACAAACAAAATCCAATTTTTACACTGATTTCTGTTTTGTGAGCACTTACTGCTCACAAATTAAATACCATTTAATCTGATCTATCAACTACCAAAACCATCCTGCTAAGAGCCCAGCTAGCTAAGCTCAAACCTCAAGAATAAAACAGGAGAACATCTCCAAGACCTTGGACTGCATAAAGATTTCCTAGGTAGAACATTATAAACTGGACTCCGCCAACATAAAAAACTTCAAAAATACACCATTAGAAAATAAAAAGACAAGCAACAGACAGAGAAATATCTTGAAACACATGACTGACAAATGACTTGTATCCAGAATACATACAGAATTCTTTTTTTTTTTTTTTTTTTTTTTTTTTTTTTTTTTGAGATGGACTCTCCCTCTGTCTCCCATGCTGGAGTTCAGTGGCCAGATCTCGGCTCACTGCAACCTTCGCCTCCAAAGTTCAAGCGGTTCTCCTGCCTCAGCCTCCTGAGTAGCTGGAATTACAAGCGTGCACCACCACACCTGGCTGATTTTTTGTATTTCTAGTACAGATGGGGTTTCACCATGTTGGCCAGGCTGGTCTCGAACTCCTGACCTCAAACCTCAAGTGATCTGCCTGACTCAGACTCCCAAAGTGCTGAGATTACAGGCATGAGCCACTGTGCCCGGCCCAGAATTCTATCTTAATAGTAAGATAAATGACCCAATAAAAATATAGGCAAAAGATTTGATCAGAAAGTTCGTAAGATAGAAAAATGGGGGGAAAAAAGATGGAAAAAGGCCAATGAAAAAAGGAAAGATGCCCAACATCACGAGCGGTCAGGGAAACATATGCCAAGTCCACAGTGACTTCCTACCACACATGGCTGGGCACCCGAGATCAAGACAACATCAAGTGCTGGCGAGGACATGGGGCTGCTGGAGCCATGGCACCGGTGAAAACGTAACACAGTGAAACAACGGTGAAACATAAACTTAGCGCACAGCTTAGCAATCTGACATAAGACATGGACTCAAGAGAAAGGAAAACACCAGTCCACACAGACGGACATGCACAAGTTTATACACGCTCTTGTGTCACCACCAGCAGCCGAGCTGTCCCTCAGTGGGTGAATGAACAGCATGTGGTGCTCCCCACATGGGGGAGGACTTCTCAGAAACAAAAAGGAATTGTTTACTGATGCACACAGCAATGTGAATGAATCTTAAAAACATCTCGCTGAAGGAAGGCAGGTTCTGCTGGACTCCATGCACACGAGCGTCTTAAAGGTGAGATCCGTCTTCGGCCCAGGATAGCTGCTCGGGGCAGGAGCTGGGAGGGGACCAACTACAGCTCTCTGGGGTGACAAGGGCCTACATCTTGTCTGTGGTGCTAATTACATAAGTGTGCATATTTCTTTTTTTTTTTTTTTTTTGAGACAGCGTTTCATTCTTGCCCAGGCCGGAGTGCAGTGGTGCAATCTCGGCTCCCTGCAACCTCCGCCTCCAGGGTTCAAGTGAATCTCCTGTCTCAGCCTCCCAAGTACCTGGGATTACAGGTGCCTGCCACCACGACCAGCTAATTTTTGTATTTTTAGTAGAGATGGGGTTTCATCATATTGGTCAGGCTGGTCTCGAACTCCTGACCTCAGGTGATTTGCCTGCCTCGGCCTCCCAAAGTGCTGGGATTACAGGCATGAGCCACCGCCTCTGGTCAGGTGTGTATATTTCTTAACACTCATCTAAGTGTACATCTAAAAGGCATGCATTTTATTGAATTTTATTGTAATTATGTCTCAATAAAACTGATATAAAAATACATGGCAATAAAAAAATACAAAAAGCAAATTTAAAACCTTAAAAATACACACAAATAATACAATCACACACAAATAACACATAAATAACTACAATCAACCTCCCTAGTAATCAAAGAATTTCAAATAAAGCAGAGATACCATTTTATTCTATCAACTTGACAAAGATGTTTAAGAATTAGATTCTTTAAAATACTGCATGTCACGGGACAATGCTCGAAAAACAGCACGTGAAAAGGCAGGTCCAAAGCAAATCCTATCCCAGCTTCTACAGGTAAAAAGGCAGGTGCAAAGCAAATCCTATCCCAGCTTCTACAGGTGAAAAGGCAGGTGCAAAGCAAATCCTATCCCAGCTTCTACAGGTGAAAAGGCAGGTGCAAAGCAAATCCTATCCCAGCTTCTATAGGTGAAAAGGCAGGTGCAAAGCAAATCCTATCCCAGCTTCTATAGGTGAAAAGGCAGGTGCAAAGCAAATCCTATCCCAGCTTCTATAGGTGAAAAGGCAGGTGCAAAGCAAATCCTATCCCAGCTTCTATCGGTGAAAAGGCAGGTGCAAAGCAAATCCTATCCCAGCTTTTATCGGTGAAAAGGCAGGTGCAAAGCAAATCCTATCCCAGCTTCTATCGGTGAAAAGGCAGGTGCAAAGCAAATCCTATCCCAGCTTCTACAGGTGAAAAGGCAGGTGCAAAGCAAATCCTAACCCAGCTTCTACATGGGTGGTTCTCAGTGGTTTTCTTGTCTTAATCGTTTCCTGCATCTCCCAGCAGTCCTCCAGTGAGCAGGCGTGACTTTCACAACCAGAGAGAGGAGCAACAAAACAGACAGGGGTGGTGAGGAGGCGCTCGGGCAGCAGGTGCTCAGAAAGCTCGCAGAGGTGCTTACGCCGGCCACAGATGTGCAGGGCGCCCAGGCACAGAGGAGGCGGGGCACACAGGAATGGCTTTGGGCTGCAACATCAGGCTGAACAGGGTGCGTGTGCTGGGACTACCCAGGGAATCTCCTAGAGCCGCAGGCACCAGGGCAGGGCCTTAAGGAGGGTTGCTGGGCACAGTCACTGCAGCCACTCCCTGGGATCCTCACTGATGACCTGCCTCGCCTCCTACTTAGGAATCCACTCCCTGGGATCCTCACTGATGACCTGCCTCGCCTCCTACTTAGGAATCCACTCCCTGGGATCCTCACTGATGACCTGCCTCGCCTCCTACTTAGGAATCCACTCCCTGGGATCCTCACTGATGACCTGCCTCTCCTCCTACTTAGGAATCCACTCCCTGGGATCCTCACTGATGACCTGCCTCGCCTCCTACTTAGGAATCCACTCCCTGGGATCCTCCGTGGCTTTCACACCCACTCTCTGCCTGGCCCTCCCACCTCTCCACACAGGTCACAGCAACTCTGGGCTGCAAAGGATGGTTACAGCTTCAATCACGCAAGTCAGTGCCTATTTAGATAATGCATTCTTCCTCCATTTATTTTTTGTGCATGTTACACAGCTGTCCCCAAAACCCACTTACAGGGTTTTATGTAAAAGCCCAGAAATGGGCAGGTACCCTAAAAAACACAAGAGGGCCGGGCGCGGTGGCTCACGCCTGTCATCCCCAGCACTTTGAGAGGCCAAGGTGGGCGGATCACGAGGTCAGGAGCTCAAGACCAGCCTCACCAACATGGTGAAACCCTGTCTATACTAAAAATACAGTAATTAGCTTGGCGTCGTGGAGGCACCTGTAATGCCAGCTACTCAGGAGGCTGAGGCAGGAGAATTGCTTGAACCCAGGAGGTGGGAGCTGCAGTGAGCCGACACTGCGCCACTGCACTCCAGTCTGGGCGATAGAGCAAGACTCCGTCTCAAGAAAAAAAAAACACAAGACATCAAGACATGGAATCTCAAACGTAAAAGGAAGCTTGAGTGATCTAATCCAAGTTTACTGAAGTTCAGAGATAATTCACCACATCATCAGGGTGACTGCCAGGAGTCTTCGCTTGCTCCAAGCTGGAGCGAATTCGGTTCTCACTGCTCAAACGCGGGATCCCACCAGCTTCTCTCCTCTAGCACCCTCCATCATATCAGCACCCCTTTCAATGTATCACTGAAAATGACAACCACACCCCTCCATGGAATGTCAACCAGAAGCAATCAGTTCCTTTTTCTAGACACCAATTCTATTAATCCAACCCGGAGTTGGCATGAGCCTTTGGGGTGGCCTCTTCACATAGGGATACCCAGCAGGATCTCAGCTCACTAAGTTTCTTTGGAGTCCTGCAAGCTGGCCTCACTTCACAGTTCCACAGACTCCACAGCAGCTCCATCCCCTCCGGGCTTGGCACCGCAGGGGACAGCACCATCCAGCGGACACACTACACATGAGAGTCAATTGAGAAGAAAACCCCACACATGCGGAGCAAGAAAAGAACGCCCCTCCCCCTCCTGGCAAATTTCCCGATGCCCCCTCCCACTCCTGACGAATTGCCTGACGCCCCTCCCCCTCCTGACGAATTGCCTGACGCCCCTCCCCCTCCTGACGAATTGCCCGACGCCCCCTCCCCCCCAGACGAATTTCCTGATGGATTACTTTATAAGAACAATCTGAGGATCAGACCTTCATTCAAAACTAAACCAGTGCTGAAACCCCGTCTCTACTAAAAATACAAAAAAATTAGCCAGGCATGGTGGCGGGCGCCTGTAGTCCCAGCTACTCAGGAGGCTGAGGCAGGAGAATGGCGTGAACCCGGGAGGCGGAGCTTGCAGTGAGCAGAGATCGCACCACTGCACTCCAGCCTGGGCAACACAGCGAGACTCCGTCTCAAAAAAAAAAAAAAGAAAAAAAAAAAACTAAACCAGTGTGTCTGCATCCAAGTCCGCTTCAAAAAATGACAGAGGAGAACCGAGCGCTGCCACTGCCGTCCCCAACCAGCGAGGGAACACAGGCCTGGGGCCTGCTGCAGCCCCATAGATGGGGCGCCCCCCGCTGCCCTAACTGCGCTGGGGCGGGGCCTCCTTTCACTGCCTGCATGGGAACCCCACCAGAGTCTCATCCTCTGGCTGACACAACGGACTCAATTAACTTTTTGTGGCAGTAGCCAAATATCACCGTTTTCTACCTAAAAGGGGAAAATTTTCTATAAAAAGATTCCACGTCCCTCTTTAGAAAAATAAAGCTACTTTAAAAAGCCCATTTATATTTGAAACCCCAACAGGCTTCTCAAAACTGCTGTCATTCCTAAATACGAAGTCTTAAAAAATCCACATGTCCTCCTCAGCCAGAGGCCTATGGACAGCACAAAATACAGGGGAATGTCGTGGTGGCGGCTGCCTCGAGGCTCAGCAGCTGCGTGCAGGATGGAGCTCCAAGCAGGGCAAGCTGCCAGGCAGTGTCACCACCAGGCCCCTCGACTGGGCCGCTGTGGTGACATTTACAGAAAACTCTACATGCTTAGGGTACAGTCAGAATTAAACACTCTGCATGCAAACGCTTCTCTGAGTTAAGCACTCTGCATGCAAACGCTTCTCTGAGTGACTTTACAGTCTACACCTTACAAAATTATACAACATACAGTCACGCACTGCTTAATGACAGAGACGGGTTCTGGGAAACAACACATCATTAGGCGACCTTGTCATTGTGCTGTCCGAGTGCACGCACACACTTCTGGAAGGCACAGCCTGCCACACGCCTGCACTGACGGGAGAGCCCAATGCTTATAGGCTACAAACCTGGACAGCACAGTACTGTCCCAGACACTCTAAGCCACTGTAACACAATGGCAAGTAGATGTCTCAACACACAGAAGGGAAGTAAAAACACAGTCTGATCATCTTAGCGGACCACCAGTATGTATGGTCCGTCGTGAACAGAAACATCGTGAGGCAGCCCGACAGCAGGACCACTGCTGCACCGGCGGCCTAGAGACATCTGCTGAGCAAAGGAGCAATTCCTGCCGGATCCCTGAGAGTCTAGTGGCTCATCCTCAGACTAGAGAGCCCCTGTCTTTCAAAAGCAGTTACAGCACAGCCAGGGAGAGCCGTGTGCATGCACCTCCCCTACCATTTCAAACACATGCCTTGGAAACTTCGCCCTGCTTTTCCGAGTATCAAGTCCATCAAATAACAAATGATAGTGTAAAGACAGGGCACTTAATCACGTTATGTGGCATGATTAGTAGCCGTCTCCAGAATTCAGGCAACTTATAAACCACACCCTTGTCTCATCTTAATGATTACTACTCAGAGAAAAACCACCATTTGTGTTTATTCTATGCCAGGCACAGTCCTTTTATGTGCATTTATCCTCACAGCAAACTCGTGGTGCAGATATTACCTTTATTCTCATTTTACAGACAAGGAAATCGGCCGGGCGCGGTGGCTCACGCCTGTAATCCCAGTACTTTGGGAGGCCGAGGTGGGTGGATCACCTGAGGTCAGGAGTTCGAGACCAGCCTGGCCAACATGGTAAAACCCTGCCTCTTATTAAAAATATAACATTAGCCAGGCATGGTGGTAGGCACCTGTAATCCCAGCTACTTGGGAGGCTGAGGCAGGAGAATTGCTTGAACTCAGGAGGCAGAGGCTGCAGTGACCCGAGATGGCGCCTTTGTACTCCAGCCTGGGCGACAAAAAAAAAAAAAAAAAAAAAAAGATAAGAAAACCAAGACTAACAAGTCAGGATACCCAGGAAAGCAGTCAGTGGCACAGCCAGAATTTGAACCAAGGTGTTCTGGCTGTCAACACTGATTAAGACACTAAATGACATCACATGAAGTTAGAGGCCTCAGCACTGAAATAAACCTATGGCTCAAAAACCACTTACCCTAGGCCAGGGGCGGTGGCTCACGCCTGTAATCCCAGCACTTTGGGAGGCCAAAGCAGCCAGATCACTTGAAGTCAGGAGTTCAAGACCAGCCTGGCCAACATGGTGAAACCCCGACTCTCCTAAAAATACAAAAATTAGCCGAGCGTGGTGGTGCGCACCTGTAATCCCAGCTACTTGGAAAGCTGAGGCAAGAGAATCACTTGAACTCAGGAGGCGGAGGTTGCCGTGAGCCGAGATCACACCACCGCACTCCAGCTCACCTTCCCGGTTTCTCTACAAATCAGTCTTTTTTTTTTTTTTTTTGAGACAGTCTCGCTCTGTCACCCAGGCTGGAGCACAATGGCACGATCTCAGCTCACTGCTACCTCCACCTCCCGGGTTCAAGCAATTATTCCACCTAAGACTCCCGAGTAGCTGCAATTACAGGTGCCCACCATCATGCCTGGCTAATATTTTTCTGTATTTCTGTAGAGATGGCGTTTCACCATGTTGGTCAAGATGGTCTTGAACTCCTGACCTCAGGTGATCCGCCTGCCTCGGCCTCCCAAAGTGCTGGGATTACAGGTGTGAACCACTGCGCCCAGCCCAGTCTCTCTAAGTACATGTGGGTCCCACCTCCGTCCTATCAGAGATAGAAACTATCATCCGTCAGCAAACAGCACAACGGGGAATCCATACACACCCCGGCCTTCCAGCAGGGCAGGTTCTGCCTTCATGAGCTACTGCTGTTTGCTGTCGATAGACCCCAGGTTACTGTGGAGTCAGAGAGCTTCAGACCATGCAACCCAACCCACCACCCAGAGGGCAGAGCAGGGTGTGTCCATTCCTATGGTGACCTGTACTTCACACCTGAGACTCTCAGAGGCCAGTCACTGTTAGCTAACTCGTTGCGGTCCTTCACTACAGAATCGTAAAGTAACGGAATCATCCTGCCGAGGAGCCTTCTCCAGGAAACTGACTTTCACTCAGATGCAGCTTTAGCTGAGGACCAAATGAGGACCCTTCCTCACATCAGGAGAAAACAGTGCGTATGCCTGCGCACACACGGACGTGCACACACACACACACACACACATCTATATCTTCATCCAACCAAACAGTACCGATCATCTCCCAAGTGCTCCGGTGCATACAAAGATGTATGCACTGTCCGTGAACTTTCACAGCAACACTGCAAGAGCAGAAAAGTGGAAACAACCCAAGTGCCCAACAGAAAACCAAAACGTGGTCCATCCACACACCAGCACCTCATCCACACACCAGCACCTCATCCATCCACACACCAGCACCTCATCCATCCACACAGCACCTCATCCATCCACACACCAGCATCTCATCCATCCACACACCAGCATCTCATCCATCCACACACCAGCACCTCATCCATCCACACACCAGCACCTCATCCACCCACACACCAGCACCTCATCCATCCACACACCAGCACCTCATCCACACACCAGCACCTCATCCATCCACACACCAGCACCTCATCCATCCACACACCAGCACCTCATCCACCCACACACCAGCACCTCATCCATCCACACACCAGCACCTCATCCACACACCAGCACCTCATCCATCCACACACCAGCACCTCATCCACCCACACACCAGCACCTCATCCACCCACACACCAGCACCTCATCCATCCACACACCAGCACCTCATCCATCCACACACCAGCACCTCATCCATCCACACACCAGCACCTCATCCATCCACACACCAGCATCTCATCCATCCACACACCAGCACCTCATCCATCCACACACCAGCACCTCATCCATCCACACACCAGCACCTCATCCATCCACACACCAGCACCTCATCCATCCACACACCAGCACCTCATCCATCCACACACCAGCATCTCATCCACACACCAGCACCTCATCCATCCACACACCAGCATCTCATCCACACACCAGCACCTCATCCATCCACACACCAGCATCTCATCCATCCACACACCAGCACCTCATCCATCCACACACCAGCACCTCATCCATCCACACAACAGCATCTCATCCATCCACACACCAGCATCTCATCCATCCACACACCAGCACGTCATCCATCCACACACCAGCACCTCATCCACACACCAGCATCTCATCCATCCACACACCAGCACCTCATCCACACAACAGCATCTCATCCATCCACACACCAGCACGTCATCCATCCACACACCAGCACCTCATCCACACACCAGCATCTCATCCATCCACACACCAGCACCTCATCCATCCACACACCAGCACGTCATCCATCCACACACCAGCACGTCATCCATCCACACACCAGCACGTCATCCATCCACACACCAGCACGTCATACATCCACACACCAGCACCTCATCTGGCCACGGGAGTGAAGTGCTGATACTCGCAACAGCAGGACACGTCCTGACAGCACCACGCGGAAAGAAGAGCCCGTCACAGAGGCCACGTGTTTTGATTCCGCTTTTATGAAATACCCAGAAGAGGCAGATCCACAGACACAGACAGCAGGGACCGGGGACGGTGGGGTGTCTGCTAAAAAGACGGTTTTTCTTTCTGGGGGATGAAAATGCACCAACTTTAGATCATGGTGTTGGCTGCGCAATTCTGTGAACATGCTAAAGACCAATGAATGACACATTTTAAAGGGTGATTTGAGGGTATATGAATCACATCTCAGAGAAAGCTGTTATGAAACACCTATCGGGCGGGGTCCTAAAGTGGAGTCACAGATCATCCCTCAGAGGGCACTGGCCCAGAAACCAATGGAGGGAGACGAATCTCCCCCAACCCCCTGCACCTTCTCCAGGGGACAGGAAGAGAAGGTGGCAAGTGCCTGGAGAAACGCTGGCTGTGATGTGTGGCAGGCAGACCTAACCAAACTCTGAATCTTCAAAGCCAGCAAGCTCAGCCGGCAGGGCAGGCCCACCGTGACTGAGGAGGGAAATGAGAGAGCTCCAGTGATCCCACCCGACATGTGTGCATCCCGAGGGGACCACCGGCTCCGCTCTGCTCCCTATCCCAGAGGCCCAGGGCTGAGCAGCACAACGGGAGATTGACAAGTTGTGGGGGTGGGGAGAGGGGAAACCCTACTTTGGGGGTTCCCAGGAGCAGCCGCCTCCCCTCCTGCTCCAGAGCCTAATGCTGGGAGGATCCAGGCCGGACTGGGCAACAGGGCCTCTCTCCCGCCCAGCCCAGCGGAGGGTGGCTCCCACCTTCCTGGGAGCTGCCTGCACCCCCAGCTGTGACCCATCTCCACCAGGACACACCTTCGTCAAAGGAAAATGCTCTGCAAACACCAGATGCTGGTGTTTTTAGTGTTTCACAGTTTCCAGTCACTCTTGCCAATAACCGCAGACAGACTTTCAGTCACCAGCATCTGTTTACATGCGAGGGAAAAGGGGAGTCTTACAACCCCCTCCTCTTCCCAGCCCTTCCCACGCCCTCCATAATTAACACCACTGCCCTGAGCACAGCTCCTGCTGTTGCATCTAACTCCCTTCAAACTCACATGAGCGCACACACATTTAAAACAAACACACAGAAACAAAAATAAGAAACAGTACGGAGATCTATGCTGCAAAGTCGCAATGGGGCAGCTTTGCAGGCAACTCCCACTCAAGCAAGAGACTGAAGAGATCTCAAAATAGCTGCTAGCGCTGGCCACACGCAGCCCTCCAACGAGGCACGGATGCTCCCGCACGTGAGTTTTGGTCTTGAGGTCAGCATTGCCATTACCCCCCTCATTTCCAAACCATTATGACGTCAAGTATATGTGTCTGTTGCTAGAATGGAGAAGATGAGGGACTGTTACAAAGTATCCACATGATGTCCTGTCTGTTGCTAGAATGGAGAAGACAATGAGAGACTGTTAAAAAGTATCCACTAGTCATCCAATGTGCTACAAAAACACCCGCCAGCCAACCAACCAACACATAGCAGAAGGCAGCCAGCCAGCGCTGGCCTGGACAGAGGCCCAGGCGCCCTGCTGCCTGCCAGTTGGAGGTCCATGGCCTGTTAGGAATCAGGTCGCACAGCAGGAGGTGAGGGGGCCAGCAGGCATCAAAGGCTGAGCCCCACCTCCTGTCAAAGCAGCAGCAGCATTAGACTCTCACAGGAGTGAGAACCCTGTTGTGGGCTGCACACACCATAGATCCAGGTTGCGGAATCTAGGTTGTGAGCTCCTTAGGACAATCTAATGCCTGATGATCTGAGGTGCAACAGTTTCATCCTGAAACCGTCATCCCTCCCCACCAGCGGTGGAAAAACTGTCTTCCGTGAAACCAGTCCCTGGTGCCGAAAAGGGTGGGGACCATTGCTATACATTAACACAACTCAAATCAGATTATCAGCATCCCAAAATATGCATCGCTGTTAAAAATGACCAGATAACAGGAGGGACTCTATTCTGCCTTCCTACAAGAAAACCCTTAAAAGCCAAGGAAGAGACTGACTACTCCAGATACTGAATCCAGACTCCCTGCGCCTCTACCAATATTTAATTCCCGCCAACTTCACATCCTCGGCTGAAAAACCAACTCCCCCACAGAAGTAAAAAATATTCACTAAAAAATGAATGCGCAGTGCAGGGCTGCGTCATGGTAGCAACGCCTATTCCGTTTCCTGATGAGCTCTTCCTGGACTTCTCAAAAGACATAAGCCCACCCCACAGGGATTCCCACGTGCTCTGCACGAGGCCTGACACAGCAATCTTCCCCAGAAAGGGCAAAAACCGTCTTTGTTGTGGCTGAATCTCCTGACCTTTCCTTTTAGATCAATTTAAAAAAAAAAATGACAGAGGAAAAACAGCCAGAGTAGTCCTCTCTCAGCAGCGGCCACATAGTGTGTGAACCCCCAAGCCCAATTACAGGCAGCAGCAGCACTGCACCAGGATGCCACACACCGCAGCCCAGCCCATGAAATCAACAGGCCGCCTGCACCCTTCAGTCCCCTGTACCATCCCCAGCTACACTAGCCCCTGACGATCCGGCCACATAGCACTCAGAGCCTGACCTGCCAAACCACCGTTAAGAGAATGCTTTCATTCTGCAATCATTAGTAACTTACAAAAGCAAAACCTACACTACTTTCATTATTAAGGATCTAAGAGGTATTTTACATGAATATTCTTACTTCTTTTAAGCAGCAACTAAAAAACTTCACATCAGTTGAACAATATTCAAAATAAGCATGCCTTCCACCAGTCACAGAGGCTGATGGATCAGATCACAACTGGACCCCGTCTATGGTCCACAGCTGTCAGGATAGGGATCGTGGAGAGGGTACAAGGAGAGGTTAGGGTAAAACACAGATTCCTCAACCACACATCAACCTGCTCTGAATGGGACTGATGTCCGGAGTGGGAGGGCAGGAAGGAGCAGTCTCCTGGGCTCCCTAGGGTCTACGTGGAGTACGAAGACTTGAGAACCACTACTCAAGATCCTCTTCTCTGCCAGCAGACAGCTCTGCTGGCCACTGTGCCAGGAAAACCCCCCACTGTTCTCTAAGTTCAGAATCAAAACACGGCCCCTCCAGACGAGTTGCCCTAACGCCTTCCTATCAGGGAAGGGAAGACTCATTCTGCAAGGCGCCGCAGCTGTAGTCCAGTGTCTGCCACAGGTATGAAGTGACGACGAGCACGGAGAACACTTGAGGAAAACTGTGAAACAGGAGCACCTGCACAGGCATCACGCCAAGAGTCAGCCCTCCACACGCCAGCACCGGCACCAACTGGAGGCTTTTGGGAGAACCATCAGACATGAGGTCAAAGACTTTATAAATGTGTATGCCTTGCATTCTGATGTTTCGTTAAGTCACAGGGCCTCACTTGTGGCCCAGGTTGCAGTACAGTGATGCAATCACAGCTCACTGCCACCTTGAACTCCTGAGCTCAAGTGATCCTCCCACCCCAGCCTCCCAAGTAGCTGGGATTACACACACACCAGCACACCTAGCTAACTTCTTTAGAGATGGGGTCTTACTATGTTGTCCCGGCTGGTCTCAAACTCCTGGGCTCAAGTGATGCTCCCACCTCCGTTTCCTAAAGTGCTGGGATTACAGGCATGAGCCACTGCACCCGGCCTGGACTCTACAATTCTACTTCAGGCCATTTTAAACTTGACTGAATATTAAAAAAAATAAACCTGGCCAGGCGCCGTGGCTCATGCCTGTAATCTCAGCACTTTGGGAGGCCGAGGTGGGTGGATCATGAGGGTCAGGAGATCGAGACCATCCTGGCTAACACAGTGAAACCCCGTCTCTACTTAAAATACAAAATATTAGCCAGGCGTGGTGGCGGGCGCCTGTAGTCCCAGCTACTCGGGAGGCTGAGGCAAGATAATGGCGTGAACCCAGGAGGCGGAGCTTGCAGTGAGCCGAGATCAAACCACTGCACTCCAGCCTGGGAGACAGAGCGCGACACCGCCTCAAAAAAAATAAAAATAAAAGTAAATAAATAAATAAATAAACCTAACTTCCCAGGGTGTTTAGAGGTCAGGATTTGACACTCTTACCACCATAGCCCAGGTTTAAATTCTTAAATAAATAAAAAAACCAAATGGAGACATACACAATGCTCCCGATGGGGAGGAATGAGGGGTATGATGCTGTCACTGCCTAAATGCGATTTATCAGCAAACGCAATCCAGTCAAAATCCTTCTGGACTTTTAACATTAGAATTTGAGGGCCAGGCGTGGTGGCTCATGCCTGTAATCCCAGCAATTTGGGAGGCCGAGGGGGGCAGATCACTTGAGGTCAGGAGTTCAAGACCAGCCTGGCCAACACGGTGAAACCCTGTCTCTACTAAAAATACAAAAATTAAGGCTGGGTACAGTGGCTCATGCCTGTAATCCCAGCACTTTGTGAGACCGAGGTGGGGGGATCACCTGAGGTCAGGAGTTCAAGACCAGCCTGACCAACGTGAAGAAACCCCATCTCTACTAAAAGTACAAAATTAGCCGGGCATGGTGGCGGGCATCTGTAATCCCTGCTACTCAGGAAGCTGAGGCAGGAGAATTGCTTGAACCTCTGAGGTGGAGGTGGCAGTGAGCCGAGATCCCGCCACTGCACTCCAGCCTGGGCGACGAGAATGAGACTCCGTCTCCAAAAAAAAAAAAAAAAATTAGCCAGGCATGATGGCAGACACCTGTAATCCCAGCTACTCGGGACACTGAGGCACAAGAATGGCTTGAACCAGCGAGGTGGAGGTTGTAGTGAACCAAGATTGTGCTACTGCACTCCAGCCTGGGCAACAGAGCTAGACTGTCTCAGAAAAAAAAAAAAAATAGAATTTGAAAAACTGATGGTAAAGCTCATAAAAACAAAATACATGAAAAAAGCAAAGACTTTAAGTAAATGAGAAAAATCCTCCAACCTATCAAAATATACCATAAAGCTACAGTAATTAAAATAGCATAAAAAATGATACCAAGAAAAGATCAATGAATCAGAAAAAACCTCAGAAACAATACAGACCTTCTCCCTTCTCCTGTGCACGTACAGTGTGCACGCACCAGGTTCTCCAGATCACTGCGTCAGCACACACTTGCAAGTGCACACACACGAGCACACACACGCTCACACGCATGCAGTCACACACATGCATACACAGGCATAGACAGGCACATGCACTCACATATGCTCACACGTGCACACATGCAATCATCTGCACACACGCGGTGCACACACGTGTACACATGCAGGCTTTTTTCCAAGCATATGTTGTTCTGCATCCTGTTTTTTGTATATATTTTTGTACGAAATAAGAGGAAGCATTTCTTTAGGGTATAATCCTTAAACTTGGGGGTCAGGGGACACGCACATTTAAAATTCCAATGAGCAGGTGCCACCCACTGAGCGGTGGGGGCATGTTCTCTCCACCCTCACCCTACACCCATATTGCCCAGCACTGCTCTCACAACACCCGCCCTGGGGCCGGCCATAGGGTGCCCTCTGCTCCGCCTTCTGCTCTTGCAGCACCCGCCCCGGGGCCACCTCTTGGTGCCTCTGCCCAGCCCATACTACCCAGCACTGCTCTCGCAGCACCCGCCCCAGGGCCCGCCCTGTGGTGCCTCTGCCCCGCCTTCTGCTCTGCTGCAGAGGGCACCACCTCCCGGAACGTGAGCTCCGCCTGATGCTGCAGGTACCTTCTCCCCACCAGTCACCATTTTTAACTTTCCCTGTGGCATCATCTTCCACACAAAGACCTTCCTGTTTCATATGGGCAAATCCATCCACCTCTTCTGGCTTCTGCTGAATGTCTTGCTCAGAAAACCTTAGCTAAGATGCGCTTGGAGCTGGTACACAACAGACTGCAGTCAACTGTCACCGCAAGAGAAGCGTTCACTCGCACTGAAGGTCTTCAAGACGACATTGGGGCAGGGTGGGAGAGGGCAGGCTGAGGCCATGGGGACAGTCAAGGCGCCTGGTGTTTATGAGGGCAAGGGCTCAGCACCCCGAGCTGACTACAGGGTGGGAGAGAATGCGGAAAGGGACACGGACATCAGCTGTCAAAGAACATCTCCTGCAGACCATTTGTCACCGCTGTGCGTCTCGTCAGGGTCTTAACAACTGAATAAGGCTCAACATTAGGCATCTCCCAATCACAAATACATTAAGCAGCAGTAACCGAATCCTGCTGAGCAGTAGAAATACAGAAATTAAGCAGCTCAGCCTGGCACAGTGGCTCACACCTATAATCCCAGCTACTCAGGAAGCTGAAGTGGGAGAATCTCTTGAGGCCAAGAGTTCAAGACCAACCTGGGCAACATGACAAGACCCCATCTCTAAAAAAAGAAAAAAAAATTTAATTAGCCCGGCACGGTGGTGCACGCCTGTAATCCTGGCTACTAGGGGGGCTGAGGCAGGAAGACCACTTGAGCCCAGGAGTTTGAGGCTGCAATAAGGTGTGATCACACCACTGTATTCCAGCCTGGGCAACAGAGTAAGACTTTGTCTCTTGAAGAAGGAAGAAAGAAAGAAAGGAAGGAGAAAGAGAGAGAGAGAAAAGAGACAGAGAGGAGAAAAAGACAAGACCACAAAGAGAGAAAGAGAGAGAGAGCGAGAAAGAGAGAAAGAGACAGAGAGAGAAAGAGAGTGAGAGAAAGATTAAGCGCACACCCTCCATTCCCTGACCTCCAAATCCGTACTCACAACAGGCTGTGTCTCCTTATCAGACGCACACTCCACACGACCTTCCAGGACCAAGGGTGACCTGCGGAACCACACCCTGGCTGCCAAGGCAAACGTCTCAAAGCAATGCTCCGCGAGGTATCTCTGTTCATCCCCCACACAGGTCTCCCTTGCTAATGGTTACTTAGGCCAAGGAGAACCAGAAATCACCACCAGAGACAGATGCCTCCACAAAGGGTGATTCTGGCAAAAAGAAGAGAGTGAAGCACATAATGACCCTGTTCCTGCCCCACCACTCCCTCTAGAGACTGGAACTGGGGGCCAAGAATCGCAACTACATTGTATGTTTGCAGGATCACTATTAAAAAAAGTCTAATAGCTTCTACAATATACCTTTAAAACAGGTCTCCTGTTTTAATTACCATTAGCAAGCATTCGAGGAATGAGGTGTCTGTTTATCAGACAATCCAGACCCAGGGCAGCTGCCACGGATGTCCCGCGTACGACCGAGCCTGCAGTGTGGGATGCAGCTGGAGCTGCACACGAGGTAGGGGCTGCCATCCGCAGCTGCCGGCCCAAGAGAGGGGCCAGGGCCACTCCCAAAGTGACCAGGTACCCACAGTGCATCCCTATTCCCTTGGAACAGATACCCACGATCCGAGTGACAGAACCAGCAAAGCCTGAAGGCACGAGAGAGCCCTCATGTCACAGACAGCTCAGAGTCACCACAGAGTCACCACAGAGGCACCGGAGCCAACACCAGCCTGGCGGGACTTGCTGGGTTGGGTGCTGGGTTAGCCGCATTCTATCACAGAGACTTCACTCTCCTCACCTGTCAATTGTGAACAAGAGATACCAAAGCTGACAAAATGCTATTAAAAAATCAATCGATTTGCCAAAGATAAACAAGCAAATCAGTAACAAGCGGGCTCCAAAAGGAATAAAGCAAAAGGACAACTGTGTGCTGAGTGGAAATACGTGAGCTTCAAGATATACACAAAGAAATCCATTTTTAGCATGAAAGTAATTTCCCAATTGCTGCGCCTACTAAAATTACGAACCTTTCTCAAAGCAAGCATGAGAAAAGGGACGGAAAAGCCTGGGAACACAGTAACCCACCCCACACCACAGCACCTTCCGGGTCCCACTGTAAGGCTATGGTCATGTCCTCCTCCAGCAGGTGGGCCCAGGGCAGGGAATCTGTCTGCACCCTCCCCACCCACAGCAGACTCTTCATTTGACTGGTTAACATTCCCGGCCTAGAGCCAGGCAGAGCAGTGCAGCCAGCGAACAGGACTCAACACCCTGACAAGGCTCACTGCAATACAGCTGGGGACCAAACTCCAGAAAACACCCGGAACTGGCTCATTGTGACATAACCAAGCCCGGGCTCCAGGGAGCGCCGCTGCCCTCCGGCTGAAGCCCCAGGATGTGGAGAAGGCCTGTGTGCGGCGGCCTCTATCCCAGAAGCAAGGGCACTTCCGCTCTGCTGCTTTAATGGCAGAGAGATGGTGTGCGTAATGGTGGGTCATGGCCGCAGCAATCGAGCCAGGCCACACATAGAAGGACACTAACAACTCTACTTCAGTCTGTCATTCGACTAGACTTCTTCTCTTAAATAATTTATATGCAAACATGCCATCTGGCTCTCTACACGGAGAGACAAACATGTAGCTCTTGACTAATGGGAGACACCCGTGCGTGGTAAACATGCATCAGAAACCCCATCAGCAACATTCCCGACAGAGGTGGAAATCAAGAGGCTGAGCAGGGTTCACTGAAGAGAAATGTCAACATCCTTCCTGTCTCATACCAGCTCCACGGTTTCTACACCAACTCGACACAGAAAGAACGTGCCTTTTAGTCAATGACACATCGCTATGGGGCCCCCCTTCCAACAAGCTGGGCACCCAGAGCTGCCTCCAATGATGTAAACAGAAGACCACAGGAGAAGAGCTGCAACACAGGCAGCGAGAGGCTGGTGGCCAACAACAAGAGGAACCTGGAGAACAACACCAGGCAGCTGGCACCCCCCACACCCGGCCCAGGCTTCTGTATGAAGGGTCCAGAGAAAATGTGGTCTCCCAGGACCCAGCGAGGCTGGGCTCCAGGACTGTGACCCAAGTTCCTCTGAACCCTGGTATTCTGAGGTCTGCTCCGAGCACTCGGGCTCAGCACACAAGCACAGAAGAGCCATGCCCGGAGCTCAGCTTCTCATCTGGCTTCTTACTTGACTTGTTCCCAGGTCTTGGTGGCCAAATGCAGGACCCAGAGATCCTTGTAGTGGTAGAACTGCTCTCCGTTGGGAGAGGCAAACTCCCCTCCAAAGACCCACAGCTGTCCGCCACCTTGAGGCACTACCACCGCCTGTGAAAAGAAAGGTGACAGGTCAGGGCACAGCCACACAGCAGAAGGGCCAGTGTCATGGGTGACCGGTAGTGGTGAGCGCTTCAGTACTATCTCGGATGCCCTGCAACATGACCAGCCCCACACTCAGCCACTTTCCTCTCCTGCCTCTAAGGGGAGGATTCCAGACAAACACCCTCGTAGGAAAGCACGTCCTCAGTCAAGGGTCTAATAAACCTTCATGTATCCCTAGGTTGCAAGATAAACATCCATTTACATGTAGACAATGCCATATCCCATTAAAGTGGACACAGCTAGTTACTTCAAACATTAACAACGGTGTGGTGCAACCTAGCAGTGTTTTCCTTTTATTAATATCCACAATAAAGCTGTCTGCCTGCTCTCGTTAATCCCTCTCCTTGCTATCATGTGCCAACTAAATTAGCCTCAGAAGTACAATGTGCACGTAAAAGAAAGTGTTTATGTGCCAGGCGCGGTGGCTCACACCTGTAATCCCAGCACTTCGGGAGGCTGAGGTGGACAGATCACGAGATCAAGAAATAGAGACCATCCTGGCCAACATGGTGAAACCCCATCTCTACTAAAAATACAAACATTAGCCGGGCATGGTGGCATGCACCTGTAGTCCCAGCTGCTTGGGAGGCTAAGGCAGAAGAATCGCTTGAACCTGGGAGGTGGAGGGTGCAGTGAGCCAAGACTGTGCCATTGCACTCCAGCCTGGACGACAGAGCGAGACTCCATGTCAAAAAAAAAAAAAAAAAAGAAAGAAAGTGTTTATGTTTTTTCCTTTTAGAGACCACGTCTTGCTCTATTGCCCAGACTGGAGTGCGGTGGCGCCATCATCACTCACTGCAGCCTCGACCTCATGGTTTCAAGTGACCCTCCCACTTCAGCCTCCTGAGTAGCTTGGACGACAGGCATGTGACATCATGCCCAGCTGTTTAATTTTTTGCAGCAATGGCGTCTACGCTGTCCAGGCTGGTCTCAAACTCCTGGCTTTAGTCAATTCTCCCGCCTCGGCCTCCCAAAGCACACTGGGATTACACACACGAACCACCACACCCAGCCTTACGTGACATTATGAATGATTAATAAAGACTCAGCACCACAGTAAAGGTGAAGGAGCGCAGCGGGAGTGATGCCCTCTGGGCCACACACGGCAAAGCACTCCGGCAGCAGGGGATGCTGAGGAGAGAGCAGACCACCAATCAAAAACAACGGCATCCCTGACGGGTCATCAGACACCACCGGCTACTCCACATGAGGCCCTCCGTGGCCCACTCCCTCTCAGGGCCCCCAAGAACTGCGGGAGGCAGAGTCTTTAGGGGACGGCACACATCCATCTGTGGAAAGAGCTGCTTGGACAGACTGCTGGGCTACAAGCAATGGCAGAGACCACCAAGCTCCACGGGGTCTTTCCTCCAAACCTGCAAATTAAGCAGTAGCTGGGGTCCAGGATGAGAAAAGCACGCTCCTAGGCAGTCTGTGTTAGCAACCACGCTGGAGGGGCCCCTCAGTGCTGCATCTCCACAGGTGAGAGCCGCCCACCCTGCCCAGGGTCACGCAGCCCAGCTTCGCCTGACTGTAACGCACCTAGTGGCATAATTAAGAGAGAAAAAGCGACCTGAGCAACCTGGCAGCAGGTGAAGCCCCATTTCCCAGCTCAGCCGTGGTCATTGCAGAGTTGGTTCTTTCATAAAAGCCTCTTGTTTTATTTCCTCTCGTTTCAAGGTAAGAGTGAGGATCTAGCAGGACGAAGAATGGTTCCACACAGGGCGCAGAGAGGGCTGGTAAATGAGAGTGCCAACCCGTCTAAGGTCAAGTGCGCCTCGGGTGGGGCAGACAGTGGTCCTCAGCAGGCTCCCTCCCGGCACCTCTGAGTCGGTGTTCCGCCCGCCCGCACATAGAAACGGCCACAGTGCCGCCCCTCTGCACCGATGCGGTTCCTTCCTGGGCCAGACAGCGGGCGCAGGTGGTAGCAGCACACAGGGGGTGGCGTGTCCCTCTCCACCCCACCCACTTCCAGTTGTTCTTTGCATCTGTCATCTCAGCACAGAGGACTTACCTGTAAAGGGACAGGCCAGGTTTCCTATCATTCTAAAAGCCCAGTAGTTCCATAGGGAGAAACTGACCAATTTACACCTTTACAGCAGACATGATGACTGGCTCAAGGCCGAAACCTAACAAATGTTTTGAGTCTAGAGGAAGTTAGGTGGCACAACCATGCCACACAGTAAATAGAGTTTTAAACTATCATCTCGGGAAGACTATTCAATGCCACAGAATAATCCTACAATAATACATCAACGGTAAAAAACACTATAGAAAGAACACATACATGCACGCTCCAGTTAGCGTGAAATAGATGCATAGAAATATGAACTGGCTGGGCGTGGTGGCTCACGCCTCTAATTCCAGTGCTTTGGGAGGCCGAGGGAGGTAGATCATGAGGTCAGGAGTTTGAGACCAGCCTGACCAACATGGTGAAACCCTGTCTGTACTAAAAATATAAAAATTAGCCAGACGTGGTGGCATGCGCCTGTAAACCCAGCTACTTGGGAGGCTGAGGCAGGAGAATCGCTTGAGCCTGGGAGGCAGAAGTTGCAGTGAGCTGAGGTCGCACCACTGCACTCCAGCCCGGGCAACAGAGCAAGACTTCATCTCAAAAAAAAAAGAAAAAAAAAATGAACTTTATGTGCAGAGAAAACATGCAGAAAATACAAATTCAGTTTAGGGAGAATAGACAATGGACTTGCCTTTTAATTCTTTTCATTTTTTTCAGAATGAATATTTACACCTTACATAATCAGTCCCTAAAGCCATTCCTGGCCAGGTGCAGTGGCTCATGCCTGTAACCCCAACACTGTGGGAGGCTCATGTGGGAGGATTGCTTGAGCCCAGTACTTTGACACCAGCCTTCACAACAAGCAAGACCCTATTTCTAAAATATAAAAAATAAAGCCATTCTTAAAAAATGAAGTCGGCCGGGCACGGTGGCTCACGCCTGTAATCCCAGCACTTTGGGAGGCCGAGGCGGGCGGATCACGAGGCCAGGAGATTAAGACCATCCTGGCTAACATGGTGAAACCCTATTTCTACTAAAAATACTAAAAAAATTAGCCAGGCACGGTGGCAGGTGCCTGTAGTCCCAGCTACTCAGGAAGCTGAGGCAGGAGAATGGCATGAACCCGGGAGGCATGAACCCGGGAGGCGGAGGTTGCAGTGAGCCGAGATCGCGCCACTGCACTCCAGCCTGGGCAACAGAGTGAGACTTTGTCTCAAAAAAAAAAAAAAAAAAAAAAAAAGAAGCCAAATGGCCAGGCACAGTGGCTCACGCCTGTAATCCCAGCTCTCAGGGAAGCAGAGGCAGGAGGATCGTTTGAGCCCAGGAGTTCAACACTTGCCTGGGCAATATAGCGAGACCCGTTCTCCACAAAAAAGAAAAAAAAAAAAGACCAAAAAGAAAAAAATGAAGTCAAACTCCAGGCAAGAGTGTAATCCACAATCCGATCCACAGCACTGTTTTTTCTTTTTTTTTTTTTTTGGAGACAGAGTCTCGCTCTGTCACCAGGCTGGAGTGCAGTGGCGTGATCTTGGCTCACTGCAACCTCCAACGCCCCTGGTTCAAGCGATTCTCCTGCCTCAGCCTCCTGAGTAGCTGGGATTACAGGCACGCGCCACGACGCCCAGGTAATTTTTGTAGTTTTAGTAGAGACGGGGTTTCACCATGTTGGCCAGGATGGTCTCGATCTCCTGACCTTGTGATTCGCCCATCCCGGCCTCCCAAAGTGCTGGGATTACAGGCATGAGCCACCATGCCCAGCCCACAGCACTGTTTCAACATCCTTTCCTCCATCTTAGTTACAATCCCAGGCTTGACCCAGTCCGACCCAGAGGACCACCCAAAGGCAGGCTGATCAGCAGTCTAAGAGCTTCGTATAGCCTACGCCCCAAAGATAATGAACACCAGGGAAAAAAATAAATATGACTCAAGGGAAGATTAAAACTACGGAGACCCACAGATAAAACTTCTACTCCTGCCCACGATGGAGCAACCTGTACCACGTTAGCTCCGCACCATCAACAAGGAAAAAACCAGACGAAATCTAGGAAGCAACAACCTCCAGACAACAGGAAGCGGGAAGTGCAGGACTGTGAACCTGAGAGCCAGGAAACACGCCACGCAGCCCTGACCCATGACTCCAGCCCCTGCAGGCAGCTCCTTCCCTGGAGCAGGGACAAGGGGCACAGGCAGGGCAGGTGGTCTTGCATAGCTGAGGAGACAAGGACTGGAGTTCAGGGACGCAGAGGCAGCTAAAAGTGGCAGGGCAGAGCACTGGAGAGAGGAAGCTATGGGAGAAAAAGCCCTGGAAATCTGCACGGGGGCGTCCCCTGGAGTCTCTGTACACTAAACTGCACCCTGGGAGGGTGAGACCAAGGAACCACCACTGTGAAGACAAAAGCATCTTCTGATGCTGAGAACTATCAGAGCTTACACAGGGCTTGGAAACAGGCAAGTTCCAACCAGACGAGGTGAAAAGATGTCACTGACCACACAGGTCATTCACTAGAGACTGCAGAAAGGCCACCACTGAGGGCTAAGCCAGCCCTAGAGAGAGCGTCAAAGATCAAGATGATCTGCAAGGAACTGAATCACCTCAGGACAAAATGCAACACTGTTTGATAGGTGAAAAAATCCAGACACTCAGGCTGGGAGCAGTGGCTCACGCCTGTAATCTCAGCACTTTGGGAGGCCGAGGTGGGTGGATCACTTGAGGTCAGGAGTTCGAAACCAGCCTGGCCAACATGGTGAAACCCCGTCTCTACTGAAAATACAAAAAATTACCTAGGCGTGGTGGCACACGCCTATAATCCCAGCTACTTGGGAGGCTAAGGCAGGAGAATCTCTTGAACTCAGGAAGCGGAGGTTGCAGTGAGCCAAGATCGCGCCACTGCACTCCAGCCTGGGCAACAAGAGAGAGACTCCATCTCAAGGAGAAAAAAAAAAAAAAAATTAGCCAAGCGTGGTGGCGGGTACCTGTAATCCCAGCTACTCAGCGGGCTGAAGCAGGAGAATCGCTTGAACCCGGCAGGCGGAGGTTGTAGTGAGATGAGATCACACCATTGTACTCTTACCTGGGTGACAGCAAGACACCATCTCAAAAAAAAAAAAAAAAAAAAGTAGCCGGACGTGGTGGCATGTGCCTGTAATCCCAGCTACTGGGGAGGCTGAGGCAGGAGAATCCCTTGAACCCAGGAGGCGGAAATTGCAGTGAGCTGATATAATGCCACTGCACTCCAGGCTGGGAGACAGAGCAAGACTCCCTCTCAAAAAAAATAAAATAAAGATTCAAATGTAGAAGGCACCTTAGCCACCTAATACAATCCCAGTCAGGTGTGGTGAGGGGTGCCTGTAATCCCAGTTACTCAGGAGGCTGGGGCAGGAGAATCACTTCAACCTGGGGGGCAGAGGTTGCAATGAGCCGAAATCAGGCCATTGCACTCCAGCCTGGGTGACAGAGCAAGACTCCATCTCAACAACAACAACAACAAATACAAGCGTATACAAATCTGATTTTTAAACCAGCCCAAATGCCTGCAAGCCTGCATCTGCACGGGATGTTCACACAGCTCAGGCAGGCAGGTCCTCCTCACCAAACCAACTTCATTAGCAGGTGAGTTCTAAGCACACAATCAGCAAAGGGGGAAGGAAATATTGCACAGGAATGCATGTATCATGCTGTGGTCACCTGATGCGTTGATCTTTCTCTGCACTGGAGAGGCAGGCACTCATTCAAATTTTCTGTGCGAGTCTAACTGTCACAGAGTTGAACAATGGACAAGGACAGAGTTCCCATCCTCACAGAGCTTACAGAACGTCTAACTCCGGAAGCCCCTTCCCTGACAGGAGAGCGACAGCTGACACTGCTCTCCTGGGTAGGAAACCAGCTAACCACGTGCTAAGTCAGTGCCACTTCTCTGTGATCCGGTTACCACTCGTTTCCGCTAATACAATTGTTTTCCTTCCACCATGCACACCTTTCCTGAACATCCAGTTCTCCTGTCTTCACCATCTAGTCCAGACCGTGGGCCTAGGGGGAGTGAGCATTCTGCCAGTGGCTGCGACACACCAGGAACGACACGAGCTATTTTACATGGAATATTTCATGTGATCCTCATGCCACCTGGGGAGCAGGTGTTCTCCTCCCCGTCTCACAGTGAAGAAGCTGAGTAAGGAATCCAAGTGAGCAAACAGCAGAACCAGGCGATCTACAGGGCCCAGCCCCTCCGCACCAGCTGCCTGTCACCTATCAACTCTCCGTGTGTCTACCAGACTCCCACGTGGGAAGAGGGAGGGTGGCTGAGAGTCAGTGCTGACATTACCTGGTGAGCACAGCGCCTCGGAGGTGGACTGGGGATGTCAACTTTGGTCCAGGTGTCCTTTCTGGTATTGTAGACATAGAGCTCGTTATACAAAAAAGTCTACAGGAAGGAAGAAGAATGTCAGTGTCACAAATGATACGCTTCCAAGGAAGTGGTGAGAACAATCTTAATCATGACAATTCCCTGGGAAACTGACATGCTAAAGGAATGTAAACCATACCAGCACAGGGAGGCCATGGGCTGGGTCCCCGGGGCCATTGGGGATGACGACACAATGAAAACGACCGAACGCCCACCAGGCCCATCAATCTGGAAGGTACTGAAAGCCCTCGTTGTTATTAGGACTGGTCATTCTCCTAATTCCAGCCTAGTTTTTTTGTTTTTGTTTTGTTTGAGATGAAGTCTCGCTGTTGCCCACAATGGAGTGCAATGGCGCAATCTTTGCTCACTGCAACCTCCGCCTCCCAGGTGCAAGTGATTCTCTGCCTCAGCCTCCAAGTAGCTAGGACTACAGGCGCCCGCCACCACACCCCGCTAATTTTTGTATCGTTAGCAGAGACTGGGTTTCACCACATTGGCCAGACTGCTCTCAAACTCCTGACCTCAGGTGATCTGCCCACCTCGGCCTCCCAAAGTGCTGGGATTACAGGCATGAGCCACTGTACCCAGTCAAGCCTAGTTTCTAAATGCACGAAAACTGAGAGACGAAGATGGACAAATGCAGTCAAACCCCCAAGGCCCATCCCGGGCTGCAGGGAAGGTGAGCTCCTGCTTTTGTGTGTCACACACAATTGTGAAACACAGGTCTTACTGGCCTGCTCAAAAATAAAAATTAGCCCTAAAATTTATCAGCACTTTCCGTGTTTAAGACAACCTGAAAGCTGAGTGTGAAACCTGGAAACCCGCTGGGAGGAAGAACAGCACAGACAACCACAAAGAGGGGTGCGCCCGCCAAGAGTGATGACGGCAGAGCTGGGCCTCAGCCTAAGTCCCAGGAATAGAGACCCCAGGACCACTGAAGTCATCAACAGTCATGCCAGGGCCTGGAGCATCCTGGCGACGTCTCACATCAGGCCTGACGGCTCAAGCGCGTGATACAAGGGGTGAAGGGGCTAACGCATATTTGATGTCACTGCCTTAAGTTAACTTTCTGTCAAATGATACTCACGCAACATGGGAAGAAAAGAAAAAAATATATACTTTACTTTTTGGCCGTTGAAATATTCACCTCCAAAAAGGATTAACTCATCTTTCTCAGGATGAACCGAGAGGGAGGCATTTAACCTACAAGACACACAAGCGGCAGGTCAGCAAGATCACCCCCGATACCCACCTGAGCGCTGTCCCCTTCCTCACAGAATCCTCTGTCACCACAAACTGGCTGCCTCTACACTTCCTGAAAGGAGAGCCTGGCATCGAGAAAGGAAGCAAAGGTGCCACTTGAACACCAACCCCTCTACCAGTGCCCAGGGCCACACTCCAAGGACAACCATGGAGCTGGACTGACACAGTGTCTGGTTGTATTAACAAAAAAAAAAAAAAAAAAAAAATTCCCCAGGCAGGAATAAGTCCAGATGCCCCTACTGATGTATCAAATGTTCCAGAACTGTTTTTTTGATTTGTTTTTTTTCATTTTTGAGATGGAGTTTCCCTCTTGTCACCCAGGCTGGAGTGCAATGGCACAATCTCAGCTCACCACAACCTCCAACTCCTGGGTTCAAGCAATTCTCCTGCCTCAGCCCTCCGAGTGGCTGGGATTGCAGGTGCCCACCACCACACCCAGCTAGTTTTTGTATTTTTTAGTAGAGATGGGGTTTCACTGCATTGGCCAGGCTGGTCTCAAACTCCGGACCTCAAGTGATCTGCCCACCTCGGCCTCCCACAGTGCTGGGATTACAGGTGTGAGCCACCGTGCCTGGACCTCAGAACTGTCCTCTTTTAAGAGCCTATCCTGTCAAATCACCTCAAAACCATTCTAAAAAGTCCAGTAACTAGGCCAGGAGCAGTGGCTCCTGCCTGTAATCCCAGCACTTTGGGAGGCCGAGGCAGGCAGATCACGAGGTGAAGAGATCGAGACCATCCTAGCCAACATGGCGAAACCCCGTCTCAACTAAAAATAGAAAAATTAGCTGGGCATGGTGGTGCGTGCCTATGGTCCCAGCTACTCGGGAGGCTGAGGCAGGAGAACCACTTGAACCTGGGAGTTGGGGGTTGCAGTGAGCTGAGATCATGCCATTGCACTCCAGCCTGGCGACAGAGCAAGATTCCATCTGAAAAAAAAAAAAAAAAGTCCATATGTAAGTACTTCAATATACATGCCAGATATCTTCCATCTAGAAAATACAAACAACTTTCTATTTATTTCACATGAGAACAAAAGAAGAGCTACAAGGAAATTACATAATAATATTATGGGCCAGGCCCGGTGGCTCACACTTGTAATCCCAGCACTTTGGGAGGCTGAGGCGGGCAGATCACCTGAGGTGAGGAGTTCAAGACCAGCCTGGCAAACACGGTGAAACCCCCCGTCTCTACTAAAAATACAAAAAGTAGCCAGGCATGGTGGTGGGCACCTGTAATCCCAGCTACTCAGGAGGCTGAGGCAGGAGGATCACTTGAACCCGGGAGGCAGAGGCTGCAGTGAGCCAGGATTGCATCATTGCACTCCATCCTGGGAGACAGAGCAAGACTGTCTTAAAAAAACAAAAAATAAATAAATAAATACATAGGGCCACTTCAGTTGAAAGTAATGAAAGACACAGTGACTATCTGGCGAATCACTGGGAAAGATCCTCCCTTCAGAGTCCTCTAAGACGGCGTTCCCCAAGGCGTGCTCCATAATGCCAACTCCAAAAGATGTTTCTCAAAGGAAAAACAGGTTTCAAGGTCAAGTGAGTTTGGGAAATCTGAGAACTCTATTTTCTATTGGGGATTTATTTGCATAGAAACATGTCATAGGCTGGGAATTTCTGCAGGAAAGAAACCAGTATTAAAAGCTAAACACAGAATCACCACATAATCCAGCAGTTCGTTCCCAGGCATTAGCTCAAACAGATACCTGTATGCAATGCTCGTTACGGCCTCACAAAAGCCAAACAGTAGAAATAACCTAAGTGTTGGTCTGCAGATGAGTGGACAAACACAATGTGGCATACCCACAGACGGAACAGGATTTAGCCATAAGAAGAAATAAAGTTCTCACACATGCCACAGAACTGATGAACTTGGACATACCAGGTGAAGGAAGTCAGTCACAAAAAGACACTTCTATGACTCCACTTACGCAAAATACCTAGAATAGGCCAATTCACAGTGACAGAAAGTTGACCAGAAGTCACCAGGGGGCTGGGGGAGGGGAAACAGGGAGCAACCATTGAAGGGTCTAGACACTTCTCCCATCTTTTGGCTTCCCTGGGCTACAATGGAAGAAGAATTGTCTCGGGCCACGCATAAAATACACTAACACTAACAATAGCTGATGAGCTTTAAAAAAAAATCTCATCATGTTTTAAGAAAGTTTACAAATACGTGTCACGCTGCATTCGAAGCTGTCCTGGGCCACCAGTTAGACAAGGTTGGTCTAGAGTTTCTATTTGGGGTGATAAAACAATGTTGCAACTGGTTAGTGCTAATGGTTGCACAGCGACATGAAGTAATTCCACTGAACTGCACAGTTTTAATGATTAAAATGGCAAATTTTGGCCAGGCGCATTGGCTCATGCCTGTAATCCCAGCACTTTCGGAGGCCGAGGCGGGCGGATCACCTGAGGTGGGGAGTTCGAGACCAGTCTGGCCAGCATGAGGAAACCCCATCTCTACTAAAAATACAAAATTAGCCAGGCATGGTGGCGCATGCCTGTAATCCCAGCTACTTGGGAGGCTGAGGAAGAATTGCTTGAACCTGGGAGGTGGAGGTTGCGGTGAGCCGATATCATACCATTGCACTCCAGCCTGGGCAACAAGAGCAAAACTCTGTCTCAAAAAAACCAAAACCAAACAAAAATAAAATAAAATGGCAAATTTTGTTAAACATTTTACCACAATAAAAAAAACTTTTTAGGTCGGGTGCAGTGGCTCACACCTGTAATCACAGCATTTTGGGAGGCCAAGGCAGTTGGATCATCTGAGGTCAGGAATTTGAGGCCAGCCTGACTCCAGAGGTTGCAGTGAGCTGAGATCGCGCCATAGCACTCCAGCCTGGGCAACAAAAGCAAAACTCCGTCTCAGAAAAGAAAAAAAGAAAAAAAAAAACTTTTTAAAAATAATAAATAGGCCGGGTACAGTGGCTCACGCCTGTAATCCCAGCACTTTGGGAGGCCGAGGTGGGTGGATCACCTAAGGTCGGGAGTTCAAGACCAGCCTGACCAACACGGAGAAACTCCGTCTCTACTAAAAATACAAAATTAGCCGGGCGTGGTGGTGCATGCCTATTGTCCCAGCTACTCCGGAGGCTGAGGCAGGAGAATCACTTGAACCTAGGAGGCTACAGTGAGCCGAGATCGTGCCATTGCACTCCAGCCTGGGCAACAAGAGCTACACTCCGTCTCAGAAAAAAAAATAAAGAGTGTTTCCCAAATTCCTCTGACCCTGAATCTTTTCTCACTGAATACCTATTGATTTTCTGCAGAAAAGCACCAAACACAACTTCAGAAACGATCTACACGGGGCCCAAACTGAGGTCCCCACCCAGCCACCAGCGGCACCAGCCCAGGTGTTGCCGCCGCACAGGCAGGTGAGGTACTGAGGCAGCTGGTGTCATGCCCCCATTTTCCAGGTAGGTCACATCAGAGCCAATCCTGACGATATGCTCATTTAGAAACTGGTCATTCTCACAAGGTTTTAAAGTAATATGATTAAGAAATAGGAAGTTGGAAGATATTAAGGTTACCAAGCAAAAGATCTTAATCTCAGGATAACTGCTCCCTCCTATTAGGAAGCATTTCCAGCTGACCCAGGGAACTGCCAACACCTTAAATTATATCCTGACATGAAATCTGACTTTCAGGCAACATTACTTATGGAAAAATTCTAAAATATCATTAAAAAAAAAAAAAAAGAAAAAGGCCAGGTACGGTGACTTGAGCCCAGGAACTCGAGACCAGCCTGGACAACATAAAAAAAAGTCTCTACAGGGCCGGGCACGGTGGCTCACGCCTGTAATCCTAGCACTCTGGGAGGCTGAGGCGGGCGGATCACGAGGTCAGAAGATCAAGACCATCCTGGCCAACATGGTGAAACCCCGTCTCTACTAAAAACACAAAAAATTAGCCAGGCTTGGTGGCGGGTGCCTGTAGTCCCAGCTACTTGGCAGGCTGAGGCAGGAGAATGGCGTGAACCCGGGAGGCAGAGCTTGCAGTGAACCAAGATGGCGCCACTGTACTCCAGCCTGGGTGACAGAGTGAGACTCCGTCCCAAAAAAAAAAAAAAAAAAAAGTCTCTACAAAAAAAATAAAACTAATCCCCATTCAAAGTGGCTTTCCTCAGGAGTGCTATATATCAGAAGCCTAAGATCAAGGATTTATTTGCTCCAATAACTCAAATGAAAATGTACATTTACAGCCAGGCACAGCGACTCACGCCTGTAATCCCAGCACTTTGGGAGGCCAAGGCAGGTGGATTACCTAAGGTCAGGAGTTCACGACCAGCCAGGCCAACATGGCAAAACCCCATCTCTACTAAAAATACAAAAATTAGCTGGGTATGGTGGCTGGCGCCTGTAATCCCAGCTACTTGGAAGGCTGAGGCAGGAGAATCACTTGAACCTGGGAGGCAGAGGTTGTAGTGAGCCAAGATCATGCCACTGTACTCCAGCCTGGATGACAGAGTGAGACTCCATCTCAAAAAGAAAAAAAAAAGTACATTTACCACATGTAACTTACATTTGGCCCTGAGGGCAACATGCAAACTAAAGGGAAAAAGAAAACTAAAATCCTAATGGACATGAAGTGAAAACCAGGAAGGACACTGGCCTTTGGGAGTGGCTCCAACACCACTCACTCTGCTCAGGGGCTGATCACCGTGCTCCTCCCACCTCTGGGCAGGTGATGATAACCCTGCCTCTGAGGCCGGTGGGTGGGACTCGGGCACCAGAGCCATCACATGCGCCTCATTAATGCAAACGCAGCACAATCGTGACCCTCCACTCCCGATGGGCTGAACCCCGGCTTCCACTAGGGCCTGCAGCAGCTTTATTAAAAGGGTAAATCCTGCAAGGTTAATCTCCTACTGAGGGAAATAAACCATTTCTCATTCCAGCTCATCCCACACGTGTATGAAATCCTACAGACTCGGAACGTTTTTACGTAATTTTCAAATCCATTTAAAATGGCTTATACTCAATTTATGTTTAACAAACTTTTCACATGAGAATTTGAAAGCATTACAAACACATCAAAAGGCCACAGTGATTTTCAGCTTTCTGCCTACAGTACGCACTTTTAAAATACCTTAAGAACCAAAGAAAAGCTCACTGGGGCAAAACTTTCATCCCCACGTCACGACCAGTGGAGGAGCTTTCAAAGTTGGCACCGGAGCCCAGAGGCAGCAGCTGTGCTGTAGGCCCTGCTCCCAGGTTCCATGACAGTAAAGCTTACAGCCTCATTCCAGTTCTTCAGCAGAAAGTGACCAAGAACAGGTTTTAATAATGAAAATGTCCCAAGTGCCTGGTCATTTACGAAACCTGGTGCTATTTAAAGCAGTTTTTCAATGTATAGAAGAAAAGGAAACATACAATATGAAAAATGCTACTTGCTCACCTTGGTGAGGGTGGGGGGCACGGAAGTTCCACAGTCTGAGTCCTCTTGGCATCGAGTGTCTGGAAATGGGCTATGAGCGCTTCCAGGTCTTCCTAGGGCAAGCAAGCAGGCACACGTGAGACTTATTCCCAGGACCCGCCGCGGAGCCACAGCCCGCTCAGCTTTCCTCCAATCAGTGTGATTCGACTGGGCTCAGTCACATCTGTGAATTGCAACATACTGTGCCTGTTTGAAATGCAGAGTTTGACACATTCGAAAGTAACCAGAGCTTGACCTCAAAGGCAGTCTGCTTAAAGGGTAGATGTGTGCACCAAGTATTATCTCCACACCCTTAACGCTCCCTCTGCAAGACCTTCCACTTAGACAAGCCCGTTGTGACTTCACTGCAGACACTCTCAGCACCTCTCATAACCCAGACTCGAGCCGTCGCACCTGCCAGCCTTCCTGTCTGCAGAGCAGTGTCTGACAAGAACTTCCACTTAGACAAGCCCATCGTGACTTCACTGCAGACACCCTCAGCACCTCTCAGAGCCCAGGCCTGGGCCGTCACGCCTGCCTGCCTTCCTGTCTGCTGAGCAGTGTCTGATATATTTCTCTTGCTTATTTGTTTCCTCCACCCCAACAAAATAATAAAATATGAGCTCCACCAGAGCAAGACTTGTGTCTAGTTAAAACACTGCCTGCACAGCAAGAGCTCAGCAAATACCAGCTGCAGTCTATCCAAGTAAGAAGGTCTCAACTTTTACTACCATCGAGAGTGACTCAAGGTACTGATGTGCCAGCACAGAGGGCAGCACTGGAACCCAGTGTTCCCGCCTCAGTCCCAGTGCCCATTTCCCAACATTTACGAGACACTCCCATGCACACCCGAGCCTGGCATTTCAAGTTCCTTCTAGCCTTCAGTGTCCTGCTTGCAACTACACACACCTGCAGACCATCTTCCCTCCCCCACACCCACCTCTCCAACCTCACCTCCCACCTGGCCTCACTCTCCAAGATACACCAGCGTCCTCTCCGTTCCTTCAATGAAAACGCCAGGTTCCCTCAGCCTGCCACGCCCCACCTCGTGCTTCCTTCAGTCTACCTCTCATCTCAGGGTGAATGTCAGCAGGGTACACTGCTTAGTATTCTAAACGATGCAATATTTAAAACACACAAGTTAACAGAACTTTATCCAAGACATTCCTGTATACGGTTCCCAGGGTAAGGAATAAAGTGTCACCCACATGTACCCACCCACACATTCCCTCAAGTAACCACTATCTGGAACTCGATGCTTATTAGTCTCACGCTTTTCTTCAATCTTTTATTACACATGTGTATCCCTAAGCAACATATAGTATTGTTTTACATTTTTAAATGTCATTAAATGGACTGGGCACAGTGGCTCACGCCTGTAATCCCCGAACTTTGGGAGGCCGAGGCAGGTGGATAATTTGAGGTCAGGAGTTCGAGACCAGCCTGACCAACACGGTGAAACCCCGTCTCTACTAAAAAATACAAAAATTAGCCGGCCACAGTGGCGCACACCTGTAGTCCCAAACTACTCGGGAGGCTGAGGCAGGAGAATTGCTTGAGCCTGGGAGGCAGAGGTTGCAATGAGCTGAGATCATGCCACTGCGACACTTGCTCTGGGTGACAGAGCAGGACTCCATCTCAAAAAAAATAAAAAATAAAATGTCATTAAATGGTATCATACTGTATATTCTTTCAACTTGCTTTTTTTGCTCAACGAGGTTAAACAAACAGTTCAAATACTAACGTCTATGTACCGCGAAAGCTTTGCTGCTGCTACTTAGAGCGGTCTTTGACCTTGGCTGAACCTCATCATCATTGGGTGACTGAAGGAGAGCAAGGTGGTAGGGTCTGGGTGACGCCAGTGGCCTAGCCAGTGACAGCCTCTCCAAAGTGACAATAAGCTGAATGCTGAAAAGACGACTCAGACGGAGTATGGTTGGGGTATAGGTAAGACCACAGACACAACTTGCCATGTTTGAGACACTAAAAGACACTGTGGCTGGAGTGAGCCCAGGGAGACAGCTGGAAAGACAGGCAGAGGCCAGGACTAAGTGAAGGTGCGAACCAGGTGACCTGATACATGAGTTCTGTGGGAGCAGAATTCCAAACTGTCCCCAATCCTTCCCCCAATAATTGCCAGGACTGTGAAAGAATGGGATACCACTCTTGTGATTAGGTTGTATTACAGACACAGCTGAATTTAAGAAAGAGATGATCCTCTGTGGGTCTAGCCTAATCAGACGCCCACTTATTTTAAAAGTTTGTTTTGAGGGTTCATTCAGATAACATACAAACCCCAGGCCTGACAGGCTCTCTCTCTTAAGGGAAGCTACTGTTACAATCACCTTAGTATTGGGTACTGGAGGGAGACATGGAGATGAGTAAAAATGACAGGTAACTGGCGGGGCAAGGTGGCTTACGGCTTGTAATCCCAGCACTTTGGGAGGCCGAGGCGAGCGCATCACCTGAGGTCAGGAGTCCCAGACCAGCCTGACCAAAACGGTGAAACCCGGTCTCTATTAAAAATACAAAATTAGCTGGGTGTGGTGGTGCATGCCTGTAATCTCAGCTACTTGGGAGGCTGAGGCAGGAGAACCACTTGAACCTGGGAGGCGGAGGTGCAGTGAGCTGAGATCGCACCATTGCACTCCACCCTGGGCAACAAGAGTGAAACTCCTTCAAAAAAAAAAAAAAAAAAAAAAAAAAAAAGCAGAAAGCAGCTAACAGCTGGTTACTGAGTGCTTACTTTCTGCCAAGCACCATTCTGAAGATACCACACAGATGAACTGACTTCCTGTGCCACAACCCTAGCCAGCAGGTCATGCCACTGCAGCCCAGCCTAGGTGACAGAGCAAGACTCTGTCAAAAAAAAAAAAAAAAAAAAGAAAGAGCCTAAGAGGAGTGTGAGGGAAAAGTCCAACTCCATTATTTAAGAGATGAGGACATGGAGAGATCAATGACTTAGGAAGAAAAGGGACAAAGGACTGTGGTCAAGAGCTCCTGATTCAGGACATCTGGTCACATCCCAGTTCCATACCACTTCATGGTTCACCTGTTGGTCTTCCTGTCAAATGGGAATACCAGTGCTACGGAACTGACCTGCTCGTGAGGAGTAAAGCCCAGGGAGCTGTGCCTGGCGCACGGCAGGCCATAAAACTGGCCCCGGTTAGGGAATCCATGAGCAGCAGCCGCAGAACACTCAACCCCAAGGTCAGGACGGATCCTCCTGCAGACCCCGGGCTGAGGACCAGAGGGAAGGAGACAACCGTGATGGCCGCCATCAGCTGCTACGGGATACCCCGTGGCTCCAGTGCCTTCTTCACTTAACCATCTGCTGCTCACTGCTCAGGGCTGCTGTGATGATTATTTGCCCTCTTTTGAAAGAAAAGTAAGGTTCAGAAAAGTTAAGAGTCTTACTCCCAGACCACACATCATGCAGAGGCAGCCCCCGGCTCAACCTCAGGTCTTCCTGTGCCAAACCCCTCCCTCTTCTCACCACCCAGCCTCCCTTCAGAGGGAGGGTGGAGGGAGAAGGGAGGAGGGGGAGGAAACGCAGAAAAACGCCCGTGACACCACACTAAGAAAAGCAAGCACGTTAAAGGGGGCAGCTCCGAGAAGCGGACAGACACACGTGGAGACTCAGGAGGGGGCGGGCCCCGTCTGGGCTGCCCGGACGCGGCGCCGGGGCAGTTCCTACGGCCTCCAGCTCTCCCGCAGGGCCGGCGCGGCTCCCACGGCCGACCCGTAACCCCGGGGGGCGCAGGGAGTCGGCCGAGGCTGCACGGCCGCGACGTCGGGCCGCTAAGCCCGGTCTGACCCGCTCACCTCCTCCTTCCGCGAGCGCTTAGACACCTTCTTCTCCATCTTGGCGGCCGTCTTCTCCGCGCCGCGGCCCTTCTTCTCCTTCTTGCCCTTCTTGCCCATCTTGCCGGGTCCCAAGCCGCGACGGGACACCAGGAAAGAAAACGGCCCGCGCTCTCCGCTCGGAAACAGGTGCTCGTGGGGCGGAGCTCGGCGCACAGAAATGGAGTCACTTCCGGCCCCGAGTTCGAGCCGCTTCCGGGTAGAGGTGCGGCTGGGCCCTTTACGAGGTTCGGTCTTGGAGCTCCGTCTTCGGCAGCGGGCTCGGGGGCCTCGGACTCTGCATAAGGCCCCGGAAAAGATGACCGGCCCCGGGCTGGGCGCGGTGGCTCATGCCTGTAACCCTGGAGCTTTGGGAGGCCTTGGCGGGCGGATCGCTTGAGTCCAGGAGTTCGAGATCAGCCTGGGCAACAAAGCGAGACACCACCCCCCACCCCCAGTCGCTACAGAAGAAAAAAAAAAAAATTAACCGGGCGTGGTGTCTCGCGCCCAGTGGTCCTAGCTCCTCGGGAAGGTGAGGCGGGAAGATCGCTTGAGTCAAGGAGTTCCAGGCAGCAATGCGCCCCTGCACCCCAACCTGGGCGACAGAGCGAGATCCTGTTTCAAAAAACAAAAAAGATGGCAGCCCCGGCCTGACATACCCCGGCCATGCTCGCCAATTCTCACGCCCTGTGCCCCCACCTAGCCTGTCCCCGTGTCCTAGGAGACGTGCCCTCTGAGTTTTATTTTTTATTTCTATTTTTTTGAGGCAGGGTCTTGCTCTGTCGCCCAGGCTGGAGTGCGGTAGCGCGATCTCGGCTCGCTGTAACCTCCGCCTCTGGAGTAGCTGGGACCACAGGAGCCCACCACGCCCGGCTCATTTTCTCTTGAGTTTTCCGGGGTGCACGTGCCCCCCGTTAAGGCACATTGCTTCGCCCTGGGTAGAACTAAGTGGGCGACTCTTGGGCTAGCCCCATTTTTTCCCCTCAGACCAAACAAATGAGTGCTTTTTTCCCAGAAAAAAAATTTCACACAGTTATAAGATTTTGCAGATCCTGAGTAAGACAGTCCCTGCCGGGCGCGGTGGCTCACGCCTGTAATCCCAGCACTTTGGGAGGCCGAGGTGAGTGGATCACGAGGTCAGGAGTTCGAGACCAGCCTAGCCAACATGGTGAAACCCCCGTCTCTACTAAAACTACAAAAATTAGCCAGGCGTGGTGGTGGGCACCTGTAATCCCAGCTACTTGGGAGGCTGAGGCAGGAGAATTGCTTGAACCCAGGGGGCAGAGGTTGCAATGAGCTGAGATCAAGCCACTTCACTCCAGCTTGGGCAAAAGAGCAAAATTCCATCTTAAAAAAAAAAAAAAATGGGGGGGCCCTTCCACCTTCCCATTTAAAATGTGCCAGACACTGTTAGGTACTAAGGGCATGTCCTCAAATGTCCTAACATGGAGGACTTTTGTTTCTTCATAGGTAGGCTAGAGCTAATGATAGCACCCTGAAAGGGTACTCAATTTGTGGAGCCTGAGAAATAAAGATAGGTAATATCCAAATGCCTGCTAGGAAATTGTACTCTAGGATTTGCCTCAAATTACGTAAGAAATGGCAAAATCATCTGCAGTGCATGGAATGTTATGATTTGAAAGAGCAGAGTAAAAATGCTTATCACTACTTAGAAGATGTCATCTTTGGATGGGTAATCAAGGAATAAGGCAAATTAAGGACAAGGACAAGCCAAAATTTGGCAAAGGGAAAGCATAAATCAGGAAATAATCTAGTTTATTACTTTGTGTGTGAGTCAGCCTTTAAAAGTTCTCTTAGGCCAGGCGTGGTGGTTCATTCCTGTAATCCCAGCACTTTGGGAGGCTGAAGCGGGCTGATCACGAGGTCAGGAGTTCAAGACCAGCCTGGCCAATATGGTGAAACCCTGTCTCCACTAAAAATACAAAAAAAAAAAAAAAAATTAGCCAGGTGTGGTGGCACCCACCTGTAGTCCCAACTATTCAGGAGGCTGAGGCAAAAGAATCATTTGAACCTAGGCGGCAGAGGTTGCAGTGAGCGGAGATTGCACCACTGCACTCCAGCCTGGGCGACAAAGCAAGACTCCATCTCAAAAAAAAAAAAAAAAAAAGATGTTATCTTAGATCCAGCCAGGTGTGATGGCTCACGCCTGTAATCCTAGCACTTTGAGAGGCAGAGGCAGGCAGATCACCTGAGGTCAGGAGTTTGAGACCAGCCTGATCAACATGGTGAAACCCCATCTCCACTAAAAATACAAAATTAGACAGGCATGGTGGTGCGCACCTGTAATCCCAGCTACTCGGGAGGCTGAGTCAGGAGAATGGCTTGAGCCTGGGAGACAGAGGTTGCAGTGAGCCGAGACTGAACCACTGCACTCCAGCCTGGGCAACAGAGCTAGACTCCGTCTCAAAAAAAAAAAAAAAAAGAAGAAGTTAACTCGGCCAGGCGTAGTGGCTCACATCTGTAATCCCAGCACTTTGGGAGGCCAAGGTGGGCAGATCACGAGGTCAGGAGTTCAAAACCAGCCTGGCCAACATGGTGAAACCCCGTCTCTACAAAAATACAAAAAAATTAGCCAGGTGTGGTGGTGTGCACCTTTAATCCCAGCTACTCAGGAGGCTGAGGTAGGAGAATTGCTTGAACCGGGAGGAAAGGTTGCGGTGAGCCCAGATCACGCCATTGCACTCCAGCCTGGGCAGCAAAAGCGAAACTCTGTCTCAAAAACAAAAAAAGTTACCTTAGATCCAATCAATGACTAGTCACTGAGCAGCTGAGGAGGAATGATTTTCCAACCCACTCCAAGCCTTATCCATAAACCTAGCTCTTTAAGAAGAAAAATGAAATTTGGGGAAATAATGAGAAGAAAAGATAGCACTGGTTGAAGACCACCATGGTCTCCAGCACTGCTTGTAGGAAACCTATGTGGTGGTAGAAAAAAAAAACCGGTTAGGAGCTGAGCAGAAAGGAGCTGGAGAATTTCACAGAAACCCAGCCTGGGCATCCAGGCATGTTTATCTTCCATGACGAACTACAAAAGGCTAAATCCTCACTATTGCCCTCGGGAAATAGTTCTGTCCCCTCTAGTGTACTATGACTTTAAGAACATACGTAATCCTTTAATATTTTTCTAAAAATCCTGGGTAAACCTGAGGCAATGCACTTGAAGCCAAAAGGCTCTTCATTCACAGCACATCTGGCTGCAGTACATTACAGTGGTGCCCACTTCAGGCCGGAGACAGGGAGAGCGTATGACCTATTGAAGATTTAGGAGGATCTGGTGGATGCGGGGTTTAATACTTTTATTATCTGAAAGAAGCTTGAAGCTAAATTAGAAGGCTCTTGGATTATAGGTGTCATGGTGATTTACGTGAGACTGAAATTCTCATACTGAGAAAGACGGAATAGAACATCTAAAATGAGATCAGATCCTAAAATAGTCAAAAGATTAAGTACAAGGCTCTATTTTAGTAAAATTCACATTGTTGAAACTTTCATGGATTATCTTTAATCTGTCGCTGACTTTTAGAGTGTATCTTTTGTGTGATCAGGCGCCCTCTGCTGCCTTCAAGTTGAAGTGCAGAAGAGAAAAAAAATCTATTAATAATAGATTAAATTTTAGGAAAATATGCTAACTTCTAATTATCCTCACCACAAGTAATCAATGTGATTGGAAGGTTCTGCCAAGTGTGGTATGGATTACGTGGCTCTTTGCACGTTTCCCAGCAGGAAAGTGGGAATAATGAACTAGTTCACCTATTACACAGGATTCTTGGGAAAATCAAGTGAAACAATAATAAAGCTTAGGAAAGAGGCCAGGCGCGGTGGCTCACGCCTGTAATCCCAGCACTTTGGGAGGCTGAGGCGGGTGGATCACGAGGTCAGGAGATCAAGACCATCCTGGCTAACACGGTGAAACCCCGTCTCTACTAAAAATACAAAAAATTAGCCGGGCGCGGTGGCGGGCGCCTGTAGTCCCAGTACTCGGGAAGCTGAGGCAGGAGAATGGCGTGAACCCGGGAGGCGGAGCTTGCAGTGAGCCAAGATCGCACCATTGCACTCCAGCCTGGGCGACAGAGTGAGACTCCGTCTCAAAAAATAAAAATTAAAAATAAATAAAATAAAGCTTAGGGAAGTAAAAAAGCAAAACACAAAGGCTTTTTTTTTTTTTTTTTGAGACAGAGTCTCACTCTGTCACCCAGGCTGGAGTGCAGTGGCACTATCTCAGCTCACTGCAACCTCCGGCTCCCAAGTTCTTACCTCAGCCTCCCAGGTAGCTGGGATTACAGGCATCTGCCACCACACCCAGCTAATTTTTGTATGTTTTATAGAGACAAGGTTTCACCATGTAGGCCAAGCTGGTCTCAAACTCCTGACCTCACGTGATCCACCCGACTGGGCATCTTAAAGTGCTGGGATTACAGGCGTGAGCCACCATGCTGGCCTTACTGAATTTTTCCCACTTCTTTGAATCCATTCCAGAGAGAGGAATAATAAGATTTCCAACTATAATCAGGGATTTATCTATGTGTTGCTTATATACAATAAACTGTATATATTTCAAGTGTGCACAGGTGGCTGGGGTGAGGCAGGTGGCTGCTGAGGAGCAAGAGGGATCTACAGTTGTCCCCTGCCCTATGAGAAGGGCCACCCACTCAGGAGGGGCCTCAAGGGATGATGAGAAATGAGTATGGAATTTGTCAGCCTTGAAGTTCCAAATTGGAAACCTGGAAACATGTGTCCCGTCTTCTTCATCAAGATTGTCCAATTTTTTTTCTTTTTTTTTTTTTTTTTTTTTGAGACGGAGTCTCACTCTGTCTCCCAGGCTGGAGGGCAGTGGCGCTATCTCGGCTCACTGCAAGCTCCGCCTTCCGGGTTCACGCCATTCTCCTGCCTCAGCCTTCCAAGTAGTTGGGAAAACAGGCGCCCGCCACCATGCCCGGCTAATTTTTTTTTGTATTTTTAGTAGAGACGGGGTTTCACCATGTTAGCCAGGATGGTCTCGATCTCCTGACCTCGTGATCCGCCCGCCTCAGCCTCCCAAAGTGCTGGGATTACAGATATGAGCCACCGCGCCCGGCCGATTTTCCAGTGTCATAGCATAAAGCAATAAGTGATGTTCTTCTAATTAAAACAATAAATTAAAGTGTAGAATTTAATATGTATTAATACTATCAAGGTCTGGCCAGGCACAGTGGCTCACGCCTGTAATCTCAGCACTTTGGGAGGCCGAGGCAGGCAGATCACAAGATCGGGAGATCGAGACCATCCTCGCTAACACAGTGAAACCCCGTCTCTACTAAAAATAGAAAAATTAGCCAGGCGTGGCGGCATGTGCCTGTAGTCCCAGCTGCTGGAGAGGCTGAGGCAGGAGAATGGCGTGAACCCGGGAGGCAGAGCTTGCAGTGAGCTGAGATCGCGCCACTGCACCCCAGCCTGGGCGACAGAGTGAGATTCCATCTCAAAAAAAAAAAAAATACTATCAAGGTCAAATAAAAATATAGAGATGGATCTCTAAACAAAACACCTTGTATGGGAATCATAGAATTATATTTTGAGGCATATCCACAGGCTGGGGTGAACTTCAATATGTCCAAAGAACAAAGAGAAGGTTGGGGGTTTTATTAAAAAGAGAAATGTGGCCAGGCGCGGTGGCTCATGCCTGTAATTCCAACACTTTGGGAGGTCAAGGTGGGTGGATCATTTGAGATCAGGAGTTCAAGACCAGCCTGGCCAACATGGTGAAACCCCATCTCTACTAAAAATACAAAAGTTAGCTGGACGTGGTGACATATGCCTGTAATCCCAGCTACTCGGGAGGCTGAGGCAGGAGAACTGCTTGAACCTGGGAGGCAGAGGTTGTAGTGAGCCAAGACTGTGCCACTGCACTCCAACCTGGGCAACAGAGTGAGACTCCGTCTCAAAAAAAAAAAAAAAAAAAAAAAAAAGAAATGTGGCTGGGCATGATGGCTCACACCTGTAATCCTAGCACCTTGGGAGGCCAAGGTGGGCAGATCATTTGAGGTCAGGAGTTCAAGACAAGCCTTGCCAATATGGTGAAACCCGTCTCTACTACAAACACAAAAATTAGCTGGGCGTGGTGGCACACACCTGTAATCCCAGCTACTCGGGAGGCTGAGGCAGGAGAATCACTTGAACCCGCGAGATGGAAGTTGCAGTGAGCTGAGATCGCACCGAGATCACCTGGGTGACAGAGCGAGACTCAGGCTCAAATAAATAAATAAATAAATAAATAAATAAATAAAATAAAAAGAAACTCTTGATTAGTTTCCATTTTTCTAGGGTTTTACAAAATGGAATCCTACAGCCAGGGACAGTGGCTCCCACCTGTAATCCCAGCACTTTGGAAGTCTGAAGTGAGTAGATCACCTGAGGTCAGGAGTTCAAGACCAGCCTGGCCAACATGGCAAAACCCCATCACTACTAAAAATATAAAAATTGGCCAGGCTGTGAGATCGTCTCCCATAGCATTGAGCTGATTTCTGTGGTTCCTTAGGTCATGGGGGTAGGGTGAGGCCTGCTTCAATCTTACCCTTTTGGGGCAGAACTCTTGAAATCTTGGCTTAATCTGGGGAGTTCTCTCTTAGATCCCACCTTGGACACCCTTGGATTTGATTATGTTTTTCTTGCCCTTGGAGGCTGTCAAAACCAAAGGTAAGTATGGCAAGATCGGCTCATGCGTGAAACTAAAAGCTGTCTCAGAGCCCAGTGGCCTGTTTTTGTTGCTACTTTCCATTAAGGTCTGACTTGGTAATTCCTTATTAGCTTTCGGATGCCTTTCTGATGTTATTTGTGTCTACCATATTCCTTAAAAGGCAGCATTGCTTCGTTTTTAAATGGTGGGTTTTTGGGAGGTTTTTCTGAGACGGAGTCTTGCTCTGTAGCCCCGGCTGGAGTGCCAGCAGCATGATCTTGGCTCACTGCAACCTCTGCCTCCTGGGTTCAAGCAATCCTCCTGCCTCAGCCTTCCAAGTAGCTGGGATTACAGATCTGCACCACCACGCTCAACTAATTTTTGTTTTTTTAGTAGAGACAGGGTTTCACCATGTTGGCCAGACTGGTCTTGAATTCCTGACCTCAAGTGATCTGTCTGCCTCGGCCTCCCAAAGCACTGGGATTACAGGCGTGAAGCATCACACCCAGGTAAATGAAGTCTGTTATTGTTGTTGTTATTGTTGTTTTGAGATGAAGTCTCACCCTATCACCAGGCTGGAGTGCAGTGGTGTGATCTCGGCTCACTGCAACCTCCACCTCCCTGGTTCAAGCAATTCTCATGCCTCAGCCTCCTGAGTAGCTGGGACTACAGGCGCCCACCACCACGCCTGGCTATTTTTTTGTATTTTCAGTAAAGACAAGGTTTTACCATGTTGGCCAGGCTGGTCTCGAACTCCTGACCTCAAGTGATCCGCCCGCCCACCTTGGCCTCCCAAAGTGCTGGGATTACAGATGTAAATGATGTTTTTTAGTGTGTAATTAATATATACTCATTTTCAAAATTTGGAAAATGCAGATGAGTATAATGAAGGAAACCTCACAGTCACTTACAGCCTTCTCTGCTGCATGCCAGCACTCTCGGCACTTGGGGGGTATTTCCTGCTGACGGATCTTGAGCAAAGGTCCGTGCTGTGGCGTCACTCATCTTAGTGTCGTGCACAGGGCCTCCTTCCTTCTTGCTGTATCCGTGTCTTCTTTATCACTGATCTCAGAAGAAGCACGTGAAGATTAAGAACATTCTGTAAGATACCTGATGCAAAGATAGGGAAGAAGAAACTACCAAAACTTAGAAAATAGCACAGAAAATGGAACAGAAGATAGAAGCTATGCTGGAAATGCTAACTGCAAACTAGAAAACAGCATTATTTATTTATTTTTTTTTATTTATTTATTTTTGAGACGGAGTCTCGCACTGTCGCCCAGGCTGGAGTGCAGTGGCACAGTCTCGGCTCACTGCAACTTCCATCTCCCAGGTTCAGGCAATTCTCCCACCTCAGCCTCCCGAGTAGCTGGGATTACAGGCGCACACCACCACACCCGGCTAATTTTTTTGTATTTTTTGTAGAGACGGGGTTTCACTATGTTGGCCAGACTGGTCTCGAACTCCCGACCTCATAATCCACCCGCCTCGGCCTCCCGAAGTGCTGGGATTACAGGTGTGAGCCACCGCGCCCGGCTAGAAACAGCTTTTCACATCATGTCAACAACTGCGAGCCAGGGATTGGCTCTGAGGAAGCCATGGACCTTGTGTGCTCCCCATGTGAGACTGCAGGTTTGCGTCTGTCTCCCAGTGGGCGTGTTCCCCGACCCTACCCAGACATAACCAAAACCTTGCTTTCCTGCATGCAGTCATCAGAGATGCCAGACCAGAGGAAATACAGCAATCAAAGCAGGCAAACCTGTTGCTAAATGTGTTTTTGAGAGTAAAACTCCTTGGCCAAATACTTCAAGACGCTGATGATTCTCAAAGTAAGTAGATTTTTAAAATCCTATACTGTCAATGTTTTGAGCATCTGGCTTCTTAACCCAGGAACGAGCTGTTTTCCAGCCTGATAATCCCATAGTCAACAGTGTATGCTTAGCCAGGCCGGTGGCTCACGCCTGTAATCTCAGCACTTTGGGAGGCTGAGGCGGGCGGATCACGAGGTCAGGAGTTCGAGACCAGTCTGGCTAACATAGTGAAACCCCCTCTCTGCTAAAAATACACAAAAAATTAGCCGGGCGTGGTGGTGTGCGCCTGTAATCCCAGCTACTCGGGAGGCTGAGGCAGGAGAATCGCATGAACCCAGGAGGCAGAGCTTGCAGTGAGCCGAGATCACGCCACTGCACTCCAGCCTGGGCGACAGAACGAGACTCCGTCTCAAAAAAAAAAGAAGAAAAAAAATGTATGCTTAGGGTTCACAGTGGTAACCCCTGAAATTCTGGCTGTCTAGCCATGGAACTAGTTCGCACTGAAACCCCCTAATTCTAAAAAAGGTCTTTTTTTTCTCATTGTTCCTACACAGACTGTCATCATGAACCATCTGGAGAAGGCCAGATGTTTACATTTCACGGAAATGTGGTCCTGAAACCTTCATTCTGAGCGCAGAGCTAACCACCTCCTCCTATTCTTGGCAACACTAGTAAATGATACATTACCACAGAGCAGGTGAAATGCAGCAGAGACATCTACGCTAGAACCTGAGGGTTGCTATGTTGTAAGAAGCATGCCCAGGTTTATACTAGGACGCTCGGCTGGAGCATTGGTTCACCGCTGTCCACTATTTTAAAGACATGCCAGAAATAACAATCCTATTATCTGATTTCCAAGTAAGTCAGGATGTTCCTACTAACAGCCCTTCCTTTTATGGTAGTGAGAATAGTCTAGAAACTTAGTGTTTTATGATAATTCATGTGCCGTGGCTCTCTTCCAGGAGATTTTAATCTCCCTCTGGCCTTGTCTTATTCACCTTTATGTCCCAGGACAAAAATGTTGGACTGTTTGTTATATGTTAATAAGTGGGCTGGGCGCGGTGGCTCACGCCTGTAATCCCAGCACTTTGGGAGGCCGAGGTGGGCAGATCACAAGGTCAGGAGTTCAAGACCAGCCTGCCCAATATGGTGAAACCCCATCTGTACTAAAAATACAAAAACATTAGCCAGGTGTAGTGGCACATGCCTGTAATCCCAGCTACTCGGGAGGTTGAGGCAGGAGAATTGCTTGAATCCGGGAGATGGAGGTTACAGTGAGCCAAGATTGCGACACTGCACTCCAGCCTGGGCAACAGAGCAAGACTTCGTCTTAAAAAATAAAATAAAATAAAATAAATGATTGATAAACAGTGAATGAAGGCTGGGCGCAGTGGCTCACACCTGGAATCCCAACACTTTGGGAAGCCAAGGCAGGCAGATCACCTGAAGTCAGGAGTTCAAATCCAGCCTGGCCAACATGGCGAAACCCCGTCTTTACTAAAAAATACTAACAATTAGGCTGGGCACGGTGGCTCACGCCTGTAATCCTAGCACTTTAGGAGGCCAAGGTGGGCGGATTGCCTGAGCTCAGGCGTTCAAGACCAGCCTGGGCAACACAGTGAAACCCCGTCTCTACTAAAATACAAAAAATTAACCAGGCATGGCGGTGTGTGCCTGTAATCCCAGCTACTCAGGAGGCTGAGACAGGATAATTGCTTGAACGTGGGAGGCGGAGGTTGCAGTGAGCCAAGATCACACCACTGTGTCACAAACGTCCGTGTGAAGAGAGTCCACCAAACAGGCTTTGTGTGAGCAACAAGGCTGTTGATTTCACCTGGGTGCAGGCGGGCTGAGTCCAAAAAAGGAGTCAGCAAAGGGTGGTGGGATTATCATTAATTCTTACCCTTTTGGGATAGGCGTACAAAGTACATTCTCAAGGGCTCGGAGAATATTACAAAGTACATTCACAAGGTTAGGGGGAGAATATTACAAAGTACCTTCTTAAGCGGGGGGAGAGGCCGGGCACGGTGGCACACGCCTGTAATCCCAGCACTTTGGGAGGCCGAGGTGGGTGGATCACAAGGTCAGGAGATCGAGACCATCCTGGCTAAGACGGTGAAACCCCATCTCTACCAAAAGTACAAAAAATTAGCCGGGCGTGGTGGCGGGCGCCTGTAGTCCCAGCTACTTGGGAGGCTGAGGCAGGAGAATGGCGTGAACCCAGGAGGCGGAGGTTGCAGTGAGCCAAGATTGCGCCACTGCACTCTAGCCTGGGTGACAGAGCCAGACTCCGTCTCAAAAAAAAAAGAATTTGCTGTCAGAGCGAGTCACAATGGCTCACACCTGTAATCTCAGCACTTTGGGAGGCCAAGGTGGGCGGATCACCAGAGGTCAGGAGTTCGAGATCAGCCTGGTCAACATGGTGAAACCCCGTCTCTACTAAAAATACAAAACTTAGCCGGGCATGGTGGCAGGTGCCTGTAATCCTAGCTACTTGGGAGGCTGAGGCAGGAGAATTGTTTAAACCCGGGAGGCAGAGGTTGCAGTGAGCCAAGATCACTTCATTGCAGTCTAGCCTGGGCAACAAGAGCAAAACCCTGTCTCAAAAAAAAAAAAAAAAAAAAAAAAGAATTTGCTGTTGGCTCTCACTCTGATTCATATCTCATATCTGCCTATGTTTCTTTCTTTTTCTTTTTTTGCTGTAGCCTGGGGTGGAGCAGAGGGGACTGCTGTAGCTGGGGACCTGGAAACATGGTCAACACTGAAAGTAAAAACACAAACTTGGTTTTTCCAGGGAGCTGCTGGAAACTGACCCAAGGCAAAAGCAAGGTGCAGGTGGAATTACTGAGAGGTTGTGGAGGCCTCCTGCTCCCCTCTCTGCTGCCAGACACTCTGTGTGGGGCCCCCCAAAACGTGCCTGGCACCCCAGTCCCTCAAGTGTTCCCTGGATATGGGGAAATTGTTGACTAACGACTTTATAAGTCATGGACATTTCTTGGCTGGGTGCAGTGGCTCATGCCTGTAATCCCAGCACTTTGGGAGGCGGAGGCGGGCGGATCACGAGGTCAGGAGCTCGAGACCATCCTGGCTAACACGGTGAAACCACGTCTCTACCACAAAATACAAAAACATTAGCTGGGCGTGGTGGCAGGCGCCTGTAGTCCCAGCTACTCCGGAGGCTGAGGCAGGAGAATGGCGTGAACCTGGGAGGCGGAGCTTGCAGTGAGCCGAGATCGCGCCACTGCACTCCAGCCTGGGCGACAGAGCGGACTCCGTCTCAAAAAAAAAAAAAAAAAAAAAGTCATGGACATTTATCCGCAAACGTCTGCTATCAGGGATATGTAAACTCTAACAGCCATGAGAAGCCATTGGACGGGTGTTGCTGTGGCCAAAATCCAGAGCATGGACAGCACCACACGCCGGCCAGGAGGTGGCGCATCTTTTCATGTCAGTCATGATTTATCCAAAAACAGCACCTCCCGTGATGCCAGTGCTGCGCAGAGGTTGGGATACAGCGGGTGGGTGCCTAGAAGCCAACTCCCGCCTTCCAGGAAGTATGGTTAGGGGACATACTCACCCGGACACCGACGTGAACCTGCAGCCTCCCCCGGGGAGCACGCATGGGTCCCAGTTGCCTTACAGTCTGATCACGGATGCTGTTGCCTAGGCAACGTGAGGGTGGCCCTGGCTCCTTGATCTTCCTGGTGGCTCTGGGGGACCATGACGGAGATGCGGATAATTCAGGTCAGGGCAGCAGCCGGCCGGCAGGGGGCGACAAGCACACTGCTCATGAACGGTTGGCTCTGCCCACGTGCACACGGCGTTTCCACATTAACATTCATTTAATAATAATAAAAGAATAAGCAACGAGAGAGAAAGCCAGAGATCTACATGACTAGACTTGCTGCATTTCTAAATTACCAGGTACGACGTGAGCCGAGCATCTGCCCCCTTGCCCTGACCAGGTCCCCATTTCTGACTCTCCACTCCCAGCCCTGGACAGGAGGAGTCAAGGGTCAGAAATGGTCCGGGTCTGCCAATACATTCCTTGGTAATAGTATGTTAAAAGTAGCAAGTGGCAATCTGTTCTCTCTCTTTCTTTCTTTCTCTTTCTTTCTTTCTTTCTTTCTTTCTTTCTCTTTCTTTCTTTCTTTCTTTCTTTCTTTCTTTCTTTCTTTCTTTCTTTCTTTCTCTCTCTCTCTCTCTCTCTTTCTTTCTTTCTTCTTCCTCTGTCTCTCTCTTTCTCTCTCCCTCTCGCTCTCCCTCTCGCTCTCTCTCTCTTTCGGAACAGGGTCTCGCTCTGTCTCCCCGGCTGGAGTGCTGTGGTGCCATCTCGGCTCAGTGCAGCCTCTGTCTCCTGGGCTCAAGCAATCCTCCCGCCTCAGCGTCCCAAGTACCTGGGACCACAGGCGTGTACCACTACGCCCGGCTAATTTTGTAATATTTTGTACAGAGATGGGGTCTCATTATGCTGCTCAGGCTGGTGACAAACTCCTGGGCTCAAGCGACCCACCCACCTCGGCCCCCCAAAGTGGTGGGATCACAGACGTGAGCCAGCGCTCCCTGTCAGCGTTTCATTCCCTCTTCATATCACATCACTTGGGTCTGTGGTCCAGGTGCGCTGGGGGCAGCGCAGGCCGGGTTCAGGAGAGCTCGGCTCAGCAGCAGCCGATGGAGCTTTCCTGGGGGCTCCTACCTGGCCGCCAGCTCCAGAAGCCAAGCCAGGGGCTCTTCGAGACATGGTCCCACCAGAGGAGAGACCGAGCCTCGGAGAAATGAACGTCCTAGGCCATGGGACTCGGACCCCTCACCCCACCCGCCACACCTGCCAACTTCCCGGCCTGCAGGGTGGCAGGAAGCCTGAGGCATTATTCAGCTTCCTTAGGGCCCGTTGGCTGATGCAACACAGCTCAGAAGTTGAGTCCAAGCACCAAGCCCGCAATGTCTGCGTCGGCCGCCAGGGGTCACTCCTCCCGCGCAGAAGGCGGCCTTGGAGCCTCGCAACCGCAGTATGCGAAGGTTGCATCACCCTCGCGGGGTCTAAGAGGAAGGATGGGGACCAGCCCGCAGGCGGGCCTGAGCCTCCTGGCAAAGCCCTTTGTCAACGTCAACAGAAGCATCTGGCGTCCTTTCTGGTCGCGGACGTCAGAGCTGGCTGCTCCGGCACTCAGCCGGGTGGTTGGTCCCCAGGCAGCCGCTGGGGCCCTGCCACCAGGTCTCACCTGGCCGAGAGGGAGTCAGGATGCCCTCTGAAGCAATGTCCCGAAATCCCAAATTCACCCCTACCCCCAGGTCAATAATGTACAAGAAGCTACATTCCTTTTTTTTTTTTTTTTTTTGAGAGGGAGTCTCACTCTTGTTGCCCAGGCTGGAATGCAATGCCACGACCTCGGCTCACCGCAACCTCTGCTTCCCAAGTTCAAGCAATTCTCCTGCCTCAGCCTCCCAAGTAGCTGGGATTACAGGCATGCGCCACCACACCCTGCTAATTTTGTATTTTTAGTACAGACAGGGTTTCTTTTTTCTTTTTTTTTTTTTTTTTGGAGACGCAGTTTCACTCTTGTTGCCCAGGCTGGAGTGCAATGGCATGATCTTGGCTCACCACAACCTCTGCCTCCTGGGTTCGAGTGATTCTCCTGCCTCAGCCTCCCGAGTAGCTGGGACTACAGGCATGCACCACCATATCTGGCTGATTTTTTTGTATTTTTAGTAGAGATGGGGTTTCTCCACGTTGGTCAGGCTAGCCTCAAACTCCCGACCTCAGGTGATCCACCCGCCTCGGCCTCCCAAAGTGTTGGGATTACAGGCGTGAGCCACCGTGCCCGGCCTGAGACAGGGTTTCTCCATGTTGGCCAGGCTGGTCTCAAACTCCAGACCTCAGGTGATCCGCCTGCCTTGGCCTCCCAAAGCATTGGGATTACAGGCATGAACCACCACGCCTGGCCGTTGAAGCTACATTCTTGTTCCAAAGTTTTAAGCAGGGACTTTGGTGCAGACATAGCAATCTTTTGGGAGGATTAATGGAGGGAAGAAATAGTACCTGGTATTCCCACTGCTCTCACCCACAGCCCCGGGATCCACCTCCTCTTTACCGCCCGGGCCACAGAGAGCACACGTGGGCTCCTTTCCATTTGCTGGTCCGACCCAGCAGTGGTCACCGCTGGAGCCCTGAGACCCCACCAAGGTGTTCTGCCCAGCTCTCCTCATCCACAGAGGACAGAGGGGGTCAGGGGAAATAATATGAATCTGACGCTGGGGACATTTGCAACCCGCAGAGTCACCGCCACCTGGTGTCTCTTCAGTGTCTATGGAGACCAGTAAATGACTGTTTGCTCCACTGTTCTGAAAACAAATGAGTGCAGAAACAATCTTCTTTTGCTTCCTGCCTGGTGAGAGACATGATTGCCAAGAGCTCAGGCCAGGAGCCGAGGGTTTGCTTTTCATCCTAATCTTCAAGGTGGTCATCTTCAAAGGATGTGAGAGGGCAAGAGCTGAGCTCTGCTTCCTGCAAAGAGAACCACACATGTCCCTCAGTGGAGCACCCAGTCTAGCTTTCCTGTGTCTGCCTTCCTCCCTCCACCCACGCCTTCCTCCCTCTGCCCACAAGTCCTTCACCCTCTCCCCACAGGCTCAGCCTTCGGGAGCTATTTCCTGTGGCTTTTTATTCACTTCCTTTTTTTTTTTTTTTTTTTTTGAGATGGAGTCTCACTCTGTCGCCCAGGCTGGAGTGCAGTGGCACGATCTTGGCTCACTGCAACTTCTGTCTCTCAGATTCAAGCGATTCTCCTGCCTCATCCTCCTGAGTAGCTGGGATTACAGGCCTGAACTACCATGCCTGGCTAATTTTTATATTTTTAGTAGAGACGGGGTTTCACCATGTTGGTCAGGCTAGTCTTGAACTCCTGACCTCAAGTGATCCACCCGCCTCAGCCCCCCAAACTGCTGAGATTACAGGTGTGAGCCACCGCGCCCAGCCTCATTTACTTGTTTTGATAATTTTTTTCTTTTGGGATAATCGTAGCTTTGCAGGACAGCTAAGATAGTTCCTGAAGTTCTCCAGTGATCATCTTCCATACAATGGTACATTGGTCAAAACTAAGCAACCAACATTGGTATATTGCCATTAACTAAACCCCAGACTTGCTTTGGATTTCCCTGGGTCTTTTCCTACTTACATCCTTTTCCTGTTCCCATCCAGGATCCTACGCAGGAGACAACATTGCATTTAGATGTGGTTCACTCTTCAATGCAGAGATTTTAGACCCTAACCCATCTCACCCTGTGTAGCTCCAGGTGTGTGGCCTCCTGCTGCTGGGAGGAAACGCACCGAGTCGTGGTGCTCAGTGGCACCCTAAATGCCCTGGGAGCCTGTGAACCCCAAAAATCTGAGACAGGTCTCAATCAATGAAGAAAGCTTATTTTGCCAGGTCAAAGACAGGCACTGTGACACAGCTGAGTCAGGAGAATAGATCCTGGAAGAAGGGAACCGAGAGACTGCCTAGGACTAAATCAAATGTAAGGGCTTGGTACAGTGGCTCACGCCTGTAATCCCAGAACTCTGGGAGGCCAGGCGGGCAGATCACCTGAGGTCAGGAGTTCAAGACCAGCCTGGACAACATGGTGAAACCCCGTCACTACTAAAAATACAAAAATTAGCTGGGTGTAGTGGTGGGTGCCTGTAATGCCAGCAACTCAGGAGGCTGAGGCAGGAGAATCACTTGAACCTGGGAGGCGGAGGTTGCAGTGAGCTGAGAACGTGCCACTGCACACCAGCCTGGATGACAGGGAGAGACTCCATCTCAAAAATAAATAAATAAATAAAATAGAAACACTTCAGCTATGACAGGAAATATCCTCTTTACTTACATAGGGCATCTGTGTAAATGAAGCGTAAATGATTTCATTGACAAATGAGTAAGTGACTTTGTAACTTTACTTCATCCTCTTCATTTACACAGGGCGTACACCAAGTAAATGACTTTGTAACTTCACTTTAGCCTCTTCATTCACAAAGGGCATACACCAAGCAACCAATGGAAACCTCTAGAGGGTATTTAAATCCCAGAAAATTCTGTAACCAGTTTCTTGAGCCCCTATGCTGGGGCCCACTCCTACCTTGTGGAATGTACTTTCTCGTTTTCTTTTTTTTTTTTTTTTTTGAGGTGGAGTCTCGCTCTGTCGCCCAGGCTGGAGTGCAATGGCGTGATCTCAGCTCACTGCAAGCTCCGCCTCCCAGGTTCACGCCATTCTCCTGCCTCAGCCTCCCGAGTAGCTGGGACTATAGGTGCCCGCCACAACGCCTGGCTAATTTTTTGTATTTTTTAGTAGAGACGAGGTTTTACCGTGTTGGCCAGGATGGTCTTGATCTCCTGACCTTGTGATCCGCCCACCTCGGCCTCCCAAAATCCTGGGATCACAGGTGTGAGCCACCGCGCCCGGCCTTGTACTTTCGTTTTCAATAACTCTCTGCTTTTGCTGCCTCACTCTTTTTGCTTTGTTTGTGCATTTTGTGCAATTATTTGTTGGACAACACCAAGATGCCAAGAACCTGGACACCGTCCACCGGTAACACAGCCTCAGGGGGTCCTGAGGACATGTACCCAAGGTGGCTGGGGCACGGTTTGGTTTTACACGTTTTAGGGAGACATGGAGACATCAATCAATATATGTAAGATGTACATTGGTTCCGTACAAAGAGGCAGGACAACTCAAGCAGGGAGGGGGGCTTCCAGGTGGCAGGTCGGGGAGAGACAAACCGTTGCATTCTTTTGAAATTTCTGATTAGCCTTTCCAAAGGACGCCATCAGATATGTATGTATCTCAGTGAGCAGAGGTGTGACTGAATAGAATGGGAGGCAGTTTTGCCTTAAGCAGCTCCCAGATTGACTTTTCCCTTTAGCTTAGTGATTTGAGGGCCACAAGATTTCCAAGATTTATTTTCCTTTCACAAGCTGAAGAAGTGGGAGCTGCCTTTGGTGCTCTCCCCATGGACCTGACTCTGGCCTTCCCCTCCCTTTACCCCCATGGGTCCCTTGTCTCTGCAGTTGATTTGCTCACGAGATTCTAAATATCAGCCGTTTACTACTTAGGATAAACCGCAGGTCTTGCTGCAGTATCGCCCGTTGCTGATATGTGCAGATGCCAAGTTCTCTGGATGGGAACCATCTAGAGCCTTGGTAGTCAAAGGCCGGGCGCAGTGGCTCACCCCTGTAATCCCAGCACTTTGGGAAGTCAAGGCAGGCGGATTACTTGAGGTCAGGAGTTTGAGACCAGCCTGGACAACATGGTGAAACCCTGTCTCTCCCAGAAATACAAAAATTTGCTGGGCATGGTGGTGCGTGCCTGTAATCCCAGCTACTCGGGAGGCTGAGGCCGGAGAATCACTTGAACCCAGGAAGGGAGGTTGCAGTGAGCCGAGATTACGCTACTGCACTCCAGCCTGGGCAACAGAGCGAGACTCCGTCACAGAAAAAAAAAGAGTCTTGGTAGTCATGGGGATTGAAGCCTCTTTGGGAGTCCCATCCCTTCGCTCCTTCTGTGCCTGTGACCCCTCACTGTGAAGTGCACACTCCCAGAGTGCCCAGGCCAGGCTGGTTCAGTGCCACCCACCCTCCAGCCTCTCCCAACCCCCCACAGCCAAAGCACCGGCACAGAGGTCACAGGAGACTCAGGCCACGTGGCATCCAGATGCCGACAAAGTGAGTTCTTTACCCAGAAAATGAAAGGGAGACCTTCCCGAGGCGCTTGCCCATCCAACTGTGCAAGGATGACGGGGTTCCACTCAAGCCAACCGAAAACATCCACAGATAAGAATACACAAAATAAAGCCAACCCACAACAAACTCCCAGGACTCAGAATCCAACACGCCTCCCATCGTCGTGTTGTGACCAAGCGAGTTACAGAGAAACGCCACACTTTGAGACAAATTAAAGAGTCTTTTATTAGCCAGCGACCAAGAGGCAGCTAATGCTCAAAATTCTCTCAGCCCTGAGGAAGGGACTAGTTTTGTTTTTATACCGTGGTCTAAACAGCGGAGGCAGGATTTTAGCTGAAGCAATTTTTACAGAAGCAGAACTGGCAAAAAGTTAAAAATTTAATTGGTTACATGGCCGGGCGCGGTGGCTTAAGCCTGTAATCCCAGCACTTTGGGAGGCCGAGGCGGGTGGATCATGAGGTCAGGAGATTGAGACCATCCTGGCTAACGTGATGAAACCCCGTCTCTACTAAAAATACAAAAAATTAGCCGGGCGTGGTGGCGGGCGCCTGTAGTCCCAGCTACTCGGGAGGCTGAGGCAGGAGAATGGCTTGAACCCGGGAGGCAGAGCTTGCAGTGAGCCAAGATCGCGCCACTGCACTCCAGCCTGGGCGACAGAGCGAGACTCCATCTCAAAAAAAAAAAATTAATTGGTTACAAAAAATAAACAGTTCCAGGTGCAGGGGCTTAAACTATCACAAAGAGATAAATGCAGGGGCTTCGGGTGCCATCCACCGAGCGCGTCCCGAGGAGCTGCTGGTGCAGCTTGCCTCTGTATCTTATCAGTAGGTGCATTTCTGGACGTGCTTTGAGTCAGTTTACACTAGTTATGCCTTAAGGGAGGGAGATGAAAGGGGACTGCAGGTGAAGAAACTAAAATGGAGTCTGTCCGGCTCTCTCTCTGCTAGGAGAGAGTAGGCTATCACCGCTGAGCCACAGGGGACGGCAAGTTGTCCATTTTTCCTGCTCAGGGGCCGCTGACCTCACAGCAGCCGGAATGTGGGTGGTGGCATTCCAAGGGCAATCCACATTTCACCGTGATTAGAAAACGAGGCCAACACGGCTCAGGCTCTGAGCATGGCTTCTCTGCACTGGTGACTGCAAGAATATCCCTCATGCCTTTGAAGGGCCATGGAGAAGTTGGCATAGCTCTCCTGGAGTTCCCGAATCTCTCGCCCAAAGTAACTTGGCCCTTCGAGGCAGAATTGGAGAAACAGAACATCCTCACACCCAAGTCCCATTTTCTCTGTGGTGACCTGCAAACCACACTGCACCTTCTGGCTGCGACACCCTCAGATTTCAGGCCAGAACCTTGGAAGAAGTAGGGCCACTCCCTGGTTTCTGATGGGGCCAGAGTGCTGGGTTGGGGACGTTGCCTCCAGAGCTGTCTCTGGGGGCCCTGACGCTGCCGTGTGCTGGGAGTGAAGGAGCTCCTACCTCACGGGCCAAACCCACTCCCGCTCTCTCCCAGGCTCCAGGGATAAAACTGGAGACCACTATGTCTTGCTTTCCGTGTTCTTTCTCCCTGCCATGGCTGGGTGCAGAAGCTGAAGCCGCCTTTGCAAAATTATGACTGCAGCAGTGAAAGAGATCTAATGTAACCGACATCATCTTACTTCTTTTTGGTGGGTGGGGGGGGATGGAGTTTCACTCTTGTTGCCCAGGCAGGAGTACAATGGCACAATCTCGGCTCACTACAACCTCCACCTCCCAGATTCAAGCGATTCTCCTGCCTCAGCCTCCCGAGTAGCTGGAATTACAGGCATGTGCCACCACGCCTGGCTAATTTTGTATTTTTAGTGGAGATGGGGTTTCTCCATGTTGGTCAGGCTGGTCTTGAACTCCCAACCTTAGGTGATCTGCCTGCCTCGGCCTCCCAAAGTGCTGGGATTACAGGCATGAGCCAGTGCGCCCGGCCTTAACCCCTATTTTAAATGTGCATAATTTCTACATTGTCAAATCACAGAGTCATTGCATATGATCACATCTCTCATTTTGTCCTAGTCCTTCAAACAGCTATGCACGTGTATCTCCCACTCCCAGCAGTCCTTCTCTTGATATCTTGTCACTTTGGTTGTCTGAAACCCAGCCTCTAGGAGGTTCCTTAAAAGGCATATAGGGACCAGGTACAGTGGCTCATGCCTGTAATCCCAGCACTTTGAGAGGCCAAGGTGGGTGGGTCACCTGAGGTCAGGAGTTCAAAACCAGCCTGGCCAACATGGCAAAAACCCCGTCTCTACTAAAAATAAAAAAGTTAGCCGGGCGCGGTGGCAGGCATCTGTAATCCCAGGTACTCTAAGGCTGAGGCATGAGAATTCCTTGAGTCCGGGAGACAGAGGTTGCAGTGAGCCGAGATCATGCCATTGCACTCCAGCCTGGGGGAGACAAAGTAGAACTCTGTCTCAAAAAAAAAAAAAAAAAAAGGAGGCTGGATACTGTGGCTCACACCTGTAATTGCAGCACTTTGGGAGGCCAAGGCGGGCAAATCACCTGAAGTCAGAAGTTCAAAACCAGCCTGGCCAGCACAGTGAAACTTTGTCTCTAGTAAAAATACAAAAATTAGCTAGGTGTGGTGGCGCACACCCCTAGTCCCAACTACTCAGGAGGCTGAGGCAGGAGAATCAATTGAACCCAGGAGGCCGAGGTTGCAGTGAGCCGACATTGAGCCACTGTATTCCAGCCTGGGCGACACAGTGTGACTCCATCTCAAAAAAAAAAAAAAAAAAATACAAAGGCTTATGGGAATAATGAGTTCTTGCACGTCGATGTTTTGTCTATGCCCTTTGTACTTGAAGATCGGTTTTGCTTGGTGCGTCTTGAAAGGAGGCCCTGAGCAGTGATTTCTGAGAGTTCACAGAGGATGTAGACCCCAGCCTCTTTAAACATAACCAGAGTCCCCTTGCACTCACCCACTAATGCAGAGAAAACCACTCTGTCAGTGATAATCCTATTACATGTGAATGTAAATAAATTATTTTTTTAATGAAAAGCAACTATGTTTCTAAAACCACAACATATTTAGTAAGAAGGATGGCTTGTTTTATGTTTTTGCAAATAGAAGACAATTGGATTTTTATTTTATGTATGTATTTATTTATTTAGAGACAGGGTCTCACTCTGTCACCCAGGCTGCAGTGCAGTGGCGTGATCATGGCTCACCACAGCCTTAACTTGCCTGGCTCAGGTAATTCTCCCACCTCAGCCTCCCAAGTGGCTGGGACTATAGGTGTGCACCACCACACCTGGCTAATTTTTGTATTTTTTTTGTAGAGATGGAGTTTCACCGTGTTGCCCAAGCTGGTCTCAAACTCCTGGGCTCAATAAATCTGCCTTCCTCGGCCTCCAGAAGATCTGGGATTATAAGCATGAGCCACTGAGCCTGGCCCAGATTTTGTTTTCTGTTTTGGGATAGAGTCTTATTCTGTCACCCAGGCTGCAGTGCAGTGGCACAATCTCAGCTCACTGCAACCTTCACCTCCTGGGTTCATGCAATTCTCCTGCCTCAGCCTCTGGAGTAGCAGGGATTACAGGCATGTGCCACCATGCCCAGCTAATTTTTGCATTTTTAGTAGAGACAGGGTTTCACCATGTTGGCCAGGCTGGTCTTGAACTCCTGACCTGAAGTGATCCACTCGCCTTGGCCTCTCAAAGTGCTGGGATGACAGGTGTGAGCAATCACGCCTGGCCTGTATTTTCAGTAGAGACAGGTTTTCACCATGTTGGCCAGGCTGGTCTCAAACTCCTGACTTCAGGTGACCCACCTGCCTTGGCATCCCAAAGTGCTGGGATGACAGGTGTGAGCCACCATGCCAGGCCAGTGGCCCAGAGTTTATATCTGGTTCTGCATTCTATCTCCTGGCTGCATCATGTCATATGGCCTCTGGAAAACTTCACTGAACACTCATGAAAGAATCCCTGGACTTTTTGTTTTGCTATGTTGTCATGCTCTCTGCTTTTTTGTGGGGATTTGGAATGTTCAAAAACTATGCTGCCACTGCCATCTTCCCAGATCTTCATAAGATTGCTGATAAGGGAAAGGGGTAAGAAATAGAAGGTAGGCCATGTGTGGTGGCTCACACCTGTAATCCCAACACTTCGGGAGGCCGAGGCAGGTGGATCAGTTGAGCACAGGAGTTTCAGACCAGCCTGGACAACATGGTGAAACCCTGTCTCTTCAAAAAATCCAAAAATTAGCTGGGCATGCTAGCACACACCTGTAGCCCCAGCTACTCTGAAGGCTGACATAGGAGGATCTCTTGAGCCAGGGAGATCAAGGCTGCAGTGAGTGGTAACCACTCCAGCCTGGGTGACAGAGTGAGATCCTGTCTCAAAAAAAAAATTAAAAAGAAAGAAATAGAAGGTGAAGCTGCAATGTTCTCTCTCAGCATGTCTATTTAACATTGTACCAGAAGGCTTAGCACAAAAGGCAGGAAAAAGAAATAAAAGGTTTAAGGTTTAGAAAATGTAGAAAATTTAAAGAATGTACGGATAATCTATTAGAATCCATAAGTAAATTTATCTAGGTTGCTGGATACAAGATCAACATACAAAAACTAGTTGTTTTTCTATATATCAGCAGCAAACAAAACAAAGCTAAAATCTTAAAAGTTACCATTTATAAAGTCACCATTTATAAAAAACATCAGATACTTAAGAATAAATCAAACAGGCCAGGTGCAGTGGCTCACACCTGCAATCCCAGCACTTTGGGAAGCCAAGGCAGGTGGATCACTTGAGGTTAGGAGTTTGAGACCAGCCTGCCCAACATGGTGAATCCCTGTCTTGACTAAAAATACAAAAATTAGCCGGGCATGTTAGCATGCACCTGTAATCCCAGATACTCGGGAGGCTGAGGCACCAGAATCGCTAGAGCCTGGGAGGTGGAGGTGTCAGTGAGCCAAGATCACGCCACTGCACTCCAGCATGGGTGACAGAATGAGACTTCAATTCAAACAAAACCAAAACCAAAACAAACAAACGAAGAATAAATCAAACAAAGAATTTGCAAGACCTCTACACTGAAAACTACAAAATATTGTTGAGAGAAATGTAAGGAGACCAAAAAATAATGGCAGGGCTCTTTTAGTAACTGAGACAAGACTAAATATTAGAAAGATGTCAGTTCTCCTCAAACTGACCTACAGATTCAACACCAATTTTTTTTTCTTTTCCTTTTTTTTTTTTTTTTTTTTTTTTTTGAGACAGGGTCTCACTCTGTTGCCCAGGCTGGAGTCCAGTGGCTTGATCTCACCTCACTGCAACCTCCGCCTCTCGGGTTCAAGCGATTCTCCTGCCTCAGCTTCCTGAGTAGCTGGGATTACAGGCGTGAGCCACCACACCTGGCTAATTTTGTATTTTTAGTAGAGACAGGGTTTCGCCATGTTGGTCAGGCTGGTCTTGAATTCCTGACCTCAGGTAATCCACCTGCCTTGGCCTCCCAAAGCACTGGGATTACAGAAATGAGCCCTGGAGCCTGGCTGCTTTGGGTGTTCTCGAGACTCTACACTCTCCTCCCGTACACCACAGCAAACAGCTCGGACCCCCTGACAGCTCCTGGCCTTCCCCAGCTGAGTGGAAGGCTTCTCCAGGGCTTACTTCAGTTCTTCGTGGATTTTGCCCAGTCGCCCGGAGGCTGCAGTTCCACCAGGCAAAGCCAAACATGCTTGTTTGTTCTATTAAGAAATGGCTGGTTAATCTTTGGACCTAAGTGCAATGTTGGACGTGGCTGACGTTCATTGCTTGAGGAGGTATGTGTTATTGAAATGACCCAGAAGGCTGCATTTGGCAGTTTCCCTTACTTCTGACCCAAGCCTCATGCAGGGCTGTGTGGGTGCTGCCTGCAGCCTTTTGCAAAAGATGGAAAAATGGCAGGAGGCACGAAAGACCACCAGGAAAGCCGAGCGAGCTCCTCAGGCTTGTTCCATCAGGTCTGGGAAGTCAGTAAGCCATGGGAATGAGATCCCAGCAATTCTTGGGTCCTTCCAGCTGTTTCATTCCTTGGGAATTAACACATAGGACCCTGAGGGTTCTAACGCACAAGGGCAGGGAAGGGGGCCAGGCCATGCCCGCGAGCTTGCCAGGTCATTGTCCTGGGTCACGGGGTGGAGGAACCTGCTCTGTGCACGCAAGGCACGAGCTGACTTGCAGGGCCGCTGAGTCACGGGAGAGTCAGGAGTCAGTCCAGTGTAGACTGCGTGCTAGAGTGGTTTAACAAGGATGCCAAGTGCATTGTTCAAAACATGGCTCCCCTGTCTGCCGTGAGTCGTCTTGAGGCGGGGCTCCTGTAATAACCTTCCCCCAAGGCCTCTCCTCTGCAGCACCCCGCTGGACACCTGAGGTCCTCTCCCTGTACAAAGAAAACCCAAACCCACTGCTTCTCTTTGGCCATTAGCTTTTGGCCTCTTCAAGCTGCTCTTTGGGGTCTTCACGGTCTCTGGTGGGATTCTCTCTGCGAATTAGGTTTGCATTAAGTTTTCTATCTTTATTACGCAGAGAAGACTGGCTTCACGGGCTTTCCCCCTACTTGGCTAGCAGACACATCTTTTCAGCCCTAGGCAAAAGAATCCCGTGCTCGAATTATCCAGAGATAATGTACGTTTGCTGTAATTAACAACCCACCAGAGCCCTGGGGCGCTCCCTACAGACATGGGTCTGGTGTGGCAAATGTGCAAGGGAACTGGCTCTGCCCGGCCCTCCCAGGCAGCTCTCCCATTTGTCTCAGTATCATCGCCTTCCCAGCTCCCTGGGGCTCCCCCTCCCAGAGAGGAGCAGCCCAGGCCTGACTGCCAAGACACAGGGCATCATTTACCCACTATGGTTAGAAAGCTTGCCCAAGCAATGGCACCAAGCCAATAAATATTATTCTCTGCTATCAACAGCCAAGGCCACACTCTGATTTGTTAGTGGTGGGTTAAATAAACAAGACTTCTGGCTGGGCGCGGTGGCTCATGCCTGTGATCCCAGCACTTTGGGAGTGGATCACAAGGCCAGGAGATCGAGACCATCCTGGCTAACACAGTGAAACCCCATCTCTACTAAAAAAAAATACAAAAAATTAGCCGCTCGTGGTGGCATGCCACTCTGTAGACCCAGCTACTCGGGAGGCTGAAGCAGGAGAATAGTTTGAACCCAAGAGGCGGAGGCTACGGTGAGCCAAGATCGCCCCACTGCACTCCAGCCTCGGCGACAGAGTGAGACACCAACTCAATAAATAAAAAATAAAATAAACAAGACTTCCAGACCACGGGTGGAGAAGATCCAGCCAGGGAGCTGGGCACAACTCCCCGTTTCACTGTGCGGTTTCATTTCAGTTGGAAAGAACTTCATCTGTTGAAGTGCACAGACAGCATTCAGAGGCTAGAGACGCCGGCATCGGCACAGCACACAGTGCCCTCTGTTCCCCTGGCCCAGGCCAAGAGCTCTTTGTGTGTCTGAGTGACTGGTCAGCACTGGGCAACAAACCCACGCCGGGAGACGGACAGCGAGCCGCCTCAACCCACCAGCCTCTGGGGAGCCTCTCATCTCGCAAGCACCTGCGGAGGCCCGCCCGGCGCCAGACCAGTCCAGGCACCCAGAGGCCTCTGCTCTCCTGGAGCTCATGACAAGTAAACAAATACACAAGATGGTTTGGGATCCCGATGAATAAGTTAAGCAGGGCAACCCAACAGGGAGGACAGGGCTCCCGCATGTGACGGACCCAGGAGGGAGCGACCCCCCGTGTTGACATGGGGGGAAAGGCGGGAAGTCAGAGAGGCCGGGAGGTCAGAGAGGCCAGGAGGTCAGAGAGGCCAGGCCCCTTCACACGGGGTGGGCGGGGGGGGGGGGGATTTGCTCCCTCTGGAGGCCAAAGAGGAGGGTCCTTTCCACCTCTTCCAGCTTCTGGGGGCGGCTGGCTTCCTGGGCTTGTGGCGTGTCTGTCACTCCAGTCTCTGCCTCTGCCTTCACGTGGCCTCAGTGCATGTCCTCACATGGCCTTCTTATAAAGATACCTGTCATCGCATTTAGGACCCACCCTAATCCAGCACGACCTCATCTTAACTAATGGCACATGCAAAGACCCTGATTCCAAATCCGGTTATGTTCTGGGGATCCGGTGAACACAAATTTCGGTGCTTTGCTCAGTTTCTATGGAGTCTTGTGTATAGGAAGGGACAGGAGAAGAACCAAATTCTCATCTGAGGCAGATTTTTATTCCTCATTGCAAAATTTAAACATGAAACCAATTAAAACCTTTTTGGGGAGGCCTCTGCTCAATCAGTCAACCAAGGACTATTTACCAAGCAGCTGGTCTTGGGCTCAGCTCTGCAGTCAGCACTGTGGTACCTGACACGGATTGGCAGCTTGCTCTCAGAACATTTCCAGGCTAACCAAGAGGACGAGCACAACGAGCTATTTTTCAAGGAATAGATCAGTTAAGATATAACCCACCTACCGTACGATTTGCCCATTTAGAGTGCGCAATTCAGTGGCCGTTAGTACAATGACAGAGTTATGCAGCTATTACCCCAATCAATATTAAAACATTCTCTTTTCTTTTTTTTTTTTTTTCAGATGGAGTCTCACTCTGTCGCCCAGGCTGGAGTACAGTGACACGATCTCAGCTCACTGCAACCTCTGCCTCCTGGGTTCAAGTGATTCTCCTGCCTCAGCCTCCTGAGTAGCTGGGATTACAGGTGCGTGCCATCACGCCCGGCTAATTTTTGTATTTTTAGTAGAGACAGGGTTTCACCATGTTGGGCAGGCTGGTCTCAAACTCCAGACTTCGGGTGATCCGCCTGCCTAGGCCTCCCAATGCTGGGATTACGGGCGTGAGCCACCACGCCCGGCCAAACGTTTTCTTTTTACTTTTTTTTTTTTTTTTTTTTAGGACAGGGTCTGGCTTTTTTTTTTTGAGATGCAGCCACAAGGCCAGGCTGGAGTGCAGCGGTGCAATCTTGGCTCACTGAAACCTCTGCCTCCCGGGCTCAGGTGATCCTCCCACCTCAGCCTCCTGAGTAGCTCAGGCCACAGACACATGCCACCGTGCACAGCTGATTTTATTATTATTTATGTATTTATTTATTTAATTGAGATGGGGGTCTTGCTATGTTGCCCAGGCTGGTCTTGAACTCCTGAGCTCAAGCAATCCACCCGCCTCAGCCTCCCAAAGTGCTGGGATGACAGGCGTGAGCCATGTCACCTGCCCCAGTTAACTTTTGTGTATATTTGGTAGAGATGAGGTTTTACCATGGTGCCTACACTGGTCTTGGGCTGAGCTCAAGCAATCCACCCACCTCGGCTTCCCAAAGTACAGAGGTGAGGCACCATGCCCAGCATAACTTTTCCTTTTTTAATTTATTGAAAATACATAGGACTGTATAAAGCCAAAATTACCACATCACCCTGGGGTTTGTAATGTATGTAGGTGCAATATGCAAGACAACAGCAGCATGAAGCATGGGGGGTTGGGTAAATATGGTCACAAGGCTTCTATGTTTTATGTGACGTTTATATTTCTAATACTAACTCTGGGCTGGGCGCGGTGGCTCACGCCTGTAATCCCAGCACTTTGGGAGGTGGATCACCTGGGGTCGAGAGTTCGAGACCAACCTGACCAACATGGAGAAACCCCGTCTCTACTAAAAATACAAAATTAGCCAGGTACGGTGGTAGATGCCTGTAATCCCAGCTATTTGGGAAGCTGAGGCAGGAGGATCGCTTGAACCCAGGAGGTGGAGATTGTGATGAGCCGAGATCGCGCCACTGCACTCCAGCCTGGGCAACAAGAGCGAGACTCCATCTCAAACAAACAAAAAACAAAACAAAACAAAACAAAACACTCTGAGTAGACTGTGAAAAACTAAGGGTAGATGTTGCAATCCCTAGAGCAAGGAGAAGGAATAGCTAAAAAGCCATAGTTCTTGCTTCATAATGCTAATACTTGGGGTGGGCATGGTGACTCATGCCTGTAATCCCGGCATTTTGAGAGGCCGAGGCAGGTGGATGACTTGAGTTCAGGAATTTGAGACCAGCCGGGCATGGTGGCGCATGCTTGTAATCCCAGCTACTCAGGAGGCTGAGACAGAAGAATCGTTTGAACCTGGGAGGCGGAGGTTGCCGTGAGCTGAGATTGTGAATTGCACTCCAGCCTGGGCAACAGAGCAAGACTCCGTCTCAAAAAAAAAAAAAAGCTAATACTCAGAATAGAAATTCCAACTTGACCACTTAGTGGTGTGATCAGAGGCGGGTCTCTCAGCCTCTCTGAACTTCATCTGTCCTGGGAATTGAACAATCTAAGCTGTTTATCCCCCAGGGTGTCCCAGAGGATGAAATGAGGCAATATCAACTGTGCACTGTGTTTTGTAACCTGAGAAGCATTGTTAGCCTGCAAAGGGTCCCTTCCATTTGACAGGATTCTCCTGTACCAGAGATGATGGTTTCCTCCCTATCCCCCAAGAAAACAGAGACTATCTCTGATTTCAGCAAACAGCTGTGTCAAGGCCTCACATCCTTGGCATGCAGGCATGTCTCAGTCATTGGTGAGGACCTCTGATCCCACCTTCAGGTTCACGATCAAAGGGACTGTTCCCATTTCCTTGGGCAAGAAACCAGAGGCCCGGGACTTTGTACAATTTCCGAAGCAAATGTTATGCACACATACGCCTTCCCCAGCCCACAGGAGATACGCATTTCCGGAAGCTTTTGGTGATCGTGATCACACGTAGGCAGTTTCCAAAGCGTGAGGGGACCTGGTGGTGCAGGTGAGGTGGCCCGTCCCAGGTCCTACAAGGTCCTCTGGCACAGCTGGGATCCCTGCTAACTCGGCGGAAGGGCTCTCTGCTCACCCTGCCACCTCGGTGCCCTGTGGACCCTGATCAGCGGTCTGAAGCCAACTGCCCTGGCATGACCTCCCTGTGGGGTTCCCTTCCCAGCCTGAACCCTTTGGGGTTCCACTGCTCACCAGGGGTGATGCTTCAGAAATCATACTAAACAGCACCTGCTTCAGAGGTCTAACCTACCCCTGGCCCAGCCCAGGTAGGAGTTCCCCAGTCTTCATGAGCTTGGGAGGGGTGGTCAGACACCAGGAGACTGTTGCCATTCCCTGCAGTGACACTCCAGAAACCAGGCAGCCGACGGTCCCAGAGGGGCGAGTCTAAAGGGAGGCACTGCCAGGTGGGGTATCCCAGGCTGCAGGACACCCACGGAGAGGCTGAGGGTTCCGGCCAGAGAAAGGAATAGAGCAGAGCCCTCTGATTGCTCCTTCCTACAAAGTCTAGGTGGACGTCCTCAACAGCAGGTCGCTTTGCTGAGGGGACTGTCTTCAAGGGGAAGCAGCCAGAGAAATCTACCACGACCTAAACCAGCCCTCACACTTAGTCTTCGGCACATGCCAAAGGTGTTCCCTGCGTTAGTCTCCACTGCTGCCGCGCTTCCCTCCCAGCAAGCTCAAGAAAAGCCTGGCCCTGTGTGTATCAACCGCATGGTCCCCCTTTGATCTCTCTGGCCCAGCTGCCGGGCCCTGGCTCGCCACTGGGGAGGCCCTCAGTCCTCTCGCATTGATCCTTCCAGTGAGGCCACGGGAAAGCCTTTGGCACTGGGTGCTGTAGGGCACATGAGCTGGGGTCAGAGCCTTGGACCACCAACTGCAAGGGGTGCTGTGGAGGGCTCTCTGGAGACCCCCACAGCACTGAGGCTCTCGTCCCCCGACCAGGAGTTTCTCCACAAATTGTTCTCCAGGAACTGCCCTTGGCTAAAGCAATGTCACGTCCCAGGCCATGGTCCCTCCCTGGTGGCCCATGTGGAATCACTCGTCAGTGTCATATGAGAAGAATTGTATGCTCAGACCCTGTAACCCAAGGCAGCTGCCTGCTTGCCAGTGTTGTCTCAGAGCCTGTTTGTTGCAGCAACAAAAAGCACAGGCATCTCGGGGGCTTGAAAACTCAGGCTTCTTTCTCGTGTACATCAAGTCCGCTGGGGGTCCAGGAGGTTCCCCAGGGTAGCTGCTGCCAGGGGAGGGCCCACACATGACCCACGCCAACCCCTGCTTGCCCAGCCATCATGCAGAGGACAGAGGAAGGCGAACCCCAGCAAATAAGGGCTTCCACCAAGAAGCGACACCCATTGCCTCCACTCTGAGCCCACTGGCCTTCCCGAAGTCTAAGACTAGAATTCCTGCCTGTGCATAAAGAACTGGGGATTGGTGAACCGCCATCAGATCTGCCAGATGTTTCAGGAAAGTGAACATTTGTTTACATCTGTGTGGATTGGGCTACCTCCTTCTAGACAGAGCCCGGTCCCCTCAGCCTCACTGCCCTCTTTTTATTTTATTTTATTTTTTTGAGACGGAGTTTCACTCTTTTTTTTTTTTTTTTTTTTTTTGAGACGGAGTCTCGCTCTATCACCCAGGCTGGAGTACAGTAGCACGATCTTCGCTCACTGCAAGCTCCGCCTCCCGGGTTCACACCGTTCTCCTGCCTCAGCCTCCCGAGTAGCTGTGACTACAGGTGCCCGCCACCCTGCCTGGCTAATTTTTCGTATTTTTAGTACAGACGGGGTATCATCGTGTTAGCCAGGATGGTCCCGATCTCCTGACCTCGTGATCCACCTGCCTCAGCCTCCCAAAGTGCTGGGATTACAGGTGTGAGCCACCGCGCCCGGCTGAGATGGAGTTTCACTCTTCTCACCCAGGCTGGAGTGCAATGGCACAATCTCTGCTCACTGCAACCTCCACCTCGCAGGTTCAAGCGATTCTCCTGCCTCAGCCTCCTAAGTAGCTGGGTTTGCAGGCACCCGCCACCCACGCCAGGCTAATTTTTGTATTTTTAGTAGACATGGGGTTTCACCATATTATTGCTCTTTTTATAACAGATATTTTGAATGCCTCCTTTCTACCCTGAAATGAAATCCACAGAAACTATAACTTGCCAATACACGGAATTTAAAAAAATCTACACGATACATATTGGATCATACAAGCATGAGAGATAAACTGAAGCAGAAAGGAAGTATGAAAATAAAAACAATTGGCAATAAAGCAATATGAATTTCAAGATGTAAATTCTCAGGCACCGCTATGCTAGAAGACATAAAACACGAATGCTGTACTCACATGTAAATTTGCTGTCAACGCAGCAGGGACAAATGTCAGCAGCATCAGGAGCACTGTGGCTCAAATGCCAGGAGGGGATTTACTAAAATTGTGAGCCTCTCCTGGTTCCAGTTAGAACCCAGCACCTTCATCTGCATGGTAGTTTCATCTCTACAGATTTCAGAACTTATCAAAACTGGCCAAAGTGGCTGAGCGTGGTGGCTCATGCCTGTAATCCCAGCACTTTGGGAGGCCAAGACGGGTGGATCACTTGAGGTCAGGAGTTCAAGACCAGTCTGGCCAACGTGGTGAAACCCCGTCTTTACTAAAAATACAAAAATTAGCTGGGCGTGGTGGCAGGTGCCTGGAATCCCAGTGACTCAGGAGGCTGAGGCAGGAGAATCACTTGAACCAGGGAGGCGGAGGTTGCAGTGAGCCAAGATCATGCCACTGCACTCCAGCCTGGGCGACACAGGGAGACTCTGCCTCAAAAAAAAAAAACAAAAAAAAAAAACTGGACAGACCCACTTTGTGTTGATTGGCAAAAAATAATAACAATGTTAGGTTTTAGGATCAGATAGTTATAAATAGGTTTTTCACCTTTGAAAACTCATACAGGACAATCCTTCATTGTTTAGGACCTTTTTTCACATCACAGAACATTTAGCCTCCTTTCTCTTACTCCACATCCTAAGAAGGCTGCAAACACCTCCCACAAACTTCCAAAATGCCTCCTAGGGAGGGTACCACATCCAATAAGAAAACCTCTATAGGCTGGGTGCACTGGCTCATGCCTGTAATCCCAGCACTTTGGGAGGCCGAGGTGGGTAGATCGTTCGAGCCCAGGAGTTTGAGACCAGCCTGAGCAACATGGTGAAACCTCATCTCTACAAAAAAAAATACAAAACTTAGCCGGGTGTGTTGGTGCACACTTGTGATCCCAACTACTTGAGAGGCTGAGGTGGGAGGATCACCTGAGCCGGGGAGTTCAAGCCTGAAGTGAGCCATGATCACACCACTGCACTCCAGCCTGGATGACAAAGCAAGACCCTGCCTCAATCAATCAATCAATCAATCAATCAATACTTTTTAAAAAAGAAAGAAAACCTCCATCCAAGATGGTATTAGCTGTAGTGTTTTCTAGGCCACCAAAGAAGTGGAAAACATAGAAGGACTTGAGGAGTAGCGTTAGTGACACATTTCAGTGCTAGAGATTCTATACAATAAAGATAAGTGAAAGGCTGGGCACGGTGGCTCACGCCTGTAATCCCAGCACTCCAGGAGGCCGGGCATGGTGGCTCACGCCTGTAATCCCAGCACTTTGAGAGGCCAAGGGGGGGCGGATCACTTGAGGTCAGGATTACGAGACCAGCCTGTCCAACATGGTGAAACCCCATCTCTACTAAAAAAAATATATATATATATAAAATATATATATAAAATATATATAAATATATATAATATATAAATATATATAAAATATATAAATATATATAATATATATATAAATATATATATTTATATATTATATATAAATATATATAATATATAAAAATATATATAATATATAAATATACATAATATATAAATATATATAATATATAAATATACATAATATATAAATATATATATTATATATAAATATATATAATATATAAATATATATAATATATATAATATATAAAATATATATAAATATATATAAAATATATATATGTATATATATATATATATATATATATATATATATATATATATAGCCAGGCGTGGTGGTATGCACCTGTAATCCCAACTACTGGGGAGGCTGAGGCAGGAGAATCACTTGACCCTGGGAGGTGGAGGTTGCAGTGAGCCGCGATTGCACCACTGCACTCCAGCCTGGGCAACAGAGCAAGACTCCATCTCAAAAAAAAAGATAAATGAGATAAAATTGTATTGATGGAGGAGCAAGACTTGGGAATGAGACCCCAGAGGGCATAGAAAAGCCTATTTGGGAATTAGAAATAGAGGAATCCCAAGGACATATTGTTTGCTTCTCTGTAGTGGTTGAATAGTGACACCCTCCCCCACCAACGAGTATGTTCAAGTCCTAATCCCTGGCACCTGTGGATGTGAACTTATTTGGAAATATCTTCTTTGCAGATGCAATTAAGGATCTCAGGATGAGATCATTCTTGATTGAAGGTAGAGGCTAAATCCAATGGGTGGTATCCTTATAAAATAAAAGAGAGGGGGGTTTGAAACACAGAGAGACAGAGAAGAAGACCATGAGAAGATGAGGCAGAGATTGCAGTGACAGAGCTTCAAGTCAAGGAATGCCTGGAGCCACCAGGAGCTAGAAGGGGCAAGGAGGGTGTGATGGTTGGTTTTATGTATCAGATTGGCTGGGTTGTGGGTACTGAGATATTTGGTCAAACATTATTCCAGGTGTGCCTATGAAGATGTTTCTGGATAAGACTAACATGTGAGTTTGTACACTTAGAAGAGCAGATTGTCCTCTCCAATGTGGGTGGGTCTCATCCAATAAGTTAAAAACCTGAATAGAACAAAAAGGCTGTTCCTCTCCTGAGAAAGAGAGAATTCTTCATACCTGATGGCCTTTGAACTGGGACATGGGTCTGTTCTTGCCTTCAGACCAGAACTGACACATGGGGTCTTCCTGGGTCTCAAGCCTGTGGGCCTTCAGACTAGAACTACACTACCAGCTCTCCTGGGTCTCAGGCCTTCAGACTCAGACTGGAGCATTCACCATCAGCTGTCCTGGGTCTCAAGCCTGTGGGCCTTCAGACTAGAACTACACCACTAGCTCTCCTGGGTCTCAGGCCTTCAGACTCAGACTGGAGCATGCACCATTGGCTCTCCTGGGTCTCCTGCTTGCCGTCTCACCCTGCAGATCTTGAGACTTGCCAGCCACTGTAATTGTGTGGCCAAGTCCTTAAGGCACACCTCTTTCTACATATAAATGTACATCCTTTTGGCTCTGTCTGTTTGGAGAATCCTACTAATACAGAAGTGTCTGAGTTCATTTTGTGTTGCCATAGCAGAACACTGGGGGCTGGGTGATTTTTTTTTTTTTTTTTTTTTGAGACGAAGTCTCGCTCTATCGCCGAGGCTGGAGTGCAGTGGCGCGATCTCGGCTCACTGCAAGCTCCACCTCCTGGGTTCACGCCATTCTCCTGCCTCAGCCTCCCAAGTAGCTGGGACTGCAGGTGCCTGCCACCACGCCCGGCTAATTTTTTTGTATTTTTTGCAGAGACAGGGTTTCCCCATGTTAGCCAGGATGGTCTCGATCTCCTGACCTCGTGATTCGGAGGCTGGGTGATTTATAAAGAACAGAGGTTTATTTGGCCATAACTCTGGTGGCCAGAAGTCCAAGATTGGGCAGCCCATCTATGAGGGTCTTGTGCTGCTTCAAGTCCTGGCAGAAGGCAGAAGGAGAGCGAGGGGGTGCAGAGACCAAAAGTGCGAAAAAAAACCACCTGGTCTTGCAGTAACCCAGCCCCATGACAGCAAGAACTCACTTTCCCGACACAGCATTTGTCGATTCAGGAAGGATCTGCCCCATGACCCAAACACCTGCCACTAGGCCCCACCTCCAACACTGGCAAACTGGGACTCAAATTTCAACATGACTTTTGGCAGGAACAAAGCACATCCAAACCATAGCAGAAAGGATGGTCCCCAAGAGCCCTAGGAGGGAACGTGGCCCTACTGGTACCTTGATTTCAGAGTTCTGCTTCCAGAACGGTGAGAGAATCAATTCCTACTGTTTTCAGCCCCCAGTGTGTGGGACTGTTCCAGCAGGCCCCAGAACACTCTCACAAAACAAAATCAAACAGGCTAGGTGCAGTGGCTTACGGCTGTAATCCCACCACTTTGGGAGGCCAAGGCAGGCAGATCACGAGGTCAGGAGTTTGAGACCAGCCTGGCCAACATGGTGAAACCCCCATCTCTACTAAAAATACAAAAATTAGCTGGGCATGGTGGCAGGCGCCTGTAGTCTCAGCTACTTGGGAGGCTGAGGCAGGAGAATTGCTTGAACCTGGGAGGCAGAAGTTGCAGCAAGCCGGGGCTGCACCATTGCACTCCAGCCTTGGTGACAGAGCGAGACTCCATCTCAAAAAGAAAAGAAAAGAAAAGAAAAGAGAAAAGAAAATTATCCCTGTGCACTATAAATTTGAGAATGGAGGGGTCTCTAATTTCACAGCATCCCTGGTGGAGAACCCGACTTCCCATCTCCTCCCTGGTCTTCCGAGGAGTAAGAGGGAGGAGTTGATTTGCTCCCTGAGGAGCAGAACTGGAAGAGGAGGGGAGAGAAGCTGGTCACAGTTGGTCTAATACATTTTGTGTTTATAACAGGCCTGCAGTGAAGACAAGAAGAGCCTTGGCTAGAGTTCCCACCACGGCTTTAACTGGATGGACGTCTGGGAACACACATCTCCCTTCCCTGGGCTTCCATCTCTTCACGTCTCAGTGAGGATGTTGACTAAGCAGATCTCCTGGGCCCCTTTTCCAGCTCAAACCCGTGGGTTCTCTGACCACTGGAGTCAGAGCACAGGCCTCTGATGGAGATACGATGTCACAGAGAGGTGTCTGGCCCAGAAGACCCCAGCGTCAAGCTCCAAGCTTCTGCTCCAAGTCAGCCTGGAACAGAATCCTGGAGAGGGCGGGTGGACCTTCAAGGAGGAGGCAGCTCCCGTCACTGGGCTGATGCGCCTGCCCAGAGGCCTCCACAGGAGGAGCCTGCAGGGTGCGGGCCACCCCCAGGCTGAACTGCTCTCTCACACGGTCTGAACTGGAAAGGGCCTGAGACCTTCAGCGGACGAGAGCCACCCCTCACCAGGGAGCCAGTTCCTCCACCCCCACCTGGGTGCCCTGCAGGTCCCTCAGAGACCAATGACCACCTAAGAGGCTGTGGCTACAGCTGTTTCCTGGCTGTTTCCTCTCAACTTGAGAAAGTCCCATGAAACAGAGCAGACCTGGCGCTGTTTAGGGGGCGGCCGCCAGTTACAGCGCAGTTCCTCTCCCGGGCTCCAGGACCTTTCCAGGAGCTTCCACCCCGGTTCCGCTGCTTCCTGCCTCACACAATGACCTGGTCCCCTCCATCCATCTGCCATCTGCACACACTGAAATCCATGGGTCCCCAAGCTCCTGCCACGGCACTTCTGCCATGAGGCCTCCCAGGATGACCCCTTAACTCCATCTTTCCAGGAAGACACCTGCTTAGTCAATTCCACAGCACCTGGACAGACACACGCTCCGTCAGTCACAGAGAGCAGCCCTTGCTGTGCAGGCACAGTGGCTCATGCCTGTAATCCCAGCATTTTGGGAGGCCGAGGCGGGCAGATCACTTGAGTGAGGTCAGGAGTTTGAGAACAGCCTGGCCAACATGGTGAAACCCCGTCTCCACTAAAAATACAAAATTAGCTGGGTGTGGTGGTGCTTGCCTATAATCTCAACTACTTGGGAGGCTGAGGCAGGAGAATCGCTTCAACCCAGGAGGTAGAGGTTGCAGTGAGCCGAGATCGTGCCATTGCACTCCCGCCTGGCAACAACAGCAAAACTCCATCTCAAAAAAAAAAAAAAAAAATAGAAAAGAAAGAAAGCAGCTCTCGCTGCCAGCTGGTCACAGACACTGGGTGCTGAGATGGACCAAGTCCCACTGCACTCCAGCCTGGGTGACAGAGCGAGACTGTCTCAAAACACACACACACACACACACACAAACACCTGTTTCTCTGTGGGCATCTGCTGCCTCTTGCAGCCTGACCGTTATGCACTATGATACCCGCAGAGGCTGTTTCCTTTTTCTTCTTTCAAAATGTGTCTCCTCATAGCCCATGCAGCACCAGGAGCGAGGGAGAGAAGGAAGAAAGTGGCCGAGGGGCACCGACCCCATCCCTCCACAGCACACCCTTCACAGTGGTCTGTGCTGTCACTCTCTGGGTGTTCGTCTGCCTGATGAGGCTGGCAGCTCCCAGAACGCACTGGTGGGGGTTCATTCATTCTGGGACCCTCCAGTTCCTGGTACAGGGCCCTGCATCAGATCACACCACCCAGTCCACATAGCACGGGATGGGGCAGAGATGACCACACACTTCATTCACCCTCCTTGTGTCATACGATTCTGGAAGAGTAGAATCCAGTGGCAGTGACACTGTGCCAATTCCAGGCCAGGCCCCAGGAGGCTGGCAGCTCCTACATCCCTTCTTCCCTTCTCTCAGAACAGTCACTCTGGAGCAAGGAGCTTCCACGTGAGAAACCCCACTACCCTCAGACTGCCAGGTGATGGGGAGCTCCAGGCAAGCCCCATGGAGCCCGCGTAGAGAGACAGTTGCCTAACTAGCCCCAGGGGTTCCAGCCCTCCCAGTGAGGGGCCAGACACGTGGACAAAGAAGCCTTGAGAGGACTCTAGACTCAGCCACCACCTGACTGCAAGTGCATGGGAGACCCTGCACAAGAACCACCTGGCTGAGCCCAGCCTGTCCCAGACTCATGAGCTGCTACACTATTGTCCTAAGCCATTACGTGTTGAGCTGATTTGTTCTGCAGCAATAGATAGCCCAAGAAGTGGCTTGGTGAGGACCAAAACAGGCTCCCACTCTAGGGGGGACGCATTGTTAAACAGCACTCCCTCTGGGCTGACACAGTCCACAGGAGGCTAGTGGACACCACCTCTGTGCAGGGAAGCAGAGGCCCCATCTTTGAGCTGGAGGAGGCCCAGCCAGAATGCACAGGGTGCCCATGAGTCGCAGGCTGGCGCCAGGTGCTTTTGTACAGTGAACAAACTGTGCAACTGTATGTGGTGGCCCTTCCTAGAGCTCTCATTGCAGACAGGAGGCAGGAAGAGTCTGATGAGAGCTCCATCACCGTCCTTCACAGTATCCTTACTGACTTTCATCCGCCCAGTCCACAGAGGGGCCCCTTGCTCATGCTGGGGAACTCAGTGCAGCAGGGACCTGGCAGAATGCTCAGGCGAAGGGAGGTGGGGTGCCAGGAGACCATGGAGAAGGGCGCTGGCTGGGCTTGGCAACACACGGGTCAGGACCTGACTCTACTTCCCGGGCACAGGGCTGCAGTCACTGCTTGTCCCAGCCTTGTTCGCCCGACCAAGCTCTTTTGAAGTTCAATGCCAGGAACATTAACAAGTGTGCTGATCTGGAACTGAGTGCTGCCTGACCCCCATCTTTGGCTCTTCTGCCCCGGATGCACCTACCCCACTCCCTGGTATCCCTGCCTGTCCAGAACTGCCTGGTGTCATTATCCAGCCCTGCCCCGCCCAACCTGAAGGGATTTGCCTCCCAGCCTCCAGATTCTCTCTCTGCTGTGTCCACCCTGTTCTGGGCCCGGGGGCCTCTCTTGCCTTCAGGGGCCTCTCTTGCCCACGGGGGCCTCTCTTGCCCACTGTGGCTTCCAACTGGGTTTGTGGCTGGATTTTCTTCCCCAGCTCCCCACTGGAGCTCTGCTGTGGGGCATGCTTCTCCAGGAAGGCCAGCAGCCCCTCCCTGTTGCAGGGATCTCGGGACCTTCTGGGCCCTCCCTGTCCTCCCTGAGCTCGGGGTCCCTGGTCCTGCTCTCTCGAAGCCTCGGTTTCCTAGGCCCTTCCCACACTGGCGAATACTCTCTGTATCCCACCCTCCTCCCCACCACGTTCCCACCACGACCCTGCCTGAGGAGGGTCGAAAAGAAAACAACATGGCTTTGACTGCTGTCCTGAGGCTTCCCGGGATGACCCCTCGACTCCACCTTTCCAGGAAGGCACCTGCTTAGTCAAACACATAGCACCTGGACAGACACTTTATCCCATATCTTGGGGTCTGATGGGCAGGGGCAGCATGTGGAGAGAGAGGGCGGATGGGCCGTCATCCTTCCTTCCCCAGAGGCTGACCTTTCTCGCTGGTCTCTGGGGCCTCGTGGCCATGGGGCCTCCAACGCCGCCCAGCCATGTTGCTGAGGGCGAGGCACCAGGCCTCTCTGTGGCCCGCTTCCTCCCATGTCATAGTGGTCATCATAGCCCTGCCACCTGCCCATCTGCCTGTGGCTCACCCAGCTGGGAAGGAACTGAGAGTTGTGAGATCCACACACACTCCCCAGGCAGGGGCTCTCCCCGCCCTGACCTTGGTGCATGGACCCCTGGCCTTTTTTTTTTTTTTTTTTTTTGAGATAGAGTCTTGCTCTGTCACCCAGGCTGGAGTACAGTGGCGCGACCTTGGCTCGCTACAACATCCGCCTCTCGGGTTCAAGCGATTCTCCTACCTCAGCCTCCCAAGTAGCTAGGATTACAGGCATGCACCACCATACCGGGCTAATTTTTTTTTTTTTTTTTTTTTGAGACAGAGTTTCACTCTTGTTGCCAAGGCTGGAGTGAAGTGGCACGATCTCAGCTCACCACAACCTCCACCTCCCAGGTTCAAGCAATTCTCCTGCCTCAGCCTCCCGAGTAGCTGGGACAACAGGCATGCACCACCAGGCCTGGCTAATTTTGTATTTTTAGTAGAGACAGGATTTCTCCATGTTGAGGCTGGTCTCGAACTCCTGACCTCAGGTGATCCGCCCGCCTCGGCCTCCCAAAGTGCTGGGATTACAGGCATGAGCCACCATGCCAGGCCAATTTTTTGTATTTTTAATAGAGAAGCGGTTTCACCATGTTGGCCAGGCTGGTCTCGAACTCCTGACCTCAGGTGATCCACCTGCCTCGGCCTCCCAAACTTACGGGATTACAGGTGTGAGCCACCGTGCCTGGCGGGCCCTGTGTTTTGATACCTGAGAAGGTGCAGCTCACCTGGTTCTGGAGTTTAATTGGACCCTGAGTTCTCCCAGTGGAAGTCTGAGAAGGCCAAGCTGAGCTCGATGGCTGTCAGAATCCTCATTTACATTGGATGAACAGGGCGCAGTTTCCCCTGCTCCGGAGGATGGTGGGGTGAGGTGGGAGCCCAGCCTGGGGGAGTGGGGGCAATAGAAGCTGTGGGAGCAGCAGCCCCCCAGGGGCCAGGACCACGAAGCCTCCAGGGACGAGCAAGGAGGCCGCAGAGGGCCAGGCATCAGAGTGGAGAGCAGACGCACAGGACACCCAGAGAGGCCCCTGCCCCTACCTCGCCCCCTCCAAGAACATGCTCTTCCAGTGAAGTCACTGCAGCCCCACTCCCTCCCCACACGGAGGAGGAGGCAGCTTTAGGGTACCTAGGACACGAAGGTGACCAAGACACACCACTGTGGTCAAGGGGCGTGTGGCTGAGGACGACATCTGTCAACCTCCCTTACCATGACTCACGTTCAGAAATCCACAGACATACGCATACATGTGTCGGAAACAAAAGTGGCACCGACAGTTCTCTCAAAGGAGCCGTGTTCTGCGCAGACACCCGCAGCCCCTGTCCAACATACAGCCAGGTAAAGCTGCAGCCGGGCCTCCCGGCACCCCAGGCCCCTCCCTTTGCAGCCGGGGCACGGCCCACAGCTCTTTAAAAAGCCCACTGCCTTACATCCCCACGCTGTCCTGCAGAAGACTGCAGTCAGGTCTTCTGCCTCCCAGAATCATTTCCCCAGCAGCCCGGCGGCGCCCACCCAGCCCCAACGGGGCCTGTCCTGGGAGGTGCCTGCAGGGCGGCTCTTGTTTTCTTTCCCACTTCTGTGCCCACGTGCATTTGTAAGGGCTCCGGGAGGAGGGGGCTTCCCTTTTCTGTGGGTCTCTTTCAGGTCCTCCTTCCACAGAGCTACACAAGGCCCCACTAATTGCTCTAATTGCCTTGCCGCCACCTGGTGCAGATGCAGCCGCCTTTCCAAACGGAGCTGCCGGGCAGGGCTGTAACTCATACTTCCTGCTTGAATCATGTCTGCCTCTTACATCAGCCACCAGCCTCTTTTTCATCCAGCATGGGAGGGTGCAGCTGGGGCAGAGCTGCCGTTGATGTAAAGTCACTAAGCCCTGGGGGCTGGGTTCATGAGTGGGATGGGAATGGAGGTGCCCCGGGGGCTCCTCTTTCTCTCCAGAACATGCTGCACCCTTTGTGGGCAGGTTGGCACCTGTACAATTGGAGATAATGGGTGTCATACGGTCCAGTTGCTCCTCTGAGCTGCTCTGACACGCACCTGCCCTCACCTGGGACACGGCAGGCTCCCCTGTGAGCCACCCCTGGAGGCGCGGTTCCTGGAAGCAGGGAGGGAGGAGGGCAGGGAGGTTGGGGTGGGGCCCTTTAAGGAGTCAGCCCTGCCCTTTAATCCTCACAGGGACGATGGGAGCCAGGATGGCTGCCAGCGTTTCGAGATAACGCCAGCCATGCAGGGCCTGGAAGGGGGAGCATCACCCAGGCACCTCACAGAGCACACATATGCAAAGCCACACGGTCCACACCCCAGCAGACACGGGAGAGAGGCTTCGCACCACCAGCTCCCAGTGATGATGCTGCCTGCCTGCAGCCTGGTGTTTGCAGCTGGACTTAGTTCTTAACCAGGGGATACAGCAATGTTTAGAACAGGGGTGTCCAATCTTTTGGCTTTCCTGGGCCACCCTGGAAGAAGAATTGTCTTGGGCCACACATCAAATGCACTAACAATAGCTGATGAGCTAAGAGAAAATCACAAAAAAAATCTCATAATGTTTTAAGCAAGTTTACGAATTTGGGCTGGATGCAGTGGCTCATGCCTATGATCTCAGCACTTTGGGAAGCTGAGGTGGGTGGATCACTGAGGTCAGGAGTTCGAGACCAGCCTGGCCAACATGGTGAAACCCCGTCTCTACTAAAAATACAAAAATTAGCCAGGCGTGGTGGTGCCTGCCTGTAGTCCCAGATACTTGGGAGGCTGAGGCAGGATAATTTCTTGAACCCAGGAGGCAGAGGTTCCAGTGAGCTGAGATTACGCCACTGCACTCCTGCCTGAGCAACAGAGCAAGACTCCATCTCAAAAAAAAAAAAAAAGTTTATAAATTTGTGTTGGGCCTCATTCAAAGCTGCACTGGGCCACAGGTCGGACAAACTTGGCGTAAAATATTTTTGGGTTGTCACAATTAACTAACGGGGAGGTTGCTGCTGGCCTCCAGTCGGTGGAGGCCAAGGATGCTGCTAAGCATCCTGCAATGCACAGGAAACAACCAATTAACCCCACAGTGAAGAATTATCCAGCCCCCAATCCCAGTGACCAAGACTGAAAAACCCGGGCTGGGAGAGACAGTGCTGCCATCGATTGCTTATGTCTGCCACTGGTGCAGACAGGGTGGTGGTGATGCCTGCAATCCTAATCCCACCCGGCAGACTGTCCTGAATGTATAACCCATCTCACCTCCCACTGTTCTCTCTGGGACCTTCACACCTATAGTCTCCTTTGCTCTGTGAGCTCCAGGTTGAGGAGAGGTGCTTGGACCTGGGCCACCATGTTGCACAACTGCGTAGGTTCTGCAACATGTTGGCCTCCTTTGGATTGTTGTTGTCTTGAGGATGGTTTTTATACAGGCCGGGAGTTGAAATCTCAAAGAGCTACAGGGCCCAGACCCAGGAAAGAGATGAGTGAAGTGGGCAGGTGGGAATGATGGTTAAATGCAGAGGCGTGCCACAACCAAGGGGCAACAGCCTTCAGCCCCCGCCACTTCCAGGCTCTGAGGATGGTGAGCCCCAGATTACTAAATCTTTCATTTTTTTAAAAGGAAGTAAAAAATGTGTTTTTCTTTTTTAAATGTGAAATTGGCCGGGTGCACCTTGACCTCCAAAACTGCTGGGATTACAGGCATGAGCCATCACACCTGGTCAGGAATCTGTTTTTTAAAAGATTTTAAACAATGTTCTTTATCTTGATAGGGATTCGGGTTAACAAGTGTATGTGTCTGGCAAAACTCATGAAGTGGTGCCTCGTAGGTAGTTTGCTTCAGTGTATGTGACTGTACACAAAGAAGAAAGAAGGAAGGGGTGGAAGGAAAGGAGAAAGGGAAAGAGAGGACCATAAACCAATGCTGAACACTAGTTGAAGCCCAAGTCCAGTATGATTTCCAGAGGTTTCCCTAACACCCGCTATCCCATAACTCAACCATTTTACCATGTCCTGTGCCACTGGTATTCTTTTTTTTTTGAGACAGAATCTCGCTCTGTCACCCAGGCTGGGGTGCAGTGGCATGATTTTGGATCAACGTTGTCAGCGGGGTCCCCGCAGGAGATCTGAGCACAAGTTCCTTCTGGGAGCAGGGAGGTGCATAGGCACCTGGATCATCATTTCCGCTTCTGGGGTGGCAATTCTCCTAGAACCTGTTCACAGCTGTGGCATTCGTGTCCTGGAACTGCTATCATTAGCTTCCACAAAACAGGTGGCTCTAACAACAGAAACTGAGGGTCCTGCAATCCTGGAGAACTAAAGTCCAAAATCAAGTTGTCAGCAGGGCCTGCTCCCTCCAGAGGCTCTAGAGGAGGCTCCTTCCTTCCTCTTCCGGCTCCTGGTGGCCCCCAGAGTCCCTTGGTGCCTGGCTGCATCGCTCCAATCCCTGCCTTCCCCCTCACACAGTCTCTCCTCTGTGTCTGTGTCCAAATTTCCCCCTTCTTATAAGGACACCTGGCATTGGGTTCAGGGACGGCCCCTCGGTAAGTATGACTCATCTTAGATAATCACATCCGCAAAGACCCTGTTTCCAAACAGAGTCACATTCACAGATACCGGGGTTAGGACTCGAGCATATTGTAGGCTGCAACTCACCCACACAGCTGTAGAGAAGCACAGCCACTCCCAAACCATGGGCAGGGGCAGCAGCGTGCACACTGAGCACTCTTTCGTTTTTTTTTTTCTTTTGAGACAGTCTTGCTCTATTGCCCAGGTTGGAGTGCAGTGGCATGATCTCAGCTCACCACAACCTCCGCCTCCTGGGTTCAAGTGATTCTCCTGCCTCAGCTTCCCAAGTAACTGGGACTGCAGGCACGCACCACTACACCCAGCTAATTTTTGTATTTTTAGTAGAGACGGGGTTTCACTATGTTGGCCAGGCTGATCGCGAACTCCTGACCTCACGATCCACCTGCCTTGGCCTCCCAGTGTGCTGGGATTACAGGCGTGAGCCACTGCGCCCGGCCAGCGCTCTGTTCTTTCTCCAATGGCCCCACTGCAATTCCCTGGACAAGAGAGCCCCTGAAGCAGGCTGTAGGGCTCAGGCCGCGGCACAGAGATGGGCAGAGGGAGCCCAACAGCTGTGAGTGGGAGGGGGCAGCTCTGCCCCACACACCCCTCCCTCAGAAGAGCCAGAAGAGAGAAAATGGTCTCCTCCCACGTGGGGTCTTTGAAGCAGCCCACAGGTGCTGGTGACTCTGGCCGCAGCGTGGTTGCCTGCAGGACTGTCCCCAGGCCCTGGAGACCCACCTTCTCCTCTCAGCCAGCACCCTCGGCTTTGCCCAACCACAGTAAAGCTCCAAATTCCCCAATTCTCTGAGTACTTTGATGCAAAACTGCCAAATGGGGAAGTGATTCTGCTGAGGTAATGAGCACCTGGGGCTGGGACGGAGCAGCATAGAGGGATGGGTGTGATCGGGGGGGCCCCTGCACCCCACTGCAGCCCCAGGTGGACCTTGGGTGGCAGCAGAGCCTCTTCTGCTGCAGGAAGAAGTCAGGTCCTTTCACCTAAAACCTGTCATGAGCTCGGGCGGCTCCAGTGCTGGGCGCCGATTAGAAAACAAGCCAGGGAAGGCCAGGTGCAGTGGCTCACGCTTGTAATCCCAACGCTTTGGGAGGCCGAGGTGGGCAGATCACCTGAAGTCAGGAGTTCGAGACCAGCCTGGCCAACATGGTGAAGCCCCCATCTCTACTAAAAATGCAAAAATTAGCCAGGCATGGTAGCACACGCCTGTAGTCTCAGCTACTCAGAAGACTGAGGCAGGAGAATTGCTTAAGCCCGAGAGGCGGAGGTTGCAGTGAGCAGAGATCACACCATGCACTCCAGCCTGGGCAACAGAGTGAGACTCCAACTCAAAAAAAAAAAAAAAAAAAAAAGAGGGATTGAGACCCTAACGTAAAACCCAAAACTATCAAAACCCTGGAAGACAACCTAGGCAATACCATCCTGGACCCAGGAACGGGCAGAGATTTCATGAAGACGACGCCAAAAGCAATTGCAACAAAGCAAAAATTGACAAGTGGGATCTAATTAAACTTAGATCCTGCTGCAAGTACTTCCTCCCGGGCCCATCTATTCATTTTCCCCATGTTTTCCCAACTCACTCATCACCTGGTCTCTGCTGCCTCTTGCTTCGAAGGCTCCAATCACACAGCGGCAGCTTGTCAATCCGACTCTTACCCTATGGATTCTCAGCCCGGAGCGGAGCAGCCCAGGCGGGCATGTGTGCAGGACTCAGAGAAGAGCTCTGTAGGAGGGTTTTGCACAGCAAAAGAAACTATCAACAGAGTAAACACACAACCTACAGAATAGGAGAAAATATGTGCAAATTATGCATCTGACAAAGGTCTAAAATGCAGCATCTATAAGGAACTTAAACAAATATAGAAGAAGAAAACAACCCCATTTAAAAGTGGGGAAAGTACATGAACAGACACTTTCCCAAAGAAGACATACATGCAGCCAACAAACATAAGAAAAAAAACTCAATATCACTGTTAGAGAAATGCAAATCAAAACCACAATGAGATACCATCTCACACCAGTCAGAATGGCTATTATTGTTATTTTTTTTGAGACTGAGTCTTGCTCTGTTGCCAGGCTGGAGTGCAGTGGTGCAGTCTTGGCTCACTGCAACCTCTGCCTCCTAGGTTCAAACGATTCTGCTGCCTCAGCCTCCCAAGTAGCTGGGACTACAGGCACCTGCCACCACACCCGGCTAATTTTTTGTGTTTTTAGTAGAGACGGGGTTTCACCGTGTTAGCCAGGATGGTCTCGATCTCCTGACCTCATGATCTGCCCGCCTCAGCCTCCTAAAGTGCTGGGATTACAGGTGTGAGCCACCGCACCCGGCCCTAGAGAGTTATTTATAAGTGCACAGTGATAATGAATGTTCAGTCACATCAAACGTTACATTGTCTTTACATCTTCTCATAGGGAACGTTGAAACATTTTGCGATAGCTTGAATTCAAACCATCGCACTCACAGCACCGCTACATGTCTCCAGCCTCACCTGGGGAGTGAGCAAATGCCAGACACCCTCCTACGGAGCTATTCTCTGAACCCTCCACACAGGCCCGGCTGGGCTGCTCCGCTCCGGGCCGAGAGAGTGATTGATAAGCTGCCGCTGTGTGATTGCAGCCTTTGAAGCAAGAGGCAGCAGAGACCAGGTGATGAGTGAGTTGGGAAAACATGGGGAAAATGAACGGATGGGCCCGGGAGGAAGCACTTGCCGCAGGAAGCCACCCCCAGCCCAGGCTGCTGGGGCCTGAGACACTGAACAGAGCTGCTGTTTGCCAAGCATTCTGGTTACACTTTTGTTGTGGGATCTGTTACCTGGGGGCGGTTGCCTGGCTACTGCCAAGACAGGAACATGTGTCCCTTGTGACATCTGGACCTGAGCCATCTCAGTGTGGAAGTCATGGCCAGAGAGGTTTCTGGAACCTGAGACCTTGACTATTACCCTACCCTATCTCTCTTTCTCCTGGCGACCTGGAATCCCAGGTTGCAAAGGGTCTTACAGGTGTCTAACCCAAACCCATGGCCTCTACTAAACTTTGACTCTGCTCTGTGGCCCCCAGCGGCGGCCCCAAGGTCTCCTTCCATCCTCACCCATCCTTGGTTGGTGAACACGAACCCTCTCATAGACCCACAGGGAAAGCCTTGTAGGTCCTGCAGCGGCTGCTCCCAAGACAGTCTTTGGGTTTTCTTGACACTGTTTTCTTCTCCTCCAAAGAGATTCCCCCTTAGACCGGGCATGGTGGCTCACACCTGTAATCCCAGCACTTTGGGAGGCCGAGGCGGTGGATCACTTAAGGTCAGCAGTTTGAGACCAGCCTGGCCAACATGATGAAAACCCTGTCTCTACTAAAAATACAGTAATTAGCTAGGCGTGGTGATGTACGCCTGTAGTCCCAGCTACTTGGGAGGTTGAAGCAGGAGAATTGTTTGAACCTGGGAGGTGGAGGTTGCAGTGAGCCAAGATCATGCCATTGCACTCCAGCCTGGGTGACAGAGCAAGACTCTAAAAATAAAAAATTTAAAAAACCCAAAGATGTTGCCCTTTGTTGGGACCTCCTCAAAGTGTGTGCCTGGGATATGAAGATAAAAATAAGACCCAGAGACTTGGGGTGAAGAACCAGAACCCGGCCACACGTCCATTCCCTCCTTGCGTCAGGGAGGGAGAAGAGCTGGCCACGCTTGGAGTTCCCAAGAGTTCTTCAGGTGCCTTTCCCACCCTCCCACCTTGATATCTTTCCTCCTGGGCTTGCCCTTGGCCCCTGAAATTCTATCATCAAAGCTTTATTGCAGGCCAGGCGCGGTGGCTCACGCCTGTAGTCTCAGGACTTTGGGAGACCAAGGTGGGTGGATCACCTGAGGTCAGGAGTTCGAGACCAGCCTGGCCAACATGGTGAAACCCCATCTCTACTAAAAATACAAAAATTAGCTGGGCATGGTGGCACACGCCTGTAATCCCAGCTACTTGGGAGACTGAGGCAGGAGAATCGTTTGAACCCGGGAGGTGGAGGCTGCAGTGAGCGGAGATCACTCCACTACACTCCAGCCTAGGCAACAAAGCGAGACTCCGTCTCAAAGAAAAAAAAAACCTTTATTGCTTTCGGTCAAAAGACCCAAAACAGGCCAGCTGAGGTGGCTCACGCCTGTAATCCCTGTGCTTTGGGAGGCTAAGGTGGGAGGACCACTTGAGCCCAGGAGTTCAAAGCCTGTAATCCCAGCACTTTGGGAGGCCGAGGCGGGCGGATCACGAGGTCAGGAGATCGAGACCAGCCTGGCCAACATGGCTAAACCCCGTTTCTACTAAAAATACAAAAATTAGCCAGGCATGGTGGTGGGCGCCTGTAATCCCAGCTACCCTGGAGGCTGAGGCAGGAGAATGGTGTGAACCCGGGAGGCGGAGCTTGCAGTGAGCCGAGATTGCGCCACTGCACTCCAGCCTGGGAGACAGCAAGACTCTGTCTCACAAAAAAAAAAAAAAAAAAAAAAAGAACAGAAAAGACTACATGCCTGTGGACATCTCACTGCCTGTCCCCCCGCCCTTTTTTTTGAGATGGAGTTTCTCTCTTATTGCCCAGGTTGGAGTGTAGTGGCACCATCTCGGCTCACTGCAAGCTCCGCCTCCCAGGTTCACACCATTCTCCTGCCTCAGCCTCCAGGGTAGCTGGGATTACAGGCGCCCACCACCATGCCTGGCTAATTTTTGTATTTTTAGTAGAAACGGGGTTTAGCCATGTTGGCCAGGCTGGTCTCGAACTCCTGACCTCAGGTGATCCACCTGCTTCAGCCTCCCAAAGTGTTAAGATTACAGGTGTGAGCCATTGTGCCTGGCTTGTCTCTTCTTTAGGTTTGGTTTTCTGTGACCCCTATTTTTTTTTTTTTTTGAGACGGAGTTTCCCTCTTGTTGCCCAGGATGGAATGCAATGGCGCGATCTTGGCTCACCACAACCTCTGCCTCCCGGGTTCAAGCAATTATCCTGCCTCAGCCTCCCTAGTAGCTGGGATTACAGGCATGTGCCACCATGCCTGGCTAGTTTTGTATTTTTAGTAGTTTTGTATTTAGTAGTTTTGTATTTTTGTATTTTAGTAGAGGGTTTCTCCGTGTTGGTCAGGCTGGTCTTGAACTCCCGACCTCAGGTGATCCGCCCGCCTCAGTCTCCCAAAGTGCTGGGATTAAGGCATGAGCCACCGCGCCCGGTCTTTTTTTTTTTTTTTTTTTTTTTTTTTCAGACAGAGTCTCGCTCTTGTCGCCCAGGCTGGAGTGCAATGGTGCGATCTCCGCTCACTGCAACATCTGCCTCCTGAGTTCAAGCAATTCTCCTGCCTCAGTCTCCTGAGTAACTGGGATTACAGGCATGTGCCACTGCGCCTGGCTAATTTTTTTATTTTCAGTAGAGACAGGGTTTTGCCACATTAGCCAGGCTGGTCTTGAACTCCTGACCTCAGGTGATCCACCCGCCTCAGCCTCCCAAAGTGCTGGGATTACAGGCGTGAGCCACCACGCCCAGCCTGACCCTCTATTTTAATGCAGACTTTTTAAGTGTGATGTACATGCCCTAAGTGTCCACCGTTTGATGAATTTCACAAAGGGGCTATTGCCGTGTACCCAGCACTAAGGATGAGAATCAGAGTGAGGCCCCACACAGAAGTCCCTCGGTTAGAACCCTTTTCCGTCATGTGCCACGCAGAAGAGGCCATCCCCCAAAATGCACACCCACCTGGAACTCCAGAATGTGGCCGTGTTTGGAAGCAGGGTCTTTGCAGATGGAATGAGCTAGGATGAGGTCATGCTCATCTTAGTGTGGTAGGTGGGCCCTAAATTCTACGACTAGGCCCTTTTAAGGGGAGGGAGAGGGAGATACACACATGCAGGGGAGAGGTTGTGTGAAGGCCAAGGCTGAGACCAGAATGGTGCAGCCACCCACCAGGGGAGTGCAAGGACCCTCCCCAAGAGCCCTCAGAGGGAGCACAGCCTTGCTGTCACCTTGACCCCAGACATCTGCCTCCAGAACTGGGACAGTGCATTCCTGTTCTCTCAGCCACCCCGTTTGTCCATTTGTGGTGGATGTAACTGCAGCCAGAGGGCACTCACACTGCCCCATGGCCACATAGCTGCTGGCCAACAGAAGGGAGGAACAGCTGTGGGCTCCCTCTGACCAAAGGCAAGCTGTGGGCTCAGCAGACAGCCGCCGGCAGCCAGCTGAGGACAGCAAGGCTCAGGGTTCGCACCATCTGGGCCACACCCCTCAACGTCCACTCCAGACCTGGACCAAGCCAGGCAGCCAGCAACTCCCACCCTGAGCAGCTCCTGGAAGGGACGGGAGCTGTGACAGCCACAATAATAACATTCATCGGCTGGGTGTAGTGGCTCATGACTGTAATCCCAGCACTTTGGGAGGCCGAGGCGGGCAGATCACCTGAGGTCAGGAGTTCGAGATCAGCCTTGCCAACATGGTGAAACCCCATCTCTACCAAAAATATAACAATTAGTAGGGCATGGTGGCATGCGACTGTAATCCCAGCTAATAGGGAGGCTGAGGGACAAGAATCGCTGGAACCCAGGAGTCAAGGGCTGCAGTGAGCTGAAATTGCACCACTGCACTCCATCCTTGGCGACAGCAAGACTCTGTCTCAAGTAAATAAATAAATAAATACAACATTCTTCGCAGCCCACCATTGTTGGAGGTGTCCTAGGTACCCGGCTTCCTGCTCAAAGCTGCAGGCAAAGTGTTGGGGTCATACAGGACTTGCCCGAGAACAGGAAACCCAAGTCAAACTGTGGAAGCTGTGAGGACATCTGTTGGTTTCTGCAACTGGACGTCTGGAGGGAGTGTGAACTTCCGGTGGCATCTGCTTCTCCCTTCCACTCCTGGGGCTCCAGCATGGTGGGCCTCTCTCAGGATGGGCTGGAGCACCGGCAGCTTCAGGCCTCAGGGGCCTTCGGCAACGTCCAGAGGAAGGAAACTGCCTCTTTCAGGAGCCTGTGGCACTAAGAGGAAGCCTTCTGCAGATGCAGCCAGCAGGCTTCCCCACGGACCCCAGAGGCACAGCTGCTCCTGCCGGGAAGGGGTGTAAGTTCAACCACGGAGCAGCCACAGCCCTGCAGCAGCTGTGGGCTTGAGCTCCCCAGAAGCGCCTGGGATCAGGAAGGTGCGGTGGCTCCTGGAGTGCTGATGGGTGTGTCACAGGCATGTGAACCAGAGCAACTCCATCTTGAATAGAGGCTGTAAAATGAGGCTGAGACCTGCTGGGCTGCATCTCCAGGTGATTAAGACATTCTAAGTCATAGGATGAGATAGAAGGTCGGCACAAGACACAGGTCATAAAGACCTTGCAGATAAGACAGGTTGCAATAAAGAAACCAGCCAAAACCCACCAAAACCAAGATGGTGATGAGAGTGACCTCTGGTCATCCTCACTGGTACACTCCCACCAGCTCCATGACAGTTTACCAATGCCCTGGCAATGCAGGAAGTTACCCTGTATGGTCTAAAAAGGGGAGGCATGAATAATCCACCCCTTGTTTAGCATATCATCAAGAAATAACCATAAAAATGGGCAACCAGCAGCCCTTGGGGCTGCTCTGTCTATGGAGTAGCCATTCTTTATTCCTTTCCTTTCCTTTTTTTTTTCAAGACAGAGTTTCGCTTATGTTGCCCAGGCTGGAGTGCAATGGCGTCATCTAGGCTCGCGGCAACCTCTGCCTCCTGGGTTGGGTATCAGTTTAGACTGTGAAGTCTGGCTGAAGCCAACGGATGCAGGACACAACAGTAAGGATGAGCCAAAAGTGTAAGGAATAAATATGTCTGCGTTTCCTTTGTTCACTGTCCTCTTGGGGCAAGACTGCTGGCGAGTGTACCCTTTCTGCAGAAAGTAAAAATTGCCTTGCTGAGAGAATTAAATATATGTTCAAGTGCTATTTCTTTATGGCACCAGGGAACAAGCATTTAGCATTTCTAACACGGGTTCAAGTGATTCTCCTACCTCAGCCTCCCCAGTAGCTGGGACTATAGGCACCTGCCACCATACCTGGCTAATTTTTGTATTTTTAGTGGAGATGGGGTTTCACCATGCTGGCCAGACTGGTCTCGAACTCCTGACCTCAGGTAATCCACCCGCCTGGGCTTCCCAAAGTGCTGGGATGACAGGCGTGAGCCCCTGTGCCTGGCCCGATTTATTCCTTTACTTTCCTAACAAATTTGCTCTCACTTTGCAGACTTGGCCTGAATTATTTCTTGCGTGAGATTCAAGGACTCTTATTGGGGTCTGGATCAGGAACCCTTTCTGGTAACAGATGTGCCTGGGGGAGAAGGGGCCAGGAGGAAGGTGATGCAGAGGCCACCTCCACTAACCCTCAACAGCGTACACCACCTCTGCCACTCCCACTTCACAGGCGAGAAAACCAAGGCTTAGTGCGGTGGGGCCAAGTGCTCAGCGGACACAGCTGGAGAGCGGCGGGCCAGGATTCCGCATAAAAAAAGCAGCCCTCTCAGATCCTGGGAGGACAAACAGGAGAGCTCATTCCCTATTCTCCAGCTTCCATCTCAAAGTCTCCAGGAACCCCCAGCAACCAAAATATTCTTGTAAGTGAATAAGGAAAAGCAAAGCCAACAGGTGATTCTCGATGCTCCCGTAGGCCCCAGGGAGTGGAGAAGCACCACGCTCCAAGTGCCTGGACAGAGAGGGATCTGCCAACGGGAGCTCGGTCAGAAAGAGGAGGAGGGGGAGCCAGGGCAGGGGGCAAAGAAAGAGAGTTCAGTGAGGGGGCAGCACGTGCCAAGGCCCCAAGGAGTGTCCCGGGCATGGAATGTTCCGGCAACCAAGAGAAGGCCGTGTGGGTTTGAGTGCAGACAAGGGGAAAGCGGCTCAGCACAGCCAGGGAAAGCCAGCCAGAGTGAGGGACAACGGCCCAGGAATGGCTGGGGAGCTGCGGCTCTGTCTGGAAAGCAGTGGGTGGGCGTCACTGGCACCTGCTGCCATCTATGGATTCACCCAAGCCAAGGATGAAGATGGGGAACCAGCAGGCTCAGGACACAACATGGGCCCATCCCTCGTTGACTCCCATTAGCAGACAGCGACCCGTGCATGAGCTGCTCTGGGGGACGGCAGCTTCTGGCTCAGGGGCCAGCCTGCGTGTCTCTGCCATGGCGGGTCATAACCTCATCAGCCTCCTTCCTGAAACCCGAATGCCACACGCCTGCTGAGTTTCTCAGGATCTCACAAATCCTACCCCAGTCCCCAACATCCTGGCCAGCCTGACAGTTACTTCCTGGAGCATCTTCCAGAGTTCCGTCGGGTTTGCTGACCCTGGTTGAGTGATGGCATTTTCTAGCTCTTTCTGTCTGTACCCCAGAATGTAGCTTGTCTAAGCCCAGTGACTTAAGCCCAATCTATTCATTTCACCACTGTCCCCTGGCAGGAGGAATTCCTCTGAAAAGACCCCAGGAGCCTGGCGAGGGGTACGCTGGGGAGGCAGCTGGTGACAAGGCCTGGGCAGAAAGCCTGCTTTTCACTAAGAATTCTTTGAACATTTTGAATTTTGTACTATTTGCAGATACTGCCTATTCAAAAATAAGTAATTAATTGAAACAATGAGATCATTCTCTTTGATACAAAAAGGCAAAACCCTAACCGGAGTCCTGTCGTTCTGCTGTTATCTCATCCCGGGCTGGAATCTGGTCACCCCAAACTCCCCACGCCCCAGCCTCAGCGTCTCCATCTGTAAACCAAGGCCCAGGCCCTCGGACCTTGGTGGGGGGGCTCCACTTTGTGAGTCTGACTTGTCATAGCCTGAAGCTGTGGCCTGGGCCCCTGTCTCCGTCCCACTCGCAGGCTGGTTAAATCCCGGGAGTCAAAACCTCCAGGAGCAGGTTCCGTGGTCTGAGAGTCCAGGACAGCTTGTCACTCAGCAAGACAGCCTGGCGGCGGTGGGGGGGGGGGGGGCGCCAACCAGGGCGACCGAGGACACCAAGGTGGGGCCTGTGGGTGAGGTGCCCCCAGGAGTCTCAGTGGAAGCTCCAGGAAGGTCACAAGAGATCCCTCCTCCCAGGTGGCCCCTAAAGAGGCCAGCACACAGTCCATGGAGGAAGAGGCACAGAATCAATGAATCTGGCTTTCAAGGAGCGAATAAACTTAGGCTTGTTGGTGTCTCAAAGGCATCTGGTACCTGAATTGTTCTTGGGGTTCCTACTGGAGGCGCCAGCCCTTAGAGACTGAGCAGCCAGGGACAACACTCCCGGGCGGCTGGCAGTGCCACCCGTTTCCTGCCAACCCAGGACCCGTGGAGACCAGGATCAGCCTCTAGCATCCCTGGGGCAGCAGGAGAGACCCTTGTCCCTCCTCCACCCACACACTGGGGATCCCCATGCCTCCCTCATAGCTTGTGAGGAGCCAGGGGTCCGGGGTCAAAGTCAGATGCCACGAGCTGGAGAGGAAGCGTCGGCAGACGTCCCCTGGGTGGGGTCCTGGGGTCTGCAGGTCACGTGGAGAAGGCACAGCAAGAACAAGACCTAGGCCAGACGGCAGCGTCAGCGCACGCTCCACAGCGGGCTTCCCGCAGCTCTGCACAGCACGGCGAATTTCCACCTAAGTGTGTCCACGGAGCCTCCACCAGATCAAAGCTGGAGACAGCCCCAGCTTCCCAGACAGCCTGACGACCCTCAAAACTGCATTTAAAAACCACTGTTTCGGTGAGTGGGTGAATCATTCACATGGTTCAAAATTCAAAAGGAACAGAATGATGTCGCCTGGAAATGCGTGTCCTGCCCCATCCCAGGGACTCAGGGTCCTGCACCTGAAACGGCCTTTGCAGAAGTCCTGTCAGTGAGACAATTAGAACACCAACCTAAGCTAACCCAGCCCCCATCCTGCCCTTCCCTTAATTATTCCTGGGCTATTGGGCCAAGCTAACTTTGGAAGACATTTAGGCTACAGTTTAAATGATTGATAATAGGCCTTGCCCCAAACCTGCTTTTGTAAAGCTAATGGGAGGCCCCCAGGCTTCCAGGAGGAGGGAACCAGAGACCTTATAAGGCGCAGACACAAAGGATGGTCGGCCATTATCCCGGAGGTTACAAATATGCAACTTCCCCCATTACTCCTGCAAGTAACACCACCGCTGTAGATGGAAGTATCTTCTGAGAGATCTTTCCAGGTTTTTTGCATGTCTGACGCCCACAGCTCCACTCAGACCCCATGGCTCCACCTGGACCTACAGCCCCGCTCCTGTGGCCCCACCAGAAGCAATTCGGCTGCAGGAGGAAGGCTTCCACCCCTGTGATTTCATCTCCACCCCAACCAATCAGCAGCAAACATCTGTTACCTGGCCACCCCTACCTAAACCCCTAATCTAATCCGGTTGCGGTGACTCACGCCTGTAATCTCAGCACTTTGGGAGGCCGAGGCGGGCGGATCACAAGGTCAAGAGATCAAGACTATCCTGGTCAACAAGGTGAAACCCCATCTCTACTAAAAATACAAAAATTAGCCAGGCGTGGTGGCGGGTGCCTGTAGTCTCAGTAACTCGGGAGGCTGAGGCAGGAGAATCGCTTGAACCTGGGAGGTGGAGGTTGAGGTGAGCCGAGATCGCGCCACCGCACTCCAGCCTGGGTGACACAGTGAGATCCGTCTCAAAAAAAATAAAGAAATAAATAATAAAAAATTGTCACAAGGCTGGCCATGCCACAAGGGAGATGGAATTATTACTCAAATCAACCTCCCTGAAGGCATGGAGGTTAGGGGATTTTCAAAAACTAAATTTCTCCCAAAGCTAGCTTGGCGCACGCCCAGGAATGAAGGAAGCCAGCCAGCCTGCCTGTGAGGTGAGGAGCAAGATGGAGGCAGCCATGTCAGATTTCTCTTCCTGTCATAATTTTGCAAAGGCGGTTTCAGGACAGGGCAGGAAGTTGTCTGTAACCAGCAGGTGCTCGACAATGAAAAAAGGAGAGTAAGGCCACGCACAGCATCTCCACATCTAAAGTCCCGAGGAGGGGTGTCCTGCAGCGGGGGCAGAGGGAGAGACCACCAGGGGCCCTAGAAGGGGCAGTGCCTCGTGCAGCTCAGCAAGGAATCCATCTTCATCTCCACAGCGTGGAACTCAGCCAGTCCCGGAAAGCCCTCCCGTGTGTTCTGGAAACAGCTCACTGCAAACAGCCCCCTTCGCACAGGACTGAGATGAGACTCGCGGCTGCCGGGTCCGCCTAGGAGAAGGCCAGATCACGGCCTCATCAGCGATTCCCTGAGCTGTTTTGTTCCCACAGAAGCAGCAGAACAAAATGCTTGTTTAAAAAAACAACAAAAAAAGCTTGTTCAGCTTCTCTGCCTCCCCCAAACCCTGAACTGGGAGACCCCCCCCAGCCTAGTTCCCCCTGGGTCAGCCTGTAACCCCACCTTAGCCCCTGAGACTGGGCTGGCCAGGGGGAACCTGCTGTATCTGCTGCCCCTCAGGCCCCCTCACGCCACTCCCCCACCGATTCTTTCCAGCCCTGCTCCCTCTCTCCGTCAAAGAAAACCCCTTTCCCTGGCTCTGGAGGCCTTGTAGGCCTTGTAAGTTGGAGTGGTACGTACCCCTACTGTGAGGCGCTCCCCCAAGCCCTGCAATAATCCTTTTGGAATAAAGTTCCCCTTACTAAATCCGGATTTGTTTTTTATTTGACAATTTCTTCTCTGTGGAATTCTCGGCTCAACTCAAGGGACGGAGCCGAGCTTAGAAATAAAACAGGAGCAGCGTCAACAGAAGATGTCAGGAGTGGGGGCCTCGTTTCTGCGTGGTGAATTCTGAGACCAGAGCACACCGTCCCAAGAGGGCAGTGGACGCTGGGGAAAGTGTCACGGCCGCTGAAGGAGAGGGAGGGGGCCAGTGGAGGATCCAGGCTCCTTCTGGCCCCTGGCTGCCTAAAGATGAAGCGTCGCCCTGGCAGCGTTTGAAACACGGTCATTAAGGAGTGAAATCGGCGCGGTGAGTTGTGCAGGAGAACGTGGCGAAACCTCCCTGGAGACGAAGAGCCCCAGAGCGTGCAACCTCTCCGGGGGAGTCTGGGTCCAAGCCCACCGTGTCCTCACCCAGACCTGCCCACGCCTCTCTCCCAGCTGTCAGGAGTTGTCAAGGGGATTAAGCGGATTCTCTTTGCCGTTCATGGGAACGGCAGCGGGATTAGCTGGGGCCTCCTACCGAGGAGGGGGTGGGCTCGGGTTAGCACAGACGACACTCAGAGAGCTTGGAGGGGCGGTGACCAAAGAGGTAGGTCACAGCCAGATACCAAGGCCTTGACTTTGGGGTCTCATTTTACGGGTAAGAACCCTCCCTTGGCTGGGGGTGAGGCTAGGGCCACACACCCATTCCCCAGCCAGCCTTTGCAGAGGTCAATGAGAAAGAGGCAAATTCTGGAACCTTTCCTCACCCTCTTTGACCCAGAGAGGATTTAATCTGGAATGAAGCTGGTTGAGACTAGTTTTGTGAGCGATCTGTCCACCTGGGGTGCCGGTGTGTTTTACAAGGCTGGCTTTCATGGCGCAGTTGAGTTCCCACTTGCAGAACATACTCACCCTGTGGCTATAAGGCAAAGCGCTGGGGCTTGTAGGCACTGGACCCCAAGCAGTGAACAGGTCAGTGCAGGGCCTGTTTGGTGTGGCTGCACAAGCGCGAGAAACAGGAATGCAGGCGTTTCTGGCTGGAGGGAGAAGGTTGGATGAGTGTAACAGCACCTTCGGGGTGAGGGTTTGCATTTCCGCTGGAGACGAGGCCAGGTGTCTTGCACTCAGGTTAGGCTGTGAGGAATTGAGGCCAGGCCCAGAAGGAGGGTGGGATGGAAGGGAGGGGCCGTCATGTGGATGGTGGGCCAGGTGTCCAGGCCCGCCAGGTGCCCAGGTTGGAGAACCCGGATTCTCCATGTGTGCGGGTCCTCCAGGTGCCCACGTCCTCCAGGTGCCCGGGCCGTCCGGGTGCACAGGTTTGTGAGATGCTCCCACTGTGTGCTTCCTACCGTTTTGCATCCAATGCACATGGATGCACTCCCACCTCTCGGCTCCCCTGGATCACCCCAGGCAGGTGAAGGAATGTTTTGGAGCCCTGTTTTCTCCTCCCTGAGACAGGGTGGCACCCGGCCTCCTCCTCTGGCTGCTGCAGGCTCAGTTCACTTTCCCACGCTGGACCCCTTCAGGCCAAGCCTCGGGGAGCACAGAACCATGGGACAGCGGGGATCCAGGACCCCCAGAAATCCGGCTGGAGGAGCTTCAGGGTGACCCCTCCTCCCCTGTCCCTCAGAGCAGATGCTCCTAGAATGCTCCTTCTTAGAGCAAGTGAATTAGCATTCCCACCAAGGCTGCCCAGAATGGGGTAGGGGCAGGGTGTGTGGGGACCAGCATGGGCACCGAGCCTTCGTCATCTGTGGTCTCAGTGGCAGGCGGGCAGTGCCAGAAGCCCCATCTCCATCCACTGTCTCCCCTCTGTGCTCTCCCAAGGCGTGGCCCCTCCCCCCACCATCTCACCATCTCTGCAGGGTTTCTGCTGAAGACCAAGGACTTACAGGCTCTTTAGAGGCCAGAGAGGCAACCTGTGTTTGGGACAGTTGGCGGGGACCCAGCCCAGGTGGGGAGTGACCAGAGGACACCCAGGCAGAGCCACTGCTCCCTTGGGGACTCCTGGGCCCCCTGCTCTTCCCAGGTGGGGAGTGAACAGAGGATTCCCAGGCAGAGCCACTGTTGCCTCTGGGGCTCCTGCACCCCTGCTCTGTCCAGATGTTGGCTTCCCACCCTGCCCGGGCTGGGACCCCTGTTCACCTCCCTCCGCTATTCCTGCAGCCTGTGAAGCCCATGCCCCGCGGTGGTTTTGGCTGACTCCAGGGCAGGGTTGCCTCCTCCTGTCCCAGGTGTGCAGCTCGCACGCACACAGCCGGCAAACACAGCGTGGTGAGCTCAGGAGGATTGTCTAGGATGCAGGAGTCACAGGAAGGGGTCCCAGCCTGCAGCCCACCCTCTTCTGCATCCCCCTCTTCCCACCACCGCCTTCTCCTCCCTCTGCTTTCCTCTGTCCTCCATCCTCCTCTGCACAGGAAGCCTCTCCAGGCCCGAAGGCAGAGTTGCTGGAGCTGTTGCTTGATTAGGGCCATGGCCCCCATCCCCTGGCCAGGGGAATTCTCTCTCCTCTCCCCGTTTTTCCTCCACACTTCCCTCTTCCCTCCCTGTTCTCTCCCTCTGAGCTGGGTTAGGCTGATGGGCTCCGAGCACAGAGGCAGAAGCATATTCATTTCGGTCCTCTCAGGGGCCAAGACCCTTTTACATCGGAGCTGGAGAACGCAGCCACCCGTGGGCTAGAGGAGGGGCCGGGGCGCCCCAGAACTGAGGCCCCCGCTTTCCAGGCCAATGCCCTCCTTCCTTCTGTTTCCCACCCTTTCCCACCCCGGGGGTTTAATGTGCGTCTCCATGCACTACTATCGGCAGTTCCCAGCAGGTCATAAGAGCTGCCCCGGAGTTCTGTCCAGTGGGACCTCACGGGGAGACGGGGTTCCAGCAAGGAGCTCTGAAGGAGGGCGAGGTAGCAGGAGAGGGCGGGCCATGGGGAGACCCGGGCTTTCTGCAATGAGGGGGCGGTGAGAGGATTGGTCACTGGTTCCTTTAGGAAGCCCTGCTTTCTTGGGGAGGGCGCACCTGACAGGTGGCTTCATTCGAATGTGTTTGGGGCTCCCGCCCCAACAAACGCACCCCCCTCATCCTCTCTCTGGGGGAGAGGGAGCTGCCACACACCATTCGTTTATGCCCGCCATCTCCCACGGTGCTCAAGGCATCGAAGCGCCAGTTGGAGGGAGGGCAGAGCTTGCTGGGTCCACCCGGGATGAGGCCGGGACATACACAGCCCCTTTCTTGGCCTCATCAATGATTCTCTGAGCTGTTTTTATCCCCACAGATCCATCAGAACAAAATACCTGTTGACTAGACTTGAGTTCAGCTCCTCTCCTTCCCGCAGGCCCTTAACCTGGACCCCCTCAGCCTGGGCCAGCCCGTGACTCCCCACCCCCTGAGACAGTGCTGGCCAGGGGAAGCTGATTTGTTGTCCCTGAGGCCACCCACCCCACCCCCGACACAAGAACAAAGAACAAGGTTGAATTCTTTCCAGCCTTGTTCACATCCCCCATAAAAGAAAACCTTTGGCCAGGCACCGTGGCTCATGGCTGGAATCCCAGCACTTGGGGAGGCTGAGGCCGGCAGGTCACTTGGGGCCAGGAGTTCAAGACCAGCCTGGCCAACATAGTGAAACCCCATCTCTACTAAAAATAAAAATTAAAAAAAGTAGCCAGGCATAGTGGTAAGTGCCCGTAATCCCAGCTACTCTGGAGGCTGAGGCAGGAGAATCACTGGAGCCCGGGTGGCGGAGGTTGCAGTGAGCTGAGATCACACCATTGCACTCCAGCTTGGGTGACAGAGTGAGACTCCATCTCAATTAAAAAAAAAAAAAAAAAAAAAAGGCCGGGCGCGGTGGCTCACGCCTGTAATCCCAGCACTTTGGGAGGCCTAGGCGGGTGGATCACGAGGTCAATAGATCGAGACCACCCTGGCTAACACGGTGAAACCCCATCTCTACTGAAAATACAAAAACAAAATTAGCCTGGCGTGGTGGCAGGCACCTGTAGTCCCAGCTACTCGGGAGGCTGAGGCAGGAGAATGGCGTGAACCCTGGAGGCGGAGCTTGCAGTGAGCCAAGATTGCGCCACTGCACTCCAGCCTGGGTGGCAAAGCAAGACTCCATCTCAAAAAAAAAAAAAAAGTCTGGATTGGCCAGGTGCTATGGCTCACACCTGTAGTCCCAGCACTTTGGGAACCCCCCAGGCAGGCAGATCACTTAAGCCCGGGAGTTTGAGACCAGCCTGCCTGGGCAACATAGCAAGACCCCATCTCTACAAAAAGTTAAAAAAAAATTAGCCAGGTGTGGCGGTGCACACCTGTAGTCTCAGCTACTCAGGAGGCTGAGGCAGGAGGATCACTTGACCCTGGGAGGTCGAGGCTGCAGTGAGCTGAGATTGCACCACTGCACTCCAGCCTGGGTGACAGAGTGAGACCCTGTCTCAAAGAAAAACAAAAAGTCTGGGTCGGGCTTTGATTTTGACATTCCCCTACCTGTGTCCACCTCCGTCGACAGGGCTGGACGTTGGTCCCTGCAGTGGCCTGGCCGGTCTCTGGGCACCCGTAACTGCTGCAGCCCAGAAGGGAGCCCCTCCCACCTTCCCGCAGACCTGCGCCCCACCCAAGGGGCCCGGCCGCCGCTCACTCGGGGCCCCCGAGCTGAGATGGGGTGCTGGCTTCATTTTTTTTCACCTCTTCCACAAATACTGACCAAGGCTTTTGTTCAACCAGACCCTGGAACTGGGGGACCCAGTGGGGGACAGGGCAGATGACCTGTCTTCAGGAACCTTCCCGGGGTGGGGGTGCACCCATGGGTGACTGCAAGAACGCTAACACCAGCACTGCGGGTGCAGACCGTGCTCTGGGGGGGGACAGGGGCTGGGTCAGGGCAGGCGTCTGACCATGAAGGGTGGCCTGGAGGGAGAGTGATCCAGGCTAAGTGGAAGGCAGTGGAAAGCCCCGGGACGGGGGCGGATGGGGGTGCGGGGCAGAGCTTCGGGGACTCCAGGGGCCCAGCCTGACTGGAAAAGGGAGATTGGGCAGGGCCAGGGCTGGTGGGGCTGCAGCTCTGTGGGGCGTCTGCATTTCTCTTCAAGGGCAGGAGGAGCTTTTCTGACTGGTGTTCGGCAGGGGACTGAGGGATGAAGAACAAATCAGGGTTTTTAAAGGAGTTGACTTGAAAAGGTTGCAGGCCGAGCGCGGTGGCTCACGCTTGTCATCCTAGCAGTTTGGGAGGCCTGTAATCCCAGCTACTCAGGAGGCTGAGGCAGGAGAATTGCTTGAACCTGGGAGGCAAAGGTTGCAGTGAGCTGAGATCATACCACTGCACTCCAGCCTGGGTGAGAGTGAGACTTCGTCTCAAAAAAAAAAAAAAAGGTTATTGCAGCACCGAGGACTATCGCAATGGGGGATCTCTGCTCCCACCACAGGGTCTACAAGGAGCTCCAGGGTTAGGCAAAGGCTTTTTGTTTTTTTTGAGACGGAGTTTCGCTCTTGTTGCCCAGGCTGGAGTGCAATGGTGCGATCTCTGCTAACTGCAACCTCCACCTCCTGGGTTCAAGCGATTCTCCTGCCCCAGTCTCCCAAGTAGCTGGGATTACAGATGCCCCCCACCATGCCTGGCTAATTTTTGTATTTTTAGTTGAGAAGGGGTTTCACCATGTTGGTCAGGCTGGTCTGGAACTCCTGACCTTAGGTGATCTGCCTGCCTTGGCCTCCCAAAGTGCTGGGATTACAGGTGTGAGCCACTGCACCCAGCCTGGGTTTTTTATTTTATGGGGGTGTGAACAAGGCTAGAATCTGTGTGGGGAGTTGGGCGCGGGGCCTGAGGGGCAGTAGATAGAGGGGTTCCCCGGGCCAGCCTGGTCTCAGGGAGTGGGAAGTCACAGGCTGGCCCAGGCTGAGGGGGTCCAGGTCCTGGGCCTAGGGGAGGGAGAGCAGCCGAGCTGGGTTTGGTCAGCAAGCATTTTGTTCTGATGGATCCCTGCCGGTCATCGGCGAGGTCAAGGGGACTCAGGGCCTGGGCTGGGCCTTGCCCTAGGTAGACCCGGGGTGGGGGCATCTCTGAGTCTCCCTCAAGTCACATGGGAAGAGGTTTCTCTGCACAAGCAGAACACAGGGGTCAGGGGTTTCTTAACCTTCACTGTTTCCAGGAGCCCAAGGCTCTTTGAGCTCCATGTTGGCACCAAGCATCTCGAAGGAGCCAGCTGGGCTGGGGGCCAGGCGGGCTGGCAGTCACTGAAATGCCACCTGGGAGGGCCGCCGAGGCTGAGGCTGCTCACCATGCTGGTAGCAGCACCTGCAGGGCTGGCTCACCTGTGGCTCCCAGCCCCACCCTCGGATATCACTCAGCAGGCCCCCAGGGAGTCCCCAGATGCTGGTGCAGGTGTGTTGGGGCCTGTCTCACCGGTGACCTCACATGGCCAGTGTCGGGGGTGGGGCAGCCTGTGAGTTCTCTCCTTCCTGTCCCTCGACAAGCCCACCCTAACGGTCAAGTCCGCAAAGGGGTACGCACCTGCCGCAGGGCCATCCAAGGTCCCCAGCTCCAAAAATTGCTTTCCAAATTCCAGCTCCCTTAGAGGGCAGCCAGTTCTCAATTGTGAGGGGGTGAGCTATTGGATTAATTTGCCTTTGAACAGCACTGAGAGGCCTGGGCCTCAACTTCCCAGTAGTGAAGACATTACTACAATGCGCCCGAATCCTTCCAGAACCCATGGGAGGTGGGTGGGCCCTTCCTGCCTGGGTGGTCAGAGTGGGGGGCTCACACAGATCCTGAGCCAGGGCTCTAGGTGACCCTGGTTGCTGCAAAGGTTCCCAGCTGCACCCCAGAATGCCCTGGTCCATCACTGGGCAAGGTCTCCCTAAAGAAAGGGCTGCGGGGAGGGGGGTGCCCAGCCTACTAGGGAAAAGCCGCCCAACCCCCAGTCCCAGGAGACCTGCAGCCAGGAGGCCTCTTTGCTAATACCCTGTGGAGCTGACTGCTCACTCCAGTGACTTTGTATTTCTGGAGCCCTCCCAGCTCCTCGCGGGACTCGGTGGCTCCAGGATAAGACTCAGACTATGGGGCCCACTCAGGGCCTGTCCCCCACCTCCCGTTCAGCTGGGACTGCGTGAGTCCTGCAGATAGGAGCAGCCTTCACTGGATCCAGGACGGAGCCCTATGGTTGCCTTCCCACCCCGTGCTGGGAGGTGGATGAGGGGCTCATGCTCTGAGCCCCGGACTCGCCCCCTTAACTGAGAGGCTCGGGAGTGTCCTGGGAACACAGAATCGGTGCCGCTTCCTCTCCTGCTCTGATCCCAGGCTGGAGAAAGGCTTCCTTCCTGACCTCCCAGGAGCTGGAGCCCCGCATCCTCTCAGCGGGTGACCCCCAAACCCCTCCCAACTTCACCCCTGCAGCTCCCTGGGACTGGAACCTTCCCCCTCCTCCCCGGTGGTCTCCACCTGAACATCCCTGCGCAGGCTGCCTGCCCCCCACTCCCGAGGCAGATCCGATATCTTGGCTCGGCACCCCCACCCTCGAGGGGTGCGTGCTCACATGTGTGCAACCCGCCCATGGCTCACCCCCACCCAGCGGCCTAAGTGGGCTGTCGGTGAATGAATGAATGAATGTGTGAAGGTGGGAAGGAATGAGGTGGCCAAGAGGGGGCCAGGAACGTTCCTATACACAGAACCTGGCGCAGAAGAAAAGAACACAGAACATCAGCGGTAGGATGATTGAGTGTTTCTTTAAAAATAAAAACCCCACAAAAAAGCCAGAACACCCTACCCAACCCAGCCCAGTGTAACAGGTTAGCCATTAACACAGAATAAAGAAGGTCCCAGCCACACACGTCATTACTCGGCAGAGGGTGTCCAGCCTGGTCGGCCGACGTCACAGTGGATGGCCCTGCGTGGCTGGGACACAGACAGGGAGCAGGCATGGCACCTGCGCCACGCAGAGCAGCAAGGCTGAGCATGACCACTGGAAATAAATAAACATGGTGCCGACAGCATCTTTAAATTAGTAAGACGTTAGCACAAAACAAAAAAGCACAACGACTGAAAATGCACTTGCTTGTTGTGGTGGGTTGTGCTTGAAAACACCTGAAGCCCACAAGTGGAAACCGCTGGGGACGTTTGTCAGTGGAGTGTGGAGAAAAAGGGACGGAAAAATCAAGTCTTCTGAGACAGTCCCCTGCGGTGGCCCTGGTCCCTGTGGAATTCCAGCACAGCAGGAGGGGGAGGGGGAAGCAGGCCTCAGTCAGCACCGCGGGACACGGCCCCTACCTTCTGAAGTGGGGTCCCCAGGCTGGAGTGGGGCACACAGCACCAAGGATCACAGACTGGACCCCCCACCAACCTTCTGCGGAGGAGCTCCCACCCCAGCTCAGACGCCCAGAAGAGACCTGCGCAGTGTGAAGACGGACCCCAGCGGCCCCAGCCATTTCACTAGCAGCTACTTTCCACAACAGACGCTGGCAGCCCCCATGCTCGCCCACAGCCGCAGCAGCCAACAGGCAAGTGCGTGCCGTCGAGAGGCCGCCGGCTCCCTGTATCCTTGAGGCATGTCCACGTCCCAGAGCAGGAGGTTGGAACAGAACGGCATCCCGAGGACCCCTAGCCGAGGCGGGAAGGTAAGAGGCTGACGTCGTGCGTGGGCCCCGCCGGCCCCAGTGGGAAGCAGTGGTGCGTGCCTCCAGGGAGCACTTCTCCTGGACCCGGGGCCGTGGCTGCCTACGATGTCCACTGCCTCCTGGATTCACACAGCAATGCACCAGGCAGGTGGGGCACCAGCTGCTGTCCTTATTTGCAGCCAAGAGAACAGGCCCAGAGGGAAGAGGTCTTGCCCAACACAGTCAGTCCACCTGCCTGCTGGTGGTCCTCGGCCTCCAGACCGTGGGCTGTCCCTTGGACGAGTGGAATTCGTCCCCAGGAAGGATGCAGGTCCTATGAGCAGACGCTGTGAAGTCTGTCCATGTGCAGCGGGAAGCAACGGGGCAGGGGTGAATAAAGGTCTTCATTCCTCAAGCAAGAGAGACGGACATCTGGTCCTGAGTCCCCAAACTGTTCATCAGGTTTCTCCGGGCCCACTGGATGGTGAGGGGGTCCCGGTGCCCAGGCGGGGGCGGCAGGCTCCACTGGGCACTTGCTGAGAGCTTGCGGCTTGAGCAGCCGCTGGTCAGTGAAGCCGTGTCCGGCTTCGTTGGCTCCCGGCTTGGGACACTCAGGGCTGTGCCACAGGCCAGCTCCTCCAGCCACAGCTGAGCACTGGAGTGACGCTGGACCACTTGGCTCCACCTCTGGCTGGGGAGAAGGGAAGCCCGGGGCCTGAGAAGGCAGAGCCCCCCGAGCTCAGGAGGGATCCTGCGGGGTCTTCTTGTTCTGGGGGTCCCTGGCTGCTGCCATGGAGGCAGCGACAGCTCAGGAAAGTGGGCCGCATTGGCCAGGCCTCGGCTGCCTCCCATAGCGAAAAAAATTCACGGGAACAACAGAAACAAGGGGTGCCCTAGTTCCCTCTCTGCAGGCGGGTGGGGACTGGGTGAGAGCCCAGGGGCCTCCAAACGCAGGCGGCAGAGACGTGAGCAGTGCTTGGCTCTGTCTCCTAGACAACGGGCATCAGGACCAGGACAGGACATGAGCGTGACAGGGAGAGCGGGGAGGTGCCTAGGCCGGGAGTGGGAACCCAGCACCGGCCAGAAGGGGCTGCCGGGCGGTACAGAGGCCAATGCATTGGAGGCTGAGGGTAGCTGCGACCTCTGGGGCAGGGGACACTGCTGTGTGGAGCCCAGGGTGGGCGCCCACATGGGTGCCTGGCCGCGGTGTGTCTGCCTTTCTTGTCTCTGTTTCTAGAAGACTGAAGGACAGGGCTTTGTCTGCATGAACCAGAACTCAGCCTCCAAAACTGGACACAGAAATAGCCAAGAGGCCACACTGCCCAGAGGCCAGGCCTGGTGAGCTAGGGGAGATGCCGGCACCCCCCAACCCTGGGGCTGTTCCCTGGCTCAGGATGGTGTCTCGGGGCTAGGATTATGGTCAGGAGTCCATCGGGGCCTCAAGCACCTCCTGGGAGGAATCACCCACCTTGCCCAGATCCCCCACCCCCTCCCAGTGCCACCCTACGGCTGAGTTTCCACTCTGCAAACCCTAAGGCAGAGACATAAGCCCACAGGGTTGGTTTTCACGAATGTCACAAGCCCATGTGTCTGGGCAGCTGTCCGGCTTCAGTGCAAGTCTGTGGTAGCAATGAGGTTCCAAGTCTCAGTAGCTCTGTTTGCCCAGGGTCTGGGCCCTTGGGGCAGGAGAAAGGAAGGCTCCTGCCTTCCCCCAGCTCCTTAAAAAATCATCTTAGTGGTGTCAAGTTGACCCAAAATTTAAGTTTAAAAAAAATATATATATAAGTAAACAAAGGAGGGAAGGGAAAAAGGGCCCAAGGAGACCAAAAGCTGCTCCTGGGCAGGAGCACAGGCACACCTGGGTCCCTGGCCCTCAGTTGAGGGATGAGATTCGTACCAGAGTTTTCACAGCAGCCTCCACTGCCCGACCTGGGAGGGACGGCGAGGGACTGGGATGGGCAGCTGAGCTGTGGGTTGCGGGGAACCGGAGTGGGTTCGAGGAGGTGATCTACTTTAACTGGCCTCTGCGCATGCTCCTCCGGCAGCCACTCGGCCTCCTGGCTATGTCTCCTGGGGGACCACCTGCATGAGCTTCTGACACAGGACGGTCGTGGAGACTGTCAGGAGAGAAGACAGCTGTGTTAGCCTGGGGGCTGGGTAGGCACCCGTGGGACACGGGGGCGTGAGCTGGGGCTCCCCCAGCCCTGCTGTCACCAAACCCAGCGCCGCTGCCCAGCGCTGGGATTTTAAGGAACCTTCCCTTGTGTACTTGCGCATGTGGGTGCCGGGTGCCCGAGGCGCTGTCTTCAACTGAAATGCGGAAGTGCCACATCCCACTCGGCCCACCCCTCGCCTGCTTCAGAACCCTGGGGAGGCAGAGTGCGGCCCCTGGGGCACACGAACCAGGCCCTGGTGTCTCAGCAAAGTGCAACGGGGGGATGACAGGCCTTCCTGCAGGTCCACACCCGGGCCACCACCTGGACACATGCCTGGACTGTTCACAGCAGGCAGGGCCGGAGGGGCCAATCTGCTAACGGGTCCTCGGAAGACCTGTCGCGCCTGGGACTGTCTACAGAGACATCACTCTGTGGAGGGGGACTGCTTTCAGGATAGAGACGGGGGTTTGCTTTAAGCTCTTGGTGTCCTGAATGACAGTTAATGCAGATCCCACTGCAAAGCTTGAGGCAAATGTTCTACCATGACCCTGGCGGTGATCAGAGTGTGGGGTAGGGGTGGGGGGTCTCCCTGCCTGTGTTGCTGCCATCCCGGGAATTCTCCAAGCCACCCAGTGACATGGGGATCAGCATGTAGGCCCGCAAGCACCCCGGCCTTTTTCTACGAGCCTGGCCACATTTGCAGGCGCTGAGGACGGGGTCCTGAGCTTGGTGACAAAGCACCCCTGGGGCTGCCGCTGCACACAGGGCCGGGGGGCGGGTTTCTCCTTCTGCCTTTTTTTTTTTTTTTGAGAAGAGTCTCGCTCTGTCGCCCAGGCTGGAGTGCAATGGTGCGATCTCGGCTCACTGCAACCTCCGTCTCCCGGGTTCAAGTGATTCTCCTGCCTCAGCCTCCTGAGTAGCTGGGATTACAGGTGTGTGCCACTACACCCAGCTGATCTGTGTATTTTTAGTAGAGACAGAGTTTCACCATGTTGGCCAGGCTGGTCTTGAACTCCTGACCTCAAGTGATCCGCCTGCCTCTGCCTCTTTCTGCCTTTCTGGGTAAGTCTGCTGTGTCCGCTGGTGGCAGCCAGCAGGATTTTGTTACTTGGCAGCAGTAGCCTGGTTTTCCGGAATCCCTCGTCCTGAGAGATTAGCTGGTGCTGCGCTGTGTGTCTTATCCCTGAACCATGTGGGCTGCGTGTCACTGGCGGACACTGCAGTGACCTGAACCCTCCTGCCACCCAACACGCTTCGCCCCATGTGGGTGGAGACGGCCGACGCCTCTCAACTCCCTTCGCTGCCCAGGGCAGAGGGTACCACGGGCTGTGGGCCAGCGAGATACTCACAGATGCCCTGGAGGAGCCACTTGGGCTTGTTTTTCCACCAGACCCCGAAGAAGTAGACGGGCAGCCCGCTGAGGATGATGGTGAAGCCGATGCCACACTCCACGGGTGTCTTCCAGAAGGAGACGGCGATCAGGAAGAGGCAGGCCAGGATGAAGAACACAGGCAGGGCCAGGTTCACCTGGGGCAGAGGACAGGGCCTGGGTGAGCCCTCTCCTGTCCAGCCTCCCTCCCCCATGCCCCGAGGTTCCTCAGCCCTCCTGGGCCCTCCACACCCACGGCTGCTGACTTCCAGGTCACCAAGATGCGATCTGCACTCCATCTGCCTCACACACCGGGCTGTCCCGCCCTCGACTCTGCATACAGTGCTGGGCATGTTGCCAGGGGCTCAGGCGGCTTATGATGAGGGATGGAAGGAGACAGCTTCGTCTCCCGAGGCCTCCCACGGGCAGGGAAGGTCACGGCTCCATTCCCACATCACAGGCCTGGAAACCCTGAGCCGCCAGGACGCACAGGGGCCTGATGCTTCCAGGAGACAGTGGCCACCCACTAATAAGCCAGGAGACCACCCTCTTGGAGACGCCGCTGTGGACAGCGCTGAGCAAAAGCCCATCCCTGAAGCTGCAGCCTAAACTGTCACCTTCAGCAGATGAGCTCCACCCGGCACAGAAGCCAGGCAGGGCTGCAAGGAGCCTGCAGGCCGCAACCTGCGGCTCGGCATGGCTGGGGGATTGACTCAGCTGTCCTGAATCCATACTTGGACAGGGCACCCTGGGAGATGCAGGGCTGACCACAGGTCCCAGCCCATCAGTGTGGGCTGCATGACTGCCCTGTCCCCAGGGAACAGACGCCAACCCGTGCCCAGGCTCACAACAGTGGGTAGAGCCTACCCCATGCCCAGGTCCCCATGGGGGCTGAGCCCCCGCTGTGCGCAGTGACTGCCCTGTGCCCTAGGCACTGCCCCAGGCTGGCACAGCAGGCACAAGCTGGTGCCCATGTAGGGCGGCTCCTCCCTGCCCTCTGCAGCCTTCTCTTGGGGCAGCATCTGGGTTCTTGTGCTGACTGTATTTTAAAGCCCCTGTTTTTTTTGTTTGTTTGAGACGGAGTCTCACTCTGTCGTCCAGGCTGGAGTACAGTGGCGCGACCTCGGCCTCCCAGGTTCATGCCATTCTCCTGCCTCCACCTCCCGAGTAGCTGCAACTATAGGCGCCCGCCACCACGCCCAGCTAATTTTTTTGTATTTTTAGTAGAGACGGGGTTTCACCGTGTTAGCCAGGATGGTCTCTATCTCCTGACTTTGTGATCTGCCCGCCTCGGCCTCCCAAAGTGCTGGGATTACAGGCGTGAGCCACCGCGCCCAGCCTAAAGCCCGTTCAACAGCATTCACAGGCACCCCCGGGGCCCCCAGGCTTCGGGAACACAGAGGGAGAGATGGTCCGGGCAGGGAAGCAGGGGCTACTGTGACAGCCATAGGCCAGCTGAGTGACAAAAGCTGCTGGCTAGCAGCCACCAGGGGCTCTGGCCTCTTGTTCTGTGTCAGGGCCAGGGCGGCGGGACTTGCTGGGCCCCAGGCAAGAGCATGGCCTCTGCTGGACGGCCCCGTTTTTGGAGAAGGCAGCCCACGGATAACAGCTACCCCTCTGAATGAGCCGCTGGGGACGGGGAGAGTCCAGGAGAGTCCAGCTGGGCCCAGGCGCTCCTCGGGCCGGGTTCCCTGCATTCCTCCTGCCAGCACAGCCCCGACGGCCCTTTGAATGCTGCGCCAGGCCCGGCTCTGCCCCGCCCCTGCCGGGGCTCACCACCGCCCACCTATGACTGCAGTGTCCTTATCTGCTTCCCTCCACCCAACGGAGCACAAGCTCTGTGCCATCTGCTGTCCTTTGAGGAACCCCGGCTCCTGCAGTCACACTTGGCACCCTCGTAGCTGGTGGTCAAGTCATCACCGGAATTAGTCGACCCAGGTGCATGCAGGCAGGGGCAGGTCCAGAGGCTGAGCTGGGATGCTGGCTCCCAACTCAGGGTCCTTAGGACCCACGGACCCTGCCTCTGTGAAGGGTGCCTGGGTGAGCGGGAGGCCCCGGGCTCACCTTGATGGGCCGCTCAAGCTCAGGCTTTCTGTGGCGCAGCCAGATCATGCCGATGATGGCCAGGGCCACGCAGAGCCAGTTGAAGAAGCTGAAGAAGTTGATGACGGAGAAGATGTCCTTGGAGAAGGCGTAGAGCAGCGTCATCACACACTGGAAGAGAGAGGCGGCTGGCTGAGCCCTGGGGCCCACGAGCAGGGCTGTGGACGGCCGTGGTGGCCACCGGGGACTGTCCAGCCTGGCTGGGCCCAGCTGAGCACCAGGGAATTTTGTTTTAAAGGAGAAACCTCATCTGAGCAACATGCAAGGTCTTGAAGGAGGAAAGGAGGGAAGGAGGGAGGAGAGGAGGAGGGAAGAGGCGGGGAGGAGGGAAGGAGGGAGGAGAGGAGGGAAGGAGGGAGGAGAGGAGGAAATGGAGACCACATTTGGGTTAAGGACAGGTGAAGAACACAGTGTACATACACAGCTGGGCTCTGCTGGACTGTGGCTCTGTGTGCGAGGGCCACAACCTGACCTAACCCAGTGGTCACCAAGAAAACAGTTTCTGTAACCCCCGGCACAGCCGTGCTCCCGAGGACCGTGCAGCTGCCAAAGAGTCCAGGACTTGCTGCCCTTCCTGACTGGCTTCTAACTCAGGGAAGGAGTAGTAAGCAAGGGCCAGGACCTCTGAGGCCAGCCCACAGCTGCCAGACCCCAGCTTCCTCTGCTGTATCTCACTGGCTTTGGGGGAAGCAGCCTGTTGGGGGAGCCCAGTGTGCTCAGGGGTGGGGCCTGCAGCCCACAGCCCTGGAGGAAGCCACTGTGGAGTGGCCTCTCCAGCCCTGGTCACACCCTACGATGAGAACACAGCTTCAGGCACCAGCTCCCTGAATTCCTGACTTACGGAAACTGTGAGATAATAAGTGCTTTTCCTTTTAGAACACTACATTTTGGAGTGATGTGTGACACAGCCAGAGGGAACAAAGGCAGTCACGCGGGCTGGCACGGAAAGATGCAGGAGAAGCGGAAGGAAACTGTGTGTGATGCACCCCGCTGAGAAACGAACAGAGTGGGCGCCCACGGAGGTGCAGTGAGCCAGGCGGCTGGCAGAGCAGCACCCCGGGTCAGCTTCTGCCTCCCGCATTTCCGATGGTCTGAATCGTTTGTGGCAGCCACCATATATTATTTTTGGAATAAAATCTAAAGCCCCTCCAGCGCTCTCTGGCATTCAGCGGAGCTCGGCAGGAGGCCACATTTGAGCTGTCACCCAGTCCACACCCCAGACAGAGCTGCAAGCTGTGGCAGCCTCCCTCTGGGAGCCCCCGGACAACCCCCAGGGATGTAGGGCACAGGGCCGTGCAGCAGGCTTACCGTGAACACGAGGGACGGCACGGGGGTGAGGAGCTGTGGGTGGATCATGGAGAGGATGGAGGGCAGGTGGCCTTCCCGGGACCCCACGAAGAAGAGCCTGTGGACAGACAAGAGTGGCAGAGTCAGCCACCGCCCCACAACTCAGCACGTGGACAGGGGACACGCAGGCTGGGGAGTGGCAGGGCCTGTGCCTGGCTTGTCTGGGCCTCTCTGGCCACAGTGGGAACCAGGCCCCTCCAGCCGCTGGCTGTGGGCCTCTCAGTTCCCCCAACCAACTCGGCAAGGACAGCAACTTGGGAGCCACTGCTCACTCCAGCCCGGGGGGTCAAGCGGCGGCCACAGGGCATCTAGGACACCACAGCTGTGTCACCTCCAGGCAGGAGTGGGGAGGCGAGGGCCAAAGTTCATGCTTCCTTTATTTCTGTATTATTTGGGCTTGCTGCTGCCTTTTTTTTTTTTTTTTTTTTGAGATGGTCTCACTTTGTCACCCAGGCTGGAGTGCAGTGGCACCATCTCGGCTCACTGCAGTCTCAATCTTCTGGTCTCAAGCAATCCTTCGACCTCAGCCCCCCAAGTAGCTGGGACTACGGGCACGTGCCACCACGCCTGGCTAATTTTTGTATATTTTTGTAGAAACGGGGTTTTGCCATATTGCTCAGGCTGGTCTCGAACTCCTGAGCTCAAGCGATCTGCTCACCTCGGCCTCCTAAAGTGCTGGGATTACAGGTATGAGCCACCATGCCTGGCCTATTTGAGCAATTATGCATCCCCAGTATCACAGAGACAAACCTTTTACAGACATGGAACATGTTGAACCTGGCCATGAGGCCTGGGCCTCCCTCACCTGTGGTGGGTCGGGCTGTGCTCACCTGGAGGATGTGAACAGGGACCCATTGACGGAGCCGAAGCAGGACAGGCCCACGAAGACGGGGATGATCCAGGACATGACGCCCAGGTGATAGTTCCCGAAGTCCTAGGCAGGCACAACCAGTGAGCTGGGCCCCACCGGGCCGGCCCTCGCCCTCCCTGTGCTCACTGGGAGCCCTCTGCACCGGGCCAGCCCTCGCCCTCTGTGCTCACAAGAGCCCTCTGCAGAGGACCTCTCAGGCTGGATTCTGGCCTCTGGGGGGACTTCCCAGGACAGGGCTTTCCAGTGACCCCTGCCCAGCCTGCTTGTTGGGGAGCCCTTGCTGGTCCTGATTTGCCCCCTCCTCTGGGACTCCCTGGAGCAAGCTACGGCCTGCAGGTGGGGATCTTGCCTTCCCCCGTGGGGTCCTCCACAGGCTCAGCACGGTGCCCTGCCGGCAGCGGGCTGGGAGTCAGAGCTTGTTCAGTAGGAAGCTGGCCAGAGCACCCACTCCCTGTTCCCCCAGCCCTGGGAGGGCAGTGGGAGAAGCCTCGGGAACTGCGAGGCCAGCCTGGCTGAGCTGCCCGGTGACACCGCCCGGGCCTGGCCTCCCGCCTGCCAAGCCAGCAGCAGCCGTGCCTTCTAACGAACCCCACTCTGTGGCAGACTCCAATCTTTCTGTACTCAGATTTAAAATGACCTCTGCCCTGGACTCCCCAGGCATTCTGGCTTATAGCTGGTTCTGGGTGTGGCTTGGTATCAGATTTTAAACCCTTCTCCCCTTTGACTCCCCCAGCAGCTGAGCTTGAGGATGATCCCCAGACACTTCCTCTGCGGTCGCTGTGAGGGGAGACCACCACTCCACCCCTCCGGGTAGGGGAGGCTTAGAGACGCGGGGCCCCCTCTGCGTAGGGGAGGCTTAGAGATGTGGGGCACCACTCCGGTCTGGAAGGGACGGGCTGGCCACAGCCTCTCAGGCCCCTGGTGGAAGCTGGCGGGTAGCGGCTCACCACGGCCACGGCCTCGGACGACAGCATCTGCTCGGTGGACAGGGTGGTGAAGTAGGCCAGGTTGGTCAGCACGTACACCAGCGTCACGATGGGCAGGGAGATGATGATGGCCAGGGGCAGGTTTCTGGAAAGAACAGGGACGACATGTCACCCAACGCAGCCCGGGCTGAAGGCCAAACCCTGTGCCCAGGAGCCAGGTGGGCTCCTCGCAAGCAGTAGCTCCAGCCTCTGTGCTGGGCTTCTCGGGGAAGGTGGGAAGCAGCAAGAGAACACAGGCTGGCGGCAGGAGGCTGTGCCTGGAGCGGGACACTGCACAGCCCTGGCTGGTGCCTTGGCCGCGGCCTCAGCTTCCCCACCTGAGAAATGGGGATTCTTCGGGGTGACCTCAAGGGCTCAGGAGAGTTAAGTCAGGCCACCTGGTCTGAATTCTAAGGCTCTGCCCACGAGCTGCACAGCCGGGGACCAGAGCCGAGAGCCCAGGCAGCTCCTCTGTACCGTCCCGCCCTGAGTGGGGCCCTCACTTGCCACCCGTTCTCTGGAGAAACCGTGCTCAAGGACACACGGCCAGAAGCCACCCGCCCCACATCCTGCTGGCCCCAGAGGCCCCAATCACGGCCCGACTGTGAACTGGCCTGAGCCGACCAACAGGCTTCGAGTGGAATGTGGCTGCTTCCTGCCTCACATTAAAATAATGAAAAAAGACGGCTCCATCCATTCTTGCACGTACCTGTAGGGGTTGATCATTTCCTCTGTGACGAAATTCAAGTAATTCCTAAAATTTAGAGAACAGCGTTCAAATTATATGATCCTCATCAGGGAAAATAAATCACCGGGGAGAGAGCATCCCAGGGCAGCTGGTGAGCCTGCCCCCCGGTGGTCTGCTCGCTGGGCTGGAAAGCGGACCTGGAGTGGGAGGGAGCTCAGCCTCCTGCGTGTTCCGGGGGGTCCCTGCTACCCCTTCCAGGCCCTCCCGCACATTCCCTGCCTGTTCGCCCTACTGGGGTGATTCTCAGGTCCCTGTGAGGCCCGCCTGAGCGCAGGAGTCAGGCTGGGGACCTGGAGGAAAGGGGCCGCAGGGCTCAGCCGCCTCCACCTGCCACCTTCGCCAAGACTGCGACGTGGAGCTAGAGCCAGAGTAGGGCTGCAGCGGGCGGCCTCCCCACGCTTCGTCGGGATGTGGGTGACTCTGGAGGGTCACCTGCCACTCTTTAACTGCCAAGGGGCAGTTAAAGGGAGGGGCAGTCCACTCCCTTTAACTGCCCCTTGATGGCTGGGAGATTTGGGATTCCTGGACACGTCAGGGACTGTATGTCCCCAGACCAAGGGACCCAGACATTCCAGAACCTACCATCCTCCATAGGCAAAGAGGCCGCTGTATAATGCCAGCACAATGTTCCCCACATCCAGTTTGGTGCCTTCAAATGAGAAGTTGGGATCTAGATTGGACACATCACCTGGCAGGGCCAAAGAAAGGAATGCTGGGTTAGAGAGCGCTGAACAGAGGTCATGCTACCAGTTCTAGAATGTTCCTGGAGCAAAATACATAGCAAACAAAAATGCTGGAGTGAAGGCTTTTCACTGTGACAAATGGTATGTACCTGCTGAGCCACATGGAGGGTGCAGGGTTCCAACCACAACCAGGGGGATGTGGCCCTGCCAGAGGCCCTGTGCCCACCTGAGAGGGCACAGGCAGTTCTGACCACTGCCCAGGAGGGCTCCTCAGACGCTTGTCTACAGGAGGTCAGGATGGAGGGGTCAACCAGCCCCAGTTGCCTTCAAGAAGGTTCCCTGAGACCTCACGACATGAGTGTCAAGGCAGTATAAAGCCAGGAGACCTCGGTTTGCATCCTGGCTACGGCAACAAGGAAGGCCCAGAGCCACTAGGGCCCTGCTTCTTGGGGTGCGAGGAGCTCGGAACAGACTGCCCTCCCTCCAGGGCTGGCAGGACAGGCCTGGGCAAGAACATAGGTTTGTCCTGGACCGTGCTGAGTGTGTGGCCAGCTGCAGCCGGGGCAGGGGCAGGAGCAGGGCTGCCAGGGCCGAGAACGATCCCCGTGCTGTGTGCAGAGCTCTCTCCTTTGCCCTCTGAGGACACGCGTCACTGGACTTCGTGACTGCTCCACCCTATTCCAGAAGGACCTCATTTCAAAACTTGAACTTCAGTCACATCTGCGAAGACCCTTTTTCCAAATAAGGCCACCAGCATTCACAGGTTCCCCAGGAGGACATGTCTTTTGGGGGAAGGGGTGTCTCCGGAAGGTCACGTGGCTGCTGGGACAGCACTGGCCCTTTCTGTGGCTGTTGCCTCCTCTGTGAAATGGGCCTGGTGTGTTCGAGCCCGGAATATATTGCCCAGACATCAGTCTCACAGACCACTGCGCTTCAGGAAGGAGAACTTGGAAAGAAGACCAAAGACACCACCGGAACAAAGGAGCCGGGTCCCCTCCTGCCTACCTGCCAGGTGCATATACAGCTGGAGGCACAAGTGGAAATCTTGGTCAGGCTGTGGACTGTTAGTTCATTAGAGAACCGTGTGTGACAGTATCCTTCCTGCTGGAAAGTCACCAGCCCGTCTCACAGGGCCAGGCAGGGACGGGCCCTGGGGCTGCTGTGTCCCAACATGTGGCCTTGGACCACAGGTCACCATGGGGGCCCAAGAAGGGGAACCACCTTGGTGGTCCAGGGAACACCGCAGAGTGACGAGGTGAGCAAATTTCAAAGGGGACCCGTGAAGGGAGGTTCCCATAAGACCTTGGCAATTACCCCAAACAAAGTGCGCACTTCAAAGGTGGCACCAGATTTCCTACGGCAGAGCCCACGGTGGGGTCCCTTCCTGATGGGTGGACCCAGTTCCTGTTTTGCACCTGCTTCCCCGTGGCGTGCTGGATGCCTGCGGCTCTGCCTCCAGCTCTGTCTGTCCCAGATGCCAGGTGTGCTGGGGCCTTTGATCTTCAGCCTACACTGGGGGTGCTGGTGGGTTCCCTGAGGGCTGCCCGCCACCCTGCCCTGCTGAGGCCTTGATCTCCTGAGAAGGAGCTCCAGGGCCCACTGCCTGCGTGTGATGTATTCTGGTCACCAGGTGGTCAGCAGGCGGAGCTTGACTCTGCAGGCCTGGAGCGGGGGCAGCTCAGAGCAGCTCAGGACAGGGCACTTTGCACAGCACCTCGGCACAGCCCCTCTGGCCTCTCTCCCATCTGCTCTCTGATGGAATGTTCTGGAATGTGCAGACCCTTCACATCTGCATAGCCCTACTGTGTCTCGCCCACTTACTTCTGCTGGGGGGAGCATCTGTCCTACAAGTGGGGGAATGCAGACCTGCCAGGCTGCTTGAGAATCAAGGTCCTGCCTCCCCCATCTGGCACTCATGGTGGGAGGGGGTGAAGGTGAGCCCTGGAGGCCAGAAACACGTGCCCCATTCACTGTGACCACCCCCGGACTCAGCCTGAGCTGATGGACAGGAGGCCTCAGTCCAAGGTCCCCGCCAGACACATCAATCCTCATAGCTGACCTCCAGCCTCATGACAGAAAGGCGGCTGATCCTACACAGAGGGTGGCTGCTTTTGCTAAGGACAATATACCGAGGCTTGACATGGTATGAGGTCTTCAGTCAGGAGCCAGATATTGGCAGCCCTAAGGCCTGAGTAACTTTTTTTTTTTTTTTTTTTTTTTTTTTTTTTTTTTTTTTGAGACAGAGTTCCACCACGCTTGGCTAATTTTTGTATTTTTAGTAGAGATGGGGTTTCACCATGTTGGCCAGGCTGGTCCAGCTCTGCTTAAGGGTGGCCTGGAGGGCTGCAGGAGGGACCTGCTTGCAGCCCAGGGCAGCTGGACACAGGGAGGTCACCACACTCATCCAGTGACTCCACGCTACACACAGGGGAGAGACACACCAGAGGTGGGAGTTAGACAGCGTTCAAACCCTGGGGGCAGCACCCCTGTACCTCTCAGCATGACCAGCGGGCATTCTGCACACCGGGAGACCTGGGCTGTCACGACGGCGGGGTGCGGCGCTACTGGCACGGAGCAGGAGGCCGGGGATGCTGCTGGATGTCCTGCAATGCACGGGACACCCCCACACAACAGAGAGCCCACGGTGGCAGAGGTGCCAGGCTGAGGCCCTGTGCAAGAAGACCATGACAAGGCATCAGCCACGAGCCTCTACCCCTGCCGGGAGGACAGGACCAGCTCCTCTCAGCTTTCTCTCCCATGGACCCTAGACTCGGGCGTGGTCCTGGCTTCGACATGAAGCCCCAGGCACTGGGCAGGACTGGAAGGAATGGCTGAGCGGCCCACTCATCCAGCAGCCACCCAGCCTCCACACCTGACAGTCTGCTATCCAGTCAGCCTCCACCCACAAGGAGGGGACAGCGTGACAGGGAAGTGAGGAAGAGAATCACCGTGGACAGACGGTGACATCTGCCAGAGCCCACAGAGACGCGAGAACAGACTCAGCGCAGAGCCTGAGTGGGGCCCTCCAGCCCCTTCCTTGTCCCTAAGAGGCATCTTCCTCAGGGGCTGGTGGAGCTGCCATGAAAGCAAACGCACAGCCAAACCCCGGGTGGGGGGAAGGCAAACTGCAAACGCCGCGGCGACCCCGGCACAGCAGCCCTGTCAGCAGGATTCCCCCGAGAGCGGGGTAATTGCGGTGGGAACGAGCGCTCCAAAGGCCCTGGGGAGATGATTTCAGGGAAAAGTGGCCTTGATCCCTGAGTCAGGCAGATGCGGCCATGGGAACCATCCACCCCGAGGCTGGAGGGGAGACTCCGCCGGTGGCTAAAGCCATCCTGCTGACGGGGCCCAGGGACGCCCCCAGTGGCCAAACGCACGTGGGAACGGGATCTTCCCCCTCCTCTGTGATGCGGCCAACCCTCCAAGCCTCTGGCTCCTGACTCAGAGGACGATGTCTCCCCATGAACGCAGTGTCCCTGGAGAGAAGAGCCTGCCCAGCGTGGGGAACATGGGAATGTGGAGATGGAGGGCATCCCGGAACCTCAGGGCTGACGGGCCCCTGCCCCAGCCCTGGAAACACCTCAGGGACAAGAGAGTCACTCCTCAAGCGCGGACTTTCCACTGTGCTGGGGCCTTCCGCCTTCCAACCACTCTGGCCCCTTGGGGCTCTAGGTGGAGTGTGCTGAACAGTGTCCCCAAAATTCACGTCCAGTGGAGCTGCGGGATGTGTCCTAGCTGCAAATGCGGTCTCCGCAGGTGCAATTAGCGAAGGACCTTGAGATGAGATCATCCCGGATTAGAGTAGGCACTAAGGCCGACGACAAGTGTCCTCAGCGACACAGAGACAGATCCAGGGGAGACAGAGCCAGAGCCAGCCCAGGATGCCTGGAGCCACGGGCAGCTGGAAGGGGAAGGTGGCACCTTGGGTCTGGACCTCTGGCTGCCAGGACCAGGACCGTCTGCATGTCTGTTGCTAAAGCCAGTCTGTAGGCATCTGTCACCACACATGAGGGGCCAACCGTGCCACCCAGGGGAGACCTCCCGGCTTCTCAGTGCATCAGGCATGGTCAGGGGCAGGACAGCTGCAGCTCACACCCCACTTCTCAGTCACCAGCCGAGTGCACAGCCAATGGCACCTCATCTAAGAGGGGGCTGTGAGTCCCATGTGGTCAGCACCCTGGAGCTAGCTGCCCTGTGGGCTCAGGGAAGTCGTGCAGTGACCGCCACATGGGTTCAGTCCAGAGCCCAGGCCAGAGTCCATGCCCACCCCACAGAGTCCACGCCCACCCCAGAGTCCATGCCCACTCCAGGCAGAGTCCACGCCCACCCCACAGAGTCCACGCCCACCCCAGAGTCCATGCCCACTCCAGGCAGAGTCCACGCCCACCCCACGGAGTCCACGCCCACCCTAGGCCACGGCGCCGCTTTTCAGATGCCTGTTTCGCTCTGGCCATCTAATGCCTGGGAACCGTGATGGGGCAGGAATTTGGGTTTGGGGGTTCTGGCGGCAACCAGATGGCACTTTTGGACCACCAGCAGTGTCTGTCGGTCTTGGAAACTCATGAAGGAGTGGGCCCTTTGCTTAGAGCTGCCAACCTCACACCAGAAGTAAAAGCTTTTTCCAACTCCACAGGCGGGGAAAGACCCTGAGAACTGTCCCCAGCACAGGGCTGTGGCTGCCCTGGCCTCTGTCCATGCGTCTGACGAAGGGCACCGGGAGGTGAAGGCCGCGGGAAAACAAGCCCCGCTCCCGTCCTTTGATTCTGTCCCAGCACACGGCACCGGCAGAGCCCCAGCTTCCCCAGCCTGTCATCCTCCCGAGGCCGACGGCACAGAAGAATGGCAGGCCCAGGACACACTGAGCTCCCAGAGCAAGCGGCGGGTCAAGCATCCTTTATCAACTGCGAGGTCTTCGAGGCCCAAAAGAGGTGCCCTGAGTCGCGAAGTACCCACCCTTGGGGCAGCCAACGCCGCAGCCCTGGCTCCAGGCCCAGGTTGTCCGGAGTGGAGCCACACTCGAGCCTGGCACCAATCTGGGAGCTCCTGAGCGCAATGTCCTGTCTGTCCCTGCATGACCCTGAGACTGTCTGAGATGCCTCACAGAGAGATGCCCTGGAGTCCCCCACAGGCAGGCCAGCCTGGAAGCTTCTCTGGAAAGTGAGCTTTGGCAGCTCGAGGCCGAGCTGTGGCCGACTCCTCCCTTGGTTAACACAGCCTGTACCCAGCTGGGATTCACTTTGAGGCCCTGGGGCTTGCCCTATTTCCTGCCAGGAGAGCGGGGCCCGAAGCTCCATCCTGTCCCCCAAAACTCAGACGTGGAAGCCCTAACCCCGGTGTGGCTGTACGTGGACATGGGGCCTCTACAGATTAAGGGTAAGTGGGGTCCTCAGGGTGGGGCCTGATCTGACAGGATCCTTGTCCACACAAGAGGAGGCCCCAGACAGCTCACTCTCCCACAAGGAAACACAGCGAGGGGGTGTCTAGGAGCCAGGAGGCCGAGCACCCCGCCCAGGGCATCAGGGTCCCTGGCCTGGCGGGGCCTCTCACCGACTCTCCCGCCGGCATCCAGGTAGCAGGGCCCTGGCACCAGACCCTCTGAAGCTGAGACCCACCCACCCAGGCCTGCTCCGCTCTTGCTGTCACCCCCGGAGAAAGCGGCAGTCAGGGCGTGAGGTGAGGAAAAGGGGCTGTTGGACCCTGCATGGCAGTGGCTCCCGTGCCGGGGACGCGGTGAGCCTGGCCTCCTCCCTGCAAGGGAGGACAGCCCATTTCCCAGGGGAAGACACCGAGGCTCAGACACCCTGGCCGGGGGGCGGCAAAACTAGAATCCCAAGGCAGCTGCACATCTAGCACCTGCCCTTGCCCTCTCTCCGGGAGGGCACCCTAGAAGCCCACAGTCCTGATCTGGGGTTCGGAGAGCAGGCTGGGCTGAGCTCTGCTGGGAGCGCCTAGAAGCCCAGCTATGGGTCCACGCACACACTCAGGTGAAGCCAGGCCCAGAAGAAGGAACAGCTCTAAGCCACAGCCCAGGGGGGCTTCTCAGTCCACGAGGCGACCCCTCCACACCCCAGAGCCACAGACAGCCAAGGTGTGGGTGAAACGTTTTTCTCACCAGAACAGCCCAGCAGCTGGGCATGTGCTGTGACCACTGAGGGGGCCTTTGTCAGAAACATCGTCTGGGGGCTGGACGCCCCCACCCACAGGAAGAGGAGACCAAGACAGGGCCGCACACCCCCAGCCAGATGAGGGCCAGATGAGGGAGGCGGCACCTCTTCCTCCAGGAAGCTCCTCAGGAGGGACATCGGGAGGGGCTCAGGGGGCTGCCTTCAAGGAAGCTCAGTGAAGCTCAGAGACCAGTCTGAAAAGGAATGTCCTCCAGACCTCCACCCTCTCAGGATGGACGTGTTACTCAGGAACTGTCCCGTCAGCTTTTCCCGTAACACATGACACCCCACGTGAACCTCCCAAGAGCAGATGGGCCCAGTGCTGTCCACCCGAACGCACCTTGGGAACAGAGGTGTGGGCCTCCCCCCAGCAGCGCATGACCCTGCACACTGCACCCAGGGTCACAGTGGGGGTGGGGAGGGACCTGCCCACTGCTCACGGCTGTGGGACCTGGGGCAGGGCACCCCACTTCTCTGAGTCTAAGGGGCCCTACTAGCTGAAGAACCAAAGGAAAACCATCATTTCAAAACTGTCACGTGACACACAAATGCAGGCCCCTGCCCCACAGCCCAGTGGCACACACGTATTTACCGCCTGGGACACGGGACCGTCCAGAAGTGCCCTACTCATAGGTGTAGGTCACATCCAGGGGTCTCGGCCACCGGGACCCAGGGCCCAGCAGCTCAGCAAAGCCATTCAGCCGGGGTCTGAGCCCTGCCCAGGGGAAGCATTTTCCCCTCCTGGGGTGAAGGACAGCAAGAGGCACGCCGCCCTGGCAGGCTGCGGCTTTCTTTCCTTTTTGTGGACAGAGTGAAAGGGCAAATTTGCTCCAGGGGAATACTGACCTCCAACAGTACAATGTGGGAGGAGAAGGAAAAGAAAGTTTTTATGCAACCTTTTTTTTAAATCTGCCCAACTATCCAATCTGTAACTGTTCAAGGAGAGATTAGTTTGTTCTGCCGCTGACGGCTGCAGCCCAAGCAAAGCACAAAGCGCCCCATTGTGTCCTCCAGGAGGGACGTGCTGCTGCTGCTGGGCTGGGACGGCAGAGCCTGTGCCCTCGCTCCCACCCTCCGCCCTGCAGGCGAAGGCCCAGCCACCCTCTCCTTAGGCAACAGCCTGCGAGTGGACTCATGGGACGGTGGGTCAGATCTGAACCCTCATGAGTACTGTCTCCCTTTCGAAAAGGCTGGGACTAACTGTAGAACCTCATGTGACACCTAAGCCTGCGTGTCCCCATGCCCCAGCCTAGGGGCAGCCATGACTCCCCCAAGACGCGGAGGAGGCAAGGGCTCCCGACCACTCAGGCCCCTGCAGAGTCGCCCCTGTCACTCAGCCAGCTGCCCCTCCCAGCCCGCATCTCAGGAAAGGCCCAACCCCTCAGAAGGGCTTTTCTGGTCTGCACCAGGGCCCCGCTTATTCCCCACTGCGACTCTCCCATTCACGTGCCTATGGCTCTCAGGTCCCCCCATGAGCTCTGGATGCGGGGCCATGTTCTCATTGGGACCCGGCATAGATGCGGCACACGGGACAGAAGATGGTTCTGCGGATGGCCAACTGGGAAGGGGTGATTACAAACTTCCCTGACGAGGAGGAAACAGGTCAGCCAAGGCCTACAGGACCCTAGGGCCAGTGCCTTTCCATAGCACAGGGCCCACCTGGGGGCCAAGGGCAGCAAGGAGGAGCCTTTTCAGCCCCAATGGAGCAGGGCACCCAGGGTGCGGGACAGGCAGGAACAGGTGCGTGGGCCAGGCCTGCTCTGCCAGATTTTCGCTGCATTCTCCAGACCCGGAAAGGGCCACTTGCCAGTCGTTGCAAAATTGAGGCCGGAGTCTCTGCCTTGAAGTATCTGGGGGCGCTGCTGCCAGGTGCCAGCGAGGGGAGGGGGCAGCTGCCCAAGGGCTTTGCGTCCACTGGGGGGTATAAAGTTGGACAACTGCTTTGGGAGAAAGGGGTCAACACAATGTATCTTCTAAAAGCAAGGCATTCATCTGGTAACAAAATAAATCTGTTGAAGCCAAACAGGAGACAGGAATTCTGCAGACACTGCACTGTATCCCAAAGCTCAGAAGGGAATTGCTGGGGGGAGCACGGTGGGAGGACGCTTTCAACAGCTAACGGAATTATAAACCTATTATGTATTCAAGTCGAACAAAAGCTCTTTGCTCTCCCTACCGAAATTTGTTTTTACAAAAATCACGTTCCCCTCCTAAATCTTTCCTGGCTATCTGATGAGCGCAGCCAAGCAAAGGCCTTCACGAGCAAAGCACCCCTTCCGTGCCCACTTCTGGGAGGCACAGGATGGATTTGTCTCCTGCCCGTAAAATGTCACTCAGGCCCAACCACCTCCCTGGGCAACTTCTGAGTGCCCGGGAGCCATGGAATGAGCTCGTCTTGCCTTGAGTAAGGTGCCGGAACCTGAGGTCCCAGGAAGGTTCAGAATTGGGACTTCCTGCCAGCCCTGTCCTGCCAGCTCTTGGGTGGCTCTGGTACCCCGGGCGACTCTGAGAATCCCTGGTCAGACACATGCATGGGGGATGGGCTCGAGCTCCTGAAGGATTGACCTGGGCAACCTTCCAGAGCCACCTGGGAATCAAGTGGGACTTCCCCTCGACGATGAGGCAGGTAACTAACACCTGCTGCAGACTTTGTACAGATTGATACATTTGATAAAGACAGTCTGGCCCCAGCCCCTGGAGCTCGCCTCGCTGTGGTGAGGTCAGTATAGCCCGGCACTGCATCCCCCTGCAGGCCCAGGTTACCTGCTTGGTGTGGAGACCCCTCCCCAGCTGCAGCCAGACTTTGTCCTAAGGCGAAGTGCCACGTACAGCCAGCAGGGGGCGCCAGGAGCAAGGCGGAGGCTCAGCTAAAGCTGCGTGCTGGGTGCTGGGTGCTGCGGGGCACTGTTCAGTTCACAGCCCACCAGTGGCACGGTGCACACAGGAGAGCCTCCCAGCCCTGAGGCAGGGCCCCACACAGGAGGAGGCAGCGTCCTTGTGTCTGCATGTTTTGGCCTGGCCGTGCATGGGGGCGGGGCAGCTCACAGCTTGCTGGGTGAGGACCTTCCTGCCTCTAGGAGCAAGGTCCTTGCCCTGTCCTCTGCAGCCCTGGGGTCCTACCTGCCTCCCCTACAGCCATGTGGGACCAGGCAGCCTCTCTGCAGCCATCGGTGACTGCGAGTCACCAGAGCGTGCATCCGCCGGGTGCCTGCACTCAGCGAAAGCTCCACAGCTCCAGGACTGGGATCATCTCTACCTGAGGCTCTGGGAGAGAAGAGAAGGAGGCCAGCTCCTAACTGCTCTGCTCCTAGGCTGGCTCCAACATGGATGGAGACAAACTCAGAAGGAACTGCAGACAGAGGCATCCCTGCTGGACTCAAGCAACAGGGCCCCCCACTTCAACTGTACCCAACCACGGGTGGGATCCAGTGCCAAGGACAGTGTGTCCCAGGGTCTGTGACCACACAAATGGGAACTGCTTATGAAACCCCAGCCCGACCTCACCGCGGAATGGCAGTGTGGAAAGGGTGGAGGCTCTGCAGGCAGACACAGAACACAGATCTATGGAGTGTGTGTTAAAGGGTCCAGAGACACCCAGCAAAATACCAACTGTGTCAGTCCACGTCAACAGAGAACACAGGTGCAAAGGGGCGGGGGCTGTTTCACACTCACTCTCTTTATTCCTTCTACCAGCCCCAAGAGAAAAAGCAGCTGGGAAAAAGGCTCAGAATCAGTGATTTCCCCAAGATCACACAGCACAAGACCAAAGTCTGGGCCAGCCAGCCTTAAAACCTGTGCGCCAGACTGCTCTCACCTGTTCCCGAATGCTAACAGTGGACACGTCTGAGTGATGGGGTTACCACGTTTGTTTTGTTTTCCATGCTTACCTCATCTTCTTTAAAAAGCAGACAGAAACACAGAGACAATCCCACACCTGCCCATGGAATGATGAATGAATCACAGCATGACCAGGAGCATGGCCCCGTCGGGGGTGGGTGAGGGGCGACAGCACGTGGGACTCTGACAGACCCAGGGTGAGATGGCTCGGGTGAGGTCTGCATGGCAGGCATAGCCCCTGCCAGGCCTGGAATGTTCCACATCGCCCCCAGGTGAGGTTACAACGCATCAGCTGGGCTCTCAAGATTCACAGACATCGCAGCGTAAAAAACAAGAAAAACTGCCAGAGCCCCTCCCAGTGGTGGCCACGCTGTCCCACGGGAGCACTCCTGTGTCCCCCTCTGGGTCGGATTTCACTTGCTGGGTGATTTTCCCAGAGGGAAATCTCCACGTTGTACAGCACTGCAGAGCTGCGGACTGGGAGGCACCCGGGGACGGGACCTCATGCCCTGTGAAGGACACACAGGCAAAGCCTCGAGGGGCCGCCGGTGGGGCCTGGGGGACGTACTCACCCTTCCCGATCTGGACGAAGCCCAGCAGGATGATCAGGGCCAGGGCCAGGAGCTTGGCGGCGGCAAAGGCATCCTGGACCCGGGTGGCGGCCTTCACGCTGTAGCAGTTCACGGCCGTGAGCAGCACTGTGGAGACAGAGGGCAGCGGTGAGTTCCACGGGCAGACAGACGCCAGCTCAGGGGTAGGCTGGGAGGTGACGACCCCACCCCCACCCCAGGGCCAGGTCCACCAGAAAAACAAGCTCCTTAAACAGCTCCAGTCCCCTGCCAGCCCTTAGGGCACGTTCTGACTTTCTGAGACCTGTTTTGATAAACTTCGCAGTCCTTTCAGGTCTAAGGGCTGGATCCCAGGTGCCCCTTAAGATCTGCAAGGGACCTTTCCTCACCCCCCACCACACCAGGCCATGGAGTCCCACCTGTAGTCAGGACTTCAAGTGGGGTCACTGCCTCCAGAGACCCAGGTGAGCAAGGTGACCCTGCCACTTGGAAGGCGCCCATTACACCTTTTTGTACCTACTCAGCACCCTGACCTGACTGTGAGACCCACGCACAGCCCGACTGCCGGACTCCATGAGGGCGGGGCCCTTTCCTCAAAGAGGATCTTCTGTGGATTCCAACAGAAGTGGGGTGTCCCGCTTTCCCGGAACTACCTGGCCAGTCACCTGGGGACGGCAGCCTGGGAGGGGCCACAGGGGCCTGTGGTGAGCAGAGCAGACCCTGCTGCCCTGCTGCTTTGGGGGCATACGATGAAACCCAAAATAGCACCGTGTGCTTCAGAAGCCTGAGTGACCCCACACAGATGGCCAGAACGCCTGCCCCAGGAGGCGCTGAGATGTGGGGTCAGGCACGCTCAGACAGGTCTCCAGACACCAGCACGTCCTCCTGGGCCCTGTAAGGCACCCAGCTCTGAGCCTCTGTGTGTGTGTGTGTGTGTGTGTGTGTGTGTGTGTGTGTGTGTGTGTGTTGGGGGTTCTGTTGCAATATATAGGCACGCTGAGCCACTGTGTGTGTGTGCGTGTGTGTGTGTGTTTTGGGGGGTTCTGTTGCAATATGTGCGCACGCTGAGCCACTATTCAGGGATCTGTGAGCTGGTGGGGAAACAGCCACCCCCACAACTTAAAATGAAGTAAAATCATATTAATCCCGAGGCACTGACTCCACGACACCCCTCACTGCCTGCTGCACTACCCTTCACTCCTCTGCTCACGAGGTTATCTGTCGCTGTCAGCAGCTTGAAATCTGCCAGTGGGAACGTCTACACCCCAGAAGTGGGCAAAGGCCCAGCACGGGCCACCCACACAGCTCAGATCTCACAGCCCTCCCGGCACCGCACCACTAAGACTGCAGGAAGGTGAGAGCATCAGAAAGGCCGTGGGCTCCTCTTCTCTCTTTCCCCTTGGGAGTAACGCTCAGAAAGGTCTGGCCAGCCAAGGCCTTGAGGACTCCAGTGGCTTTTCCCCAGCTGAACAAATCCTGTGGAATCTTACAATGTAAGCAACAGACCCCGAGGAAAGACATCCATGCTAATTAACTAATGACACCGGAAACGTCCTGAGGTGCGGGACGGGCTGCCGCCTGCCTATCTCTCAGAAATTAACCACCCCGCTACAATTCTGTGGATGCCAGAGCGGAGACGGCTACTACACACCAGGAAAGTCTGGTTGAAAAATGTCTGAAAGTCAGTGTTTTCGCTGCTATTCCTAAAATAAAATACTTGAAATTCCGGAACTTCCACTCCTCACCCAAACTGAAGAGGTGATTCTTCACCTCTTCCCAGGGCTCCCAGGGACATGGAGATGTTACCAGTCCAGAGCTCTCCAGTCCAACCCTCAGGGCTCAGCAGGGTCAGGTCAGTGGGTCTAGGCAGCTCCTTGTCCGCTGCACAGGGCAAGGGGCAGGTCCTGGCTTGCCAGTCCCATTTCCTTATGGTTGGGGGGAGCACGACCATAAAAGAAACTGAGCCTCGGGGACCTAGCCGGCTTCTGGAGAGCTTTCTGGATTCGCAAGAGGCCGGCTGATTGCATCACTCGCTCATTCATGCCCGGAGGGAGGCGGGGAGTGGGTGTGGCCAAGCCGCACTCGAGGCTGCCTCTCCCCAAAAGGGAGAGAGGCACGCTGCCACCACTGAACTCCAGACACCAGACAGGCGCTGCGGAGACACTGAGCACTGCCCTCGCGGCTGTCACGTCTGCGGCTGTCACGTCTGCTAGGGGGTTGGGGGGTCCAGGAAGGGCAGCGAGTTGCCCAGAATTGCCCAACCACGGGCTGTCCTGCCACACTGACGTGGTGCTGGGTAATGACGCCATCAGGGCTGTCACTGTGGGTGGGACAGAGGCCAGGACCCCCCCGCCCCCCCCCCCACCGCCAGCCTGACCCTGCCTGCCCAGTTCCAACCCAGCCGCTCCCCAACCAAAAACAGTCTGGAGGGGCTGACGGGTGCCACCGGGAGGGTTCACCAGATCATCTCCTGACGTTGGAAATAACCACAGGACAGACAGGCGGGGGCCGGGTCTTGAAGTCAGGTGGGGAGCAAAATGGCCATAGAACAAAGGGGACCTTATATTTATTCCTTTTATAACAAGAACATAAATTTTCATGTTCACTGACTTTGGGTGATGAGTAAACAAAGGTTTCATTATTCTCCACAGTGTCCTTTTTTTTACGTTTTAAGATGAGATAAAATCTTAAACAAATACATGAATTCATCTGGGTTCAGTACCTTTCGACCTTAAGGAGGCGAGGCAGTCACAGGATAAGTCTGGGGTTTGAACCTCAGTCCCTGCTGGCACTTGCCCTCTCCCAAGCCTCAGTGTCCACACCATGGAGGGGCTGCTGGCTGCCCCCACAGCAGGGAGATCGACAGGGCTGTGCCCTGAGTCAGAGTGAGGGGGCTGAGCACACAGGGCCAGCCACCCCCAGATAAGTGTGGCCGCGCCAGCCTGCGGGGACAGCTGGGCCAGGAGATAAAACCCGTCCGGGGATACCCCGTGGCGTGGCTTGGCTTGATTGGCAGATAGCCGGGCAGGCTGAGCTGGGGGCCCCTCCCAGTCTGGGGTGCTGTCTTCCCCGTCCTCACCTGGCTGCCTCCCACCTGGCTGGCTGGCAGGGGCTCCAGAGGAGCTGGGGTGCCTTGGGGGCAGTGCATTGGAGGAACCCCTGCCCTCCTCCTCCCTTCACCTGTGTCTCCACCACCCTTCAGGGCCATCAGCCACAGAAACATCCTCATCTTCGGGTGGGCATTGACAGCAAGGCCCACAGCCCGGTGAAGGAAGGACAGCCCTGGCCATACCCAGAGCCAGCGCCAGGGCCTTGGCCAGGACACCTGTCACAGTGAGGCCCAAGCTGTGGTCCTGGTCCTGACTCAAAAGCCACTTCAGATACCCTGAGGCTCACGCAGGAGGGATTGGGGACGCGGCCAGCCCATTTCTCCTCAGGACCCTGGGGTGGGCACCAAGGCCTCCCACTGCTCTCGCCACGTGCCCTGCTGCTCAGAGCTGGGGCGTCCCGGGGAGGTTGCCACCACCCAGCATGAGGTGGGGGACACCCCCACCCCCTTGTGCCTCCCCATCTCTGGGGTGGGGCCGGCAGTGATACTGACCTCAGAGACCATGCAAGAAGGCACCTGAACAGGGAGGGCCCACAGACGGGACAGGTGCATACTGCTGGCTGGGCCCACAGACGGGACAGGTGCATACCGCTGGCTGACCCCCCAACTCTGCTCAATCACACACGTGCACACACACGCACAGCACCCCCACAACTTGTAAACCAGGAGGCTGCCTTCTCCTGGCCCCTGGCCTTACCCCTCTCCCCTCGGGGGGATGACTCTCTGAGGTGCCTCCCTGCCTGATGCCCGTGAACGCTCACCTCTGCGGCAGCCGGCTCTGCTCACCTCCCCTGATGCTGGCATCTTGGTCTCCTGGCCCCAACTCTGTCCAGCTCCTGATAAAATCCCGCTACAAGCAAAGGGATGATCCCCCAGGGTCCAGTGTTGGAGGAGAGGGGTGGGGGAAGGGCCAGTAACAGGTGTGTTCAATATGGAGAGCAGGTGGGACCTGTGGGCCCCGGCTGGGTGGGGACCCCGCAGGCCCCATGAACCCACCCCACACGGACTAATGCCTGATTCTTTCAGGTAATAAACATGTACCAGGTACAGGAGCATCCGTGGATAGGGTTCAGGGTCAGCCACAATGAAAATCCTCTCTGTTGGCCACAGAGGCTGCTCCCTGGGCCGCCGGTCCTCACCTGCCCCCGAGCCAGGCACAGCAGTGAGTCCTGCAGGGCTCAGCACCTTGGCCTGTCTGTAAGTGGGAGTACCCAGTGAACATGATCCTCCCGGGCCCCTTCGAGCCCAAACACAGCCACTGTGAGTGCCCCAGGCAGGCGTCCAGCCCAGGCAGGCATCCTGCAGTCCCTTCTGTCATTTTCAGACCCAACAGAAACAGAAGTGCTCCTGCCAGGCCCCCGAGGACTGCCTCCAGGAGTCATCTGTAATGACAGGCTGTGTTCCGCGCACGGTTTCAGAGTCTGTCCAGAGGGCCAATGCTGGGGCTGGGGCAGAGATGGTCCAAGGCCTGTGAGCTGTGCAGCTTTATAGGCAAATGACGATTGTTTACCCAGAACTGCCTGCTGGAGACAGCACAGAGGAAGTGGCCGGCAGCTTCATCAGTTCCAGGAAGCCCAGGCAGCCTGGTCCCCCAGGGTGCACCGGGCACAGCAGTTCGCACGGGGCCGGAGAGCGGCAGCTGACCACAGCAACTACAGCTGGCCCGACACCGGGCACAGGTACCAGCCCAGCCCAGTCCCGCCCAGTGCAGCCTGTGGCCCCTAGCGGAGCCAGCACCTGGCAAACCTGACACCCAGCCTTGGAGCTTGGGCCCCCCTCTGCAGCTGGCTGGGGCTCCTGAGACAGCTTCTTTGTCGGAATCCACTCGGTACGCACAGGGCCCCGAACTTGGTGGCTGCCCAGTGCACATGGGGCTTTAGTAGAACCAGTACCTTCCTCCCTGGCCCCTTCAAGTCTAAATATCCCCTGCTCTGAGTACAAGCCTCCACCTTCTCCACCGACAGACAGCCCCCACCATCTCCCGTGTCATCCCCCGGGGGAACTTATAAAAGCAGTGGTGGGGGAGGCGGATGGAAACCCAGAGCTTCTGATCAGGCAGGTCCGGGAGATGGAGACAACACATCTGCACAGAACAAGGTCCCAGGGAGGCTGGTGCTGCCGGCCTGGGGAGCGCCCCCAGCACAGGCGCGTGCTTCCCTGATGGACACGTCACCGCCCCGGGCTCCAGAAAATGAATGTGTCTGACCCAGTGACCCCTGTCCTCACCCAAGGCCAACCTCACCCCAGAATGGGCTGGAATGCCAAGCCTGCCCATGCCGGCTCCAGATCCACCTGCCTCCCTGCCACTGCTGGCCAGAGAGAGAGGTCAAAGTGGTCCGGAAACCCCAAGGAAAATGAAGCAGTTCCGGGGCAGGGAAGCAAAGGCAGCGTTCACATTTTTTTTTTTTTTGAGACGAAGTCTCGCTCTTGTCGCCCAGGCTGGAGTGCAGTGGTACGATCTTGGCTCACTGCAACCTCCGCCTCCTGAGTTCAAGCCATTCTCTCACATCTACCTCCCGAGTAGCTGCAGCCTCCGCCTCTGGGGATCAAGTGATTCTCCTGCCTCAGCCTCCTGCCTCAGTAGCTGGGATTACTGACACCTGCCACCACACCGGCCTAATTTTTGTATTTTTAGTAGAGACAAGCGTTCACCATGTTGGCCGGGCTGGTCTCGAACTCCTGACCTCAGGCGATCCGCCCACCTTGGCCTCCCAAAGTGTTGGGATTACAGGCGTGAGCCACCGCGCCTGGCCGGGATGGTCTGCTTATAATGGCTCAATTTTGATGCCCAGTCTCTGCAGAGCACAAGGCCCCACCTTTGGGCCGGACATACAGATGTCCCTGGGCAAACAGAGAGATGATCCCAAGGCCCTGGCCCCACCTGTCTGCTCAGTGTTGAAACAGATTTCTGTGAAAACAAATTACTAACAGGCTGGTGTCACATTTTCAAATTCTGTCACCAGCCCTTGAACACATGTCTTTGTACTTTTTTCCATTTTTAACCGGGGCTGAGTTACGCCCAACCACACTGTCCTGGCTGGCACGGGGGAGGAGGTGTCAGCTGCTGTCCAGAATGGGGCTGACACATTCATTTTAAACAGGCCAGGAAGATGCAGATTTGGCAAGCTCTGAAATTTGCCAACATCCCAAGTCCAGGGTAAGCAGGAGAACTGGAAAAGGGCAGCTTCTCATGTGGTCAGGTTCTCCTGACACAAGCGTCCTGGTGGATTTGGGTTTCCCAAGGGTCCTGACTCCAGGAGACCCCCAGGGCTGACAGGAAGGGCCACCGCTCCCTCTGAAACTCTGAAACCAGGCCACCCGGTGCTGAAATGCTGTGTGAACTCCGGCAAGTTCCTTTGCAGGGACTGAGCCTCCCTTTCCTGTTTCCAACAGACTGGAACAACTGCCTCCTGCTGCATGGGCGAAATACCTCGCGGACGTGTCTTACGGCGCCCCATGAAAGCATCACCATTAATCTGACCAGTCACCGCAGCATGAGTATCTTCAGGGCACAGATGAAGCCGTGGGCACCAGTGATAAGGAGTTGCCACTGCTGGCTAAGTGCGGAGCCTCACACATCTGTGGTCCGGAAACCCACGCCCCACTCCAAACCCTCTACAGCTCCAACAGTTATGCTAACAAGAAAAAGGAGTGAAAACCCGCTCCAGTCACGGTATTGTGGAGGTGGAAGGACACTTGTGGCAGCCAATCCAACACCTCCATTTTATAGCCGGGGTAAACGTAGTTCAGAGAGGTTGTCCCACTTGGTGAAAGTCACACAGCAGTTCCTGGGCGGCAAAGTGAGGACATCCAGGTCTCCTAAATCTCACCCTCGTGCTCTGGCCACTTGACTGGGATTTTCAATCCCGGCTGTCAAAGAGAAGCACCAAGTCCACTTGGGCTCCTGGCCAGCGTCCAAGCCAGTCCAACTCAACAGCAAGCGGAAGCAAATACCACACAATGAACTCGTTGAACAGACTCTGCGCTCAGGCTTAACCAGTGCACAGCCTGTACACCCGACAGGAGGATGCAGCTGTTCCAAGCTAAGGCCAGGGCCTCTCCCCAATCCCGATGGGCTCTGCAGATGCAGTGATGGAAGAATCCCTGGTGACGGGGAGCCCTTAGCTCTGAGCAGGACCTGAAGCCATCTCAGGGCTTGCACCGGCCCAGATGCTGCTGCACAAGTGCTCCAGGGGCTCCTGCCCTGCCCTCCTCACCTGCCCCCTCACCTGTCAGGGATGTTTGATTCCTGGCTGGCCCCTCCCCTACCTGACCCCTGCCAAAGACCCACGTCACCCCAGGCTTCCAGCTCTGAAGCAAACGACCAGAGAAGTCAAGCGCCTGGCTCCGGGCCACACAGCTTGAGGGACTCAGAGCTCCAGGGACAGTGCCCGGGCCCTGCTCAGGCCTTCTGCAGAGGCCCTGGGCTCTTCCAGTTGACTCAGCTCACAAGGCCCCTACACGGTAGCAGGTGAAGACAGGGCCCCAAGAACCCTCAGGCTCTGAAGCCACACATGAGAGCCGTGGACAGAATCCTGCATTGGCCTCCAGCAGCTCGAGAGCACAGGGACAAAGCTGGACTGGCCCCGGGGTCACCATGGCCTTGGTTTTGTAGCAGCTGCAGTTTGAGCACGTACACCAAAAATAAAATTCTAAGCCCCGTAACTGACTAAAGGGACCCCTCCTATTGCCAAAGGGATATTCCAAAGTTAACCTGAAAAACGAGCTCAGGTCACGATGGGAAGAGGGGGTCACACAGGCCTTGTTATACCCCCTCCCTCTGGAATTCAGGTACAGCGGACCAGCACTAACACTCAAACACAGATCTTGGCCTGGCTCAGTGGCTCATGCCTGTAATCCCAGCACTTTGGGAGGCTGAGGTGGGCAGATCACGAGGTCAGGAGTTCGAGACCAGCCCGACCAACATGGAGAAACCCCATCTCTACTAAAAATACAAAATTAGCCAGGCATGGTGGCGGCAGGCACCTGCAATCCCAGCTACTTGCGAGGCTGAGGCAGGAGAATCGCTTGAACCGGGTTGCAGTGAGCTGAGATCATGCCACTGCACTCCAGCCTGGGTGACAAAAACAAAACAAAACAAAACAAAACAAAACACAATATTCGTCTCCACAACCTCCTGTCTTACCCAGATACTCCTTTCTATTGATACCAGGTCTTTAGCTAATAACTCTTTCAACCAATTGTGAATCAGAAAATCTTTTGCCAGGCACGGTGGCTCACACCTGTAATCCCAGCACTTTGGGAAGCCAAGGTGGGCGGATCACCTGAGATCAAGAGTTCGAAACCAGCCTGACCAACATGGTGAAACCCCCGTCTCTACTAAAAACACAAAATTAGCTGGGCATGGTGGTGCATGCCTGTAGTCCCAGCTACTCGGGAAGCTAAGGCAGGAGAATCACTTGAACCCAGGAGGCGGAGGTTGCAGTGAACTGAGATCATACCACTGCACTCCAGCCCGAGTAACAAAAGCATCTCAAAAAAAAAAAAAAATACACACACACACACACACACACACACACACACACACACACACACACACACACACACACATATATATATAAAGAAAAAGGAAATCTTCGAACCCACCTGTGACCAGGAAGCCCATCCCCGCCTTGGAGTTGTCCCGCCTTTCTCGGCAGAACCAACAAATACCTTTCATGTACTGACTGATGTCTGCCTGTAACTTCTGTCCTTGTAGGAGGTATGAACTCCAGCTGTGGCCCACCCCCTGGGGCACATGTCCTCAGGGCCTCCAGGCCTTGGTCCTCACATTTGACTCCGGATAAATCTCTTCAAACATTTTACAGAGTCTGGCTTTCTCGTTAACAAGCAGCTCACACATACAGTGTCTCAGTAGTGACAGATGCTGGCCCACCCCGAGGTCAGGATGACTCAGCAGGGATCGAGTTTGCGGGCGTCACGCTCCAAGGCCCAGAATAGGAGGTCGGTGCTCATTCCTCACGTAGTGGGCAAATCCTAGGGCAGGGGAGGGGCGGGCAATGCCAGAGAACGGTCCCCACCTGGGGTGGTCTGACGGCCAGGGATGCAGGGAGAGACGCCTCCCACACTCCCGGAGGCACGCACGTGCTGTGGCCACCCCGGAGGGTCCGCCTTCCAGAGGGAGAATTCAGGATTCGGCCAGTATCAGGGAAGGAGACGCTGTGGGGGGCCCTCCTGTTGGAAAAGGGCAGCAGCGGGAAGAGGGTGCTGCCACAGGGCCTCTGGGGAGCGTGCGGGCACACAGTACCAATCTGCATGCATACACGTGTCCTGTCCCTGCAGACGGGCCAGGCAAGGCCTGCCCATGGCCAGCTATCCAGGTGATGCTCCAGGGAGGGCCAGGCCTACTGGGGGGCAGAACCCTGTGGCTGTCCAGGGTACCTGGATGTGAGTCTGGGAAGGATGGAGAAGGGTGGAGGAGCGCAAAGGGCCCCTAGGGGATGCTGGGGAACACAGATGAGCCTCTGACCCACCTGTGTCCTTACCTGGGCCGACTGGGCCACCCAGTCTTGCTGACTGACACCTCCCCAGACCCCTGGCACCCACCAGACTCCCCAGGCGTGGCTTTGTGCTCCCCTATGCCTGATGACAAATGGTGGCCTCAGTGTAGAGGTGGGCACTGTGGCCCCTGGCTCCTGGCTCGCTCCTGCCTCAGTTTCCCCAGCTGTAAATTGGGGATTATCACTGGCTTCAAAGGCTGGAGTGCAAAGTGGTGGCCAAGAGGTGGCCAAGAGGTGCCAAGAGGTGGTCCAAGAGTGTGCCCTACCTTGGACACCCCTCTCCTGGGGGTGGCTCTCAACCTGGCCTGGGCCCCCGGGGGTCTGCGCAACCCACCCTTCTGTGTGAAGGCGGCTGATACACATTTCTGGGCAAGATTCTGCACATTCTGCTGGATTATGAAAGAGGTCTGTGACCCAAGAAAAAAGGGTCACAAGTGCCCGTTAGGCTCTCCTGTGTGGCTCAGGTCATGTGCTTCTGTGAGCTCCCCCTACGGCCTTGCCCCGAATCCCGTGATGCAGCGTGACCTGCCTAGGTGCCGGCGGCACTTTCATGTGCGGCTGGGAAAGTCAGATTTCAGCACTAATCACTGGCTGCCGCCTGCAATGAGCCCACGGCTTGAGCTCTGGGGCCCACCCAGCTCCTTAAACACGCAGAACCTTTGCCAGCTGAGCCAGGATCCCAGCTGTGGGGGGTTGGGGGTGGAGGGGTGCAGGGATCCCAAAACCCAACCCGGGGCCAGGTTTTACACAGGCCTGGACTGAGAAGTGGGGCTACAGGCTACAGGTGCTTGATACCCCAGGGGGGCCCTGGAACAGGCCTGGACTGAGAAGCGGGGCTACAGGTTACAGGTGCTGGATACCCCAGCGGTTGGGGGGGTGGTGCTGGACACCCAGGGGGCAGATAGAGGCAGCCAGGCAGCCTGAAGACCCTGGGGCAAAACACACACAGGCCCCCTCTGCTCTCTGGTCACTGCTAACTGGCCAACTGGCCTTTGAGTCCACTGACCACAGCTAAGCCCACAGCCATCAAAACCCACCCCTTACACCCTTCACCCTTTAGGGAGGGGCTCAGAGACAGTTGTGGCGATTCCTACTTCCACCCATAGCCCCCCGACCCTGGGCCTGTGCCGAGCGTGGGTGGGTGACATCATCTCGCACCCAGAGCTCCAGACTAAAGGAAACCCTGGCTCCTGTCTCTGGCTCTTCCCTCCCTCTCTTTGTTCCCTTGCTCCTTCCTTCTTTTGCCAGAGGAGAAGACAGTGAGGCTGAGGGCTGCTCCATGTGCACAGTGAGCAGGAGATACAGGCACGTGGAGGGACGGTCACAGCCCGTGCAACTGGCACCTTCACACGCAGAGGCCTGGGATTCCCAGACACCTGGCGCTGGGGCCAATCCCATTCCACAGTCAGAAACAGGCTCGGCGGGGCCAGGTGGATTTCTCAAAGCCTTGGTTGCTTTTGGCCTGATGCTAGCTGGACAGTGTCTCAGCTCACAGGTTCCTAAACGCATACCCGCCCACACCAATCTGCTGAGGAGTGACAGCCATGGGGAGGAGAGCCACCTCACTCCAGGGACCCTGGCACCGTCTCCCATGAGGCCAGGTGTCCTCAGCCACCCGCAGCCAGAGTCCCGCGAGACCGACGGACGGCCTGCCCCTGCGTGACGGCACGCCTGGGACTGTCTCAGCAGCCCCCCATGCTTCACCCAACTGGGACAGGGAAACAGGAGGGGGCTACTTCTGCTTTCAAGGCATGGAGGAGCTGTCTGCAGGCCACTTCCCGAACACCTATGCGCTTGGAGAAGTGACTGAGACTGAGCCAGGGTATCTTCTCCACGATGCAGTGAGCCCATCGGGCCCTTCTTCTGAGAGCACCTCCCTGGAGGTGGAAGCCCCTGAGGCCCACAGCATCTTCTGAACCTGTGAGTTCCCACTTACTGAGAACTCGCCTGGATCAGTGCCGGGCCACAGTGGACCGGGACTTTGAGTGGATGCTACCCTACTCGCTATGCAGAGCCAGCTGGGGCCCAGGGAGGTCAGATAAACTGCCCAAACCAAATCCAGGCCCAGCCAGAATCTCAGCTCCAGCCTTTGCGCCTTCTGATAAAACCCAGCATCGCTTGAATTTCCAGTACACGCTGCCAAGTCTTCGTTAAGCAATAAATAACCACACAACCCTACTGTCATGCCAAGTTCCATATGGCCATCCAGAAAGAGACACATGGAGCTGGTTCCTCTCACCTTTATGACCAGTGAAAAGCGCACCAACACGAAGACACGCGTGAAAGGACCTCATCTCCTACCCAGACTGACAAGCAAGGGATTTTTTTCACTCACCGTCAGTGGGATGGTTCTAAGCACCGAGGCCAACCCATTTCACACGATTATTTCACAAAAAGAAACCTTCTGTGGGACGTGCCTGGGCGACTGAAAAGACAGCCAGCAAAACTGAGAACCTTGTTCTCAAATCTATACCCTCTCCCAAGGCAGCCTCAGAGGCCCGAGGGCTGAGGATCCAGACCCGAAAGCCACTGTACCTTCTGTAGGATCAGGCTCAAGGAATAAGGGGGTAAAAGGTGCCCTTTCCCTTCCTAAGCAGAAAATTCCAGAACCCAACCTTATGTGTGATCATTTAAAAATATATATATATATATATATATCAGCCGAGTAGGCTGACTCACGCCTGTAATCCCAGCACTTTGGGAGGCCGAGGTGGGCGGATCACCTGAGGTCAGGAGTTCGAGACCAGCCTGGCCAACGTGGAGAAACCCTGTCTCTACTAAAAAATACAAAATCAGCCAGGCATGGTGGTGCATGCCTGTAATCCCAGCTACTCGGGAGGCTGAGGCAGGACAGTCGCTTGAACCCAGGAGGCAGAGGTTGCAGTGAGCCGAGATCGTGCCATTGCACTCCAGCCTGGACAAAAAGAGCGAAACTCCACCTCAAAATAAATAAATAAATAAATAATAAATAAGTAAAATAAATCACTTTCTATGGCTTTTCACTGCTCCAGGAGCAATGTCCACAGATCAAACGCCCGGCCTCTCCTTCACACCCTGGAGCGCCCATCCTGCCCACTGGTCCGGGCTCCAGGCTGCCCCCTGCACCTGTCAGAAGCCCCCCTATAAGGGCAGGGTCTCCCTTCCCGGGACATCCACTGCCCTTCTCCGAGCTGAAGTCAGAATGACCTGAGAATCAGCTTGGAGTTCTACCAGCCTCAGCAAAGCCCACCTCTGCGACAGCACTCCTTGCAGACCCCTGACCCGGTGACAGATGAATAAAGTACAGACACACAGATATTCTGCTCTGCCAGTCCAGCTGAGGGTCCCAGCCGCTTATAGGCTCCCTGCTGAGTCCTGTAAACAGTTGCTACTTGGCCCTGATCAGCTAGTCAGACGTGCATTTATTCAGTATGATTAACTAACAAAAGCTTGAGTCAACACCATTAGAATGTAACAGACATTGTGGACTTCCCAAGTAAAAAGCACTTAAACACCCACGGTCTTAAGATTATGCGAGTAAACAAGCTAGCTAGGTAAACTACGCTGCCTTTCTTTTATCACTATTTTTATTTGTTTAATTAAAGGTAAAGGGATCAGGCCGCCTTCAGCCAGAGCTAATTACCGAAGTTATGCCAACTTCTCGGCCTTCCAAGATTTGTGTCTATTTCTATAACTATCTCTAATATCTTTCCCACCAGAATGATTGAACCCCAACACACCTCCCTCTCTCAGCAGGGTCTGCCTGTTCAGAGAACACAGCTTCTCTTTCTTGCCTTACACACAGGGGCAAGAATAGATTCACTCTTGCAGAGAGTACATCCCTTTCTGTTACTGAAAATCACTTTCCAAAAAAAAAAGCAACACATACACACATACTCACCACACACACAGGTGGGTCAGAGAAAAAAAACAAGTACAAATGGCTTAGGGACATGAGAAGTGTGGCCCTAACTTTCGCTGAAAGGGACCCTATTAACATTAACCCTCACCTCTGGGTCAGAGAGGGTTGGCACTCTAGGGCCTGCCTTGAAGCTTTACCTACTGGGACCAAAAGGACTGCTTGGAAAGCTATTTTAGGCCAGGTGTGGTGGCTCAAGCCTGTAATCCCAGCACTTTGGGAGGCAGAGGCGGGTGGATCACCTGAGGTCAGGAGTTCAAGACAAGCCTGGCCAACATGGTGAAGCCCCGTCTCTGCTAAAAATACAAAAAATTAGCTGGGCATGGTGGGCACCTGTAGTCCCAGCTACTCGGGAGGCTGAGGCAGGAGAGTCGCTTGAACCCGGGATGCGGAGGTTGTAGTGAGCCAAGATCGTGCCATTGTACTCCAGCCTGGGTAAGAGCAAAACTCCATCTCAAAGATAAAATAAAATAAAAATAAATTTAAAAAATACTTTTTAAAGCCCTATTACCACAAAATAAATCCAGGAACGCGTGACTTGGTACAGCCTCTTTGGAAGGCACATTAGCTATTACATTAGAATCCACACCCCGCCGGGTGCGATGGCTCATGCCTGTAATCCCAGCAAATTGGGAGGCTGAGGCACATGCCTGTAATCTAAGCTCCGGAGGTTGAGGCAGGAGAATCGTTTAAACCCAGGAAGCAGAGGTTGCAGTGAGCAACGAGCCTGGGCAACAGACACAGACTCTGTCTCAAAACAAAATCAAAAACAAAAAGCAAAAAACCACATACCCTTTTCCCATTTGCACAAAGCTGGGAAACCCCAAATGCCCTCCACAGGGTTCTATGGGGGGGCGGGGGTGCGGTGAGCACACTTGTTCCTGCCGACACAGGGAAGTCTTCTTAGCAGCTAAAGAGGGCAGCCTCTGCGTACTGCCTGGGAACATGGCAAAACCATTTTAGGCTTTAAAAAAAAGGTGGAGAACAAGTTGTACATTATGATCTTTTAAATAAATAGGCCAGCGATATATTTGTAACAGAAGCAGCTCCGGAAGCATACACTGTCAGCCGCAGAAACTCTGGGGGTCGGGGGTGGTAAAGGAGGAGAAATGTGTCACCCAGGCAGGAGCTCAGTGGCACCATGCTTGGTTCAAGCAGTTCTCCTGCCTCAGCCTCCGAGTAGCTGGGACTACAGGTGTGCGCCATGACGCCCAGCTGATTTTTGCTTTTTTTTTGAGATGGAGTTTCGCCTTGTTGCCCAGGCTGGAGTGCAGTGGTGCGATCTCAGCTCACTGCAACCTCCACCTCCTGGGTTCTAGTGATTCTCCTGCCTCAGCCTCCCGAGTAGCTGGGATTACAGGCATCTGCCACCACACCCAGCTAATTTTTTGTATTTTTAGTAGAGATGGGGTTTCACCATGTTGGCCAGGCTGGTCTCGAACTCCTGACTTCAGGTGATCCGCCTGCCTCGGCCTCCCAAGTGCTGGGATTACAGGTGTGAGCCACAGTGCCTGGCTGGTTTGAATTTTTAAATGATGATGAATTCATGTATGACTGATGTGATTTTTATTAGAAAGAGAAAACTAGGCAGCGCCCCATCCTACGTCTCCTTCCTGGTGGCCAATGAAGCATTTCCCACGACTCACTCCTGGCACCAGCAGGAAGTCAGAGACTCAGCACCCAGGGGCTGCTTTTTTTTTTTTGAGACAGGCTTGCTCTGTCACCCAGACTGGAGTGCAGTGGCGGGATCTCAACTCACTGCAACCTCCACATCCCGGAGCATGCCTCAGACTCATAAGCAGCTGGGATTACAGGCGTGAGCCACTCTGCCCGGCTAATTTTTGTATTTTTAGTAGAGATGGGGTTTCACCATGTTGGTCAGGCTGGTCTCGAACTCCTGACCTCGGTAGATCCGCCCGTCTCGGCCTCCCAAAGTGCTGGGATTATAGGCGTGGGCCATCACACCCAGCCAACCAGGGGTTCATTTTTTAAAGATAAGAGTGCAGGCTGCGTAAGCTACTATCCATGTCGTTACATACCGGGCCGACATGTACCTAGGCGGGAGGGAGACTGAACCAGTGAAATTCTAATGACAAAAAAAGAAATCAGAGTCATCCCCTACATTCACATCTCCAACGCCCAGCTGGAAGGCACAGGCTCTCCCCACTGCTGTCCTGCTACGATTTTTCCCGGCTTTGACCTGCATGGTGGTGCGGCTGCTCGACTCAGAGCCTCAGAGAAACCACACAGAGCCCTGCTGAGTCTTGCCCTCGGGGCATTCTCACATTTATGAAGAAATGCCTCCCCCTCCCCCTCCCCCCCAAAGTACGGTGTGGCAGAAAACAGCGCCAACAGGTCCTGCCAGTCAGAAGCCACTCCCCTGATTTCATGGCTCAAGACCCCAACTATAAATTAGCCCTTCCCACCTTGAATGTGTACACACACTATTGAGATGCAGGCCGATCCATGCCATGGGATGAATCTGAGAATTGCCAAGACCCACCTTCCCACGCCACCCAACCAAATCATGTGGCATCTGCTACAAGTGATTTTCCCCCTGAAATCCCACAAGAAAACTATTTTGAGGCCGGGCACGGTGGCTCACGCCTGTAATCCCAGCACTTTGGGAGGCCGAGGCGGGCGGATCACAAGGTCAGGAGATCGAGACCATCCTGGCTAACACGGTGAAACGCCGTCTCTACTAAAAATACAAAAAAAATTACCCGGGCGTAGTGGCGGGCACCTGTAGTCCCAGCTACTCGGGAGGCTGAGCCAGGAGAATGGCATGAACCTGGGAGGCGGGCTTGCGGTGAGCCGAGATCGTGCCACTGTACTCCAGCCTGGGCGACTGAGCGGGACTCAGTGTCAAAAAAAAAAAAAAAAAAGAAAGAAAAAGAAAAAGAAAACTATTTTGAAAAGCAGTTATCTCTGGCCTGGTGAAGAACACACCAGCACCATGCCCACCAAAACAGGAGCCCCATGGCTGTTTCCCAGAGAAACCTGGGACCCGCACGTCCATTCACTGCAACACAGACTGAATCTGCAGCCAAGCTCCGCTCTCTCACTACTGGGAACCCTCAGGGGGGATCCCTTAGCCTAAATCAGCACCAGTCACTACCCGCACACGATGTTATTACTACTGTTTTCTTATGAGTCAGCCCGTGTCACTGATTCCTGACGAGCTGGTGTGGAGAGCAGAAATGAATGATTTTTTTTTTAACTGCAATTTCCTTCTCACCAACCAGTCAGCAATCGGAGCTCTAACAGTAAACCGATTGCTCAGTTACTCCACGTGGGTGCCACGCAAGAGGCTGGGAGTATTGCTCAGCGGGGCCAACGGGAGGGTGGCACTTGCCTAAACCGCTTAAGTGGGGGAATGGAATGCCCACCGAAGGGCAGGGCAGGGACCCTGCTGTCCCGTCACTGAAGATATTCCCAGCCTGTGGGGAGAAGTGTAAAAGAATGAATGAAAGAAACGCACGTGGTTTCTGGGACCAATGACCTTAGCCTAGAACTGCCGGGATGGTCCAGGAACGTAAAGATGTAGAGATGTGGGAGCCAGGGGCGTAGTGATGCAAGGATGCAGGGACCCAGAGACTACGACCTCCCAACCCCCGGCCCGCGCCCCGTACTCACGCACGCAGAGGCAGGCCACGAGCTTGGCTGCCTCCTCGGGCACCGGGCAGGTGGGGAAGAGCGGCTTGAGCAGGTAGGTGGCGAAGACCAGGGCCACGATGTACTGCGATGAAGGCCGGATGATGAGCAGCTCGATCCAGAGCTTGAGGAAGGCGGGCAGCGAGCCGTAGACCTCCAGCATGTAGGCGTAGTCGCCGCCCGATTTGGAGATGGTGGTGCCGAGCTCCGCGTAGCAGAGCGCGCCCACGATGGAGAAGACGCCGCACGCGGCCCACACCACCAGCGCCAGCCCCGGCGAGCCTGCCTCCTTGAGCACGCCCGTGGGCGTCACGAAGATGCCCGAGCCGATAATGGTCCCCACGATGATGGCCACGCCGTTGAGCAGCGTGATGTTCCGCTGCAGGGTCACGCCCTCGCCCTCGCCTGCCGGCGCCGAGCCGTCCGCGCTCTTGGCGGCCAGCATCTTCTCCCGCGCCTCTTCCTTCTCCTCGGCCGCCGGCGCCGCTAGCGCGCGCCGCTTCGGGCCCGCACCCGCCATGCTCTGCGCACCGGCCGGGCCTGGGACACCCGGGAGCCGCGGCCCAGCGAGCAGTGTGCGCGCCGCCCGCCGCCCGCAGCTGCGTCAGGAACCCCGCCCGCGCCGCCTTTTAGGCCCCGGCCCGCCGGCCCCGCCCACCGTCCGCGGCTCCTCCCCGCCCCGTGGCCCGGCCCCGTCCCTCAGCCCCGCCCCCTCGGCCCAGCTCGGAGCACGTGCGTCGTCCGGCCCAGCCTGGCGGGCTATTCCCAGGCCCGCGTGGTCCTCGAAGGCCCCAGTCCTCCTGCGCCATGGAGACCCCGGCCTCGCGACCTCCCCCCTCCCGGCGCCCGCGTCATCCCAGCCCGTCCTCCCGGATGCGCCTGGGCGGGGCCTGGCAGTCAGGGCGCGCCCCTTCACCCACTGGCCCGCAGCCTCTCGTCAAGCCTGGGAGCGGGCAGTGCACCAGGGCTGGCCTGAGGCCAAGGATGGAGTTTGGGGTACCCCCCGAAGGGAACCTAGGCTCCTGTCCCGGATGGGCCGAGGGGATGGAACCGCCCCCACAACCAGCTCCTGGGGCACGGGGGAGGGATGAGAGGATGACCTGAGGGGAAGCTCCTGCAGCCTCCTTCCAGCCTGGGGGCTGCATCAGTGGGGCTGGTGAGCCGCGAACTGGGACGAGGGAAGAACCGAACCGAGGCCACCCAGTAATTCCCATTGTATCCCAAAAGAATCTTGCCAAAGACGGCGATCCGGTGCCCGTAGCTTTGAGAAGCAGTAATAACACAGGCTTTGGGAAGCCAGCAATCTGCCTGAGCTCAATTTAATCAACAGAACCGGGGGTTCGCTGGGAGCCATAAGACCCCCACCCCCAAATCTACCTGGGGAATTCAAAGGCAGGCTTCAGTGTGAAGGGGCTTTAAAGCTTGTTATTCCTAGGGAATGCGAGAGGCATCTTAGCTAAAAAGGGTTGAGAGGTAATTTCAGTTAGAGGCGAGAGCAGGATGCCAAGGCTCCTAGGCCTGGAAATGGGAAGGAATATAAATACTGCCCCGAGATTGACCAGACTGGTGAGCGGCCAAAGACCTGTTCAAAGGGTGTGTGTGGGTCAGGGAGGAAGCTCCTCAGTATCACCCCACCCCGGGGTTCCTTGGCGTGTGTGCAAACGAGTCCTTGGAAGCTCACAGCAGGCATGTGGGGAGGCCTTTGTTCTGGGTGAGCGTTCAGCCTCCCAGGGCAAACACGCAAACACCGGTTGCAGAGCTGGGTGTTCACAGCAAGACAGTCTGCTGGGCAGATGCCTCTGGAATCCACAGAATTCTGAACAATAGCCGTGGTGGAGGGGGGTCAGAATCCCTGTCGTGCTGGGACCTCTAGCTGCAGCCAGGAATGTCCAGGCCCCACCCCAGGGAGGGGGCGGCTGAGGAATGCCAGGGCTTGTCATTCTGGACCTTGCTCGCCCCCCGGTATGTCGGGCATTCCTCTGCGGTGATAAAACCGAGCGAAATCTCAGCAGCCCAGGCAGCCACAGGCGGGGGAGTGCGGAGGTCACACAGATACTAACTTGTAATCTGCCGTCCACATTGCTGGCTGTGGAAGGTGCAGAGACCCCTCCATCTGCCCTATTCTTCCCGCTGTGCCTGCAGAGGGAAGGAGACAGTACCACCATGGCTGGGCAAACTCACCGAGTGCTCACTGAGTCCTCCCCTAGACAGCTTCTTATGCAATAGGGTAGGTGCCAGTTAGAGCCATTTTGCAAATAAGGAAGCTGAGGCTTGGTAGGGTTACCTCGCTTGTCCGGCCAGCAAGTAGCCTGGGAGCTGTCCTTTTGACTCTGAACTTATATGGTACTTTTAATCATTCCACCATTCTTCTTTGAGTAACAAGAAAGGCAACCAACAGTCATACCCCAAAGCATAAAATTACAACCATGATAAGCCAAGGACATGACAGGGTGAGCCAGCGACAGCGACAGGGACCAGGCAGGTCCAGATAGACTTTTCTGAGGTGGTACCTGGAGCTGAGAGCCCAGGGTGAGTGAGAATTAATAAGGGAGGTGCAGGGGTCCCCACCGGCACAGAGGGGGCCCTGCACAGTTGGTGCAAGTCATGGTTGGTGCCCCCAGAGCCAGGCTCCTGGCAAGTGCTGGAGCCCTTAAGCAGGAAGGGTGACAACAGCCATGAGCGTGTTCAAGTCACACAGCTATTACGCCACCTCTGTCGGTTTTTACTGGGTTTTCATATGACAACATTCTAGATTTATCCAGCAAATCTACTCCTCTCAGACGTCCCTGATGCCGGCCCTGAAACGCCTTCGCCTGAAAGCTATGACTCTAGAATCTTAGCAAAGAGTGCCATCTGTTGGAAAGATTCGGCAGCGTTTTGATTTTTACAGAGGCAGGACAATGGTCTTTTCAGCTCCAGTCAGTAATTTATCACATGTTGTGTATTTTCAGAGGTTAAAAAAAAGAAAGAAAGAAAAGAAAAAAAAGTTGTGGCACTCTCGCTTGAGCTGGTTGGGAGAATACTTTCTTTTCTTTTTTTTTTTTTTGAAACGGAGTCTCACTCTGTCACCCAGGCTGGAGTGCAGTGGCACAGTCTCAACTCACTGCAACCTCCGCCTCCCGGGTTCAAGCAATTCTCCTGCCTCAGCCTCCGGAGTAGCTGGGATTACAGGCACCCGCCACCATGCTCGGCTAATTTTTTATTTTTTGTATTTTTAGTAGAATTGGGGTTAGCCAGGATGGTCCCAATCTCCTGATCTCGTGATCCGCCCGCCTCAGCCTCCCAAAGTGCTGGGATTACAGGCGTGAGCCACCACGCCCAGCGCCCTGCAGGTCCTTTTTAAGGCTGTTTGCAACATAAATGAGACGAGGCATCTTCTGCCCCCCTCAGAGCGCCAGCGTGGAGTTGAGCAGGCCACCCTCTCTCACAAGGCGAACCCGTCATTATTTTGTCATTTGGAGCAACTGCAGGGGAGCAGCAAGGCCACAGGGCGAGGGGAGAGAACCCGGTGGATAATCCTTTGTTTTCTAATTATGAGATGAGTCTCGCAGTGCAGGGATTGTGGTTTTCATCTCAGCAAAATATAGGAGTGAGGTCCGGAGCGGATCCTTGCTCTTCCTTTCAACTCGTTCTTTTTCCCAGGAAAACGACTTACCTGGTAAACCCTGTAAACCAAAAATAAAATTCTAAGGGCCACCCCAGACATCTAAACAGACTTCCTCCTCAGCCAGGGCTCTTAACATTTAACCTGAAAGACTGGTTTGGGCCAGGAAGAGAATCGGGGGTTGGACGGCCTCTTTAGACCTCTCCAGCACTAACACCAACACATACTTGAAGTCTATCAGACTTAAAGATTAACATTTTACAGCCTGTTCTCTTTGAAGCCTCCTAGCTAAAAGCTTCATCTGCATGATACAGCTTTCATCTCCACAGCCTCACCACAACCCAAACATTCCTTCCTTCCTTTCTTTCTTTCTTTCTTTCTTTCTTTCTTTCTTTCTTTCTTTCTTTCTTTCTTCCTTCCTTCCTTCCTTCCTTCCTTCCTTCCTTCCTTCCTTCCTTCCTTTCTTTCTCTCTCTCTCTCTCTCTCTCTCTCTTTCTCTCTTTCTCTCTTTCTTTCTTTCTTGTCTCACTTATCGCCCAGGCTAGAGTGTGGTGGCGCGATCTCGGCTCACTGCAAGCTCCGCCTCCTGGGTTCAAGTGATTCTCCTGCCTCAGCCTCCAGAGTAGCTGGGACTACAGGCGCCTGCCACCACGCCCGGCTAATTTTTTTGTATTTTTAGTACAAACGGGGTTTCACCGTGTTAGTCAGGATGGTCTCCATCTCCTGACCTCGTGATCCGCCCGCCTTGGCCTCCCAGAGTGCTGGGATTACAGGTGTGAGCCACTGTGCCCGGCCTCCAAACATTGCTTTCTACTGATCCCAGGTCTTTTGTGTTTTTCTTTTTTTTTTTGAGACAGAGTCTCACTGTCGCCCTGGCTGGAGTGCAATGGCACGATCTTGGCTCACTGCAACCTCTGCCTCCCGGGATCAAGTGATTCTCCTGCCTCAGCCTCCCGAGTAGCTGGGATTACAGGCACCTGCCACCACACCTGGCTAATTTTTGTATTTTTAGTAGAGGCTGGGTTCCACCAGGTTGACCACGCTGGTCTCGAACTCCTGGTGATCTGCCCACCTCGGCCTCCCAAAGTGCTGGGATTACAGGCGTGAGCCACCATGCTCGGCAACAATCCCAGGTCTTTAGACAACAAACTCAAACAATTGTCAACCAGAAAATGTTTAAATTGGTTGGGCGCGGTGGCTCACACTTGTAATCCCAGCGATTTGGGAACTTTGGGAGGCCGAGGCGGGGGGATCTCGAGGTCATGAGTTAAAGACCAGCCTGGCCAACATGGTGAAACCCCATCTCTACTAAAAATATAAACATTGGCCGAGTGCGGTGGCTCATGCCTGTAATCCCAGCACTTTGGGAGGCCGAAGCAGGCAGATCACTTGAGGTCAGGAGTTTAAGACCAGCCTGGCCAACATGGTGAAACCCCGTCTCTACCAAAAATACAAAAAAATTAGCTGGGCGTGGTGGTGGGCGCCTGTAGTCCCAGCTACTCGGGAGGCTGAGGCAGGAGAATGGCATGAACGTGGGAGGCGGAGGTTGCAGTGACGGGAGATCGCACCACTGCACTCCAGCCTGGGTGACAAAGCGAGACTCCGTCTCAAAAAAAAAATATATATATATATATATATATATATACACACATATATATACACACATATATACACATATATACACACATATATATACACATATATACACACATATATATACATATATGTATATACACATATATACATATATACGTATATATACACATATATACACATATATATACACACACACACATATATATACACACACATATATATATATAAACATCAGCTGGGCGTGTTGGTGCACCGCCTGTAATGGGAGGCTGAGGCAAGAGAATCGCTTGAAACCAGAAGGCAGAGGTTGCAGTGAACCAAGATTGTGCCACTGCACTCCAGCCTGGGTGGAAGAGCGAAACTCTTGTCTCAAAAAAAAAAAAAAAGAAAATGTTTACATTTACCTCTAGCCTGGAAGCCCCCCTCCTGCTTTGAGTTGTCCCGCCTTTCTGAACCAAACCAATGTATTTTTTAAATGTACTTGATTGATGTCTCATGTCTCCTTAAAATGTATAAGACCAAGCTGCACCCCAACCACCTTGGGCACATGCGGTCCGGACCTCCCGAGGCTGTGTCACGGGTGCGCCCTCAACCTTAGCAAAATACGCTTTCTAAATTAAAGGAGGCCTGTCTCAGATTTGCTGGCTTCACAACCCTTAATTGAAGTGGGGCTTCCTGGGGCCGCCTCTCTCCTGTGAGTCCCCTGCCGGGCTGGTTCTCAGTCACAGGGGAGAAATGCCTGCATCTTTTAACATAGCAAGGGTCCTTGCTTCTTCTGGAGGTTGTTTTTGAAAGCCATGCTTTTATTATGCTCAGAGGTGAGCTTTTCCTATCTGCATGCTTGACAAGGTGGGGCTGCCCTGAGTACGATCAGAAATTCCGTTCTGTTTCCAGGCAGATAGGTGTGTAGGGCAGCCACTCAGTCAGTGTTCGGCCTTAAAGACTCTTGCCAGTCAAGGAAGACGACCGAGGCAAGTCTCCGTCATTTTAGCTTTAAATGCCAACATTAGGGACGCGCACCTGAGAGACTGGTCTATGCCTTTCTCCGAAGATGATTTTGAGGGCTTCAATATTGAAAGGGGGAAGGGCAGGATATTGGGCAGTACACAATTTTCATGTGAAGGGGGTAGGGGAAAATTCAAGTTTTTGTCTGGTTTAGTGACTCTGCCGTTTCACGTAAGATACCCTAGACGATAGGGCAGCGGAAACAATGAGATATGCATTTGCTTCAGGTGGGCGGAGGGATGACTCAGTTCTGCCCCTCGTCCCAGCACCTGTGAAGATAAGCTAACGGTTCACATTGCCAGGGTGAACTTTAACAGAAGCGCTTAGGGTAAAGATCTTGGAGCCCACAAGGAATTTCCTTATGGGCAAAATGTGAGGGAGGTGTGTCGCTTTTCATCTTTTTTTTTTTTTTTTTTTGAGACGGAGTCTCACTCTGTCACCAGGCTGGAGTGTAGTGGGTCGATCTCAGCTCACTGCAACCTCTGCCTCCCGGGTTCAACTGATTCTTCTGCCTCAGTCTCCCAAGTAGCTGGGATTACAGGCGCCTGCCACCATGCCCGGCTAAGTTTTGCAGTTTTAGTAGGGACGGGGTTTCATCATGTTGGCCAGGCGGGTCTGGAATTCCTAACCTCAAGTGATCCACCCGCCTTGGCCTCCCAAAGTGCTGGGATTACAGGGGTGAGCCACCAAGCCCAGCCAAACTTTTCATCTCTGTAGCTGTTTGTTAAATAATTAGGAGCCGAAACAGGAGGCTGGTTCCCATGACACGGTCACCAGCTTCACTTTTCCCTTTCGTTAGCAAGTGTGGGGTCCCAGGATTTATGTTCCTTTCACACTCTCTATGCCATTTAATTTTTGCAGCAACTATAGTTAGTTGTCATTTATGGTTGGAGAAAAAGGGCAGTTCAGTAAGTGGCCAAGCCCAGCTTCAGACCCAGGGCAGGCCTTTAATCCTCGTGGCAATGCTGACTGCCACGCTGATGGCGCCACTTACATAGGCAGCCAGATTCATAAGCATGCGGATTCTCCCAGTTAAAAGAGAATTTTGGCCGGGGGCGGTGGCTCACGCCTGTAATCCCAGCACTTTGGGAGGCTGAGGTGGGCAGATCACAAGGTCAAGAGTTCAAGACCAGCCTGGCCAACATGGTGAAACTCCGTCTCTACCAAAAATACAAAAATTAGCCTGGCGCAGTGGCAGGCACCTGTAATCCCAGCTACTCGGGAGGCTGAGGCAGGAGAATTGCTTGAACCCAGCAGGCAGAGGTTGCAGTGAGCCAAGATTGTGCCACTGCACTCCAGCCTGGGCAACACACTGAGAATCCATCTAACAACAAAAAAAAGAGAACTTCATTTCAGCTGCCCCTGGTGGCACCTTGAAAGCCTCATTGCCTCTTCACTGGAAACATCCACCATTCTTGTTAAAGAAAAGACACTCATGACTTTCCTTCACCGAATCCTTCTAGCTTCTGTTTGAACACTTGGGTAGTCCCCCCACCCGTTTCCTGAAGTTCGTATGGGGGAACGGTAAACAGTGTCCATGCCTGCAAGTAAAATCCGAAGCCCTGCGATTGCTCAGTAACAGCTAGGAGCAAGGTTAGGGATTGTAGGGCCAGATTTTTTGCTTAGGTTCAACTAGGTAAAATAAAAATAGACTTTGCATGCATTTCAGGCACTGGGCTGATGACCGGCCACCAGGGAGGCTCCGCCCCACTTCTTAACTTTGGCCCCAACGTTAGTCTTGTTGCTGCTCTCAGATGTGCTCTGCGTGTCAAAGATGACTTGGAGGCTGGGCGCTGTGGCTCATGCCTGTAATGCCAGCCCTTTGGGAGACCAAGGTGGGAGAATTTCTTGAGCCCAGGAGTTCAAGACCAGCCTGGACAACATAGGGAGACCCCGTCTCTACAAAAAATACAAAAACTAGCCCAGCGTGGTGGTGGTGCACCTGTAGTTCCAGCTGCCGGGGAGGCTGAGGTAGAAGGATCACCTGAGATCAGGAAGGTTGAGGCTGCTGTGAGCTGAGATCATGCCACTGCACTCCAGCCTAGGCGACAGAGCGAGACCGGTCTTTTTTTTTTTTTGAGACGGAGTCTCGCTCTGTCACCCAGGCTGGAGTGCAGTGGCGCGATCTCGGCTCACTGCAAACTCTGCCTCCCGGGTTCACGCCATTCTCCTGCTTCAGCCTCCTGAGTAGCTGGGACTACAGGTGCCCGCCACCATGCCTGGCTAATTTTTTGTATTTTTAGTAGAGACGGGGTTTCACCGTGTTAGCCAGGATGGTCTTGATCTCCTGACCTCGTGATCCACCCTCCTCGGCCTCCCAAAGTGCTGGGATTACAGGCTTGAGCCACCGCGCCTGGCGAGACTGGTCTTGAAAAAAAAAAAAAAAAGATGACATGGAAGCAACAGTAGGAGCCGGGGTCAGAGTTCAGGCCCGTCCATCCGTGGATGATGGATAAACCCAGTGTAGTCCGCCATCCCTTGGAGCGTCATTCAGCCGCACACAGGAAGACACGCTGCAACGTGCAGGACCCCTGAAAACACTGGGCTGCGTGAAAGGGTCAGTGACCACGAGTTGTATGATTCCGAGTGCACGAATGTCCAGGACAGGCGGATCCAGAGAGATGGACGAGATTCGTGGCTGCTTAGGGCGGGGGGAAGGGGTGATGGAGAGTGAGGGCTGAGTGGATGGGGTCTCTCTTTGGGGTGATAAAATGTCTTGGAACTAGATGATGGGGATGGTTGCCCAACACTGGGAGTGACTTAAACACCACGGATTTGTACGTGTTTAAATGACTAACGGTTAATGTGATGTTATGTGTGAACTATACATCCAAAAGATAAAAGCAGTTCAGGCCTGGAATCGAACGGTCCTGGGTTCACATCTCACCTCTACCACTTGGTGGCACCAGGCGAGTGACTCGGCTCAGCTTTCGAAGTCTCAGTTTCCTCTTCTGTGAAGCAGGGAGACACCTGTGCCTGCCTCCTGGGGACCAGCAGGTAGAAGACCCTGAGCCGCTGGCATTGCCATCACTGCAGAACTGTGCTCCCAAGACCAGCCAGTGGAGGACCCTGAGGTACTGCTGTGTCCCTGTCACTGCAGAACTGTGCTCCCAGGGCTGGCGGATGGAGGACCCTGAGCCGCTGGTGTCATCCTCACTGCAGAACTGTGCTCCCGGGGCCAGCAGGTGGAGGACCCTGAGCTGCTGGTGTTGCCATCACTGCAGAACTGTGCTCCCAGGGCCGGCCGAATGCCTGGCTTCCACCCTCAGACTTTCTTTCCAATGTGGGCGAAGGGAACACGGAGGGACAGCGGTCGCAGCAGCCCACACTTGCTGTGTCGGGCGTGGTCTCAGTGGCTGGAGTGTGAAGATGGAGGCGGGGATGGGAGTGGGCGGCCCTGAGTCAAGGGACACCTGTAGCCCCCAGAAGCTGGAAGAGGCAGGAGGGGTCCTGGAGCCTCCCGAGGGAGCCTGGCCCTGCCACCACCTTGAAGTTGGCCTCTGGCCTCCAGGACTGTGAGAGAACAAAAGGGCTGTTGTCTTAAGCCCCTGTTTGCGGACAAAGGGAATAATCTCAACATTGAAAAAATATGGCCTTAATCTTTAGTGCTGTAGGTGGCAAACTTACCTTCAGGATGGCAGAGACAGATCTTTTTTTCCTGTTGACAGGCATTCTAACATTTCCAGAGACACGGGAGCCAGGTTCTCCTGCTGGGCCTCTGCACTATGAGCCAAACCTGCCTATTGTTAAGTGATTGAATGAGTTGACGCTCACCTTGAACTTTCTTCCACTCTGCCCTGGATTACAAGAAGAATTCATTGCTCAGCCCATGTCCCAGCATGAGGCTGGAAGCAGCTGTGAATTTTGTAGAGCCTGGAGGGCCCTGCACTCTTTGCAGCTGCCAGCTTCAGCGCTGCTCTCTTCGGCCACTTTGCCCCGCCTCTGTTTTGGGCAGTGGCTGCAGGGCAGATGCCACCCAACCAGGTCAAATTTCCCTGTGAGGATGGAAGTTTGTAGGTTATAATTCAGTTCTCCATCTTGGAAAATATCCAGGTGGATATTGTTTACCACCAAAACAATGACTTCTATCGCGTGAGCCCGAAAACCAGGCTGATGCGTGCTACGGCATGCGTGCGTGGTGCCTGCTCCATGTGTGAACTGTGTCTGTTCCATGTGTGAACCGTGTCTGTTCCATGTGTGAACTGTGTCTGTTCCATGTGTGATCCATGCTGCTCCATATGTGTTCCATGCTGCTCCATGTGTGAACCATGTCTGTTCCATGTGTGATTCATGCTGCTCCGTGTGTGATCCATGCTGCTCCATGTGGGAACCATGTCTGTTCCATGTGTGAACCATGTCTGTTCCATGTGTGAACCGTGTCTGTTCCATGTGTGAACCGTGTCTGTTCCATGTGTGATTCATGCTGCTCCATGTGTGATCCATGCTGCTCCATGTGGGAACCATGTCTGTTCCATGTGTGAACCATGTCTGTTCCATGTGTGAACCATGTCTGTTCCATGTGTGAACCGTGTCTGTTCCATGTGTGATCCATGCTGCTCCACATGTGAACCATGTCTTTTCCATGTGTGAACCATGTCTGCTCCATGTGTGATCCATGCTCTTCCATGTGTGAACCGTGTCTATTCCATGTGAGATCCATGCTGCTCCATGTGTGAACCGTGTCTGTTCCATGTGTGATCTGTGTCTGTTCCATGTATGGTCCATGCTGCTCCATGTGTGAACTGTGTCTGTTCCATGTGTGAACTGTGTCTGTTCCATGTGTGAGCCATGTCTGTTCCATGTGTGATCCATGTCTGCTCCATGTCTGATCACACCTGCTCCCTGTCACTCATTTTGTCTAGACTTCTCAATGATGACAGCCCCCAGTTACCCAGATTTAAGGTAGTTTCTAAATATTTGTAGCCAGATCCATCTAGTATCCTGCAATTCATTCATTGACTCAGCAAACATTTCACGATAGCTAGACATACGCCTGGCTTTGTGAGAATGTGTGTCCGTATGACACCCCAGCCTGCGGGTGACCCTTTCATGTGCACCCCTGTGATAACAGGGGATGTGCAGGAGCCCAGGTGCGGGGGGAGGGGATGCTGCTGCCTGGGGCTGGCACTGACGAAGGTGTGGTGGAGAGGAGGGGCTGCGCTGGGCCTTGGCAGAGAGGAGAAAGTGCATCTAGCAGAGCAGGGAGGACAGCCCAGGAGAGGGAGCAGCGCCTAGAGGACCTGCGGCAGCGCACAGCAGTCCCCGAGCTTACAAGTGGGAGCACTGCAGCCCATGGCGCCCGACCACGTTTATTGTGTGCTGTGGGCAAGCAGAACAGTTGAGGATCCCGCCCCTGGGGGCTCACATTCCAGAGGGGGATGCAAGCATCATGCAGCAACACGTGCCTGATGCCAACAGCTGGGGAGGGGACACAGGGAGACCGTGGTTGGGGCAGGTGTCTGAGAACTGGTTGAGGATGGAAAGGAGTGACTGTGAAGCAGCCTTGGGGACAGCAACCCCAGCCAGAGGCCCACACACACAAGGTGACGTGGAAGAGGGCCAGGCTGCGAATCTTGCTGGGAGAAGCTCGTGCTCATTCCCAAGCCTAGTGGAAAGCCTCAGTTTTGAACAGGGCAGCAGAATGGCCAAGTGTCGGTTTCTCAAAAAAACCCACTGTTAAAAGAAAAATGGATTTGGGGGAAGAGGGGAAGAGGCTGGAAAGAAAGTGGCTAAACTGGAAGGCCAGCTTGTCACTCAGGCTGCAGCAGAAGGGACAGAGAAAAGTGGACAGACTTGGAATAGGCGGCAGTTTGAGGGTCCTCCAGCAGAGCCTGCTGCTGCCCTGGGTGCAAGGAGTGAGGGGAGAGGAGGTCCCAAGGGGGCTCCCGAGATTGCCTGTGGCGTCGGGTGGATGGAGGAACCATTTATCAAGACGGGGTTGGTGGGCACAGAGTTGGGGACGCAGCAGTGCACGGACAGCCCACCTTTCAGCAGGAGGGACAAGTGTCAAAAAATGACACTTACTGCTCCGTTAACGGAGTAATGGAGCAGACACTCCGTTACTGCTGGGCACCGCTGTGTGCCAGGTGCCATCTGGGGGCTCAGCTCAGGCCGAGGAAACAGGAGGAGCAGGTGTTGAGCAGGTGGTATGGGGCGGGCGGGGAAGGGTGCCCTCAGGTCCATCAGAACAGCCACAAGAGCCCTGGGGTGGGAGGGGGCCGATATTCTGGTCGGCACAGAGTGGGCTGCCAGGAGAGGGCGGGGGCGGAGGGGCAGGAATGTGGATTCTGTCCCAAGGGGGCAAGGCTGAGGGGATGTAGCTGGGCACATGGTCTGCTCTGAATTGAGCTTGGTTCTCTAGAGGGTCGATGGGAAGGACGTGCTGGGGATGGGGAGGAAGCGGAGGAGGAGGAGGCGGTGGCAGCTGGGAACAGGCAATGCTTCTCACACAGGCGTATCTTTATTAAACAAGAAAATAAGATAAAAGCAAAGGGAGGAAGCCTTGAACCTTAAAAGCTGGGCCAGAAATTCTACAATACAATCAGAAGCCACAATCTGGTCACAGTGAGAGCCCTTCCCGCAGAGCCGCAGACACCGGCCGCTGCCCCTGGGGCGGGAGGGAAGCCTCCTGTTTGTTTTTTGTCCCGTTGCTTTGAGGGCTGGAATCAATGTCTTTTCCTCTCGGCGTGTTTGTGGTTTCATCTCAGTGTGTCCAGGCTCGGATGGCTTCCCGGGAGTATCTCCGTGTCTCAGGATTAGCACCAGTTTTTAAAAATAACTGACAAAGGCCATTTTTCAGGAGACAAAGATGTTGGTGGGTGCAGAGGGCCCCCTGTGTGTTGATACGGAAAATGAAGGTCAGCCACTCCCTGCTTCTCTTGGTGTCTTGTTGGACACGATGTCAACATGGGGCCGGTAGAACTGGAGCCCAGGGCCCCTCTGGCCGCTTGGGCCTTTCTCTGTCCCCAAGCCCACCTGGAAATGGGCAGCCCATGGAGAATGGCTGAATAGCTGCTCTCTGCCCCCATCCCAAGCCCCAGGTTCAGAGACCACCCCCTCCATTGACTGTGTCACCCCTTCCCCAGCAGAGGAGCGGGCTGTTCTCAGAGCGCTGCAGGAAGCCCAGACAAGTGCCTTCCTCTGGCTGCTGCTTCCATCAGCGTGAACTGCCCGGCATTGTAGGATAAGTTTTCTCCTGGGTTTTAAGGTTCAGGACTTTCTCTCTTTGCTGCGCTTTTTCCTTGACTGATTGCACAAATCAGAGAAGGCAAGAGTGAAATGCTGCGTATCCCTTGGCCTAGCGGGTCAGCGACAACTTTCTTAACTTCTCAAGTGAGCCTCAGTTTCCTTATTAAAAACCAGGGACGATTTTGTGGAACTTGTCGCAACTCAATGGGAGTGCCGTGGCCCTTACGCCCAACGACACCATCCTGTCACTTCGGGAGTTTTTCCTAAAACACCATTCCCCAGACCAACGGCGCTGCGAGCTTCTGGGGCGTGGGCTGGGCCCAACATGTCAGTGCGACCCACAGCGGGGCTGGAGCTGCTGAATGTGCACAACACACTTCACCCGGGCCTGGTTCAGGAGCGGGCGAGGCAGCCGTACACCCTGTCCTTCAGCAGACTCCTCTTGATCGATGGAATCGAAGTCAGGCGCAGCAGCTTAGAGCAGAACAGAAACGTGCCCATTTCCCCGCTTGGTGCTTTCCCGCTTCCACTTCGACTCCTTCAACCCAATCCTCTTTCACCCGCATCGCCACCAAGTGTGATCTCCTTTAAAGAGCCAGACGCTTTATTTTGGGGGGGCGTGGAGGGGTGGAGTCTCACTCTGTTGCCCAGGCTAGAGGGCAGTGGCACAATCTCAGCTCACTGCGACCTCCACCTCCTGGGTTCAAGCGATTTCTGGCTAGATTTTGTTTTGTTTTGTTTTGAGACGGAGTCTCGCTCTGTCGCCCAGGCTGGAGTGCGGTGGCCACCATCTCGGCTCACTGCAAGCTCTGCCTCCCAGGTTCAAGCAATTCTCCTGCCTCAGCCTCCACAGTAGCTGGGATTATAGGTGCGTGCCAACACGCCCGGCTGATTTTTCTTTGTATTTTTAGAAGAGACAGGGTTTCACAATATTGCCCAGGCTCGTCTCAAACTCCTGACCTCATGATCTGCCCACCTCAGCCTTCCAAAGTGCTGGGATTACAGGCGTGAGCCACCGCGCCTAGCCTTAGTTTTTTTTTTTTTTTCTTTTTGAGATGGAGTCTCACTCTGTTGCCCAGGCTGGAGTACAGTGGCACGATCTCGGCTCACTGAAACCTCCACCTCCTGGGTTCAAGCAATTCTCCCTGCCTCAGTCTCCCGAGTCGCTGGGACTACAGGTACACACCAGCACACCCGGCTAGTTTTTTGTATTTTTAGTAGAGACGGGGTTTCACCGTGTTAGCCAGGATGGTCTTGATCTCCTGACCTCATGATCTACCTGCCTCAGCCTTCCAAAGTGCTGGGATTACAGGCGTGAGCCACCGCACCCGGCCTACTTTTCGTATTTTTTTTTTTTTGGAGGCGGAGTCTCGCTCTGTTGCCCAGACTGGAGTGCAGTGGCACAATCTTGGCTCATTGCAACGTCTGCATCCTGGGTTCAAGCAATTCTCCTGCCTCAGCCTCCCAAGTAGCTGGGATTACAGGTGCCTGCCACCACGCCCAGCGAATTTTTTGCATTTTTTTTTAGTAGAGACGGGGCTTCACCGTTTTGCCCAGGCTGGTCTCGAACTCCTGACCTCAGGTGATCTGCCCACCTCAGCCTCCCAAAGTGCTGGGATTGCAGGCGTGAGCCACCGCGCCTGACCTAACCTACTTATTCTTTATCTCCCCGGAATGAAATGGCCTTTATCACCTTGGGAAACAGATTAGCATCTGCTTATTTTTCTGTGCTCATCTGACTGTAAGGTAATGTTGGAAGATAATGTAATTAGGTTTATTGTAAAACTTTCTCTCTTCTGGCGGGAATATTTTTTAATGCTATGAAAATAAAAATACTGGGCCAGGCGCGGTGGCTCATGCCTGTAATCCCAGCACTTTGGGGGGCCAAGGTAGGCAGATCACCTGAGGTCAGGAGTTCGAGACCAGCCTGACCAACATGGTGAAACCGAATCTCTACTAAAAATGCAAAAAAAAAAAAAAAAAAAAAAAAGACTGGGCACAGTGGCTCGCGTCTGTAATCCCAGCACTTTGGGAGGCTGAGGCGGGCAGATCACCTGAGGTTGAGAGTTTGAGACCAGCCTGACCAACATGGAGAAACCCCGTCTCTCGTAAAAATACAAAATTAGCCAGGCGTGGTGGCCCATGCCTGTAATCTCAGCTAATTGGGAGGCTGAGGCAGGAGAATCACTTGAACCTGGGAGGCAGAGGTTGTGGTGAACCAAGATCGCATCAATGCACTCCAGCCTAGGCGACAAGAGCAAAACTCTGTCTCAAAAAAAAAAAAAAAAATTCGCTGGGCGTGGTGGCGGGCACCTGTAATCCCAGCTACTCCGGAGGCTGAGGCAGGAGAATTGTTTGAACCCGGGAGGCAGAGGTTGCAGTGAGCTGAGATCGTGACATTGCACTCTAGCCTGGGCAACAGAGCTACACTCCATCTAAAAAAAAGGAAAAGAAAAACACTGTACTGATTTTGGATTTTTTCCAAGCAAGTAATAGGTAAAAAGAAACCCAAACTGGCTTACATGAAAGGGCACCTATTGGCTTGTGTAACTGATCAGGTGCAACCATTGCTATAAGCTTGATCCAGACCCGACTCAGTGACTCATGCCAGTAATCTCAGCAGTTTGGGAGGACGAGGCAGGCGGATCACCTGAGGTCGGGAGATCGAGACCAGCCTGACCAACATGGAGAAACCCCGTCTCTACTAAAAATACAAAATTAGCCAGGCACGGTGGTGTATGCCTGTAATCCCAGCTACTTGTGAGGCTGAGGCAGGAGAATCACCTGAACCCGGGAGGTGAAGGTTGCAGTGAGCCAAGATTGCGCCACTGCACTCCAGCCTGGGTGACAAAGCAAGACTCCATCTCAAAAACAAAACAAAACAAAACAAAACAAAACAACAACAACAACAAAAAAAAGAGGGTGAAAGGCAGCCCCAGAGTGGGAGAAGAGATTTGTAAAATGGACAAAGGCCTTATAATTGGAATATATAAAGAACTCCTAAAAATCAATAAGAAAACCACAGACAGCCCAAGAGAAAAATGGGCAAATGGCTCAAGCAGGTATCTGGTGAAAGAGGATATGCAGACGGCCAATGAATCTGCACAAAGTGCTCCACGTCATGAATCATTAGGGAAGTGCAAATTAAATCCACAGGAGACACCTGGGCACACCCTCCAGAAAGCACACAATGACCTGCTGGCAAGGACAGGAATGACCACTTTGGAAAACTCTTTGGCAGCACAGCCGAACTGAGCCTCTCCACTTGAAAATGCCCTTTGCTCAGAACCCAGCAGCAGCTCCAAAGTCTCCACCCAGCCTGTGGGGCCCCAGTACCCACCCTTGCCTCCCATGCCTCTCTCCTCACCCCTGCACTTGGCTGCCCTCACCCTCGGGCTGCACCTTGAACACCAGAAGGGCGCTCCTGCCTCCAGCCTCTGCCTGGAATTCTCTGCCCTTGGGTAGCCACGTGGTTCACTCCTCCTTTGGTCTCTGCCCAAATGGCCCCTGTAGAAGAGACCTCCCCACCCAGCCATGTCCTCTTCCTGTGACTTACCACTCCAGACTTTCTGTGTGGATGCATCATGGTCTACCTCCTTCCATCAGAATGTGAGCTCCGAGGCAAAGGCTCTTCAGACCTTAAACAGTCTAGGCTCCGTCCCCAGAGTCTAGAATAGAGCCTGCCACGTAATTGGCACTCAATAAATGTTACATGAATTAATGGAAACCATCCTGGCACGAGTGGTAGCTCTCTTTCCTCCAAAAGAATGAGCTTGCCGAGAGAGACAACATCATGAAAGAGAGACAGAAAAGCCACACTCAGACCCAACATTGAGTTCTGGATCAAGTTTTTTTTTTTTTTTTTTTTTTTGAGACAAAGTTTCGCTCTTGTTTCCCAGGCTGGAATGCAATGGCGCGATCTCGGCTCACTACAACCTCCGCCTCACGGGTTCAAGCAATTCTCCTGCCTCAGCCTCCCGAGTAGCTGGGATTACAGGCATGCACCACCAAGCTCGGCTAATTTTGTATTTTTAGTAGAGATGGGGTTTCTCCATGTTGGTCAGGCTAGTCTGGAACTTGGCCTCCGAAAGTGCTGGGTTTACAGGCGTGAGCCACAGCGCCCAGCTCCTGTTATTTTTTAGGAGCTTTATTGTTTTACCTTTCCTGTTTAGATCTATAATCTGTCAGGAATTAATTTTTGTGTGTGCTGTGAGGTAGGGGTGTGAGGTATGGTGAGAAAAAAGATTCATGGTTCCCCATTTGGATATCCCGTTGGCTCGGTGGGGTGGCTAATGCCTGTAATCCCAGCACTTTGGGAGGTCAAGGCAGGAGAACTATTGGAGCCCAGGAGTTCAGGACCAACCTGGGCAACATAGTGAGACCCCATGGATCGACTGATGAATTGATCGATCAATCAATAGATAGATCAATCAATAGATATCCAAATGATCCAAAACTATTCACAGAAGAGCCCATCCATTCCCTACAGCATGAGTCAGGGATCACAAATGTGTGGAACCTTCTAGACACGCTATTCTTTTTCATTGGTTGATTTGTCCTTCTCTGACAGGTACCACATTATCTTAATTAATATAGCTTTTTATTTTTATTTATTTATTTATTTTGAGATGGAGTCTCGCTCTGTCACCCTGGCTGGAGTGCAGTGGCATGATCTCGGCTCACTGCAAGCTCTGCCTCCCGGGTTCAAGCGATTCTCCTGCCTCAGTCTCCTGAGTAGCTGGGATTACAGGCATGAGCCACCACACCTAGCTCATTTTTGTATTTTTAGCAGAGACGGGGTTTCGCCATGTTGGTCAGGCTGGTGTCGAACTTCTGACCTCAGGTGGTCTTCCCGCCTCGGCCTCCCAAAGTGCTGGGATTACAGGCATGAGCCACTGCACCTGGCCTACTACAGCTTTTGAAGTAGGTCTTGACATCAAATTGTGTATGTTTTCTGGTTTTATCCTGCCAGATTATTTTTGGTTGTATTTTTGGTAGAGACGGGGTTTCACCATGTTGGCCAGGCTGGTCTCAAACTCCTGACCTCAAGTGATCTGCCTGCCTTGGCCTCCCAAAGTGCTGGGATTACAGGCGTGAACCACGGTGCCTGGCCTCACAAGAATTCCTTTTTACTTTGAGACAGAGTTTTGCTCTTGTTGCCCACGCTGGAGTGCAATAGTGTGATCTTGGCTCACTGCAACCTCTGCCTCCCGGGTTCAAGCAATTCTTCTGCCTCAGCCTCCCAAGTAGCTGGGATTACAGACATGCAGCACCACACCCAGCTAATTTTTGTGTTTTTTATAGAGATGGGGTTTCACCGTGTTGGCCAGGATGGTCTCGATCTCCTGACCTCGTGATCCGCCCGCCTCGGCCTCCCAAAGTGCTGGGATTAAAGGCATGAGGCAATGCACCCCGCCAGTTCTTACAAGGAGGAGGCAGAAGCTGGAAAGGCAAGGAAAAAGATCCTGCCCTAGAGCCTCAGAAGGAAGCAGCCGTGAGGACACCTTGGTGTCGGGCTTCTGGCTCACTGAACCGTAAGAGAATCAATCTCCATTGTTTTAATCCACCAAGTTTGTGGTACTTCGTTACAGTGAAACTAAGCACCCTGCACTTGCGTTGGGTGCCATGGCACACCCCTCCATCCCAGCGTTATGTTCCCCACGGTACTTACACATCTTTCTTTCACTTGCAGCTGAAAAGTACTTCGACTAAAACAATAACCTCATGCTCTCTTTTTAATTTCAGAAGTCATGTACAATCACATTGTGAAACTTGGGAAACAACGCTTCCTTCCTTCAAAGTCAGTTCTGCTATTCATGTGGACCTAATGTCTCTAGGACCTTGTGCCCTCATTAGTGGCCTGGAAGGACGCCCAGACCTTCCGGTTCATCAAGGGTTGAAGTGGGCGATAGTTGTTCACCATCATCTTCTCCTCTTCACCAAGTGCAGAAAACAGGAGAGTACGAAATGCAGAGAGCTGGAATAGAGGGCAGCCAGGGTGAGCTTGGTATGAGTGCAGGGTGAGCCAGCCTCTGGGTGTCCCTCAGGCCTTATGTGGTCCCCTCCCATGCTGAATCAGGATGGCCCGAAATGATCAATAAATATGGTGGAAGTGATGGTGTGTGCAGGGCCAGATTATAAAAGGCATTGCCGCTTCCGCCTTGGTCTTTAGGATCACTTGCTCTGGGGGGAAGCTGGTCGCCATATTGGGAGGGTACTCAAGCAGCCCCGAGGAGAGGCCCATAGGGAGAGGAACTGAGGCTCCCAGCGAACTGCCAGCACCAACTTGCTAGCTACTCGAGAGGGCCAACCTTGGAATGAATCCTCTAGCCCTAGTTGAGCTTTCAGATTGCTACAGTCCCAGCTGACACTGGGCTACAATTCATGAAAGATGGTAAGCCAGAGCCACCCAAATTCACAACCCAAGGAAACTATGGGAGATAATAAATGATTGGTTTTTGTTGTTGTTGTTTGAGACAGTGTTTCGCTCTTGTTTCCCAGGCTGGAGTGTCATTGGCGAGATCTCAGCTCGCTGCAACCTCCGCCTCCCAGGTTCAAGCGATTCTCCTGCCTCGGCCTCCTGAGTAGTTGGAATTACAGGCACAAGCCACCACGCCCGGCTAATTTTTTTTTTTTTTTTTGAGATGGAGTTTCGCTCCTGTTGCCCAGACTGGAGTGCAATGGTGTGATCTTTGCTCACCGCAACTTCTGCCTCCTGGGTTCAAGGGATTCTCCTGCCTCAGCCTCCTGAGTAGCTGGGCTTACAGGCATGCACCACCATGCCCAGTTAATTTTGTATTTTTAGTAGAGATGGGGTTTCTCCATGTTGGTCAGGCTGCTCTCAAACTCCTGACCTCAGGTTATCCACCTGCCTCGGCCTCCCAAAGTACTGGGATTATAGGCGTTTAGCCACTGTGCTAGGCCTAATTTTGTATTTTTAGTAGAGACAGGGTTTCACCATGTTGGTCAGGCTGGTCTTGAACTCCTGACCTCAGGTGATCGACTTGCCTAGGCCCCCAAAGTGCTGGGATTACAGGCATGAGCTACTGCACCCGGCTCAAATGATTGTTTTCTAAAGCCACTATGTTTTGGAGCTATTTGTTACACAGCAATAGATAACTAACACCTATAATGTAAATGCTAAAGTAACATTTGAATTTACTTTTCACTGAAGGAACTAAAAGACTACTTTTTATGGCTGGATGTGGTGCCTCACGCCTGTAATCCCAGCACTTTGGGAGGCCGAGGTGGGTGAATCACCTGAGGTCAGGAGTTTGAGACCAGCCTGGCCAACATGGAGAAACCCTGTTTCTACTAAAAATACAAAATTAGCCAGGTGTGGTGGCTCATGCTTGTAATCCAGCTACTTGGGAGGGTGAGGCAGGAGAAGCTCTTTAACCTGGGAGGCGGAGCTTGTGGTGAGCGAGATCACGCCATTGCACTCCAGCCCGGGCAAGAAGAGGGAAACTCCATCTCAAAAAAAAATAATAAAATAAAAAATAAAAAAAGACTTTTTATGTATTATCTCACTTGTTCACAGAATATACTTATGAACCCTGTGAGGCAACTCACGCATTTGATTACATTCAGAAGTGAGATTATGTCTACATGCTGACAGCATACTGGTCCAGTTAGCCCTGCGTGATGATGCAGCGCCCCCTAGAGTTGCGCGCATGGTGCACGTGGCCTCCTGGGCCGTGACCACGGTGTGCTCATCCACATTTGTGGTCTGCACATTTGTTGACTGTGCAGCCTTTCTCCTCCCCTGGAAAACTCCCCGCCTTCCAGGACATGTGCCTCCCTGGCTCCCCTGCTCAGGATAAGGGGCTCCTGCCCTGCATTTTTATATGACACCGGCCACCCTGGCTTAATACTATTGGCTTCGTTTCTACTTTCCTGCCATACAGCAGTGTTCTGAGACGAATGCCCTGTTCCTGTACCGCCCCTCCACACCTGCCCCCCTCCCACCCTCTCTTGGTGGCACAGACCCAGAATGGGCACTTGTCACATATATGCTTGTTGAGTGGCATAAGGGCCTTGCTGACAAGGGGCCACCTTCAACAAAAGCCTTCCCCGTTTGTATATAAGGGAATATTTTCACAGGCCCGGGAGACTGAAAGACCCTCTAAGAGCTCACCTGGAGCCCTCGGAAAGAGATGAGCCAGAGATGCTAAGTCGCGCTGCGACTGCTGAGAAACGTCTGCCGGGCGGGGGCGGGGCATAGGCAGCACGTCTGTGGCTCTGAACTGCCTTGGACAGACAGAATTGCTACAGATTCTTAAGATTTCCAGAAAAAAATGATAGTATAACTTTTATTTATTTTTTATTTTATTTTTTTGAGGCAGAGTGTCACTCTGTCACCCAGGTTGGAGTGCAGTGGTGCCATCTCAGCTCACTGCAACCTCCGCCTTCCAGGTTCAAGTGATTCTCCTACCTCAGCCTCCCAAGTAGCTGGGATTACAGGCAAACGCCACCATGCCTGGCTAATTTTTGTATTTTTATTTATTTATTTATTTGAGATGGAGTTTTGCTCTTGTTGTCCAGGCTGGAGTGCAGTGGCGTGATCTCAGCTCACTGCAGCCTCTGCCTCCCGGCTTCAAGTTATTCTCTTGCCCCAGCCTCCCAAGTAGCTGATATTACAGGCATGCACCACCACGCCTGGCTAATTTTGTAGATTTAGTAGAGACGGGGTTTCACCATGTTGGTCAGGCTGGTCTCGAACTCCTGGCCTCAAGTGATCTGGCTGCCTTGGCCTCTTTAAGTCCTAAAATTATGGGCATGAGCCATGACGCCCAGCCCAAGAGTATAACTTTAAAAAGTGTATACAAATATTATTAATTAATTTTCGAAAAAAAAAAAAGCAATGAAACTATTTAGATAAGAAAAAGGAGGCCGGGCTCGGTGGCTTATGCCTGGAATCCCAGCGCTTTGGGAGGCCAAGGTGGGCAGATCACCTGAGGTCAAGAGTTCAAGACCAGCCTGGCCAACATGGTGAAACTCCGTCTCTACTAAAAATACAAAAATTAGCCAGGCGTGGTGATGGGTGCCTGTAATCCCAGCTATTTGGGAGGCTGAGGCAGGAGAATCGCTTGAACCCAGGAGGTGGAGGTTGTAGTGAGCCGAGATCGCACCACTGCACTCCAGCCTGGGCGATAGAACGAGACTCTGTCTCAAAAAAAAAAAAGGAAAGAAAAGAAAAAGGAAGAAAACAAAAACCATGCAGACCCATGACCCTGGGACAACTCCCATGGATGCCTCGTGTGTCTGTGTGTGATAGATTAGGGCGTTGCTCAGGACATGCTTGCTGTGATCACTGGAACCGCTGTCCAATCTCAACAAGCTCCTACTTCAGTTGGAATTTTCTTCTTGTGTAAGAATGCCCCAAATGCATGAAAGAATATATATAACTCCACAACGCTCTCATGCAGCATCTTAGTGACGCTGCCAAGCAAGAGGGACGCCTTCCATGAAGCGCCATCGTGCCAGTTACGGGCACGGCTCACCTGGCTTGGGGCCACTTCAACGGGCTCCTTCTGGATGATCCAGGTGACCGACTCGGTCAGCGGCGGGGTGGTGAGCGAGCCCGCGTAGGTCCAGTAATCCCAGCAGGTGGGCAGCAGAGTGGAGGGGTCGAAGGGGCGCATGGCCGCCCGCGCGTCCTGAGAGACCGAGAAGCACAGGACGTGTCAGTCCTCAGGGGAGACTAGGAGCTTCCATCTTGTCTCAGCACGTGAGGCCTTCATGGTGCTTGGAAGGAAGTGCTTTCCCCCAGATAAGGCCATGAGGCCACTGCTGTCACACTTGCAAGCAGTGATGAGAAAATGTGACCCTTCTATACAGAGCAAGGATTCCTGCCAACTTACATTGGTGGGAATTACGTTACATTACACCAGCTTACGTTGGTGCTCACATTTTTCCTTTTGAAGTCATTTCTTGGGGCGCAGTAGCTCACCCCTGTAATCTCAGCACTTTGGGAGGCCGAGGCGGGTGCATCACTTGAGGTCAGGAGTTCGAGACCAGCCTGGTCAACGTGGTGAAACCCTGTCTCTACTAAAAATACAAAAATTATCCAGATGTGGTGGTGGGCGCCTGTAGTCCCAGCTACTCAGGAGGCTGAGGCAGGAGAATCGCTTGAGCCCAGGAGGCAGAGGTTGCAGTGAGCCGAGATCATGCCACTGCACTCCAGCCTGGGCAACAGAGTGAGACTCTGTCTCAAATAATAATAATAATAATAATAATAATAATAATAATAATAATAATAAATTAATTAATAATAAAAATAAAAATAAAGCCATTTCTTTTAGCATACCTTGGCTGCAAAAAATATTACTTTTTATTGTGATAAAATATACATAACATAAAATTTACCATCTTAACCTTTTTTTTTTTTTTTTCGAGATGGAGTTTTGCTCTTGTTGCCCAGGCTGGAGTGCAATGGTGTGATCTTGGCTCACCGCAACCTCTGCCTCCCAGGTTCAAGCGATTCTCCTGCCTCAGCCTCCAGCGCCTGCCACCACGCCCAGCTAATTTTTGTATTTTTAGTAGAGACAGGGTCTCACCATGTTAGCCAGGCTGGTCTTGAACTCCTGACCTCGGATGATCCACCCGCCTTGGCCTCCCAAAGTGCTGGGGTGAGCCACTGTGCCCGGCCTATGGGCTCCTTTTTAAGGAGGGAGTCATGGTGGCCAAGAAGGATGTCCACATGCCTAAGCACCCGGAGATGGCAGACAAGAATGTGCCCAACCTTCATGTCACGAAGGCCATGCAGTCTCTCAAGCCCCGAGGCTGCCTGAAGGAACAGTTTGCCTAGAGACATTTCTTTCTTTCTTCCTTTCTTTCTTTCTTTCTTTCTTTTTTTTTTCAGACAGAGTCTCCAGGCTGGAGTGCAGTGGTGCGATCTCAGCTCACTGCAGCCTCTGCTTCCTGGGTTCCAGCGATCCTCCTGCCTCAGCCTCCCTAGTAGCTGGGACTACATCTTCACGCCATCGCGACCAGCTAATTTTTTATATTTTTAGTAGAGACGGGGTTTCACCATATTAGTCAGGATGGTCTCGATCTCCTGACCTCGTGATCTGCCCACCTCGGCCTCCCAAAGTGTTGGGATTACAGGCGTGAGCCACCACGCCCGGCTTGCCTGGAGACATTTCTACTGCTACCTTACCAATGAGGGCATCCAGTATCTCCGTGATTACCTTCATCTGTCCCTGGAAACTGTGCCTGCCACCCTATGCTGCAGCCGTCCAGGGACTGGCAGGCCTCGGCCTAAAGGTCTGGAGGGTGGGCGACCTGCAAGACTCACAAGAGGGGAAGCTGACAGACATACCTACAGACGGAGTGCTGTGCCCCTGGTGCCGACAAGATAGCCGAGGCTCGGGCTGGGTCAGCAACCGAATTCCAGTTTAAAGGCAGATTTGGTCGTGGACATGGCCAGCTACCTCAGTAAAATCAGAGAGGATTATTTTGCATTGAATACACTCACAGCCAAAAAACAAAAAGAGTCAGGGTCTTACTTTGTCACCCAGGCAGGAGTGCAATGATGCCATCATAGCTCACTGCAGGCTCTAATTCCTGGGCTCAAGCGATCCCCCCGCCTCAGTTTCCCAAGTAGCTAGGACACCACACCAGGGTTTAAAATTAATTGTTTGTAGCCAGGGGGTCTTGCCATCTTGCCCAAGCTGTTCTCCAACTCCTGGGCTCAAGCGATCCTCCTGCCTTGGCTTCTCAAAATATTGGGATTACAGGCATAAGCCACTGTGCCCAGCCAGCTCTTTTGGATATATACCCAGAAGTGTGTGATTGCTGAATCATAGGGTAGTTCTATTTATAACTTTTTATTTTTTTTATTTTTTTTGAGGCAGAGTCTCACTCTGTCTTCCAGGCTGGAGTGCCGTGGCATGATCTCAGCTCACGGTGGTTGGGCCTGGCCGCAACACAGCCCTCATCAGCGTCCCATGCCAACCAAGCATAGCTCTGCACCTGCCCCTGGCCAGCACTGTGGGACAAGAGTCCAGTCCAAAGTGACAGAGTCCCTGTCTGCAAGGAAGATGGCCTCCCTGCTCAGCCACATCACATCACCTTGACTTTGCTGGGCCCTGGCCTTCCAAGGTGGAAGCTGGCAACCCAGATGCCTTGGGCTTGTCTCCTAACATCAAGCAGTGAGGGTCAGGGTCAAGAGAGGTGGCTGAGCTACCAGAAGGAAGCCCGGGAGTGTCCACACTGGCAGACACATGCATCAGTTCTATGCACGCATGTTCACGTTTATAATTATCCAGTTAATTAAAAAAAAAAAAACAGCATTATAGGCTGGGCACAGTGGCTCATGCCTGTAATCGCAGCATTTTGGGAGGCCAAGGCAGGCAGATCACCTGAAGTCAGGAGTTCAAGACCAGCCTGACCAACATGGCGAAACCCCATCTCTACTAAAAATACAAAAATTAGCCAGGCATGGTGGCAGGTGCCTGTCATCGCAGCTGCTCGGGAGACTGAGACACAGGAACTGCTTTGGCACAGGATGCAGAGGTTGCAGTGAGCCGAGATGGCACCATTGCACTCCAGCCTGGGCAACAGAGAGAGAGACTCTGTCTCAAACAACAGCAGCAGCAGCAAAACCCACAGCATTATTGTGATAGAATTCACATACCATGCAACTCTCCCATCTAAAGTGTACAGCCTGGTTGGGCGCAATGGATCATGTCTGTAATCCCAGCACTTTGGGAGGCCGATGTGGGAGGACTGCTTGAGGCCAGGAGTTTGAGACCAGCCTAAGCAACATAACGAGACCCTGACTCTACAAAAAATACAAAAACTAGCCAGGTGCAGTGGTGCACGCCTGTGGTCCCAGGTAGTTGGGAGGCTGAGGTGGGAGGATGGCTTGAGCCCCGGAGGTTGAGGCTGCAGTGAGCTGTGATCATACCACTGCACTCTAGCCTCGGTGACGGAGTGAGATCCTTTCTTAAAATAAGTAAATAGGCTGGGCACGGTGGCTCACGCCTGTAATCCCAGCACTTTGGGAGGCCGAGGCGGATGGATCACCTGAGGTCAGGAGTTCGAGACCAGCCTGACCAACATGGCGAAACCATGTCTCTACTAAAAATACAAAATTAGCCAGGCGTGGTGGCGCATGCCTGTAATCCCAGCTACTCGGGAGGCTGAGGCAGGAGAATCACTTAAACCCGGGAGGCAGAGGTTGCAGTGAGCTGAGCTCATGCCATTGCACTCCAGCCTGGGCAACAAGAGTGAAACTCCATCTCAAAAAGAAAACAAAAAACAAAAAACAAAAAAAGTAAATAAAAATTGAAGGGTACAGTTCTATGGTTTTGGGTATATTCACAGTTGTGCAGCCATCCCAAGTCAATTTTAGAACTTCCACCTCAAGGGGGAAGCTTGGTACTTTTTAGCTATGGTCCCCACCCCCGCCCTGCTGCTTCTGTCTCTGTGGGTTTCATAGGAACTGAGTCATGTAACATGTGGAACATTTGTGTCTTGTGTCTCTCACTCAGCACGGCGCTTTTGAGGCTCACCCACACCGCAGCATGAGTTAGAGCTGTGTCCTTTCTGATTGCCAAGTAATATCTCACTGCATGGTCTAGCTGGGTTGACATCCCATTGCACGCTCTAGCTGGGCTGTGAAGGAGCAGACTGCTTGTGCATGTGGGTAACAGGCGGGTGTGCAGTGAGACATCAGTCTGGTGCACGTGGGTAACAGGCGGGTGTGCAGTGAGACGTCCGTCTCCTCCTGCCTGCCACACATCCCCAGGGCACAGATGTGCCAGTCACTTTCTGAGCAACTACTTCAAATCTTCAGAACAACCCTTTGAGAAGTATTTCTAGTTTACTGATGAAGATAGACAGACAGATATAAAAAACTTGCCCAAAGCCACGTTGCCAGTCAGGGCCACTGAGGCCTGGCCCGTTCCGAGGTGCGGGCTCTTCCTTCCCTCCCCAAGGCTGCAGGAATCAGTCAGGGGAGTGGCAGGCTCCAGCCATGCCACTGCGGGTAGGTTTCTTGCCAATTAAGCTTTCTGCCTTGGGCTGAGAAGAGGATGCCTGTGTGTTGCCTCATCGTCCCCAGGAGTTCCTGTCCTGTCTCTAAGATGCATGAGGGCTGGAGCAGCCATGTGGTTACAGAAAACTGCTCCCCCTCAGGGCCCCCAAAGCAAATCAGGGCCCTTCCTTTATGCATGTGGTGATCCTCAGGCAGCTAGAATGGGACACCGGTGAGCACACCAATGAGGCTGAAGACCATCACATCCATTATCTGAGCACGGATGGCCCAGCTACCTGTGGAAAGCACCACAAGCCTTTGCTGGTGGAAGTGGGTTGGTGACTTGTTCCACTTTTCTTTTATTTATTTATTGTTTTTGAGACAGAGTTTCACTCTTGTTGCTCAGGCTGGAGTGCAATGGCACGATCTCGGCTCACCACAACCTCCACCGCCCAGGTTCAAGCGATTCTCCTGCCTTAGCCTCCCTAGTAGCTGGGATTACACGCATGCGCCATCACGCCTGGCTACTTTTCTGTTTTTAATAGAGATGGGGTTTCTCTATGTTGGTCAGGCTCGTCTCAAACTCCTGACCTCAGGTGATCCGCCCGCCTCAGCCTCCCACAGTGCTGGGATTATAGGCGTGAGCCACGCTCTGTTCCTGGTTTTGTCTTCTTTCTCTTAAACAGGACCCCACATTTTATGAGCGTCAAGCCCCACCCAGCCTAACTCCGCCCTTGCTTTGTCCTCTTAGAGTCTCAGTTTCCCCAGGTGTACGACAGGCAGTGTGGTGGCGGTAATGGGCTTCCATCAGTGCCTGCCACGTGGGCGTGGGGCTCAGTAGGTGCTGCCGCTGCTGCTGCCAAAGCTAGAAGAGCCCCCACAGGGCACAGAGCCGTTCCCTGGATCCCCTGGACCTGGTGGGCTGTTTCCACCTCCACAAGGCAGCCAATTCCCCGGTAGCTCTGACTGTTGCGAAGGCAGGGAGGAGGGGGGACCCCAGCAGCCTGAGGAGCTTGCGGCTTGTCCAGGCATGGAGGGTGGGGACCCTCTGTGGGCAGTTTTTGCCAAAACTTCTGGCTATGGTGAGAGGGTCAAAGGCGAAGCCTTGAGGTCTCCATTCTGGAATTGTCTGCCCGGGGTCACCAGGACCACACTGGGGCTGTGCCTGCGTGCTGGGAGCTGAGTGCATAGTGACAGGTCGGCACTGGTAGGGGCCTGTGCAGATGGGATGGTGCTGGGGGTGGGGGTGGGGGTCCAGGCTTCCAGGCAGCGCCTGATGTGGTTTTGGTTACAGACACTGCCTGTGTTTCCCTCTAAGCTGCTGAAAAGCTCAGAAATGTGCAGCAGGGGCTGGAGCTCAGCCTGGGTTCTGACTGCATGCGGGAGGTGGGCGCCAGGATGACTGGGACTTCAGGCTGCGTGGACCCACTTCCTGGGTTTAAAAACGGGCTCTTCACCTGCCAGCTGTGTGCTCGGGCAAGGCCTTCTCTGCCTCTCTGAGCTTTGGTTTTCCTGTGTGTGCAAGACAGATGAATCACAGGCCCTGCCCCGTGGAGTGATTGGAAGATTCAGTGTGATAATTTATGTGGAGGGCTGTCGCTTCTTTGAACCCCTTCCGCCGAGGTGTAGGGTGATGTCCCCTTGCCCTGAGCCTGGGCAGGTGCTCCTGACGGGAGTGGTAAACAGGATGCCGCAGGAGCAGTGCTTTGTGACTCTGGAAGCCAGGGCAGAAAAGGACATCGTGTCCATCTGGCTCTTTCTGGAAATGCACCCTTGGAGCCCTGAGCACTGCATAGAAGCCAGCTGGGTCCCCAGGGAGTGACCGTGGCAGGCATTCCTGGAGGGTCTCTGCCGAGTCAGTCCCACAGCAGGGCCCGGACCAGCCTGGAACCAGGAGAGATGATGGGGACTACGTGACTCTGGTCTTTCCTGCCCTAATTCAGGACAACTTGTTCCTTAACTGGAGGAAACCAGGAAAGCAGCCCAGAAGCTGCAGGTGAGCCCGTCCCTGGGTGAGAACTGCTGAGTCCGCGGGGGAGTGGCAGAGCTGGGATTTGAAGCCAAGGCCATCTGCCCTTGAGCCTGAGGCCACCATGGCCCTGTCCTGCCCTGCACTGCCCACCAATCAGGAATTAGATTCAACCACACTTCTAGCATTTTCCATCACAAGGCCATCATTCTAAAATTTCATGGGCTCCCAGAAGGTAATAGCTCTCTCTGGGAATCACCTGACAGAAAGCACCCGCAGCAACAAAAAGCGATTTTAACCTTAGTGATTGGGCTGGTGGATTTTCGTTTCGTGACGGGCAGCAGCAGCCTGTGCCTTCCACAGCAGACTTGAGTGTGTGAGTGTTGGCCACAGCTGGGCCTTAAACTCAACTGCACATTTCACCAAGAACCAGACATGCTCCTTATTCCATTACATGGTGAGAATGCTGCTCTAGTGTGGATTTTTTTTTTTTTTTTTTTTTTGGAGACGGATTCTCGAGCTGTCACCCAGACTGGAGTGCAGTGGCACGATCTCGGCTCACTGCAACCTCCGTCTCCTGGGTTCAAGCGATTCTCCTGCCTCAGCCTCCTGAGTAGCTGGGATTACAGGAGTGTGCCACGATACCCAGCTAATTTTTGTATTTTTAGTAGAGACGGGGTTTTGCCATGTTGGCCAGGCTGGTCTTGAACTCCTGACCTCAGGTGATCTATTCACCTCAGTCTCCCTAAGTGCTGGGGTTACATGTGTGAGCCACCATACCTGGGCTACTGTGGATGTTTAATATCTCCATTTCACAGGCGAGGAAGCTGAGGCTCAGAGGTGCGCAGCTCAGGAGTGGTGGATCTGGGCTCTGAACCCAGGAGTCCAACTGTGGGGCTCTCTGATACACTGTGCTATGGGAGAAGCTCCCAGAAGTCCTAGGCTAGGAGCCTCTAGGCGAGAGAGTTGTTCAAGTCTCTTCCCATTCCCTGGCCCATGAAGCACAGACTCTTGCTCCCAAGGCTGGGCCTTTTACCTCCTAAGGTCTTTTTTTTTTTTTTTTTTTTTTTTTTGAGATGAGTCTCGCTGTGTCACTCGGCCTGGAGTGTAGTGGCACAATCTGAGCTCACTGCAACCTCCACCGCCCAGATTCAAGCAATTCTCCTGCCTCAGCCTCCTGAGTAGCTGGGATTACAGGCACCCGCCACCACGCCTGGCTAATTTTTGTATTTTTAGTAGAGATGAGGTTTTATCATGTTGGCCAGGCTGGTTTTGAACACCTGACCTCAAGTGATAAGCCCGCCTTGGCCTCCCAAAGTGCTAGGATTACAGGCGTGAGCCACCGCACCCAGCCTCTTAAGGTCTTTTAATTTCTCAAAGGTCTAACTCGGCCAGGTGCGGTGGTTCACGCCGGTAATCCCAGCAATTTGGGAGGCCAAGGTGGGCAGATCACTTGAGGTCAGGAGTTTGACACCAGCCTGGCCAACATGGTGAAATCCCGTCTCTACTAAAAATACAAAAATTAGCCAGGCATGGTGGTGGGCGCCGGTACTTCCAGCTACTCATGAGGTTGAGGCAGGAGAATCACTTGAACCTGGAAGGCGGAGGTTGCAGTGAGCCGAGGTCGCACCATTGCACTCCAGCCTGGGCAACAGAGCGAGATTTTATCTCAAAAAAAAAAAAAAAAAAAAAAAAAAAAAAAAAGAGTCTAACTCTTTATTTTCAGCTGAGGGGATGAGCCCAGAGATCAGCATCAGGACCAGAGCTCAGTCCGCGGTGGCACTTCCTCCCCTGTCCCGGGCATCATTCCTCCCCTGTGGTTTGCCTAGAAAATTCTGACTTACCCCATGGAGAAGAAATGCTCCAGAACCTTCCCCGGGAGGAAAACAGCCCTTGGGTAAAGGGTCCTTCACAATCAGCTCTTTTCTTTCCCACCAAGAGGTGGGACCACCTGGTGTGGGAGGTGGAGGCTGGCTGGGAAAACAACCCCTGCCCAGGTTTCCTCTGGCTGTGGAGCCGCGTGGAGGAAGAGGATGGGGCGTCAGAGCTCTCAGAACCGTGGCCTTGTGAAGTTCCTGAGCAGGCAGATGGGGCGGCAGGGGGTGATCTGGTCCCAGTCCCAGGAGGCCACCCCGAAGCCAGCATCAAGGCGAAGGCCACGTACAGATCAAACGTCTCCTTGAACCGCGAGGAAGGGCTGGTCCCAGCTCCATCTGGACCAGCCTCCACCATTGTTAACACAGGTTGAAGCCTCATCCGTCCGCACATGTGAGGCTTGCGTTGACTCCTTCTGCCCTGGAATTCTTTTGTATGCTGCTGAATAAATAAACTACATTTCTTTGGAATTTCTCCTTCTCCCTCAAAGCCTTTTCTCAGCTGATCTTGGAGAAAGGCGACACTGTTGTCCCCACCATCTTTTCGAGCTGCGCTGGATACAGGGAAGCCTATGGATCGCTGGGCGGAGAGCTGCGGTTTGGGCAGGTTTCTCTCCGCCCTTGGGCTTGGGGTCGGACAGGGACGTTCAAGGAGAGTGCTGGGTGGTACATGAGTCAACATTCTTAAATGTTATTAGTTAGGGATTTGAGGTTTTTGTTTCAATCTGTTTTAAAACAAACTTTATCATTAGTGAATACCATCACCCAGGACAAGGCTAAAAATTTTTCGAGCTAATCAATTTAAAGAAAAATATTAACTAGGCTGGGCGCGGTGATTCACGCCTGTAATCCCAGCACCTTGGGACGCCAAGGCGGGCGGATCACCTGAAGTCAGCAGTTTGAGACCAGCCAGCCTGGCCAACATGGTGAAACCCCGTCTCTACTAAAAATACAAAAATTAGCTGGGTATGGTGGCGCACACCTATTGTCCCAGCCGCATGGGAGGCTGAGGCAAGAGAATTGCTTGAACCCGGGAGGCGGAGGTTGCAGTGAGCCAAGATCGCGCCACTGCATTCCAGCCTGAGTGACAGAGGGAGACTCCTCGAAAAAATAAAAAAGAAAAGAAAAGAAAAATATTCAGTAGAAAGTTGTCCCATTGGCAGGCAGATATGTCAAACGTCTTCAGGATCTCGCCTGCATGGCTGAATTTTGGGAACTTCTGTTGAGCTCAACACCCTTATTTTATGGAGGAGGAAACAGGGTCCCAGAGCAGTGGTGATGCATTCGAAGTCAGAGAGACCTAGCTGTGGACACACCAGCATCAACCCTGCGGAATCCCATTTCCAGAACTGGAACCACAGCCCCTTGGCGGGGCTCTTTCCACTACGCCATTTCTTTTTCCTTGCAAATGAATCGCTGCACTAAACAATTTTGCTTGTCAGATTATACTGATTTCTTTCTTTTCTTTTCTTTTTTTTTTTTTGAGATGGGATTTCACTCTTGTCACCCAGGCTGGAGTGCAATGACACGATCTCAGCTCACTGCAACCTCCACCTCTGGGTTCAAACGATTCTCCTGCCTCAGCCTCCCGAGTAGCTGGGATTGCAGGCATGTGCCACCGCACCCAGCTAGTTTTGTATTTTTAGTGGAGACGGGGTTTCTCCATGTTGGTCAGGCTGGTCTCGAACTCCCAACCTCACGTGATCCACCTGCCTCAGCCTCCCAAAGTGCTGGGATTACAGGCGTGAGCCTCCGCGCCCGGCCTGCTGATTTCAAATATGCAGCTTACCTTATGTTTTATTTCCGGCAAGATGTCCACCAGCCTCTGCAGCGTCTGATGATGGGCCCCGAGCTGCATGGCAGACAAAGGAGGGGTTAGCTGCAAAGGCAGTGGATGGGGGGGGAAGCTCACTCCACTGTAAATACACCACGTTTTAAAAGCAATCCTAGGCCAGGTGCGGTGGCTCATGCCTGTGATCCTAGCACTGTGGGAGGCCGAGGTGGGCGGATCATCTAAGGTCAGGAGTTCGAAACCAGCCTGGCCAATATGGTGAAACCCTGTCTCTACTAAAAATACAAAAATTAGCTGGGTGTGGTGGCACACTCCTATAGTCCCAGCTACTGGGGAGGCTGAGGCAGGAGAATCACTTGAACCCAGGAGGTGCAGGTTGCAATGAGCCGAGACTGTGCCACTGCACTCCAGCCTGTGTGACACAGCGAGTCCTGTCTCAAAAAAAAAAAAGCAATCCTAATGATGGATCACCACTTTCTTCATTAGATCTACACCCGAGCAAGTGATTACCTTTAAAAACACGCCTATCACAGCCAAACCATTCTCTCCCACGACAGCTTCCTTGTAATTTTGGTATTTCACAGAATTCCAGTGAACTAAATGCAGCTGAAACACAATGGAAAGAGAACTTAAATTGATCAGCAAGAAATAAGACAGTCACTTCCCCTTCTGAATGGCTGACCTATGTGTCCACTTAATCATAATGAAATGGCCAGGCGCGGTGGCTCACACCTGTAATCCCAGCACTTTGGGAGGCGGAGGCGGGTGGATCACGAGGTCAGGAGATCGAGACCATGCTGGCTAACATGCTGAAATCCTGTCTCTACTAAAAATACAAAAAAAAAAAATTAGCTGGGCGTGGTGGCGGGAGCCTGTAGTCCCAGGTACTCAGGAGGCTGAGGCAGGAGAATGGTGTGAACCCAGGAGGTAGAGCTTGCAGTGAGCTGAGATTGTGCCACTGCACTCCAGCCTGGGTGACAGAGCGAGACTCCATCTCACAAAAAAAAAAAAAAAGAACTAAGTTGTTGCAGCCAGATGAGTAAGATCCCAGCACCAGCAGCACCTCTGAGCTCCCAGGCCCTTGACGAAGCCACAGGAAGGAACAGCCTCAGTCTTCCTGGTGGGGGGGGAAAGGAGAGGATCATGTTAACCTCATCCAATAGAAATGGGTGGTTTCATTATTTTCTACTTCCTAGTTATCCTTGGACAAGAATTACCAGAAGAAACTCAGGCCTCGGCTGGGCGCGGTGGCTCACGCCTATAATCTCAGCACTCTGGGAGGCCGAGGTGGGTGGATCACGAGGTCAGGAGTTCAAGACCAGCCTGGCCAAGATGGTGAAACCCCGTCCCTACTAAAACTACAAAAACTAGCCAGGCGCAGTGGCAGGTGCCTGTAATCCCAGCTACTCAGAAGGCTGAGGCAGGAGAATCACTTGAACCTGGGCAGCAGAGGTTGCAGTGAGCCAAGATCGTGAGATAGCGCCACTGCACTCCAGCCTAGGCAACAGAGTGATACTCAGTCTCAAAAACAGATAAATAAATAAATAAAATATCTGTTCATCAAAAACAAAGTTGCAGATAGAGATACTAAAATAAAAGTCATGTTGTTAAATGAAAGGAAGCACACAGAAGCCATTGTTGTGCTCATTCTTGGAACAATTTATAAATATGTGTATGATGATGACAATAGATATCACTCCCTATTTATAAAATGTCCGGAGGTCACCTCTGGGTGTGAGATTACAAGCAATTTTCATTTTTTGGTTTGGGTGGACTCTAGTTCCACATTAACTGCAGCATTACTTTCATAACAACAACAAGTTCAAAAAACAGAAAGAGTCCTCAGCTTGAAAAAGCATCAAAAAGTTAGGTGAGTGGGTGAGCAGAGGTGTGATAAAGTGAATATGGCAAAAATGATCATCACAGGACTGAGACATCAAACTCGTAGATTCTTCTCGTTCATTTCTTTTCATTTTTTCGTATGTTGCAAAAATTTCATAATGAAATATTTGGGGAAATCTATAAGGCATCACTTATCACCCCAAAAAAACTACAAAAACCAATTCCCAACATTGATATGCACTGATTTTCTCTACTGACTCCCACTTTGGAAGGTTGAAAATAAGACTGCTTTAAGATGATCTTAGCCGGGTACGGTGGCTCACGCCTGTTATCCTAGCACTTTGGGAGGCTGAGGTGGGTGGATCACTTGAGGTCAGGAGTTCGAGACCAGCCTGGCCAACATGGCGAAACCCCATCTCTACTAAAAATACAAAAATTAGCAGGGCCTGGTGGCACGCACCTGTAATCCCAGCTACTCGGGAGGCTGAGGCAGGAGAATCGCTTGAGCCTGGGAGACGGAGGTTGTGGTGAGCCAAGATTGCACCAATGCACTCCAGTCTGGGTGACAGAGTGAACCCTGTTTCAAAAAAAAAAAACCAAAAACCAAAAAACAAACAAACAAACAAACAAAAGAAGATGATCTCTATTGCAAAGATGTTCAGCTTCTCAGCAGAGGGCCTTGTGGATTTGCTAGTCCCTACAGCTGCAAGCACACAGCTGAGTGAAGTGCGGCAAAGAGCTCAAGCTCTGACTTTGCATCCCGGCTGTCTGGCTTTGGCAAGTTCCGTAACCATTCAGAACCTCAGTCTCTTCTTCCGTTAAATGAGAGAGAACTTACAGCGCCTTCCTCGTAGGAGAGGTGTGACTAAACGGGTGGGGCGGCCGACGGTTCTGGTTTGAGCACTGACAGTCCCAGGCCCCAGGAAATCCTTCACATCTGAGCGGCGCGCATGGCTTGTTCACCCCCCACCATAGAGCCGGAGACATGGAAAGTGTGCAGATATGTGCTGTTAGGCCACGTCTACAAACCTCTGCGGGGTACGCGTGGCCGTCCACTGTGTGCTCTGAGCCCCCCTCGTTCACTGCTCCCCAGTGGAAGTGAAATTGCTTCAGTCTGTAGTGGTTTTCCAAGGGCCCACCACTAATTCCTGGAAATAAAGGCAGTGAGACGTGTGTGTCATTTTGTCTGTTTGTTGAGCTGTGGTGTTACCTGAGGCATTGTCTACATTAGGGTTATATGAGTTCACTCGCAAGGGGTTGCTGTATGGTTGAAGTGACAAGCCAAAGGTGGGCTCCGTGAAAGGTGGGCTCTGTCTGTCCCATTCACTCTGCCCCCCCCCAGCCCAGCGCCTGCCCAGAGGTTCACAGTAAATGTGGAATGAAGGCAGGGTCCCAGTGCTGCCACTGGGTGGTGGTGAGGGCCTCAACTCCCTGCAGGCAGAAATCCGTAAAGAACGTTTCTGTGATGCCTGCCTGTCCTATAAGATTTCCAGACTTTAATTAAAAAAAAAGGTGTCTTCCAAATATTTTTTAAAAGCAGCTTAAATCCTATCACCAAATAACATTATAAAATAACACACAATGAGCAAAGTTTTTGTTTTGTCTTGTTTTGTTTTATTTTAAGACAGAATCTTACTCTATTGCCCAGGCTGGAGTACAATGGCATGATCTCAGCTCACTGCAACCTCCACCTCTGGGTTCTAGTGATTCTCCTGCCCCAGCCTCCTGAGTAGCTGGGATTACAGGCATGTGCCACCAGGCCAAGCCAATTTTTGTATTTTAAGTAGAGACGGGGTTTCACCATGTTAGCCAGGCTGGTCTCAAACTCCTGATCTCAGGTGATCCACCCGCCTCTGCCTCCCAAAGCGCTGGGATGACAGGTGTGAGCCACCGCTCCTGGGTGAGCAAGGTCTTTAAATAAGAAGACCCTGAGCTGTAGCATCAGTCCTGATCTCTGGCAGTCCCTGCTTAATCTAGGCCCACCACAGGGCCAGCTTTTATTGGAACACTCCTTCCTTCCTAAGTCACCCTAAACACTCACCTTGGAGTCAGCACTCTCTACCTGCAGGCCTCGGGGTGCCCCTCTCCATGGCACAGTGCCAGGTGCAGCCTCCCAGGAGCTTGCTTCTCCTGACATGTGGGGCTCAGCCATAAGCATCGCTCGCTGAGGCCTCTGGCTCTGGCCCCCAGAGTCATGGCTGCCATTCCCACGTCCAGGTAGTGCTGGGAGTCTGCCTTTTAACGAGCTCCCCAGGGGTTCGGATGTGGGTGGCTTCTCCTGTGTCTAAGTACTTTGTCACTAACAGATTTCCATCAGCAGCTGCTACAAATGGGGTACCCGTTCCACACGTTTTCACTGAAAGCAGCACAGCGTGCTCCTGGGATGGCTGGGCAAGGCTGGAAGGCGCCAGCAGAACTGGAGCACTGATCCCGAATTCAGGGTGGCCCGAGTGCCTCCCATAGCTGTGGAGGAGCCTCATGTCACCTCCCGCTGTGGCAAAAGCCAGGAAAGCACTGAGCGCGTGATGAATGCCTTGGGGAGCTTGACACTGCTGACTCCTGGTGGTTTCCCGACACCAGAAGTACTTGGGCTGGGCGTGGTGGCTCACACCTGTACTCCTAGCGCTTTGGGAGGCCGAGGCGGGCGGATCACTTGAGGTCAGGAGTTAGAGACCAGCCTGGCCAACGTGGTGTAACCCATCTCTACTGAAAATACAAAAATTAGCTGGGTGTGGTGGCGGGTGCCTGTAATCCCAGCTACTCGGGAGGCTGAGGCAGGAGAATTGCTCGAACCTGGGAGGCGGAGGTTGCAGTGAGCTGAGAACGTGCCACTGTACTCCAGACTGGGCGACGGAGTGAGAATCAGTCTCAAAAAAAAAAGTACTCATAGTTGGAGGCACCAAGGTGTAAACTGGAAAATGGAAAATGGATTTGGCTTTAGTCCAGTCAGGGGCTAGGCAAGTGCTGGACCAAGCCACAGAGCTGCTCACTGCCCCTCTTCACTCAAAATCTCAGTGTTGGTCTGGAGCAACCTCAGAGTCATATCTAGTTTTAAAATTCTACCATTATGAGCAAATCTTCTATTCTCCTTAAACATACACAGATGAATTACATCTCAATTTTTAAAAATACACAGAAAGAGTCCTTCCCACAATAAGCACATAAAATCACTTTGTTAGGCCAGGCACAGTGGCTCACGCCTGTAATCCTAGCACTTTGGGAGGCCAAGGCGGGTGTATCACTTGAGGTCAGGTGTTTGAAACCAGCCTGGCCAACATGATAAAACCTCATCTCTACTAAAAATACACAAAATTAGCCAGGTGTATTGGTGGGTGCCTGTAATCCCAGCTACTTGGGAGGCTGAGGCAGGAGAATCGCTTGAACCTGGCGGGTGGAGGTTGCAGTGAGCCGAGATTGCGCCAATGCACTTCAGCCTGGGCGACAGAGTGAGACTCTGTCTCAAAAACAAAACACAGGCGTGAGCCACCGTGCCTGGCCTCCAAAACACAATCTAAGGAACTTACAGAACCACAAAATGGGAGCACGGTGAGCTCTGTGCTCGCTTCTGCCTCGGCCTGTGTCTGTGGGGGAAAGGGGGTTTGCAGCCGACCAGCCCCAGCAGCATCAAAGTGCATTGATGGGTGACTGAGGGTGGAGCCTCCCAGGGGGTCTGCCTCTCTCTCTTGGGATGGGCTCACTCATGATAAGTTTACTGTGTGGAAATTCACGCATGTCTGTATCATCTCTTCTAGAATAGAAATGCCTAGAAGGCAGGGATGATGGATGCTTCATGGACAAATTAGACTGGACCCAGCCTGGTAGATGCCATTTGTAAGACTGAGTTAAGTCCCATCCAGTTGCACTCTTAGAGCAGAGGCTGTTTCTAGGCTGGGTGTGGTGGCTCACGCCTGTAATCCCAGCACTTTGGGAGGCCAAGGTAGGCAGATCACCCAAGGTCAGGAATTCAAGACCAGCCTGACCAACATGGTCAAACCCCACCTCTACTAAAAATACAAAAAATTAGCCAGGTGTGGTGGCAGGTGCCTGTAATCCCAGCTACTTGGGAGGCTGAGGCAGGAGAATTGCTTGAACTTGGCAGGCGGAGGTTGCAGTGAGCCGAGATAGCGCCACTGCACTCCAGCCTGGGCAACAAGAGTGAAACTCCGTCTCAAAAACAAACAAACAAACAAACAAAAGCGGTTGTTTCCGTCTGGACCATCACTGTATCAACAGGACTTAGTGCAGGAAGGGGTCATCGAAGGCACACAACGAACCCTCATGGGATGAATGAATACAGGAACGAATGGGATTAGTCAGTCCACTGATTTATTCATCGAATCACTTGGTCGGTAAGCAGCTCTGTGTGTTACAGTGGAATCGAGCCTTTCCCACGGCAGTTGGGGAACCGCCTGGGATCTCTAGGAAAGTCCACAGAACACAGAAATAGTTAAAGACCTGGATTTGCAACTCAGCTCTGCTTCTAACTTGCTGTGTGACCCTGGGCAAGTAGCTTAGCCTCTCTGAGCCTAAGCCTCTCTACCTGTTAAATGAGAAGGGCGGGCAGGATAAATGGAGACAAGGCAGGAGGCATTTTGTAAAGTGTTGTCTGATGATGGCAGTGGTGGTGATTGCGCATCGCACACCCTTCAGGGGCTCCGCAGCTTCGTCTGTGTAAAGAGAGTTACTACACGTTTCTCCTGGTCCCAGCTCAAGCACCCTAGGGTTCTACGTAGGCACATAAATAGGGTTCCAAAGAGAGCGACGCCAACTGCATGAGGCATAAGTCCACTGACAGCCGATGCCTGCCGGATCCCCACCCACAAAACCTAGTAGAAAAGTCACCCTCCAGACTGTGGCCAACCAACAAGGGCCAGGAACGGGAGCTGCTGGGACCGGAAGGGACTTGTGAGCCCTGAGCCTCTGCAGGGTAAGGTGCTGTGCTAACTCTGGGGCTGGAAGACTTTCCCAAGGGTTTCCAGCAGGGCTGGAGCCCACAGGCATCTCTTCATCCTTCCCGACCCCGAGCTGTCCCAGAATTCTTCTTCTCCTCCTTCTTCTTCTGCTTTTTCTTCTTTTTGAGACAGAGTTTCACTCTGTCGCCCAGGCTGGAATGCGGTGGCGTGATCTCAGCTCACTGCAACCTCCACCTCCCGGGTTCAAGAGATTCTCCTGCCTCACTGCCTCAGCCTCCCAAGTAGCTGGGACTACAGGTGCGCACCACCACACCCGGCTATTTTTTTTTTTTTTTGTATTTTTAGTAGAGACGGGGTTTCACCATGTTGGCCAGGATGATCTCGATCTCCTGACCTCATGATCCGCCTGCCTTGGCTTCCCAAAGTGCTGGGATTACAGACGTGAGCCACTGTGCCCAGCCTCTCACAGAATTCTTTACTGCAGCAGCCTCTGATGGGCCGGATCCCCCGCCTCTCTACTCACTGGAGTAAGAGACAAGTCAGCCCTTTCCAATCTGCCTCCTGAGGGGAACCATGGGGCCCTCGGGACATGCGGCCCCTCCTCAGGCTGGCTCGGGGCATCTGCACGCCTGTACCTGAACAAGGGACTTGCTTGAAACGGCGGCCACCCTGGGCTGGGGACCAAGCACGCTCAGGGGAAAACCCAAAAAGGCTACTGGGTCTCTCTGGCTCTATGATACGCAAATGAGGAGGGAAGCGAAACGTTCGTTCTTCTAAGAGGATAACTGCAAAGGAAGGCTGGGCCGCTGCGTTTTCGGGAACAGCAGGTGCAGGGGCCGATGGATCACTCGGGCTGGGCTGGAGCGGCCCCTGGTGGCAGTTCGGTGAAGAGCAACGTAGCCCGCGCGGGGCGCACGCATTTCAGGAAGACACAGAGGCCTTTTTACTGGAAATGCCAGCGGGTGTGGATTCCACAGGCTCCTCTTCAGCATCAGTCTAGTGTGGGATTCATACACCTTGAGCCTCTTTCAAGGTGAAACAGAGAATCTCACTGCAAATTTTAAATCCCACTGTAAATTCCGAAATTAGACCTGCGCCGCGAAGACCGCCCACCAGCAAAATGCCAAGCGTATTTCTTTAAAAACTGGAAAGCCGTGTTTCGTTACTCTTCCTGTAGACAACACAGCATGGGGTCAGGAGTGGGGTCTGGAGTCGGACGCACGTTCAGAAGCTGGGGCCACCACTCCCAAACTGTGTGCTCTAGGTCCAGCTTTTGCACCCCTTCTAGCCTCAGTTTCCCCATTTGTAAAGTGCGGATGATCCTTGAACCCCCACCATAGGACTGCTGTTACGGTTAAGTCACATGGGAAATACGAAGTCCTTAGCACAACGCTTGACGTAAAGGAAGCACTCTAAAACAAACAAACAAACAAAAAACAACGAACTGGAAGCCACTGAAGCCTTCATGGGGTGAAACAGCTGATTAAGGGGCAAAGGCTCTCACTGGCCAGGTTCTGCCGTGTCCCGGGCACCACGCATCCTGTCCATGAGCTCACGTCGTTGTCGTGATGGAGAAGGCTTGGTGTGTACCAGAGTGCAGCGGAGGAGCTGGCGTTCGCTGGGCACCTGCTACCTGCTGGGCATTGCGAGGTAACTTTATGTTCCTCCCAGGATGAACTCCTCACAATGGCCCTACAGAGCAGGTCCTGTGAGTCCAACTTTGAGATGAGGAAATTGAGACGCAGAGAGGTTCGGTCACCTGCCCCAGTTTAGCCGGCAACCTCACCCAGGTCTGACGGTCCAGGCCCTCAGCTTTTGTAGTAGGGTTCAGGCCAAACTCTGCTACTTGCCTTGCCAGTAAAGTTAGGGACCCAATTTAAGGCTGCAGACCTGGATAAAATAATCTCAAAGTGACTTCTTTTTTTTTAGGTGGAGTCTCACTCTGTTACCCAGGCTGGAGCGCGGTGGGGTGCTCTCGGCTCACTTCAACCTCTGCCTCCCAGGTTCCAGTGATTCTCCTGCCTCAGCCTCCTGAGTTGCTGGGACTACAGACATGTGTTACCACACCCCACTAATTTTTGTTTTTGTTTTTGTTTCTTTGAGATGGAGCCTTGCTGTCACCTAGGCTGGAGTGCAATGGCCAGATCTTGGCTCACTGCAACCTCCACCTCCTGAGCTCAAGCGATTCTCTCACCTGTGCTTCCCGAGTAGCTGGGATTATAGGCACCCACCAGCATGCCCAGCTAATTTTTGTATTTTTAGTAGAGACGGGGTTTCACCATGTTGGCCAGGCTGGTCTTGAACTCTTGACCTCAAGGGATCTGCCGCCTCAGCCTCCCCAAGTGCTGGGATTACAAGCATGAGCCACTGTGCCCAGCCTAAAGTGACTTTTCATAATGACAATACAATGTCAGGGTATTCTCCTTAATCAAAAAAAAAAAAAAAAAAAAAGGCAAGCCCAATTCACGAAAAGGGGTCTTTAAGCTGCCAGCCCCCATCCCCCGGACTCTGCTATCAGCAGGGCTGGTCCACCGGGCAGCACTGGCCACTGTTGCCTCAGCGTTCTGTGTAAGCAGGTGCGTCAGAACCGGCTCATGGAGATATAATTGAACGATTGCCTCAGCGCGTGCCAGACTCTCCAAACATAATAACAGATGACGTTTGGGGCCGGCTCCAGGCTGTGACGTGCTGGCCCCAGAGAATATTGTCTCTGCTATTACAACAGATGCTGTTAATAGCCATCTATTTGTAGTTCGGGGCTTTTACCAAGATGAGCAGGCTTTTGGCAGGCACGGGTTGTTTGAAGGCTTAAAATTAGTACACGAGAAGTTTGAGATGTTCTAATTACTGGAAATTTCAAATAACATGATGCTGCAAAGGACCGGCCTGCTTCCGGTGCCACTCTGGGAGGTAGTGCACGTTCCCAAGCTGTAAAGGGTGACACGGCTGAGGGCTTCTGTGTGCCACCTCCCCAGGCAGGCAGGGGCCGCAGCCACTGCAAGCCCCTGCCCACAGAACTCCGCGACGATGGAACCTAGACTGCTCCCTGGAAGTTAGCCTCTGAGACCATCACATATTGGCACTGGTTTGAAAGCCAGGCAAATGTGGGCTCCAATCCTGGCTTCACACGGTGGGGCTTTGCAAGTTGTTTTATAGGTCTGTGGCCCAGACTAGACGTTTATAAAAGGATAATGATGCCTACTTCAGGGGCCCATGGCAAGGATTGAGTACGGTGATGCTTACAAAGTACCTCCCTCACAGTCCCTGGCACGCAGTGAGAGCTCAAATAATGGTAGCCACTTACTATTATTATGACTGGTGTTATTGTTATTATTAAAATTACTGTCATCGCCCAGGCACGGTGGCTCATACCTGTAATCCCAGCACTTTGGGAGGCTGAGGCGGGCAGATCACTTGAGGTCAGATGTCTGAGACCAGCCTGGGCAACATGGTGAAACCCCGTCTCTACTAAAAATACAAAAATTAGCTGGGCGTGGTGGCACGCGACTGTAGTGCCAGCTACTTGGGAGGCGGAGGTGAGAGAATCGCTTGAACCCGGGAGGTGCATGTTGCAGTGAGCCGAGGTCGTGTCACTGAACTCCAGCCTGGGCGACAGAGGGAGACTCCATCTCAATAAATAAATAAACAATAAAATAAACTAAAATTGCTATCCTCACTGCCATCACCATCATCTCACCACGGCAGAGATCCGCAGTCCCCTGAAGCAGATACCACGATTCTCAAGGTGAGACCTGCACGTAAAGACGTCGAAAGATAAATATGTCTTAAGAACACGTCCATAAGAAAGGGCTTTGCCAACCATGCAAGCATAAAAGAAGAAAAGTCCCTCATTCATCCGAAAACACCCACTGACTTTCTCCCACGTGCCGGGCACCACGCTCAGTACAAGGGACAGAGGGAGGAGGCTCTGGGCTCAGACTTGCCCTCGCAGAGCGTGGAATCCAGGAGGGGCAGACGGTGGTAGAGATAAAAAGCTGTGTGTCTGAGAGGTGAGAGTGTGGGCTTTGGGGCCCTAAACTTGCTTGGGACGCCCAGGAGGGCCCCCGTGGAAGCGGCGTTTCAGTGGAGCCCTGAAGATGGGTTTCTATTTGTCAGGTGAAGATAATGGCGGCTCCAGGCAGAAAGGGACGACCAGCGGAAAGGACCCTGGTGACAGCAGCCACCACAACGGAACAGGCGGAAGCACCAGCCGGCGAAGGCACTGTCAGGGGCAGCAGGAGATGGGATTACAGGGGCAACAGGGTCGGCGCCGGTGGTGGCTAAAGGAAGTGGGGCCTTCGCCAACAAACCGCAACATGGTTTTTTTTTTTTTGAGACAGAGTCTCGCTCTGTCACCCAGGCTGGATGCAGTGGTACAATCTTGGCTCACTGCAGCCTCCGCCTCCTAGGTTCAAGCAATTCTGCCTCAGCCTCCTGTAGCTGGGATTACAGGCAGGCACCACCACAACTGGCTAATTTTTGTATTATTACCAGAGACAGGGTTCCACCATGTTGGCCAGGCTGGTCTCAAACTCCTGACCTCAGGTGATCCACCTGCCTCGGCCTCCCAAAGTGCTGGGATTACAGGCGTGAGCCACCACACCTGGCCCATCAACAGGTTTTGAATGTTCCAGTCTTTTTTTTTTTTTTGAGTCAGGGGTCTCATTCTGTCACCCAGGCTGGAGTGCAATGGTGTGATCATGCCTCACTGCAGCCTCAACCTCCTGGGCGCAAGCCATCCTCCCCTCTCTGCCTCCTGAGTAGCTGGGACCACCATGCCCGGCTAATTTTTTTTACAAGACCACTGTTAAAAGCCCGGAAGAATCCTGCAGCTCACTGTGGTGGGCTGTTTTGCGTGTGCTAGAGTCTATTCAGCATTTCAGATGGAAAAGCCTCAGCATTCCTCTTCCGTGGGCCTCCACCGTAGCTCCTTTGAAATCTCTGCTCTTTCTTGCACCTTCCCATCTGAGTGTCTGTGCCGTGGCCCCCCCCTCCTCTCCAATACGAAGAGCCCACACTCAGCTTCCCTCCCTCCTCCTCCACCCCACACTGCCCGAGCACCTCACCTCCCAGTGACTGACTCGTCCCCGGTCTTGCACACACCTGGGGAGCGTAGCTGGCCCGTCCTGCACACCAGCCTTGCAGGCTCGCTGAGTAGACCATCCTTGTCTGCTCTTGCTGGGTGCAGCCGTGTGTAGTGGCCCAAGGGGGGTCATCTGGGAGGGCATAAGGAAGCTTAAGTGACGTCTACCACGAGGAAGCGTAAGTGATGTTCACCACAAGAGGCGTGGGGAGCGGCGGCAGCGCGTTCATCCACTGTGCTTGACGTCGCTTATTTCCCCGATGACCTTTTCCCGGACTTCCTAGCTGGATCTCCGTGAGTGCCAGGGCTGGGTCTGGGAAGGGTCTGGGACCCAGCACATCACCTGGCACAGTCAGTGTTTGCTCAATATTTGCTGAGAGAAAACTGCAGCCATGTCACCGATTTACAATAGGAACTTCTCGTATGGAGCAGAAATGTGTTGTTGCCTGTGGCTTTGCAGGAGCTCCGAGCAGTGGCGAGAGGAAGTCACGGGTGACCATGGTAGGCATTACCGCCTGATGGGGTTGCTGGCTGGTCCTGAGCTCATCACCGTCCATCTCCTGCATCCACAGTGATTTCTATTAAGTGCAGCTTTTCGTCAGGCAACCGCCAGCAGCACTGAGGGGTGGGATGATGGCATATTGACCAAAACACTCAGGGGGTGCTAGCCACGCGGCGGGTGCAGATGCGGACCCCCAGCCCCACGAGCTTGCAGTGCCGTTCAGCCCCGCTGCACCCCCGTCTGTCTCCAAGGCTGAGGAACTGGGGTGGGAGGAGGAGGAGGCACAGAGCCGTCTGAACACAGCTAGAGCCACTCACTGGCCCCTGCAGGGGAGCAACGCAGTGGGGAAGCCAGCAGGGAGGGAAGGGGCAGTTGCAGTGGGTGGGCATGGGGGCTCAGCTACTGGCACAGCAACACGAGGGAACCACGGAGAGCAGGAGGGAGGACGTGGGGGCGGGCGCAGGGCGGGAGCACCGGGCAGTCCACAAGGTGGTCAGGACCTCAGCTGGCGGCTGGGCTTGGGAGGGGCTGGCATGGAGTCACGGGCCACCGTCCCCTAAGTGTTTCCCTAGGCAAGGTTCTCATTCCCCTCGTCAGGGGAGGGGATGGGCACAGAGAAGTGCAGCCATGAGCCAGGAACAGAGCTGAGATGAAACCTCGGCCTCCCGTCTTCGGAACGAGAGTTAATCCACAGAGGAGCTAAGGAAAACGCCGGGCACCGAGTTGACGGGTGAGGGGTGTGAGCGATGGGGCCAGCATGGCCGCCGCACCACCAGCTCCATCCTGAGCGTTTCACGGACATGGCCCTCTTCATCCACACAACTGCCCCAGGAGCCACCGAATGAGGCTCGATGAAACCTCGACTCGCGTTGCAGCGCACGTCCGACCACACTCGCCTTTGATCGCATTTATCACTGGGGATCCAGAGGTCAGGGCTTTGTGTCTGCAGCGGTCCCTGGGAAACAATCTACAATTCGAAGCTCCACCAAACTCCCTCAGAGTCACGAAATTTCTATCACTGACTGCTTTCCTCCAAGGCCCAAACTGGATTTATAAACTTCCAAAGGAAACTTTATATTGAAAAAGCGATGTACCCACAGCATTGTAGAACGATGTTTACAAAGGAAAAACAAGGCCAGGCGTGGTGGAGTGAGCCTGTAGTCCCAGCTACTTGGGAGGCTAAGGTGAGAGGGTGGTTTGAGCTCAGGAGAAGCTTGCAGTGAGCCCAGATGCACTTCAGCTTGGGCAACAGTACCAGATCCTGTGTCAAAATTTTTTTTTTTTTTTTTTTTTTTTTTGTGGCTCACACCTGTAGATGCAACTACCCAGGAGGCTGAGGTGGGAGGATCAATTGAGCTCAGGAGGTCGAGGCTGCAGTGGGCTGTGATTGCACCACTGCACTGCAGCCTGGGCGACAGAGCAAGATCCTGTCTCCAAAAAAAAAAAAAAAAAAAAAAAAAGGAAAAACTATTGTTTATGCCATCACCACCCAGTAAACATAGTTACTGATATTTTTACTTGCAGTGTAACTTTCTGGCCCCTTCCCATAACCACATGTATTTGGTAAGCTTTTGTTTTCAAAATAAGCCAATAACATTTAATAAGAAACAACAGTGTATTAGTCTGTTTTCATGCTGCTGATAAAGCCATACCCGAGACTGGGTAATTTACAAAGAAAAAGAGGTTGAATGGACTCACAGTTCCACGTGGCTGGGGAGGCCTCGCAATCACGGCAGAAGGCGAAAGGCAGGTCTTGCATGGGGGCAGCCAAGAGACAGAATGAGAACCAAGCAAAAGGGGTTACTCGGGAGCCTGCGGCAGGAGAATGGCGTGAACCCGGGAGGTGGAGCTTGCAGTGAGCAGAGATCGCGCCACTGCACTCCAGCCTGGGTGACAGAGCAAGACTCCGTCTCAAAAAAAAAAAAAACAAAAAACCATCGGATTGGCTGAGTGCAGTGGCTCACGCCTATAATCCCAGCACTTTGGGAGGCTGAGGTGGGTGGATAGCTTGAGGTTGGGAGTTCGAGACCAGCCTGGCCCACATGGTGAAACCCCATTTTTACACTACACTACATTTTTAGTGTAGATCCCAAATATTTAGCATAAGTATGGTTTGTGTAATATTTAGGATGCTCGTATTTTAAAACGGTGATGCTGGAATGCTCCTCCCCACCGTCATGAAGCTGGCACTTTCTTACCAGCTGGGACTTGGGTCCAGTGGGGTCTTTTCTGACCATGTTGTGTAATGCTCACAACCTCCCTCAGTGGAGTCACCGCTGGCCTATCACCTGCTTTCATTTTCATCACAGCACTTATCACTATCCAAAACCATCTTCTTTCTTATGTACATATTCGTTTATTTTTCTGTAAACTTGTGTAGAGAAGTACCTATTTATTAATTAATGTTTACTAATTTTCTTATCCCACCAGAAGGCAAGCTCCATGGGAGCAGGGGTTTCACTGTCTTGATTGATCCTTCCTCCCTACAAAAGACCACACAGCACACAGGGGTCGCGGTGCACCTGGGAAGCGTCTGGGAAGCTGGACGATCAGAAATGGGCTTTTGGGCTGGGCATGGTGGCTCACGCCTGTAATCCCAGCACTTTGGGAGGCCGAGGCAGGAGGATCACGAGGTCAGGAGATCGAGGCCATCCTGGCTAACACAGTGAAACCCCGTCTTTACTAAAAATACAAACAAAAATTAGCCAGGCGTGGTGGTAGGCGCCTGTAGTCCCAGTTACTCGGGAGGCTGAGGCAGGAGAATGGTGTGAACCCGGGAGGCGGAGGTTGCAGTGAGCCAAGACAGCTCCACTGCACTCCAGCCTGGGTGACAGAGCGAGAGTCTGTCTCAAAAAAAAAAAAAAAAAGAAAAGAAAAGAAAGAAAAGAAAAAAGAAATGGGCTTCTGGATCCAAATGATAACAACAGTGGCTCCACTGCCTGACATTTTGTCCAACATGATCGCACCCCTGGTCACAGTTGATTGGACAGGGATGGGCACTCAAACCATGCTGGACCAATCAGAGCCTCTTCCTCAGTCCCGCTCCTAATTAGTGCAGGGCTGGGCCAATCAGAGTCACTGCTCTGGGAATTTAGAATTGGAAGTGAGCAAGAACAGGAACAGTGGCTCCCCAGTGGCTGAATCTCTAACAGGTAAACTTTGGAAGCTGTTTGGTACGTTTTCATTTTTCAGTCTTGAGGACCAGAAAGCAGAGAAAATATCTGTAGAGAGAGAGGGGACACTGACTTCTACCTAACTTCCCCAAAAATATTCACACCCAGGCCTGAGGGAAGAAACAGGAGCTACATACAGAATGGAGATGGAAACACACGTGTGCACACATGCACACACCACACATGTGCACACACAAACACACATGTGCGCACACACATGAACACACGTGCACATAGAGACACATGCACACAGTGCACAATGCACACCCGCACACGAACACACACATGAACACGTGCACACACACATGAACACACATGCACACATGTATACACAGTGCACATGTGCACACATGCACACATGTATACACAGTGCACATGTGCACACATGCACACGAACACACATGCACACACACGTGCACACACATGTAGTCGCTTTAGGAACTAGACTGCCAGTTTATGAACTTGTGATGATAAATCACTTTCCCAGGATATAAGCGTGATGCTCACATCGTTTCCTCTCAGTCCAGGGGTCGTCCTTGAACCGCACAGCCACAGTCCCAGTCCCGACACTGCCAGGATTCCCCTCCAAGGAATTCACTCTTCCCCTGTCTCTCATCTTGGAGCTGCCGATTTGTGCCCCACTAGAGGAGCCAAGAGGTCCCTAGAGCCTCCTCCTCTGATGCGGACAGCCTGGCAGGCACCCCCCAATTCCGGGCTCTCAGGCCTCGTTTGGATTTATTTTGAAGGAAGCTATTGTCTACTAAATGCTTAATTCTCCCAGAATGGTGCCAAGTGCTTCACACAGCCCTGCCCAATGAGCTGGGCCCTCCCGCACCTTTAGGGAATGAGCTGAGCTGTCTGTGGGGGGCACTCAAGGTGGGACAGGCACAGTGTGGCAGCGCGTGGATCTGGCTGCTGTTTTCCTTTGTGACTGGCACCTCTCCTCTCCCCCTTCCCTCCTCCCCCCGCTTTGCTCCCCCAGCCTTTCCTCCTTGGCCTTCAAGGCCATACACGCTCCCTGGAAAGAGCCCTTGCCGCCACCTCTGTTACTCATCGTCCTTGGCCCATGCTTGCTCCAAGTGCTGGCACCCCCAGCTCCTAGGAAAACTGCTGGCAGTGTCCACGCCGACGGAAATTTCCTTGGCCTGTCCGTTTGTTTCGCTTTGTTTCTGGCCCTGCCACGGCATGGCCCAGGCCTCGGGAGCCTGTCCGTGTGCAGTTCTCTGCACCTTGTCCGCTCCCTTCCCTTTCTCTTATGGGCACTGCCCCTCCTTCCATGCAGGGTTTGCTGTGTTTTCATCTCATTCTTCTCTGTTTCTCTCTGAAAACCTTTCTCTAGCCCTACCTGTCCTTCATCTGAGGTTCTCATTCCCTCCATCCCCAGCGGCTCCCGATTCCCAATCCAGGTGAACAAAGAGGACAGAAAATCTGTGAAGGAGAGGACCGAGAACCTGGAAAAATGGGCTGCAGAGACGGGGAGGGGACCGGGAGCACGTGAAGCTGAGTGGGAGAGAAATAAAAAGGAAACTGGGTTTTGGAGAAAATGACAAAGTGAAACCAGATTGGCCCGCGTGGACGGGAGCCAAAGGAGGGATGACCCAGCTCATTTCCATGGCCCGGGAGACACACCGGATCCTTCTTTCAGTCTGTGGCAGGGAGGGCCTAGATCCTTTAAGCAGATGTGAAGCCGGTGGGGAAGCCAAAAGTGGGGTCGGGACAAGGTCAGAGGCTGACGCTGGGAGACAGAGACAGCAGCAGTGGCCTTGGACCTGAGAGCAACCGAGTCAGGGAGGGGCCGAGGTCAGCTCGGGGTCCATGGCCAGGGTGCACGTCCAGTGAGGAGGGCGCCCCATCCTTACTCTGGGAACAGCGTCCTCGGCTGTCCTGCGGGAGTGCTGCCTCCCACTCTCCAAACACACCTTGCTCCAGGCGGGGTCACCCTCGGGCTGGCCAGACGAGCAGCCAAAGCCGGGCCCCTGAGAATCAGCCATGGGATGGTGGCTGGAACTGCCGGGAAAGAGGCGACATCGCTCCACTGGAAGCCAAGCCACAGCCTCGGGCGGCCACCTTCGCCCCATCAGGGAACCCCCGTGAGTGTCCCCTGGGGAAAGCAGAGTCTGGGGGAGCACTCACAGGAAAGCAGAGCCTGGGGGAGCACTCAGAGCCCTGGCAGTCGACGACCCCTGCACCCGGTTGCAGCCCGGACTCTTTAGGATCGGAGCCGGCAAATCTCCCTCTTTGCTTAAGCCACTTTGAGGTGGGGTTCTGCCAGGTAAACCAAAAAGAAGTCTTAAGACGGCTTACTGGAATTCCTCACTTGGAGAGCAGCAGTGAGATCCCAGGCTGCATGGACAAGAGAGAGGAAGGCAGGGGGCAGCGGCGGGTGGGAGATGGCTCATGCTGGCTCTGGAGCTGACTTTGCAAATCTCTTCCCAACTCCACTATCGGTGACTGCACCTTCAAAACTTGAACTCGGCCGTGCAGGAGTATTTGCACCATGGAAAGTGGCGAACACCACACATCACCGCTCTCGTCCCTCCACCCAGCCCCGGAAAGCCAGCTGCTAGGCCTGTACCAGCATTCCCCATCCATGGACTCAGGAGGGCCGGGCTTACCTGGGACCACTTCTGAAAGGTGCACCAGCCCCAGCTTCCCTGAGGACAAGGCTGAGTCACGAAGCATGGACGAGGCTGAGCTGCAGTCTGCACAGGTGGAGTTAAACAGGCCATAGCCAACTCACCCCTCACCCGAGGTCTGCACAGACCTCACCTGCAGCCAAATTACATTTGAGCACGCAGTAAAAGGATGGAAACTGATGATCCTCCTGCTCCCTCCCTTCCATTTCTTTGCTCTCAGTTTAGTCACTGTTTTTTGTTTGTTTGTTTGATTGTTTGTTTGTTTTTGAGACAATGTCTCGCTCTGTCGCCCAGGCTGGAGGGCAGTGGTGCAATCTCAGCTCACTGCAACCTCCGCCTCCTGGGTTCAAGCAATTCTGCCTCAGCCTCCTGAGTAGCTGGGATTACAGGCATGCACCACCACGCTCGGCTAATTTTTGTATTTTTAGTAGAGACGGGGTTTCACCATGTTGGCCAGGCTGGTCTGGAACTCCTGACCTCAGATGATCCACCTGCCTCTGCCTCCCAAAGCACTGGGATTACAGGCGTGAGCTACTGCGCCTGGCCAATTTAGTCACTTATTTTATTTTTTTGAAACTAAATCTCACTTTGTTGCCCAGGCTGGAGTGCAGTGGCGTGATCTCGACTCACTTACAACTTCCGCCTCCCAGGTTCAAGCAATTCTTCTGCCTCAGCCTCCCCAGTAGCTGGGATTACAGGTGCTTGCCACCATGCCCAGCTAATTTTTGTATTTTTACTTTTTTTTTTGAGACCAGGTTTCACTCTTGTCACCCAGGCTGGAGTGCAATGGCACGATCTCGGCTGACCGCAACCTCCACCTACCAGGTTCAAGCGATTTTCCTGCCTCAGCCTTCCAAGTAGTTGGGATTACAGGCATGCACCATCACGCCTGGCTACTTTTGTATTTTTTGTAGAGATGGGGTTTCTCCATGTTGGTCAGGCTGGTCTCGAACTCCTGACCTCAGGTGATCCGCCTGCCTTGGCCTCCCAAAGTGCTGGGATTACAGGCGTGAGCCACTGCACCCGGCCAATTTTTGTATTTTTTAGTAGAGATGGGCTTTCACCATATTGGCCAGTCTGGTCTCGAACTCCTGACCTCAAGCAATCCACCTGCCTCAGCCTCCCAAAGTGTTGGGATTACAGGCATGACCACCGCGCCTGGCCACTTTTATTTGTCTGCTTTTATCAGGACTCTTGGAAGCAAGTGATAGGAACTTAAACTGATTTTAAAAAGAGGCTTATTAGTACAGGGGTTGACTTGGCTTCAGGTACAGCTACATTCAGAGGCCCCGAAATTGGCTTGGGCCTTGATTTCTCCCCCTCTTGGCTTTGCCCTCCCGTGTGGGCACTTTTTCAGGAGGGCCCTCACCTGCTGCGGGGCACAGCTGGCCTTTGCACAGCCATGGAAATAATCTCTTTAAATACGTCCTAGAAAAAAACTCCTTGGCTCTCATTGGCCGGTCTTGAGTCACGTGCCCATGCCTGTACCAATTGCTGCAGCCAGTGACAGGGCTGTTCTGAGTGGCCACGCCCAGGTCCCCACCCACTCCTGTTTCTGGACCCCGTGAATGGGAGTCGGGGATGGGCTCGCTCCCAAGGAAAACAGGAATGTTGGACCCAGGAGGCAGGAGGATGGAAGCCCAGCCAGCAACACAGCAGATGCCCTTACAAAGCCACGGACTGGCGGGATCAGCGGCACCTGGGAGCCTGCTGGCATGAGATTCTTGGATCTGCCTTGCACCTGCCAAGTCAGAATGTCTAGAGGAAGCACAGGTTGTGTTCCTTTGTGTGTTATTGTTATTATTATTATTATTATTTTTGAGAGACAGGATCTCGCTGTGTTGCCCAGGCTGGAGTTAAGTGGCACAATCCCAGGTAACTGCAGCCTCAATCTCTTGGGCTTAAGCAAGCCTCCTGCCTCAGCCTCCCGAGTAGCTGGGACCACAGGCATGCACCACCACGTCCAGCTAATTCTTTTATTTTTATTTTTGTAGAGATGCATTCTCGTTACCCTCCCACCTTGGCCTATCACGGTGCTGGGGTTACAGGTGTGAGCCGCCGGGCCGACAGGAGTCTGTGCTCTAACACACTCTCCAGGGGATGTTGGTGCACACTGGTGTGTGAGAACTGTTTGTCAGCCCCCCATAAAATTAGCATTTTATTCACTGATGTGAATAATATCCTCGCTAGGACCAGGTGCGGTGGGGAAGGGGAGGTTCCAGGGAAAGTTGCGAGGCTGTTCCTGAGGAGGGTGTGCCACACAGACAGGCACGCAGGTTGAGATTCTTGACCAAAAGCAGGCTTTGACTTGTGATCCTGGGGGATAATTACCATCTGCAATTGTCTTGTTTTCCAGCCTAAAGCCTGAGCCTGGGTTCCCTTGGGGATACAGAAACATCTAGATTCCAAGGCACACATGCTGCCATGAGCTGAACAGAAAATGACAAGTGTGCCCTTAAAGCACTGCAGGGATGTCCCTGCTCCACCGCCAACAGGGTTGGGGCGTGGGTTTGTTCTTGCCCTGAGGGGTGAGGGACGGGCCTCCCGTGCCGACCTCAAGGCCCACTGGACACAGCCTCCGCTGGGCTTGAGCCAGAGGCCCGTCTGGGCCCTGGGCCAGCTGCCGGCTCTCCTGGGGACCGACTGTGACCTTGGCCTCACTCACCCAGGGTGCTGGTGCTTCCTTCTCTGCATGGAGGTCAGCTCCTGATGGCCTCCTGCTGGATTTTGTGAATGTTGGATGCAGATTCTTTCTCTAAACGGTGCCTGCTCCCCAGATTCCCTTCTTTGCAGAGCACGGAGTCCCATTGGGAGGCCTCTGTGGCCTCTGGCCGAGGAGTTCCCCAAGCCTTCTTTTTCACATCTGTAAAATGGGGACTGGTTTGTATCTCCCACGACTGTTGAAAGGAAGACTGCAGTGGTGCAAGTGAAGCCCTTGGTGAGGAGAAGTGAGTTGGTGAAGGGCTACAATCTGCAGTCGGAACGGAAGCCGGCTCCTTGTACTAGGTCACTCACCCTTGGCAGTCGCCCCTTCTCTGAGCCTTCATTTGTTCTTACGTAAAATGAGGGTCCCGCAATACTCTCTCTAGTGGCTTCTGTTTTGTGCCATGCTGCTATTCATAGATGGCAGCGCTTTTTTTCCCGCGATGGAGTCTCGCTCTGTCACCCAAGCTGGAGTGCAGTGGCTCGATCTCTGCTCACTGCAAACTCCACCTCCCAAATTCAAGCGATTCTCCTGCCTCAGTCCCCCGAGGAACTGGAACCACAGGTGTGCGCCACCAACCTGGCTAATTTTTGTATTTTTAGTACAGATGGGGTTTCACCATGTTGGCCAGGCTGAACTTGAACTTCTGACCTCAGGTGATCCACCCACCTCGGCTTCCCAAAGTGCTGGGATTATAAGCATGAGCCAGCTCGCCCAGCCTGGCAGTGCTTTTAAAGGGGGTCTGTCCACATACCTTCCTCCTTCTAGGAGTAGTATCAGGATTCCCCTGGGGCCCCCTGTTCCCCACTGCATGAGGTCTTGGTGAGGACATTAGCCGGGTGCCTGATGCTCCACCAGCTGAGGGCTGGGTGTCAGCTCAGGGTCAGCCACCAGACCCTTTGCCTTGGGAATTTATTTTGTAAAATAACAAACAAAAGTCCAAAATAACCTTCAAAGTTTATACTTTACGACTTAGAGGAAACAAATCAGTTATTAAAATATCAGTGAGACCCACAGCCACATCTAAAAATTATCCAGGAGGAATATGAATCCCATAGCAACTCATCTGTATCCATGACAACTATTGTTCTCAAAATTACTAATACATTCACACAAATATTAACCCAAACAATTAAAAGTTCAGGAACTATTTTTGGTTTTTCAATATTTTGAAGTGGCTGCATGAAGAATTTTTAAATAATATAACCACATTAAAACTGAAAAGCCAATCTGAGTTGCTTCTTGGGCATTTGAACTTGGAACAGACCAACAAGGGGAGAAAAACCATTGGCAACTGAATAAATGAATGCAAAAATCCCTGCTCCCTGGTCCCCGAAGCTGGCCTGGTTTGTGCCTCCCAAGATCTGGTTGTCCCACTTTCCCTCTTCTTCTCCGAGCTGGTCTTGTCCTTCCAAGAAGTTGCACTTTGCTTACGTTGGCTGGAGTTGGGGTTACTGCTGCTGGCACTCAGCAAGCCCCACACGGGAAGCATCCGCGGGGGTTGCAGTGGAGCCTGATGAAGCAACCGTGAATGGCACTGAGCATACAGGCAGCGTGGCTCCTTCTCACCTTCGAAAGGAGAGAGAGACACTGGAAGGACCAAGCCGTGGTGTTTGCGATGCACTGTGTAGGGCCTGGCACAGAGAAGAAGCTCTCACGCCCTGCCCCCAACAGCAGGTGCATTAGAGGCAGGAGCAGGCTCAGGCTGGGCCTCTACTCTCCATGGGGTGCCTCTCCCCGGGCTCCAGGAAGGCCTGCACATACGGCTCAGCGCACTCATCCGTGGGCACCGTGCCTGCTCACTGAGGTCCCCTGTGTTGAGAATTTCTAGGCATATGCAGATTTAAGTGGCTGAAATGCAAGCACCATGTCATGACGAAGCTGGGACGCAGCTGGGCAGACCTCCCCGTGACAGCAGGAGCTGGGGAAGCCCCGGTGAGCATGTTTAGTGTAAGGAAGGTGAATGCTGCCTCCGCATGCACAGCGAGAGGGCATGAAGGTGAGCGTGGGGGCAGCGTCCCGCTTGTTGGTCCCGCTTGGATAACGCAGAAGCGTGGAAGCAGGTCCGGGCATGCTGGCAGCCATGTGGGAGTTTCTGGGCAGATGTGGTGCTGAGTGCCGGCCTGGGGTGGCCTCGATTCTCTCCCTGCAGCCTTTGCAGTGGCCATCCCTTCTCTCCCCAATCACAGAGGAAGAAAAGGAGGCTCATTTATGCCTTCAACTCTGTTCATCCGTCAATTTGCTGAGTGCCTAGGAGGCCTGGCGCATAAAATATCAAATAAGACAAAGACCTGCCCCAGCGGAGTTACATCCTCATGGGAGCAACAGTGAGTGAGCAAGATCCCCAGGCACGTGGGACGCACCCGGGAGGAGGCAGATGGGATGCCTGCCGGAGAGGATGTGGAGCTGTGGCTGCGGCTGCTTTGGGGCCCCCAGGTTTGATGATTCCCCAGGAAGAGTCACTGGGTCCAGCACAGAGCCACCCTCAGAGCTAAGCTACATTCAGCAAAAGGACGCAGAGCGAGATCAGCCACGCGAAGAGGTGTCTGGGCTGTCCGGAGGGCCCCAGGCAGGAGCTTCTGGAGTCCTCACCAGGGAAGACGGACAGGACGGACTTAATTCTCCCCTAAACCAGCCGCAACACTGAACCAGTGTGACGTGTTCTGTACCAGAGGAGCTCACTAGCAACTCAGTGCCCAAGGGTTTATTGGGAGCTGTTCACATAGGCACCTGATACCCAGCACGTGGCCCAATTCCAGACTCGCAGCAGGAGGGAGAGCAGGCGTTCCGCATGAAAGCAGCTTACAGTGACACCAGCTGGTGCTGGGAAAACACCAGGTAGGACCTGGCAGCCAGTCCTGATAAAAATGCAAACATAATAGGCATAGAGAGAACCTTCCCATACCTCAGAGCATCTGCCTGGAACTTCCGAGAATCATGGTGAAGGTTTGAAGAGATGATCCGCAGAAGCCCTTGGCCAAGCGCTGGAACCCAGTAAGGGCTTGGTGGCTTTCAGGACCTCTCAAGTCACCTCCCAGCCCACCCCGTCCCTCCACCACCGTCTCCCACCTGCATCTCCCCGGACTGCCTCCTATTTAACCCCTGCTCCCCTCCAGCCGCCTGCTCAGTCTGTCCTCACAGCAGCTGTGGGATGCATTTAAAAGGTCAGCGAGGGCCGGGCGCGGTGGCTCACGCCTGTAACCCCAGCACTTTGGGAGGCCAAGGTGGGCAGATCACCTGATGTCAGGGGTTCGAGAGCAGCCTGGCCAACATGGCGACATCCCATTTCTGCTAAAAATACAAAAATTAGCTGGGCATGGTGGCAGACACCTGTAATCCCAGTTACTCAGGCTGAGGCAGGAGAATCACTTGAACCAGGAGACAGAGGTTGCAGTGAGCTGAGATTGCGCCATGGCACTCCATCCTGAATGACAGAGCAAGACTCTGTCTCAATATAAAATAAAATAAAATAAAATAAAATGTCGGCCAGGTCACTGCCTGCTGAAGCCTGCAGTGGTCTCATTTCCAGGCTCCCAATGCCCCTGCCCTGCTGTGGACCCAACTTCCTTGCAGGCCTCTGCCTAGATGATCAAGGCCAGCGTGGGCGTCCAGCCACCGCTGCCTTCTGAGTTCCTCTTCCGACGCGCAAAGTGTTCGCATTTCAATGAGCTTGTCTCTTCCTCCCACCCGCTGCAAGGCGAGCCCCACGGGAAGGGGATTTTCTTTGCTAGGTGCACCTGTGTGCATGCAGGTGCCGGCGGTATTCTCATCTGTAAAGTGAGCACCAGGCTCCTGTCCCCTCGAGAACCTTCACACCATCCCCCAGGTGTGTCCTCCCTCAAGCGAGTCTCTGTCCCTGCCCCAGCAGCACAAGGAAAGCAGCACCTTCCTGCTCTCCTCCCCCTTCTCCGCGAAGCTCTTGACCCTGCTGCCAGAACAACGGGAGAGGACAAAGCCCTCGAGCCCCAGCTGGCACTCACCTGATGCCTCGGTGGCATCGTCAAATTCCACCTGGAAGAGGTAGCCAGTGTTCCAGATGTACAGGCAGGATGCCGCTTCATAGGAGACCCTGAGTGGCTTCAGCTGGGGGTCATAGACGCTGTCCCTCCACTGGATGTTAATAGGAGACTGCCGGGTGCCCCCTGGCACGGAGACCGGGACCGTCCAGAGTGGGTGCACTGCAGGGAGAGAGACGGAGACCCTGAGTGAGGCATGAGCTTCATCCTGTGTCTTGGACGGACAGGGCAGAAACCCGGCCGCACGAGACCCCTCACGTCCTGGCTCATGGGAAACTGACCCACGGGAAACGGGCGCGTGGGGGCCCCTGCGCAGCGACGCACGCCCACAGGGTACTCGCCTGCTCCTCTCCTTTCTGCACCACTCGGGGACTTTCTTTCCCACCCGGAAGCAACTCCCTCTGGGCCCATGCCACCTGTGTTGATGGGTTTTTGACTTTTGTGTTGCCCTCGTCACAGAGTAGCCACAGGAAGTCTGGATAGACCTTGGGGAGGGCAGGTGGGTGGAGGAGGGCGCTGTGGGGAAGGCAGGCTGAGTGCAGTGGGGCTCTTGTCTCTCGGGAAGGGCTTGAAACTTCCCTTCCCACTCCCAGGTACCCCACCTAGTGGTCCTGTGGAAACTGGAGCTGCTTTGGAAGCCCAACTCTCCAAGCCCTCTGGCAAGGAGGAAATGAGACCCCAGTGTGGAGAAAATTAAGCAGAGTGGCAGCCCCTCTACCTACTTCCTCGAGGCTCATTTCAAACTGCTTTGATTGTCATTTTTAAAGTAAGAGCCATTAATCGAAAACAGTTCAGAGGTCAGGAACAGTGGCTCACGCCTGTAATCCCAGCATTTTCGGAAGCAAGGTGGGTGGATCACTTGAGGTCAGGAGTTTGAGACCAGCCTGACCAACATGGCAAAACCCCATCATTATTGAAAATATAAAAATCAGCTGGGTGTGGTGGCGGGCGCCTGTAATCCCAGGTACTCAGGAGGCTGAGGCAGGAGAATGGCGTGAACCCAGGAGGCAGAGGTGGTAGTGAGCCGAGATCGCGCCACTGCACTCCAGCCTGGGGGACAGAGACTCTGCCTCAAAAAAAAAAAAAAAAAAATGCAGAAAAGCTTATGAGTGAAGAAGCAGCTGTCCCATGATTGCACCCCCTGGTGTGTGTCTGCCCCACCTGTTCTCTGTGCAATAACCTCATGCTAAGAGAAAGCTGGATCTTTTATTTTTATTTTTCCTTAAGAGACAGGATCCTCGGGATATCCTGCTCTTGAAACCTTAGAGCACTTCCAAATACAGAGTCCCCTTGCTTGGGGATGTCACCCCAGAGGCCTGGCGTGTCCTGTGGCTCCTGTCCTCACCTTCACAGGCCTGAGCTAAACCAGTTCTTAAAAGGGATTAAATGGAATAGTGCGTTTTTGAGATCAGGTCTCACTGTGCCACCCAGGCTGGAGTGTAGTGGTGTCAATCACTGCAGCCTTGAACCCCTAGGCTGAATCGATCCTCCCACCTCAGCCTCCTGAGCAGCTGGGACTGCAGGTAAACACCACCATGCCTGGCTAACTTTTTCATTTTTTGTAGAGACGAGGTTTCACTATGTTGCCCAGGCTGGTCTCAAACTCCTGGCCTCAAGTGATTCTCCTGCCTGTCCCAAAGTGAGGCAGGCATCTCCCAAAGTGCTGAGATTAGAAGTGTGTACCACCACACCCGGCCAGGATTTTTTATTTTAATGAACAAGGATTTTACTGTGTATATTATCTTGTAAGTTGCCTTTTTTCATTTAACATTGTGAACTCATTTTGTGAAAAAAATATATATATACAATTCTTTTTAATGGTGGCACGTTTCCATTGTACAGTTACGACACAATTTTTAAAATCCATTATTTGGTGATGATATTTAGGTTATTTCCAACTTCTTGCAATTAAACAAAGCTGTGATGAAGTTGCTGTTCTTTCTCTGTATTCTCATCTGGATTATTTTCTTTTCTTTGTTTTTTTTTTTTTTTTTTTTTTTTTTGAGACGGAGTCTCACTCGGTCGCCCAGGCTGCAGTGCAGTGGTGCCATCTCGGCTCACTGCACCCTGTGCCTCCCAGGTTCAAGTGGTTCTACTGCCTCAGCCTCCTGAGTAGCTCTATTACAGGCACGCGCCGCCACACCTGGCTACTTTTTTGTATTTTTTTCATAGAGACGGGGTTTCACTGTGTTAGCCAGGATGGTCTCCATCTCCTGACCTTGTGATCCACCCGCCTCGGCCTCCCAAAGTGCTGGGATTACAGGCGTGAGCCACCGCGCCCAGCCTTGGATTATTTTCTTCTTACAAATTCCTAACCACAGAATCACTAGGTCAAAGGGTGCATCCAACAGAAGTCTAGAAAACAAGGATAAAGATGTATAGCCCTGGCTGGGCGCGGTGGCTCACGCCTATAATCCCAGTAGTTTGGGAGGCCAAGGTGGGTGGATCACCTGAGGTCAGGAGTTTGAGACCAGCCTGGCCAACATGGTAAAACCCTGTCTCTACTAATAATGCAAAAATTAGCCAGGCGTGGTGGCTCATGCCTGTAATCCCAGCTACCGGGGAGGCTGAGGCAGGAGAATGGCTTGAATCTGGGAGGCGGAGATTGCAGTGAGCAGAGATGGCACCACTGCATTCCAGCCTAGATGACAAGAGCAAATTCGGTCTCAAAAAAAAAAAAAAAAAAAGATATATAGTCCTGTCAGAAATGCGTCTCCACCTAGGTCAAATGGTTAGCGCATTGCTGTGTTTTGTTCTTTAATCAACTTGAAAAAATTTTTAGCTGTTATTTAATAAGTAAACCATCAGGCCAGGTGCAGTTGCTCACGCCTATAATCCCAGCACTTTGGGAGGCCGAGGTGGGCGGATCACGAGGTCAGGAGATCGAGACCATCCTGGCTAACACCGTGAAACCCGGTCTCTACTAAAAATACAAAAAATTAGCCGGGCGTGGTGGCGGGCGCCTGTAGTCCCAGCTACTCGGGAGGCTGAGGCAGCAGAATGGCGTGAGCCCGGGAGGCGGAGCTTGCAGTGAGCCGAGATCGCGCCACCGCACTCCAGCCTGGGCAATACAGCGAGACTCCGTCTCAAAAAAAAAAAAAAAAAAAAAAAAATAAGTAAACCATCAGAAGTCAGTAGAATGTACAATACATTTTTAAGTTAAAGATTGCAAAATCGCAGAATGTTTGTTCTAAAATCGCATCTTTTCTACTCGTCAGTGTTAAAAAGCCCTATGGGAGATAAAGGTGATGATAGATAGTAGGATGGTTGTGTGCCTGTTTATTTTAATTTTCTCTCTTGGTTTTTCTCTCCCCCATCAACGTGCATGGTAACATCTGCTAGGGGTCTGCTGTCTGTCTCATAACCAGAATCTCAGCAGGGGGTTGGTCATTTTTCTGGCCCGTGCATTCCCGTGCTCCGACAGCATCTGGCACTATGAATGTTTGTTGAATGAATAATCCCTAGTGTGGATTAACTGCCCCTGCCCCTTACAGGTGGGAAAGCAGAGGGCCGGGGGCTGGAGTCACTTTTCCAAGACATCCAGCAAGCTCGCTGCAGTCTGAACTGAGATCCTGGCCTCTGGGAGTCTCTGCTAGAGCTTCTGGCTGCTCCAGGCTGGTGTCCAGGTCTCCAGAGTGTTCCTCTGTTCTTTGTAGACCAGTGGCAAGGACCTCCCCCCTCCGGACCCTTCCCCAGTGGAACCTGAGGCCTGAATCCCATCAACATCAGACCCAGGCGCCTGGCTTCCCTATTAAAGTGGACGTGTTGTGAGGGCAGAGGATGCTGACGAGTAAAGCTGCTGTGGGCAACGGGCCCTCCCTGTCAGGCTGGGTGGGGAGGAGAGAGCGGTGGGGACTGCGGCGTGGGGACAGCACAGGGTGGTTCTGAGAGGGGCTGCTGCTACCCCACTGGGCAGGAGAGGGAGCCCTCTGCTGCCAGATCTTTGGATCTATTTTTTTTTTTTTTTTCTTTTTTGAGACAGAGTCTCCTTCTGTGGCCCAGGCTGGAGTGCAGTGACGCGATCTCAGCTCACTGCAAGCTCCAACTCCCTGGTTCAGGCGATTCTCCTGCCTCAGCCTCCCAAGTAGCTGGGGTTACAGGCATGTGCCACCACGCCTGGGGAATTTTTGTATTTTTAGTAGAGACGGGGTTTCACCGTGTTGGCTAGGATGGTCTCGATCTCCTGACCTTGTGATCTGCCTGCCTCGGCCTCCCAAAGTGCTGGGATTATAGGCGTGAGCCACTGCGCCCAGCCTGGATTTTTAAAGAGAAGATAGAAATACAGATGTTCAGGTAGGGTGTCCCAACGTTCAGGTGTTGTCAAGTAATTTTTTTTTTTTTTTTTTGAGATTGAGTCTCACTCTGTTGCCAGGGCTGGAGTGCAGTGGCGTAATCTCAGTTCACTGCAACCTCCGCCTCCCGGGTTCAAGTGATTCTCCTGCCTCAGTCTCCCGAGTAGCTGGGATTACAGGTGCCTACCACCACGCCCGGCTACTTTTTGTATTTTTAGTAGAGACGGGGTTTCACCATGTTGGCCAGGCTGTTCTCGAACTCCTGACTTCGGGTGATCCACCTGCCTCGGCCTCCCAAAGTGCTGGGATTACAGGCATAAACCACTGTGCCTGACCTTGCCAAGTAATTTTTTAAGTTTTACACATTGTGCAGTGGGGAAGACACATCTGTGGGCCAAAACCCTGGCGGCTCTCCCCACTCACTCTCCGAGTTACCTGGCATATTATTTACCACCTTCTCCCAGTCTCAGTTTCTATATCTGCAGGAAGGAGAATAAGGGAGTAGAATCACAGCAGCTTTGCTGAGAAGATAAGCTCGCTGGCGCTGGGGAAGGCCTGGAGTGCCTTCCCACGCATGATAGACGGGGAGGATGCATTTCCCTGCCCCTGCCTTACAGCCCAGCACAACCCTGCGGTCACACACAGAACTCGCTAAGTGCCGGAAAGCAGTGACTAAGCCGGCGCTGGGAAACAGTGGGCCCTGCGGCATCCTGCAGATGCGTTCTGTTCTCTCTCACGCGATAGACAACTATGGACGCGGGAGCCGGCGGCCACAACAGGGGCCTCTGTCTGTGTGTCCTTTGTCCCAGCATCTGCTTTAATTCAGAACGACACCAGCAGCCCTGAACTTCCATTGACTGTTCTCTCCAAAGAGCCTCTCTGAGGCTGGGCGTGGTCGTGCCTGCCTGTAATCCCAGCTACTCAACTACTTGGGAGGCTGAGGCAGGAGAATCACTTGAACTCAGGAGGTGGAGGTTGCAGTGAGCTGAGATTGCGCTATTGCACGCCAGCCTGAGCAACAAGAGGCAGACTCCGTCTAAGAAAAAAAAAAGCCCCTTTGAGGCCTCACAAATCTCCCTTGCATCCAACGGGAAGCAGGATTGAGTGCACTCTACCCCCCCTCCCACGGCCGCTGCCTCCAGTCCTACCTGCCGGGCAAGGGGCATTTAACATGGCTACACAGACCTGAATGTAGACAGAACCCTAAAGCCACTGATGCCACAGAGGAGGTGCTCATCTAGACCAGAGACGCAGGCTTCCCTGGCTCACAGAGACACAGGTTGTGGGAAGAGCGGGTAATTTTAGGTTCTGTTTGCTGAGCTGCACCAACGGGCCCACCAACAATGAAACACCCGCATTGAACTCAGCGTGTGTCACCCAACAAAAGGGCTCATTGCCACCTGCACGGAGGCGACGCCACCTGGATGCTGAATAGGCTTCCAATCTCCACACAGCCGACCCTGGTGCCCAGCAACGTAGGTTCTGTGCTAATTCCAGTAGGGCTCCAATGGGAGGCAATACAAATGTTATCCTCTTTTTCAATCAGTCAACAAATATTTACAGAGCTGCTCCTATGGGTCAAGCCCTGGCCCAGGTGCAGGGGACATGGAATCAAAGACGCCAAGTCCCCTGCCCCAGGAGGCCAGTATTTGCCCCTAATTCACACGGGCGCAGTCTGGAAGGAGACCCCATCTCCCCGATGCATTCTCAGTCTCCAGGTTTGATGGTGGTTCAGCAAATCTCAAATTCCTTCCCCCTTGACCTCCATGGGAGGAGCTATCCCCTCCCCCATTGTCACTAGGCTTGGCCACCTGGTGACCTGCTTTGACCACTGGGACATTAGCAGACATGACGTGAGCAGTAGCTTGGAATACATGGGCACCGCTGGCCTCGCCCTGTGAGTGCCTGCCCTCCGCCGTGAGAAGAACAGGCCTCAGGTGGCTGCGAAGGGAGGATGAGAGATGCAGTGAGCAGGCCTGCACCCACCCAGAGTGGGGAGCCCAGCCCAACCACGGTCAGCCCGGGGGGAGCCAAATGCAAGAAGACTCACACACACCTGAGCAGGAAATAGCCAGTAAAATGTCCAAAAATGTGCAGCAGTGTGCTGGTTGAGGTTTAATAAGCCGTTCTCCCAGGAATTTAGAATCTTTGATTTCTAGGGTTTGCCAATGACTGTGGTGTAAATACTTTCACCATGGCCAATTTTAAGTTACCAACGTAACGTTGCTGATCACACACTTAGGAACAGATGGGCACTGCCAGTGCACACCCTGAAACATGACTAGAAAACATTAAATGATCCCTAAAATTATTTTTTCTTAGACAGGGTCCTGCTGTGTAGCCCAGGCTGGAGTGCAGTGGCCTGATCAGGGCTCACTGCAGCCTGAAATTCCTGGGGTCAGTGATCCTCCTGCCTCAGCCTCCCAAGTAGCTGGGATGATAGGTGTGTGCCACCATGTCCAGTTAATTTTTTAATTTTTTTTTTTTTTTAGAGATGGGTTCTTGCTATGTTGCCCAGGCTGATCTTGAACTCCTGTGCTTGAGCTGTCCTCCCACATCAGCCTCCCAAAACAGTGCTGGGATTACAGGTGTGAGCCCCCATGCCTGGTTCTAAAATTATCACTGAGCGTTTTGTAACTCTTTGACTTTTCTCTCAAGGCCAAACCACCAGTGATTTTTCAATAATTTTTAGTAACAATATTCTTTTTCCAAGTGAAATAATCTTCAGAATGCCCATAAATAAAACACCGACATAGAAGGATGAATTCCTTATGATGTTCCAATCTTCTCTGCTTGGCAGAATATTCTGCTCTTTGTGGAACTCTGAAATGATTTGGCAGAGCCCTCTGTTCACTGGGAACAGGTTGAGGACCATGGTGTAAATGGATTTAGGTGCCGATACAGAATATGACTCTCTCTAGCACACGATGTAAGAGGACATGTTGCCACAGTAAGAAATGGAATGCTACCTGCTGCCCACTGACAGGGAAATGCTTAAATAGACACAGGGCACCCACCGCTGCCTGTGTTAGCAACAGCAGCAGCTGGCGTCTAGCAAGGGCTTCCTGGAGCCATGTGCTGTCCCCAGCCTTTGCAGGCCCCACCTCGGACCCTTCTCCCAACGACACTGTGCCGTAAGCACCATTATCAACCCCCTGTTACAGACGACAAAACCAAGGCTGGGGGAAGTTAAGAAAGTCACAGAGGGGACAGCTGGGCGTGGTGGCTCACGCCTGCAATCCCAGCACTTTGGGAGGCTGAGGCGGGCAGATCACCTGAGGCTGGGAGTTCAAGACCACCCTGAGCAACATGGAGAATCCCTGTATCTACTAAAAATACAAAATTAGCCGGATGTGGTGGCGCATGCCTGTAATTCCAGCTACTCGGGAGGCTGAGGCAGGAGAATTGCTTGAACCTGGGAGGTGGGGGTTGCGGTGAGCTGGAGATCGCACCACTGCGCTCCAGCCTGGGCAACAAGACAGAAATTAGTCTCAAAAAATAAAGGAAAGTCACAGAGGGGCAACAGCCATAGAGCAGTGGGGCCAAGATTCCAATCTAGGCAGGCTAGCGCTCTTGACGGTCGTACTAAGAATAAAAAAGGGGGGTGGGTGCAGTGGCTCACGCCTGTAATCCCAGCACTTTAGGAGGCCGAGGCAGGTAGACCACCTGAGGTCGGGAGTTTGAGACCAGCCTGGCCAACATGGCGAAATCCTATCTCTACTAAAAATACAGAAATTAGTTGGGCGTGGTGGCACACGCCTGTAGTCCCAGCTACTTGGGAGGCTGAGTCAAGAGGATCGCTTGAACCCAGGAGGCAGAGGCTGCAGTGAGCCGAGATCGCACCACTGCACTCCAGTCCACAGGTGTGGACCCCAACAGGAGGAATGAGTGTAGCTCACTCAGAGTCTGGGGTGGGCCAGGCTTTCTACACGCATCGTGTCATCCTTCCATGGCCCTGGAGAGAAAGTCTGGCCACCCCCATCTCGAGATAAGGACACAGAGGCTTGGGGGTGAAGACCTGCCGAGGCTCCACCTCAGCAAGCGTCAGTCGGACTGCATGCCTGGGGTCTGGCTCCTAAGCCCATGCTCTTTCAATGGCCCAAACATGGAATGCATGGAAGATTTCAGTTAGAAGAGAACTTGGCAGCTGCCAAAGCAGGCTCTCATTCTACGGAGGAAGCACCTGAGACCCAGAAAGAGGAAGGGCCTCGTTCAAGGTCACAAGGCACTGACCATGAAGCCAGGAGGGGCTGGCACGGGGCAGTTTCTTGGCAGAGCTGGCTGAGTGGTTTATTTGTTACAGGTTTGCTTGAAAGCGTTCTCTGCCGAAGAGTTTAGGAGCGATCGTGACTGGTTAGTGCAGCCCATTCCGCCGGGTCTGGATGGTGAGTCGTGCCAGTGTGTCCCGTGCGAACACGGACTACCCGCCTGCTCCCAGCATCTTGCCCTCCCCAGGACCCCTGAAACGGAGGCTAAATGATTCACCCAAGGTCACCAAATACAAGAGAAACGGAGTGTGGCCAGGCGCGGTGGCTCACGCCTGTAATCCTAGCACTTTGGGAGGCCAAGGTGGGTGGATCACCTGAGGTCAGGAGTTCGAGACCAGCCTGGCCAACATGGTGAAACCCCATCTCTACCAAAATACAAAAAATTAGCTGGGTGCAGTGGCGGGTGCCTGTAGTCCCAGTTACTTTGGAGGCTGAGGCAGGAGAATCACTTGAACCTGGAGGGCAGAGGTTGCAGTGAGCCGAGATCATGCCATTGCACTCTAGCCTGGGCAAAAGAGCAAAACTTCATCAAAAAAAGAAAAAAGAGGGCCGGGCGCCGTGGCTGATGCCTGCAATCCCAGCACTTTGGGAGGCTGAGACAGGCGGATCGCGAGGTTAGGAGTTCGAGACCAACCTGGCTAACACAGTGAAACCCTGTCTCTACTAAAAATACGAAAAATTAGCCAGGAGTGGTGGCATGCACCTATAGTCCCAGCTACTCAGGAAGCTGAGGCAGGAGAATCGCTTGAACCCGGGAAGTGGAGGTTGTGGTGAGCTGAGATCACGCCACTGTACTCCAGCCTGGGCCACAGAGCGAGACGCCATCTTAAAAAAAAAAAAAAAAAAACGGAGTGGAAATCTGAACCCATCTGGCTCGGGACGGTCTCTCCTCTCTCCTCTCGAAAGACCCCATCAGCTAAGACAAGGATCCAGTCGCATCTTAGGAAATTTGAGGCTCTACTTACAAGTGTTATTGCTGGTTTGCCATGCACAGGAACGCTGAGAACACCATCGCCCTGGCCTCATCGAACGACTCCAGAGAGGGGCCCACATCTGCTCAACCAAGAAGGAGAAAGCTGAGGTCTTCCAAGTGTTCCTCCCCAACATCTTGGGTCTGTTCCCACTGACTCCAGTCTGAAGAGGGTGATGTTCCCTGCTGTCTGTTCTCACTTTGATCAGGACCACTGTGGACTGGCGTGTACCCACCTCTTTTTGTAGAAACTCATCCCAACCCCTGAGCCTAATGGTTAAAGTTCAACCCATGCCTTTCCCAACAGGGTGGGTCCACAGGGATTAGTGGCCTCTGCTGGGGACAGGCCACTCAGGTCACTGGGCTTTGATCTGGCAAACAGGAGCACAAGTCTGCCAGGGAGCTAGAAAAACTGTACGGTGGGGCTGCGTGAGCACCAGGGGATTACGCGGGAGGCGGGGGCGAGTGGATGAGAGCAGAGTCCCTGTTTCTTTCATGGGGTTGACCGTGTGGTTTGGGGCTCCGGGACACTCAATACCAGGCACAAAGCCATGGTGTGCATGTGAGGAGGGACTGGCAGGCAGGCTCAGAAGTACAGGAATGGGACTGGCCAAAGCGCTGCTGGGTAGACAGGCCAGGGGAGCAGGGAGCTTCTGTCCACCCACCAGGGCTCCTGAAGTCATGGAGTCCTTGCTTGCCTTAAAATAGGTGCGATTTGATTCATTCATCCTCCCCGGAAGCAAGATGCCCTGTGGCTTCGGACACTTCCAGGTCATGCCTGCTGTCTTGGCATAAACATTAACAGGGCCACCTTTCTTTCTTTCCTTTTCTTTTTTTTTTTAGACAGAGTTTCACTTCTGTTGCCCAGGCTAGAGTGCAATGGCGTGATCTCGGCTCACTGCTACCTCTGCCTCCCAGGTTCAAGCAATTCTCCTGCCTCAGCCTCCTGAGTAGCTGGGATTACAGGCGCCCACCACCATGCCCAGCTAATTTTTTGTATTTTTAGTAGAGATGGGGTTTCACCACGTTGGCCAGGCTGGTGTTGAACTCCTGACCTCAGGTGATCTGCCTGCCTCGGCCTCCCAAAGTGCTGGGATTACAAGTGTGAGCCACTACGCCCAGCCTCTTTTCTTCGTTTCTTTTCTTTTCTTTCTTTCTTTTTTTGAGATGGAGTCTCGCTCTGTTGCCCAGGCTGGAGTGCAATGGCGTGATCCTGCCTCACTGCAACCTTTGCCTCCCAGGTTTAAGCAATTCTCCTGTCTCAGCCTCCTGAGTAGCTGGGATTATAGGCACACACCACCACAACGGCCAATTTTTTGTATTTTTAGTAGAGACGGGGTTTCACTGTGTTCCCCAAGCTGGTCTCGAACTCCTGAGCTCAGGCAATCCACCCACCTCGGCCTCCTAAAGTGCTAGGATTACAGGCATGAGCCACTGCGTCCAGCCTCTTTTCTTTTCTTTCTTTCTTTCTTTCTTTCTTTCTTTCTTTTTTTTTTTTTTTTTGAGGTGAGGTCTTGCTCTGTCACCCAAGGTGGAGTGCGGTGGTGCCATCATGGCTCACTGCAGTCTCAATCACCCAGGCTCAAGTGATCCTCCCTCCTCAGCCTCCCAAGTAGCTGGGACTATAGGTGCATGCCATTATGTCCAGCTAATTTTAAAAATTATTTGTAGAGGCAGGTTCTCGCCATGTTGCCCAGGCTGGTCTTGAACTCCTGGGCTCAAGCAATCCTCCCAGAGTGGCCTCCCAAAGTGCTCGGATTACAGGCATGAGCCACTGCCCCTGGCCTGGTACCTCCCTTCATGCCCAGGGTCCACATGGGTATGTTAGCTGGTCACTCTAGCCAGGCAGCTGGTGATATTTGCAGACGCCAACCCACAAAGAACCTTCCTTTGGGTCCTTTGAGCGGCACAGCAGTTTATTCACCCAGACACCTTTTACCTGTGAAATGGAACCCATGGGATTGGGATGCACCAGTTTGTGACTTCTTGTTGTTGTTTAAACTTACAATCTTTTAGGGGGCAGGGCTATCATAACTTTTCATAGAATCCTGGAATCTTAGATCTAGAAAACCCTACAGAACACAGGTGTTGAAATGCGAGTCCACTTGTAGGCTCCTGAAAGCCCAAGAATCCCACTGAAATCCCCCACACAATGGATAGGGTCTGCGGCTTTCGGCCACTGCTCTGGTGGGCCCAAGAGTTTGCTTGCATTTGTTTTGAGCAACAAAAACCAAGTCTGGATGATATGTTCTCTCCTTCCCACACAGTCATGGTGGAAATGCACCCACTCTTGGGAAGTCTGATTCATTGTCATTCATTCATTGACCCACTCACTCATTCATTGACTCACTCACTCACTCATTGACTCACTCACTCATTCACTCACTCACTCATTCATTCACTCACTCATTCATTCTCTCACTCAGTCAATCATTCATTCACTCATTCATTCATTCATTCACTCACTCATTCACTCACTTATTCATTCACTCACTCATTCACTCATTCACTCATTCATTCACTCATTCACTCATTCATTCATTCACTCATTAATTCATTGGCTTTTGCCTCCATTTCCTCATCTGTAAAGTAGGGAAGATTCTAGGATTCCATCATACACGATAACACTCTGTCGAGCTGTTGTTGACACAAGTGATGTCCTTAGAGCGGCACTTTCATTGCTGCAGGCCAAGCTCCCACCCCAGGCATTGCCAGCCCCATGTGAGCAGGGGCATCTCCTGAGTACACTCACCTGGGCAGCCGATGATGCCCCACAGGCTCCTGGGGCATGTCCTCTGCCATCCTCAGCCGTCCTGCCCTCTTCAGCCTGCCCAGTTTAGGTTGACTGCGTTGCAGCAGTACCCGTGGGCTGGGGGTCTCCCTGTCTTCCTCATCTCCCTGCTGCCCCATGGCAGGACTCTGCTTTACTTACAAAATATCACCAGCCCCAGTGTATTAATCAGGGTTCTCCAGAGAGACAGAACCAATGGGATAGACAAACAGATAGATAGATTAGAGAAAGAGAGAGAGAAAGAGATGATAGATAGATAGATAGATGATAGATTAGAGAGAGATGATAGCTAGATAGGTAGACAGATGACAGACAATAGATAGGTAGATAGATAGGTAGATAGATGGTAGATAATGGATAGATGAAGAAAGATGATTGGTAGGTAGATAGATGGTAGGTAGATGAGAGCTAGATGATAGATGACAGGTAGACATGTTACCAGATGGAAAGTCTTAACTTCGAGTTGTCCAGGTTCTTGGTGTGTTAAAGAATTGAGCAAAACACACAAACAAAGCAAGAAAAGAACAAGCAAGTGGCTCAAGAACCCTGATTACCATGTTCTTCAGGGTTTTTATTAAGCTAAAAGAATTTGGTAACACCCCCAGGTGCCCTTTAGAGGGCTCCAATTGGTTACATCCTATGAAGGATTGGCCCCTGACCAATCAGAGGCAGAAGTGGAGGCTTCTGTTCTGTTACCGCAGTAGTGAGACTGTGGCCCGTGTGCCGCCCAATCTTGCCTGGAACCGGCTGCTCCTGCTGCTCTTTTGCTTCTGCCTTAAACCTGGGTTACCCTCATTCCCTATTCTCCCGCCTCAGGTAGGTGATAGATAGAAATAAAGAGATAAATGATAGGTAGATCGATAGATAGATAGATAGATAGATAGATAGATGAATGAGAGGACATTAATTAGGGGAATTGGCCCATATGACTATGGAGGCTGAGAAGTTCCAGGACAGGCCACTGCAAGCTGGAGACCCTGGGGTGCTGGTAGCATGGCTCAGTCCAAGTCCGAAGGCCTCAGAACCAGGGAAGCTGAGGGTGTAACTCTCAGTCCAAGGCCAAAGGCCTGAGAACCCTGGGGCAGAGGGTGGCATTGGTGTAAGTCCTGGAGTCCCATGGCCGGGGAGCTGGGCGTTGTCCAAGGGAAGGAGAGGAAGCGCACGCCCCAGTCCGGCAGATGGACAGACACATTCACCTTTTCTCTGTTTTTGTTCTCTCTGGGTCCCAGCAGATTGGATGGTGCCACCCACATCCAGGTGGAACAGGAATTAAAACAAATTAAAGAATATGTAAGCAGAAACTCAGTTGTATGTAAGAAAACCCAATTCCCCCTGAGAAAGAGAAAGTGCTGAAGTCCTTTAAAATTAACTGCCTGTTTTTCTGTGGCTAGTGAGCCTTCTCTCTCCCTTTCCCAGGCATTGCGAAGACCCTGTTTCTCTAGCCGTGCAGCTGCAAGGTCATAAACAGATAAACTCAAGTCGCAACGCATGTTTTTCCTTGAAAAGTAAGAAATGATGTAACGCATGTCTCAATTAATTGAATAACTGTCTTTGTTTCTCGCTTCTGCAACGTGCTTCCCCCTACACAGATCTCCCTCCACCCCACGAAATGCTTAAAAGGTAACTTAAGCTCTTTGTTCAGGGCTCAGTCCTTTGGATGTTAATCCGACTGGGCCGGTGCACCTAAATAATAAATATCTTTTTTTTTTTTTTTTTTTTTTTTTTTTTGAGACGGAGTCTCACTCTTTCGCCCAAGCTGGACTGCAGTGGCGCTATCCCGGCTCACTGCAAGCTCCGCCTCTTGGGTTCATGCCATTCTCCTGCCTCAGCCTCCCGAGTAGCTGGGATTACAGGCGCCCGCCACCATGCTCGGCTAATTTTTTGTATTTTTAGTAGAGACGGGGTTTCACCATGTCGGCCATGATGGTCTCGATCTCCTGACCTCGTGATCCGCCCGCCTCGGCCTCCCAAAGTGCTGGGATTACAGGTGTGAGCCACCGTGCCCGGCCGGTTAGCAGTTTCTTATGGTTCTTTTTGGGAATTTCCATATCAGAAATCTCTTACATATGTATTCTCTTTTTAAATACAGGAAATAATTATGTATAGAGGATATGTACTTATAGAAACACATATATATGCCACCTACTAATTTATCCGGAATAATTTTTATATCAGTGTATATAGCTCTTCCCTTCTTTTAAAGAAATAACTACAAAATATTCCACTGACATATTACCATAATTTATTAAATTACCTCTCTTATAGATGGTGTACATAGCTCTTCTTTTAAAGAAATAACTACAGAATGTTCCACTAAAATAAGTACCAGCTGGGTGTGGTGGCTCACGCTTGTAATCCCAGCACTTTGGGAGGCCAAGACGGGTGGATCACTTGAGGTCAGGTGTTCAAGACCAGCCTGGCCAACATGGTGAAACCCCCGTCTCTACTAAAAATAGAAGAATGAGCCGGGTGTGGTGGCGCACGCCTGTAATCCCAGCTACTTGGAAGGCTGAGGCAGGAGAATCACTTGAGCCTGGGAGGCAGAGGTTGCAGTGAACTGAGATCGTGCCACTGCACTCCAGCCAGGGTGACAGAGCAAGACTCTGTCTCAAAAAAATAAAAATAAAAATAAATATATATATATCTCATAATTTATTAAATTAATTATCTTACAGTGTTTTTCCTTTTTTTTTTTTTTTTGAGACAGTCTTGTTCTGTCGCCCAGGCTGGAGTATAGTGGTGCGATCTAGGCTCACTGCAACCTCGGCCTCCCAGGCTCAAGTGATTCTCCTGCCTCAGTCTCCCAAGTAGCTGGGATTACAGGCATTGCCCACCATACCTGGCTCATTTTTGTATTTTTGGTAGAGATGGGGTTTCACCATGTTGCCCAGGCTGGTCTCGAACCCCTAGCCTCAAGTGATCTGCCCGCCTCGGCCTCCCAAAGTGCTGGGATTGCAGGTGTGAGCCATTGTGCCAAGCTGTTTTTCTAGTTTTTATGGTTTTTTTTTTTTTGGTCTTATAATTAACATTGCACTTGGCCAGGTGCAGTGGCTCACGCCTGTAATCCCAGCCCTTTGGGAGGCTGAGGCAGGCGGATCACCTGAGTTTGGGAGTTCGAGATCAACCTGACCAACACGGCGAAAACCCGTCTCTACTAAAAATACAAAAATTAGCCGGGCGCAGTGGTGGCACCTGTAATCTCAGCTACTCGGGAGGTTGAGACATTAGAATAGCTTGAACCCGGGAGGCGGAGGTTGCAGTGAGCCGAGATTGCACCATTGCACTCTAGCCTGGGCAACAGAGCAAGACTCCGTCTCAAAAAAAAAAAAAAAACCCTGAAAAACAAAAATCAAACAAACAAAAAAATTAACACTGCACTGAATATCCTTGAATAGAATTCCTAGGTTTGACATACATAGGTCAAAGGGTAAATCCACTGAACTGCTGATAGATGTGCCAAGTTACTCAGGCAAGGGATTGTGCTCTCACCTGCTCACCTTGTATTCTGGGCCAAAATGTCTTATATGTATCCAACCCAACACTTCCTAATTTCTTAGTTTCTACCTCCCACAGAAAACACCGTATAGTCTGTAATTTTCTGCCAGAGTTGAAAATTTCTCATGCAGAGTCATGATGGTAACTTTTGTCAACCCGGCTGGGCCATGGTGCCCAGATATTTGGTGGACCATTATTCTAGATGTTTCCATCAGTGTGTTTTTTGAATGTGATTAACATTTATACCTCAGTGAACGTTGAATAAAGCAGATTACCTTCCACAATGTGGGTGGCTCTCACCTAATCAGTTGAAGGCCTTAATAGAACAAAGACTGACCTCCCTCCCTATTCCCCCAAACCCCCTCTCCCACCCCCCATTGAGAAGGAATTCTGCCAGCAGGTGCCCTTTGGACTTGAACTGCGACTCTCTCGTCAGATTTGGGGCTTGTCAAGCCTCCCCAATTGCATAGGGCAATTCCTCAAGATAAATCTGACAAATCTCCCTCTCTCTCCCCATGTATAGATAGATAGGTAGCTAGGTGTAGGTTTACTTACACACACACACACTACACACACACACACACATCCTGTTGGTCTGTTTCTGTGGAGACCCTTACAGGAGTTAATAAAAATCCATAACTAAAGGAGATTTTTTCATTCTTTTTTTTTTCTTGTCGTTTTGAGATGGAATCTCGCTCTGTAGCCCAGGCTGGAGTGCAGTGGCATGATCTCGGCTCACTGCAACCTCTGCCTCCCGGGTTCCGGTTCAAGCAATTCTCCTGCCTCAGTCTCCCGAGTAGCTGGGATTACAGGCACCCACCACCATGCCCAGCTAATTTTTGTATTTTTAGTAGAGACGGGGTTTCACCATGTTGGCCAGGCTGGTCTTGAACTCCTGACCTCGTGACCCACCCGCCTCGGTCTCCCAAAGGGCTGGGATTACAGGCATAAGCCACTGCATCCGGCCTTCATTTCTTAAATTAGAAGGTAGGAGATCAAGAAACTGCTCCTCTCTGCCTGTTTACAAACATTCTTCATATTTGAACCCAAAATGTTTAAGTCAAACCTTCTTTAACTGCTTTTTTCTAAAATGGACCACGTGTACCCAGATAACCCTTCCACGTGCAGAAGACTGAAATTTCTATTCTTATTTTTTTCTCACCTATTAAGATTTTCTGTTTTTCATATGTTCCGTAAAGCACACACTACGTTAGTACCTAACACACAGATGTAAATTTACATGTATACATGTTCATGGCAAGTGTGTGTGAGTGAGTGAGAGAGGCCTAGAGCCCACCATTCTCTGAGAACCCTCAAATTTCTCTGCATCACTTTTTGAAATAGGGCTTTATTCTCATGTGATAGAAATTTAAAGTCATTTCTTTTTTTTTTTTTTTTTGAGACAGAATTTCACTCTTGTTGCCCAGGATGGAGTGCAGTGGTGCAATCTCGGCTCACCGCAACCTCCTTCTCCCGCGTTCAAGTGATTCTCCTGCCTCAGCCTCCCGAGTAGCTGGGATCAACAGGCATGAGCCACCACGCCTGGCTAATTTTGTATTTTCAGTAGAGACGAGGTTTCTCCATGTTGCTCAAGTTGCAAAACATGTTTTTCTTTGAAAAGTAAGAAACGATGTAATGCATGTTGCAAACTCCTGATCTCAGGTGATCTGCCCGCCTCAGCCTCCCAAAGTGCTGGGGTTACAGGTGTGAGCCACCGTGCCCGGCCAGAAGTTGAAAGTCATTTCTAAATGCGCTGCCTGCGCTCCATAGTACTCTGTGATCTCAAAATGATACACTGTCCATGAAGAAATGCTATTTTAGGTGAAAAAATCAAATAGGAAAAACTTGCATTGGACAAAATCCTTCAAAACACACAGAAGTTTCTGCACGAGTTTTGGTCACAGTAATTTCTTTTGCTGAGCCACTGGACTTTTTTTTTTCCATGGTTAGTGTTTTATTTTTATTATTTATTTATTATTATTTTTTTTTGAGATGGAGTTTCGCTCTTGTTGCCTAGGCTGGAGTGCAATGGCGCGATCTCGGCTCATCGCAACCTCTGCCTTCTGGGTTCAAGCCATTCTCCTGCCTCAGCCTCCCTAGTAGCTGGGATTACAGGCATGTGCCACCACGCCTGGCTAATTTTGTATTTTTTTTTAGTAGAGATGGGGTTTCTCCATGTTGGTCAGGCTGGTCTCGAACTCCCGACCTCAGGTGATCCACCCATCTCGGCCTCCCAAAGTGCTGGGATTATAGGCATGATACACCGCGCCCGGCCTAGTGTTTTATTCTTTGAAGAATGCTTCTAAAACATCGCGCCAAGTCAATCTGAAAGGTAAAGTTTAAAATCTTTTTAAAGGATAAGTTATATGTAATGACTGTTCACTCTACAAAATCTTAATCTTAGGGCTTATGAGGCACCCAGTTGGCAGTAACATCCAGGTTTTCCAAATAGCCAGTTATCATTTTTCTCGTCTGCATAGATTTCTCATTAACTGCCTCCTGTTTTGTTGCATGATCTCAGAGTCCCCCTGCTTTCTCTGAGAGGTGGTCAAGCTATCCTCTTTTCTTCTTCGCTTGCTAATTTCCTGGGTTTTCTTCATGTTTTCTGGCGGGCAAGTTCTCGTTGATTTCCACGGACCATGCCGACCACCGACAGAGCCAGGAAGAAAGCAAGTCGGAAAAGCAACGGTTCCCTGGCACGCTGGGCTACCGTCACTGCTGCTGGATTTTTTATGGGTCCATTTCCCGCAGGCGTTTTTTACTGATTGCGTGGGTTTGTACACCTGTTTCCCCCACCTGCTTCACAGCGGCAACTTCTCATTAATAAGGACTCAAACGCTCAGTAGCCCCTGTTGAGATGCTAATCAGCTGTCTGGCTTGGGTGGCCTGGATTAATTGCACCGTACGCAGCCTCTCCTGAGGAGTTCGCATCAACGGCTGCTCCCATTCTCAGACAGGAGGACAGAGCTGCCAGCCGGACAGAACGTCAGTGCTGACGTCAGCGTTCACGTGTGCAGGAGGAGAGCCCTGAGGGACCCCGCTGGGGACTGGTGCTGTTTCTGCCTGCGCACACCCAGCTCTTCTCCCTGGCAGCTGCTGGGTTTGCTCTGGGAGACCAGCCCTCCCCACCCGCCCTCCACGAGGCTGGGCCAGGCTGACCCCTCCCCCAGACATGTCTCAGGACTGGCCACTCGGAGTGGGGGTCATTGCCGGGTACACAGTCTGGCCAGTAAGCATCGCCCCCGGGAGCCTTGCTGGAATGATGAGAAAAGAGGCCCTCTCTCTCCCAGGGAATGGTTGAACTGGAAAAACCTGTTGGTAGTTGCGGGGACCCCTTCATGAGATCCTGCTCAGGAATGGGGAAAAACCAGCCAGGTGAGGTGGTTCATGCCTGTAATCCCAGCACTTTCAGATGAAGTAGGTGGGAGAATCACTTGAGCCCAGGAGTTCGAGACCAGCCTGGCCAATATGGCGAAACTCCCTCTCTACCAAAAAAATACAAAAATTATAGCAAGGCTTGGTGGCAGGCGCCTGTAATCCCAGCTACTCGGGAGGCTGAGGAAGGAGAATCACTTGAACCTGGGAGGCGGAGGGTGCAGTGAGCCAAGATCGCGCCATTGCACTTCAGCCTGGGTGACATAGCGAGACTCCGCCTAAAAAAAAAAATGGGGAAAAACCAAGCCCACAGATGGGAAGGGCGGGGTGGAGAGAGAGAGAGACAGAGTTAGAGACAGAGATGAGAGAGTCTGTGCAGTGGACTCCCGGGGGTTTCTGGAGCCACTGAACCTGGCCCCACTCCTGGAGGTGCAGGCTTTGGTGTTTTCAGAGGGTCTCATATCAGCCCAGATTGAGAAGTGACCACGAAGGCTGCTTGGCCATATGTTTGGCCAAGACAAAGGAGAAATCAGCCAAATTGCTGGGCCTAAGCAATGCCACTCTCTCTCTCTCCTCTCTCTTTCAAATGCATGTTACTACGCAGATAGTAAGGGTCTCTGTGACCTTTACAAATGGCCTGGTGCACACACGTGTAAGCGGCCCCCATATTTGAGGCCTTGCTGATCCACTTTACAAGTGAGGAAGGTAAGGTACAGGAAGCGTAGGTTGTTTCTCCAGTTTCAGAGGGCACCGTATCCACACAGCAGTGACTGGGTAGGTCCTGGTCTCTCTCGACAGCCCAGAGTGTGTGGCCTGTCCCCGGAGAGGGTGGGATCCACGCCAGGAGGGGCTGAGTGGTGCTGACTGCCACCCCCTCCCATCACCCCTGGATCATCATCTTGTTTTCCAGTGGGGTCTCCTTTCAGGGCTCTAGTTCACCCCAAAGCTGACCTCTTCCAGTGAGACCTTCAAACCCTTACAGTGCCCTTGCATGAAGTGGCAAAGTCAGGGGAGGGGTGGAGAGTGGAGGATGAATTACAGAAGGAGCCCCCCTGGGGGGAACAATTGCAAAGATGTGTTTTCAGGGACAGTCCTCACGACCGTGGGCGGTAGCCATGACGTCCGGTCTCCCATCTCCTGGAGCTGTGCATCCACCATCCAGTACAGCACCTGGACACTCCCTCTCCCTTAGCAGTCCCCAGCATCGGGCTCATGGGCAAGTCCTGTGGATTTCACTCTGTGGAACCTCTCCAATCTGTCCATTTCTCTTCATCCTGTCTGCACTGCAACCCCCTGCAGCAAGCCTCCGTCTCTCACTTGGAGCCTGTCACAGCCTTCTCCACTGCTCTCCTCAAATTCATGCAGGATAATGTATTTCCTCCTCCCATTCCTTTTCCAGCACTCCAGCCAGATGGACTTTTCTTTTTTTTTGAGACAGAGTCTCGCTCTTGTTGCCGAGGCTGGAGTGCAATGGCGCGATCTTGGCTCACCGCAACCTCCACCTCCTGGGTTCAAGCGGTTCTCCTGCCTCAGCCTCCCGAGTAGCTGGGATCACAGCCATGCGCCACCACACCCGGCTAATTTTGTACTTTTAGTAGAGACGGGGTATCACCATGTTGGTTGGGCTGGTTGCGAACTCCCGACCTCAGGTGAGCTGCCCGTCTTGACCTCCCAAAGTGCTGGGATTACAGGTGTGAGCCACTGTGCCAGGCCGCCAGATGGACTTCTCAAAACACAAATCTGATCCTACCCACTCTGGCCCCAAACTTTGTAAAGTCTTCCCCATTGCCTCAGGAGCAAGACGACACCCCTTCCTCGCTGACAAGGACGCAGTTGTGCCTTCACTACCTTTGCTGCCACATCTCACCACCTGCCTCCTCTCGTCTCTACCCCCACTGTGGCTGTGTGACCCCAGGTGTATTGCTCAACCTCTCGTGTCTTCCTGTTCTTCACAAAGAATAGGAATTACAGTGAAATGTGCCTGGCTCATGGGCACCCAGCCCATGGTAACATGAGCACATCCGGAATCAGACTCTCTACTAAACGCTTCATCACCTCCATGCCATGGACCCCTCCCAATATCCCTGTGAGCTGTGAGATCTAAACACCAGTTCCCAGAGTGGGAAGCGAGGCCTGAGAGCCTCAGCAACTTGCCCAGGGAAGGCTCAGACTCTAGCCCTGGCCGGGCAAACTCCAAGTCCTCGCACTTAAGAACAACCAGGCTCAGCGTTCCAGCATTCCACTCGGCCTCCTGGGCTTTTCCTGGGCCACCGAGTGCATCGTGTTTACTTTCTCTTTCTCTACCCTAGTGACATTCTCAGAAAGAGGAACCGTCGGAAGGTTCCAGGGTTTTCTTGATGTGGGCATTTCGAGGTGTTGACAAAAGGACCTCTGTGACCTTTACTTATGGCCTAGTGCACACACTTGTAAGTGGCCCCCATATCTGGTGCCACACAGGCCAGAGTGCACTTCCCGCTCCTCTTATAATGCCCTCACTAATGTGACTGTAACTTCATTAACTCCAGGCCAGATTGGATCCTTGTACCGACTGGTGAGTAAGCGAACCTTCACTACAGACAGCTGTCTTTGCTGATGACTAGCTACTTCATTTTTAAAATTACGGTGAATCAACTATATGCCAATATTGAACAATGCCTTCCTTTTTTAGCTTCCTGAGCAGCAAAATAAAAACTAAATCAAAACCATCAAAAATAAAAAAGTGTAGTAGCTCATGCCTGTAACCCTAACACTTTTTGGGAGGCTAAGGCGGTAGGACCGCTTGAGTCCAGGAGTTCAAGACCAGCTTGGACAACATATTGAGACCTCTGACTCTACAAAAAATAAAAAAAAATCAGGCAATGGTGGTGGTGCATGCCTGCAGTCCCAGCTACTCTGGAGGCTCAAGCGAGAAGATCACTTAAGCCCGAGAGGTAGAGGCTGCAGTGAGCTCTGATTGTACCATCGCACTCCAGCCTGGATGGCAGAGCAAGACCCTGATGCAAACAAAACAAAACAAAACAAAACAAAACAAAACAAAACAAAACAAAACAATCACTAACTGCAGCACAATCATAGTTTTGATTGGCTTAATTTCTGATAATGCCTAGTCAGCAGTGGCCTTCAACAAACCTCACTGTAGCTTGTTGGATGGTCACAGATGGATTCACCTTTGCCCACAAGTTCCTCCTCTTGTCCACTCACACCTGTTCATGACGCCGAGCCCAGCATTGCACAAGGCCTGGGGATAGGGGAAGTGCAGCTCCAGACACGGACTTGGGAATGTTTTGAAACAACAGGAACGACATCACCCTAGGTTTGTGTTTTCAAGCCAGATATTCCGGCGTGGATGCTAAGAATTCTTACATGGGCAAGTATTAATATTTGAATGCAGCCGTGATTGAGGTGGAGGTGGAGACAAAAGGCGTGCGTCCCTAGAACATGTTTTGTCCCCACTGCCGGAGGGAATATTCTGTGTCAGCTATCGCACGCACCCTTTCCCTCCATGTGAGTGGACTCCACACTCTAAGCAAGGCGCTCTGGACTGCAAACTCAGCTTGTGCCTCTCTCCAGCCCTGTGGCCTCGCTGGACAATTTTTCTAATCTCTTTGGAGCTGATCTTCATGTTGAAAAAGGACAAGTCCCATCTTCAGATCAACACCTGTCCCAGCGCTGCCATTTTGCCAAGGCTCCTCCTTGGAGTGTTTGTAAGGCACTTTTGCCACGAAGTAACCCAGCCACCAGCCTCAGTGGAACCTCCAAGCCTAATTCTGGAGGAGACTTTAACTCGGTAAGGTTGCCCAAGGTCGCATAGCCCATGACTGCGCTGAATCCTGTTTTTATTATTGGCAAAAGGGAGTTGGGCAGGAAATTCAAGGTAAAGCATTTTGTTTTTCTTTCTTTCTTTTTTTTTTTTTTTTTCTTGAGACGGAGTCTCGTTCTGCTGCCCAGGCTGGAGTCCAGTGGCGCCATCTCGGCTCACTGCAAGCTCCGCCTCCCGGGTTCACGCCATTCTCCCGCCTCAGCCTCCCGAGTAGCTGGGACTACAGGCGCCTGCCACCGCGCCGGGCTAATTTTTTGTATTTTTAGTAGAGACGGGGTTTCACCGTGTTAGCCAGGATGGTCTCGATCTCCTGACCTCGTGATCCACCCGCCTCGGCCTCCCAAAGTGCTGGGATTACAGGCGTGAGCCGCCGCGCCCGGCCAGCATTTTCTTTTTCCCAGTGAAAATAGCTGCCTCGCCCTGTGTTTGGGAGCTCAAAGGCATTCTTGCTCATTGCAAATAATTGAGGAAACAGAGGCGAGTATAAAGAAGAAAATGAAAGGCAAGGTAATCCTAGATTAGCAGAGGGAGATAACCAGGAATGACATTTCTGGGAACTGCGCTATGGTTTGGGAATTTTTTCCTGTGATTACCCACAAACGCACATTTGCACATTTATTCTACGTGTGCACATTCACGTCATCACTTTTTTTTTTTTTGAGACAGAGTCTCGCTCTGTCGCCAGGCTGGAGTGCAGTGGCGCGATCTCGGCTCACTGCAACCTCTGACTCGCGGGCTCAAGCGATTCTCCTGCCTCAGCCTCCCGAGTAGTTGGGATTACAAGGCGCCCGCCACCACGCCCGGCATAATTTTGTATTTTTAGTAGAGACAGGGTTTCGCCATGTTGGCCAGGCTGGTCGCGAACCCTTTACCTCAGGTGTTCCGCCCGCCTTGGCCTCCCACAGGGCTGAGATTACAGGCGTGATCCACCGTGCCCGGCCGCCATCACTTATTTATATTATGTGTTACCTATAGGACTTATCTAAGACCATAATCACTGCCGCGTGTGCTAAGTCCCGCGCGCGTGCACTCAGGCCCCTCTGGATAGACACTGGGGACCCCTGACCACTTATGTCAGGGAAAACGCCACCAAGCGCTCCGGAACCTCAGGGCAGGACCCGCCGCAGCAGCAGGTAGGACCCGCTGGGGGCGCACAGCCCACCTGAGACATCGTAACTACAAGTCCCAGCAACCCTTGGTGCGGGGACAGGACGGGCCACCGGAGTCCGGAGAGACTACAAGTCCCGGCAGGCATGGCCCAGACGCAGGGACTACGAGTCCCCGAATGCATGGCTCCCAGCTTGCGCAGGGCACCCTGGGAGGTGTAGTAGTTGAGGGAGCTAATGCGTATTCATTCCGTCTCAAAGAAGATGCAAATTCCTCAGACCGTCCACTGAGGTGATTGTTCTCACGCAGGCCATGGGCGTGGGCGAAAAACGGGGGGAAAAAAGCCCTGGGAAGCCGGTACCGTCGCGGAAGAAGGCCGCCTGCGCATGCTCACCAGGAGGCCGAGCGGGAAAAGCGCGCGCAGCTGGCCTCACTGCCACAGGGGTGCCCCGCCCCCGGGCCCGCGCGCCCAGTGAGCCTGCGCGGAGGGCGGGGGCCGAGCGTCGCGGGGAGGGGCTCGCGGCGCCTGCGCAGAGCGGCGGCTTCTCTCGCGAGGACGGACGCCATTATCGCATCTCCCCGACAAACACCACGAGAATTCCGCAGCCCACACGGTAATTGCAGCTCCCGCAGCCGGTCGCGCCTCCGCCTCCCCCTTCCCGCGGGGCGAGAGCGAGAGCGAGATCTCCCTCCTCCCTCCTCCTCCCGCCCGCCGGGCCGCCCGCGCCGCAGCCCCGCCGCCGCCAACCGCCCGGGCCGGGCGATCGCCCCCCGGGCCCCGCTCCCCGTCCCCGGCCGCGCCCCGGAAGAGGGGCTCCCGCTTCCTCGCTTCCGCACCCCCGGCCCCACCGCGCCCGGCGTCCGTTGAGCCGCGGCTGCCGCAGCCCGGCCCGGGGGCCTCGCGCTCCCGACCTCTGTCCCGGGCCTCGCCCCGCGGGAAGGACCCGGAGCCACGGCGGGGAGACTGGAAAGGCCTAGAACCGCGCCCGGGCTCCTCTGGGGCCCGAAGTCTCCCAAGGGGGTCGCTCCTGCCAGCCAGGCGGGAGCGACAGGCATCGTTTTTGTGCCTCCTCCGTGGCTGTGGACCGGAGCCCCATAGCCCAGGACTTGCACACGCAAGGGGCGCTCTCGGGGACCGCAGACCTCGGCGACGACCCCAGCCCGTCCCCCGAGGGGCCCCGATGAACGAGGACCTCGGGGTGCCCCCTCCCCAGCACGTTTGTGCGATTTCTGTGATCTAGTCCTTAAGGAAGGTGGCCGTTTTCTTTTTCCCCCCTAGGATGCAGAAAGTAGATGACATTCCATCCACACTGTGTGAGCAAATTGGAGAGATTGCCTTGATAGAGGACTGATGTTTTTCACTGATGAGATGGTAGGGGTTGTCTTGCTATTGGAGAAATACATCATCCCTGAAGAACTGTGAGCAAGTGGAGCGAGTGTGGGCTTTGAAGGGTAGCGAGCTTGCACCCTGACCGGGGAGGGCCCGGGTCACACAGTTGTTGATGTGGAACAGGTAATTGCCCTGTTTGGAGTTGCCTGTTCTGCCCAGGAATGTACTCCAGGGCCTGATGGCGATGCTGGAACTCGCACTACAGTAAATAATTGATAAGAGGAGGCAGTTGTAGGGTTCACTTTTAGCTGGAAGTTCTTAGGGGACAGAAAAATAACTTGGAGTAGTGAGTGGTTCTGAGTAAGCTCAGGAAACGTCAAATAAAAACTGGATCTGGTCATTTAACACGCAGCTCGCAGATATCCAGTGCTAGAAGAAAACACCAAAACGCGGTAAAATTCTGTATGTGGGTCCACTTCCCGTGTCTGGCGATTAAAATAAGAATATATTCTTGCGATGTTGGATTCTGTCATCATTGGCGTTAATATTTTTATTTTTTTGGAGATAGGGTTTCACTCGGTCCCCGAGACTGGAATGCAGTATCGTGATCTTGGCTCACTGCAGCCTCGGCCTCCCTGGCTCAAGTGATCCTCCCACCGCAGCCTCCTGAGTAGCTCGGACCACAGACGCCACCACCCCGGCTAATTTTTGTATTTTTCGTAGAGAGGGGGTTTCGCCTTGTTGTCCAGCCTGGGGCTTTAATCTTTTTAAAAAAGAGCTTCCATTTGTGATTCCACGCTGCGTGGGGGCAGCTCAACATCTCGGGTGCTTCATCATGACCCAGGAGGCAGAGGCTGCGTCCACTTTATAGATGAGGTGACTAGGCCCGCAGACACTAAGGGACTTGCTCAGATTTACAGAGCCAGGGTTCGAATTCAGTCTGTCTGAAGCCTATGTTCTTAAAAAAAAAAGCCCATATATTTAGTATTTTAATCAATATAATGTATACAATAGGAACGTCAATGAAAGACTTACAATGAAAAGCAATGGTCCCCTGCCCCACCTCTCAGCCCCGTTCTTCAAAGAGGTTTACATCTTGAGTGGTTTCTTTAGGTCATTCTCCACAGCTCTGAGTAAGCTGATCCTTTTTATTTTTTTCTTGAGATAGGATCCCCTGATGTTGCCCAGGCCGTACTCGAACTCCTGAGCTCAAGTGATCCTCAGCCTCCTTAGTAGCCGCTAATACAGGTGTGAGTGACTGCACCTAGCTCTAAGCTGATATTTTGTATTACACAGCCTTGTCTTTCTATTACGATGGGGTGATGGAGCCCTTCTGTCATATCCCAACTCTTCTATCCCCTGGACTGTCTGTGTTAGGCCTATGCAAATACTGTTCTCTTCACGGACAAATTGAGTGTTTCCCTTCCTGTACAGCGTGGATTTTTCTGTTAGTCATGGCTTTTCTCTTGGCACTTTCTGTTCCCATCGACTCCTTACATTGTTTTAAATTCTCAAGGATAGTGTCAGGTCCCCTTTCTCCTTCAGCCCCTGTCCTTCTCATCTGGATGGGTTAGCTTGCACACGAGCCAGCCTGATATTTTCCTTTCTTCTGTAGCTGGGTATGTTCAGGAATGTTTTCATCTTGGCTCTGTTCGTTTCCACAGGAACCTCTGGCAAGTGCTCTTCCTCCTTGTGGAGACCCCTCTCCCTCCCTGAACGCTCTTGGATCTTCTCTTTGGTGTTAATGATGTTTTACCCTTGTGTGTGCTGAGGTGTGTGGATTCCTACGCCGGGGACTCTGACTCTGGTGCTTTGTCCTTCAGCTCTGGGAAGTTCCCTTGTTCTGTCTGAGAAGTTCTTCCTCTCCAGCTCTGCTCTTCTGTCTTAGGAGTTCCTGTTTGTGATGGACGTTCTAGGTGGAGCCCTGGAGTTGCGTCTTTATCCTTCCTTCTGTGTCTCGTTTATTCTCATTCTGGGAGAGGGCTTTAATATGTGTTCACAATCAAATTTTTAATGTCCAAGCATGTATTTGTCTTGTTTCTTTTTCATAGTAGCTTATTGTTACACAAGTGCCTCATCTCCATGACTCTAAGGAAACTAATAAGGATTCTTCCCAGCTCTCCTTTGTTCTGATTTCTTGTTTCCACTAATGTCACTTAAAAAAAGTGTTGGCTTCTTCCTCTTTATGGCAAGTCCTCCATACTGATGTTTACTGTTGTCTGAGGCAGGAGGAAGCTGGCGGAGAGCCCCGGGTCTGTGGGGTGCTTTTGAAAGAGTCCAGTTTCCCCTCGGGTGATTGGGAGCCTGTCACCGTGGGACCTGGAGCACCAACTTGCAGATATTTTCTCTGGGCTGTTCCGCTTCTTTAGGAAGGCCCCTTTGCTGGCCGTGGGGGAGTTAGCTCTCCTGTGCGGGACCGACTTGGCAGGTGCGGGTTTGGCCTGCCCGCAGGGCTCTGCGAGGCTTGGAGCCCCACGCCTGTGCCCCCGGTGCTTTCCCTCTGCCCTGATCGGGTCCTCTGCATCTGTCAGGAGTGTGTTCTTTCTTGTGGGTTGATAACACCCTATTAAAGATGATGTTAATGGAGTGAGAGGAGGTCACCCGTACGGCCAGTCACTCCCCTTGAGCAGGAATTTGCAAGCCTGTTCTATTCACTCCACCTTCCTGCTTCCTTGTGGCCTTGGTAATTGCCCACAGTCAACGGGGTGAGGTGCCAAGCCGCCGTTCCACAGCCGCCTCTGAATTGCAGCGTGGGCTGGTGGCTCTGGCCCTGTGGCCTTGGAGGGCTGCCAGCGTACCTGGGCAAGGCCCGGCAGACCCGTGTGGTAGCAAAGACCCTGACTTTGGCTCCTCGCTGGGTCAGTGTGCCAAGCGGGCCGTCTGCCCTGCTGGGGTCCAGGAGGGCCTGCAGTGAAGCAGTGGTGAGCGTACTGGGAGCATGATCTTTCTGCATGGTGGCTGACTGTCACTGGGAGGTTGTGTGTAGTGCGGTGGGCTCTGTCTGCCAGAGCCTTGCCAGCCGAGCGTCCAGGGGCCAGCTGTGTCCATCAGCATCACTTGGGTATTTGTGAGAAACGCACACTTTCAGGCCCTACCCAGGTTCTCGTGCAGAATCAGACTGCAGCTTGGTCAGCTTTTAATTTTCAGATAGTTTTTGACTTTACAGAAAAGATGCAAAAAATATTTCACTGAGCTTCCCTGTTGTCTTCATCTGCTTCCCCTGATGTTGACGTCTTATGTAACCAGGCATCCATATAAACGCCAGAAAGTTCACAGCATTATTGCGTAAATGACAGACCTTATTCGAACTTCGGTTTTGCACCAGTGTCCTCTTGCTGTTTCGGGATCCCCTCCGGGACCCCACACTGGTGCGTGTGGCCGCCCTGTCTCCTTAATGTCCTTCTGTCTGTGATATTTACATAGTCACAAAGTATCTCCCCCAAGATACACGTCACAAAGGGAAAAATAAAACTGTAGCCTCTCGGTGGAAAAACCCAGCAGATACTGTGTGAAGCAAGTGATCGGGGTAACACCATCAGTCATAAGACGTTGACACCAAGGACCCAGTGAGACACATCACTTCTCTGGCAGTGTTGCCAGAAATGCAGTCTCATCATGAGAAAATGCTGCACCCAAACTGAGGGATGCTCACCACAGTCCTGGCCAGTGCGTCTCAAGTGTCCAGGTCTTGAAAGACAGGGAGGCTCAGAATTTCCTGCAGGCAGGTGGCCAGGTGATGTGTGTGCACCCTGGTCCACACGGAAGGCCTTCCCACAACCTTGAGGGAGGTGAGGGAGTAGGGGTTTGGGGGCTCCAGGCACAGGTGCTGGGCAGTGGGCCTCAGTGGTCTTGCAGCTCCCCCGTCAGGATTGTTAGCCTTTGGGTTCCTCGTCTGCAGTGATACTGTACAAATCCCAAAAACTCCAGTTACACGATTAAGTGATTGACATGACATGGAGTCGCAAGGCTGACTTGAAAATGACTGTAACTCACAGCACCAGTTTAGCCACTGCAATCTAGAGAAACTAAACATTTCCTCATTTTGAAGGAAAGACTTCTTGGGGAAAGTCAATTTGAGGGTTTGAATGAGAATGAGATGAAAGCTTTAGAAGGTCCTCCCTGTGCCTGAGGTAGATAAACATCTGTATTTTCTCTTCACACGGGTGACGGTGGTGAAAGCATGACATCATCTGACTTGGTCAGCAGAAGTGCTCTGAACCATCCGGAACTTTGGGGGCCTGGGGGCCGTGGGGAGGAGTTTCAGGAAGTTGAAAACAGTATTGGGTGGAATCACACACTTGCAATTTGCTCTGAAAAAGCTACACTTGTTTTGTTCTCAGCTGCACCTGGGGCCCTTCAGCCCCTGCAGGAGAAGAATGGGGCGAGTGATTGGTACGTGGCCTTCCCAGCCTGCAGAGCCGCCTGCTTTGGTTGTAATCATAGGCAAGCTCAGCCTGCTTTGGTTGTAGTCGTAGACAAGCTCAGGTTTCCGCCTCTGCACGTCCCGGTGGGCTCGCCTGGGACTCCCTTTGTCTGTTGTACAAGACTCCACTCTGGCCCCCCCTTTGGAAGAGACGATGTCTCCATCCTCAGGAAGTAGAGAAACACTCTCCGCCACCCTCCATCCTGACCCCCGTGCAGAGGATGAAGTGCTGTCCCAGAAGCCCCCTCTCAGGGGTGCCGTAAGTCTCAGAGAGAGGAGCACCCCGGGGCCTCCGTGGCAGAATCCTGTGAGTGTCTTTGGTTAAAATGTGCAGGAAGTGTTAACTCCTAAGCTGCCAGCAGATGGTGTGCCGAGATACTGTGAAGTCACATGAACTTGATTCCTGTTGGAAAGAACCACTCTGCAATCCTTCGCGTCTACACTTCGTCAAGAACCGTCCAATTTGATTAAACATTCTGGATCGTCAGCGTTCACGGTGGAGCAGACTCCACGACTCGCTGCTCCCATGGGAGGTGTCTCTCTGGGGAAGGGGTCAGTGGTGGTGGAGGATGGCGCGGTGCTCCATTCGGAACCCACAGGTCGCCAGCTTACAGCGTGGGAGCTGTGGAAGGACACATGGAGCAGAGGCGGCTGAGGAGGTGAAAGGCTGAGAGGAGGCTGCAGTGAAACACCTGAGGAAGGCTGGGCAGAATGGATCGGGGGTGTGTATTGGCTGCAGTCACCTCCCCTCTGCTCGTCTGTGTCCACATTCTGTCGTGGTTGAGACCGGATCCTGTGTGGACCGGGTGGGCTGGTGTGGAGTCCTGTCAGGAGACCTGGGGCGGTTTTGAGGCAAGCTCACGGAGGCCTGCCGCAGGGCCCTGCGCTGACAAACCTTTCGCTAGTGACCAGTTACCTTCTGTGTCTGAGAGAAGGCCGTTGTGGCCTGTAGTGATTTTCCTTTTCCCTTGAGATGAAAAGTCATCAAATATCTGGAAGCAAAGCTTAATCTTTCTGAAAGTAGAAACGCGTTTGGATGGAGCCGGGAGGGAGAACTGGGTGCGCGCTTGGCATTTCCTTGCCGGTGTGAATGCGCTTCCCGTAAATATGGCAGAACGCCTTCACCTTTCACCAGATGACGCGGGGGGAATTGGGCCACGGTCCCTGCTGTCATCATGGCATGCTGCAAGCTCTGTGGGCGCTGGTGGCCAGGATGCGGACAACCCCTGCCGCTACGTGTCCTCAAGTGAGCTCAGCTCTTGTGTCGGTGGGAGCTGGCGGTGGGTCCCTGAGCAGAGTGCTGCCGCTGCCAGTCTGCGTTTTCTGCCGAAATGCGTCCCTGAGATTGAGAAAGTTCACACCCTAAGTGTTTTTAGAAGGCTGGGTGCCCTGTTTCCCAGCCAACAGTTGTGACTGTCAGTGGGCAAACACAGTTTGCAATAATTGGCCTGTTGTCTTACAATTTCTGGCTCTCCTCTTTGTGGTGTAGGTCATGTTAGGTGGTGGTCCTTGGTCGTTTGTGCCACGTTCCCTCATGTTCTTGAACTCTGAGTCCCTAGAAACTGACATTGGTCTTATTTTGAGTGCATTATTTTTCAAACTTTGGGTCTGAACCCACATCAATTGAGTGGGCCATGGCCAGTGTTAAGAATACTGGATAAAATGGAGCATGCCTTGGATAAAAGGAGCATGGTTCGGAGTGGCTAACGGGTAGGTATCGACTCAGGAAACTTGCAGTGATGAGTGTATGAACTTACCATCGTAGGCCCCAGTCGAGAGCGTGGAAACCACTCTTCTGTGATGTGTGTCTACTAGCGGGTGGTTATGCACAGCATTTGACTGAATTTGGGTAACTCTGGATGTAGTGTATAAAGTACTTTTTAAAAGGCCATCCACTGGGCCAGGCATGGTGGCCCAAAGCTCCCAGCGCTTTGGGAAGCGGAAACTGGAGGATCACTCGAGCCCGGGAATTGGAGGCTGCAGGGCTGCAGTGAGCCATGATTGCACCACTGCACTCCAGCCTGGGCGGCAGAGTGAGACCCTGTCTCAAGAAAAAACAAGCAAAAACTATTCCCGTTAAGCCGCTTGCTTAGGGGTGACTGTGATTGAACATGTGGCTTCTCATCCAAGTTGATTTTAATCTCTATGGAGATCAGACTAATAACCTCACAGTAGAAAATCCACCAGTGAGCTCAGCGGCACAAACTCACAGCCCAGCAGTGTTTGCAGAGGGGAAGGCCCAGAATGCGTGGAGGCTTCGGGATCCATCCTTTGCAGACATAGAGAATTCTCATGGGGGAGGGAGGACCTTGCGGCGCCTTGGCAGTGAGGGGAGCAACCTCAGCATGATGTTGGCACGTACACTGGGGACTGGGTGGTGACACCGTGCATGCCCACAGGGGTGGAGATCTTTGTGGAGTTCACTGATGGATCCCAGAGGCCCAGGACGGGATGGCACGCTTTTCTGTGAGGGTCAGAGTGTAAGTGTTTCTGGCCTTGTGGGGCGTGGGATGTCTCGTGCCACTGTGAAGCCGCTCGACTCTGCTGTTGGGCTGAGAAGCAGGCACCTTGTTTGTGGACGCTGACATTTGAGTTTTATGTAATTTTCTCATCATGAAATATTGTTCTTTTGTTATTTTTCTGTTTTAAAATGTAAAACCCATTCCTGGCTCACAGGCTGCATAGAAGCAGGTGGAGAGCTGGGCTGGGTTGTGGGCCCTCACGTGCCACCCCCTGACCTAGAGTGTGTTTGCCCTGGGAAGGAATAAGACGAGGTTGTGTAGAGAGGCAGTGGCTGGATGGGGAGAGGCCTGGGCCCTGCACAGAGGAGCTGAGGTGTGAGGCTGCTTGCGAGGGAGGCGGCTGACCAGGCTTGGTACTAGCAGGCTCTCCGGGGAGGAGGCCCCCTGGAGGAACAGCGCTGGCGTCAGCCACAGAAGGGCTTAGCGGCCATGGTCTTCCTGCTGCAGCCCGTGTGGTTTTGGGAGGGACACATGGAGCATTGGAGGACAAAGAGACGGCCAGATCGGAGTGTGTGTGGCAGAGGGGCGATGCCACCCTTCGGAGCGATGGGTGCCAGGGTACTCGGTGAGAGCCCAGGTCCCGGGTGAGGGGGTGGGCTGAGGGGGAGTCAGAGAGGGAGGAGCCTCGGGATGCGGAAGGGCGAGAGCAGGGCGATGAGGGTGGGGCCGCAGGGAGGTGGCCGGGACTCCTGGTAGTATTCTTGGGGAGAAAGATAACAGGGAAGTGAGGAGGGTTCAGCTGTGGAAGTGCTGGGATGGCTGATCCGAGTGACCATGGCCTAGACGGGGTTTAAACCCTGGACTGAAGAAAGTGCCGGTGAGAGGTCAAGGCAGGAGATGGAGACCTGGGGGTGACAGGTGTCCCCGGCACCTCCTACCCCCACCCTGGGAGACAGTCCCAAGGGGCACCTTCACTGGGGGCTGGCCCTCATGCACACCAGCCAAACCTCCTGCCCACCTTCTGGGGGCTTCTGGAGCAGAGCAGAGGCCCCGCGGACCGTGAGGATGGCCACAGGGAGGGGAGATGCGAAACACTGGCCGTGGCAGGTGCCCACGCAGTCAGGAGCTTGCTTGTGGGGCTCTTGTCTGACACCTGGGAGATGAATTTCAGTCTGATGGTGGATCTGGACCCAGATGGCTTGCTTGGGATTCAGCAGCTCTTGGGAAGAGCCACACTTGAGGATGGGCTTGGGTGAGGGTTTGGAACGTGCTTAAAGAGGTTGGCAGGCAAGGATTTGGTGGTAGCAGGTGGGGCACATCGTGTATTGGCAGGGTTTTGTTATTTTTATCCTAAAGACATACTTATTTGCAAACCTTCTATTTTGGAACATTTTGAGATGTATACATATGTGGCAGAGATAGCATAGGGAGTGCCCTTGTGCCTGGTACCCAGTTTCTCCCGTTGCTAACAAGACGCATGACAGCAGTTCATGGCACAGTGTTGGGTGTGCCCCGGCCAACTCAGCAGATGAGCTGTTTCACAAAATCAGTGATTCTGCTCTGATAAAATGGCAAGTCCACGGAAAGCACTTTCATTGTATTTTGAAGTTGGGTGGTTGTTGAGGGATTATTTGAGTTGTAGTTGAACTAGCTGCTCTTTTCATGGAACACTATAAAAAAATAATTTACAGATTACTGACATCTCTTACTAAATGAGTGAAGTTAGCCTCTCACCTCAAAGAAGTCAGCTAACAGTGTTTGTTGCCAGTGATAAAGTTTGAGCTGTCAAGTGAAGTTGGAGTTTTGGAAAGTTTGTCTTTGCCACCGTGAGCCCGAGAGCTCCCAATAAATCAGATGCCAGTGCTAATGCTGATGAACCGTATGCTTTTGATATTATAGACTGAACAACATTTGCAAGAGCTGCCTAACTCGGTGAAGCAACATTTTCCAGATGGTCGATGCGGGATCACGCCTGGGTAAAAGATCCATTTAGAGTACAAGTCAAGCCAATGGATCTTAAAGCCATAAAGTGCAGAAGCTCATGGATACAGTTCACATTCCATATTGCAAACAGCCTTTAAGGAAAAATAAAACACACTTGTTGCGTGTTGGTGTGGTGTCAAAGAGGAATCTCCATAATTATCTGAAGAGCCTATTAAGATACTTTTCCCTTGTCTAACTGCATCTCCTTGTAAGGCTGCATTTTATTTTATTTTTTCGTACTTTTTGTAGAGACAGGGTTTTGCTGTGTTGCCCGGGTTGGTCTCGAACTCCTGGACTCACAGAATCTGCACCCCCCCGGGCCTCCCAAAGTGCTGGGATTACGGGCGTGAGCCACTTCCCCTGGTGAGGCTGCCTTTTTGTCATATGCATCGACCAAAACAACATATCGGAGCAGACCACCGGTGGAAGCAGATAGGAAACTCTAGTTGTTTTCAATTAAGCCGGGCATTAGAAATTTGTAAAAATGTAAAACAATATTATCCCTCTTCTCATTAAGGTTTTGTTGTTCTTTGGAAGCTATAGTTATTTTTCATAAAACATGTTTTGTATGTACCATGAATGTTTGTCCCCTTTGAAACTCATGTTGAAAGCTGGTCCCCAGTGTCACAGTATTAAGAGGTGATTGGATCATGAGGGCTCAGCCCTCAGGAATGCGTTCAGTGCATTTATAGACTAATGGGCTCTCCTCGTGGTGGGTTAGTGATCATGACAGGGCGTCTGTTATAAAAGCCAGTTTGGGTGTCTCTCATATCCCCACCAGCAGGAAGGCACTCCTCAGATGGGACCCCTGGACCTTGGACTTCTCAGCCTCCTGAACTATAAGAAATGCATTTCTTAGGCTGGGCGCAGTGGCTCATTCCTGTAATCCCAGCACTTTGGGAGGATGAGGTGGGTGGATTACCTGAGATCTGGAGTTCAAGACCAGCCTGCCAACATGGTGAAACGCTGTCTCTACTAAAAATACAAAAAATTAGCCTGGTGCAGTGGCGTGCGCCTGTAATCCCAGCTACTCTGGAGGCTGAGGCAGGAGAATCACTTGAACCCGGGAGGTGGAGGTTGCAGTGAGCCGAGATCATGCCACTGCACTCCAGTCTGGGCTACAGAGCGAGACTTGGTCTCAAAAAAAAAAAAAAAAAGAAAGCACATTTTTTTCCTTTATGTAATAAATTACCAGTCTCAGATACTCAGTTATAGCAACAGAAAACGGAGTAAGACAGCGTTAATATGTAATGTGTTAATTTGTATGATTTTTACATGAATTAAAAAATATTCAAACATTTTTTGTTCTAATTTCAAATATGGTAAATATCGATAGGTAGAATCTGTACAGGTGCAAGCTCTTCAGGACCCTCAGTAGCTTTAGAATGGTGAAGAGGACCCTGAGGCCAGAAAGTCAGAATTACTGCCTTAGAGCCTAGACGCTTCTTAAGATGTGTCCCTGGAAATTATGCATGCTCAGGTGAAATTATGCATGCTAATATATTCAGGTTTGGAATTTGACCACTTACTTACAAATTTGAATTTTTCCTCCCTTTCCCCCGCAAGCACACATTTGGGGGGCCATCTTAAAGAAAAAGCAGTGTTGCCTGAATGACCCCAAGAGTAAGTGGGAGCCGTCGGGAGAAGTGTTCTTGCTTCTTTCTGATTTCCCGCCTATCTAGCATCCGATCAGTCATTTATAGTTTTCTTTCCAGTTATTTCCCATCTCATTCTTGTACGTTCCACTTCAGACTGATTTCGGGCAAAAGAAGTAGGCTGAGACTTCTTCACATGTCTCAGTTTAATAAAAGTTGACTTCTTCATGTCAGTTCATCCTGCCTTTCTCATTATTTCTTCCTTTCTAGACTTACATCCCGAGAGGATTTGACTAAATGGAATGATTAATTTCTTAGCAGTTTCCTCGTTTCGGGAGATTTAGCTTTTTACCAGGTACCACTTAGTCTCATCTTTAAGTGGGAGTTCCTGTCCTAATTTTTATGGCTCTTTGGACTTGCCATTCCAGCTCGGGTGGCCTGGGAGTCTCCACACAGAAGCCGTCTGAGGAGAAGGGCGCCAGGACGATCTGGGGATGGGCTGGGAGCTTGGTGGCCGTGGTCCCTTCTTGTCACTTTACTGTCTCAAGCGTCTTCTCTCCCTGGTCGCACGCGCTGTGAGCTTATTGTTCTGGGCGTTCCCCACCCTCAGTTCCCAAGTGCAGTGCAGGCCAGGCCCTGTGCTAACTTTTTACAGCAGGGAATATACTCAGTTCATATTTTTGCCATCTGTAAAGTGAGGTAGGCCCCTTCAAGACATGTAAGGAGTATCTATGGCTGTGGAATGCATCTTTTTAGACTGGCCGCTCTGCATGGATCTGATCACGGGTAGGTGCTGTGATTCACACCACGTCAGAGCCCCGCTCTGGGAGGTGACACATCTGGGCTATATTGTTCCACTTCCTGTGGAAATGACTGCGTCCAAATCAGATGCAGCCTTAGGACTTTTCTTAAGGGTTGATGGAAGAAACAGCTCTATGAAGAATGTCTGCCCTAAAAATACTGACGGGAAAAAACCCGTTACGTTGTGACACCCCTAATGATGCATGTGATGTGGCTTAGGTAGCGACAGAGAAGATCCTGGTGTTGAAGGAAGCCCTAGTGTTAAATACAGGAAGCCTGGCTTGACTTTTCTTGCTGCTGTTTTTCATGTGATGCTGATAATCTATAGCAGTTTGTTTTTTAACTTTGACTGTTAAAGCCAAGTTTTCTGCCCAGTTACAGTGGGTTTCCTTTTAGTCCTCTTTTAATGGCTTTGTGGTTTTGTTTTATGGGTGTCCAATATTTTTGAAATAGTAATAGCAAAATTAAATACTTTTGCAGCTGTCCGTTTCTCCTGATGACCAGCTACCGTTAGCCTTTGCTGACAGTGGATGGGCACTGTTCATCAGATGTGTCAATCACCCTGATTCCACATTCATGAACTGAGTAGTTAGATTAGTAACTTAATTATAGCACAGTCCTTATTGAAATCAGGACATGGGCACAACACACTTTGAAAACCTTAATCCATGGTTTTTAAATAGCATTTCTGACATTCATCATTGTGCATTGGGGAATGACGTCAGTGGTGTGTTCTCACTGGACTCATCACAGACGTATTCACTGGATGCGGTGCGGGCCAGGCCCGGTGCCCTGCTGAGAACACAGCCATGCCAATTCCTGCCCTTGTGAAGCTCACCTTCTAGCAGGAGACACTAAGCAAGAGAAACCTTTCAGATGTGTAGTAAGTCAGACAGTAGAGCAGGAAAGGCTGCTGTGCACGTCACCGTTGCCGAGGCGTCCAGGAGGCGTGCAGGAGGCGTGCAGGGGTGGCCAGCTCCGTGGTAGGACCCTGAGCTGAGTGTATCCCTGAGAAGCATGGGGAGGCCCAAATGCAGGGGCCGAGTGAGCGTGGCGGGGAGGAGAGCCCCAGGGGCTGCAGAGGGCCCGTGAGATGGGAAGCCCTCGGAGGGCTTAGAGCAGATGAGGGGCATAGCCTGGCACGTGTTTTTATGTGACGCCTTGAGCGCTCTTTATCGTGATCACAGCAGAGGTGCAGGTGACAGTGAGACGGCCGTATGTGAGCAGGTCTGAGGGGCGGCCTGGGTCCAGGTTGGGAGTGACAGGCTGGGAAGACGAGGCCGGATCAGGGTGAAGGAGAGGAGAACCCAGGAGGCCTGAGGTTTTGGCCTGAGCATCTGGGAAGTAGGTGTTGCCTTAAATTGAGGTGGAAAGTGTGGAAGAAGCAGGTTGGTTTGGGGTGGGTGACAGGGGCTCAGTTTGGACATGTTAGAATTGAGACGACCCCTTAGGGGAGACACCTAGTAGGTGGTGTGGTGTGAGGCCTGGAGTTCATGTGCGAGGTCTGAGCTGGCAGGGTGATAGGCGCCATTGGCGTGGAGATGTATCTGAAGCCACAGACTGATGAGCCGCTGGGTCAGTGCTGGCTGAGCAAAGGTTCCAGGGCCGTGCCCTGGGCATGCATCCTCAAGTCAGGAAGTGGATGTGGGACCAGCAGAGAGACAGAGGAGTGGGGGCCAGGCAGGGAGGACAGCGTGGGGAGGAGCCGGAATGAGCCCCATCAGGCCCTGTGGTGGGGAGAATGGGGGCAGCATCTGGGCTGGAGCAGTTTTGGGGGAGTAACTGAGTGACAGCCCGATGGGTGGGATCTGGAGGGGATGTGAGCACTGAAAATGGAGACCGCAAGTACAGGCGGGGCTTCTGAGGAATTTTATCTGAAAGGGAACAGAGAAATGGGGCTGGGGCTGGAGGGGCAGGAGGGAGGGCAGCACCGTGGGGGAAGGGTGTGCAAGGGTGATGCTGAGGGACCAGGGAGGGGTGCTGACTGGGTGTGGGGCACATGCCCGAGGAGGCAGGAGTGGGCATTCTTGGGAAGTGAGAGGGAGGAGAGCAGGATCACCCACTAAGCCCGAGGCGCAGAGGGTCCAGGAGTAGGGGAGCGTTCGCATGGCTGGGCGGGGCTGGGCGGGGCTGGGCGGGGCTTGCAGCATCAGGCGCACCTGAGGTTGATTGGATGTGGATTCTCTCCCCATCCCTGCCCGAATGTGTGGGTCCCCATGCCTTGGTGGCTGAGAAGTGGATTTAAGGCCAGGTTAAAGATGGTTCTGTAAAGTTTATCAAGATTTGATGTAGTTGGCCTTGCCTGTAGACACATCACTTGGTTGTAGAAACAGTTTCACAGGTAATAAATAAGTAAGGCCTACGGAATAAGGCCTATGGAAAGCTCAGCAGTCCAGGAGGGCGGAGTGGACAGGAGAGTGGGGCTCGTGCAGTTGGAGCGTCCCTGCTCTGGGTAGCCTGAGGTTTGCTATTTGTCATCCCCAACTGTCTTGGATGTGTTGGCACACCTGGACAGATGACCACACGTGGACACCATGTTTAGGAAGCAGAATTGGGATCATATCATCCGCACCGCTGTGCAGCTTTCCATTTGTATGCCTTCCTTTTGCTATCATATTCTGGAGATCTTTCCATTTTGGTTCATGTAATTAAATCAGTCTCATCCATGTGAATGACTTGGTGGTGTCTGGCAATCTGGATGGGCGTGGATTCTTCACCACTCCTGTTCTGCTGTACATTCAGGGTGTTACTCTGGGCTGTAGGCCCTGCTTTCCCATATGCGCCCTGAGCCCTGCATCTCTTGGTGGACTTGGTAGGGTTCTGAATAGTCGTCAGAGTAAGAGGCTTGCTTGAGCATTAGTCTCAGTCCAGCTGTTTTATTGTATTAAGACTGGACTATCCCCAGGACTTCTGAGAAATGGCAAATTTAATTTGCCAAAATAGCAACCACAGGCATTGCTGTGTTCCAGTTTTCTTGGGCTTGTTGCCCTAGTTTTTTCTATTGAAATCTTTACTGTTAGCAGAATTTTAAATGACTCTTGATCCTGGCAACAGAGGCATTTTGAGTAAACAACTCGAATAATGTGTGGTGTCCTCATTTGGAAGAGGTTAGGATTCAGGATTTTATGGTGAGTTCAGAGCATTTTCTGAAGCCACTTGCAGAGCTTTTAGAAACTAGCAAAAAGCTTGAATTGGGCATTTAAAACTATTTCCACTGGCCCCTTAAGAGAGGCAGGAGTTTAACCTGGACTCTCTGGACCCGGGGCTGTTTGTGGAAGGGCCTCGGCATGTCCTTGGGTTTAGTCTGGCTGCACGTGGTGGGCTCCAGAATACCCTGTTTTGAACCAGGTAGTTGTTTATTTTCCTTTGCTTTGAGGAAGTCTGAGGCAGGCAGCCTGGGCTGGTGTGGCAGCTCCCTGGACGGGAGGGGCCTGGGCTCCTTCCTTCCAGGGCTTTGCTCCTCCGCGCCAGCTCCTTCTGCCTCCTTCCACGCCTGGCACCAGCGGGAGGAGGAGCACGGAAGAAGGGACAAGGCCAGAGGCCAGGGCCCCTGAAGGAGGTTTCCCAGGGGGCTGCTGTGGGACAGGCTGGGAAGGGAAGTCCGTGTCTGATGCCCCGCACCCACAGCTGTCGTGGGCTCTTCCGTGAGCTCTGGGGAGAGCAGGTACTGGCACCGGCAGCTAGGACTCTCTGGGATTAGGGGAGCCTCAGAAACTTTGCAAAGTTTTGTCTGTCTGTACTTTTTCCTGGAAAAGGTTCTTTTTTTTTTTTTTTTTTTTTTTTTTGTATTTTTAGTAGAGACGGGGTTTCACCCTGTTAGCCAGGCCGCTCTCCAACTCTGACCTCAGGTGATCCACCCACCTTCTCCTCCCGAAGTGCTGGGATTACAAATGTGAGCCACCACACTCGGCCGTCAATAATAATTTAATTGTACATTTTATTTTATTTTATTGTTTTTTGGTTTTTGATTTGTTTTTTTGAGACGGATCTCGCTCTGTCACTGAGGCTGGAGTGTAGTGGCACTATCTCAGCTCACCGCAAACTCTGCCTCCTGGGTGCAAGTGATTCTACTGCCTTGGCCTCCCAAGTAGCTGGGATTACAGGCATGCCCCACCACACCCAGTTAATTTTTTTTTTTTTTTTTGAGATGGAGTCTCACTCTGTCGCCCAGGCTGGAGTGCAGTGGCGCAGTCTTGGCTCATTGCAGCCTCCGCCTCCTGGGTTCAAGTGATTCTGCTGCCTCAGCCTCCCGAGTAGCTGGGAATACAGGGCGTGTGCCACCACGCCCTGCTAATTTTTGTATTTTTAGTAGAGACGGCGTTTCACCATGTTGGTTAGGCTGGTCTCGAACTCTCGACCTCATGATCTGCCCGCCTTGGCCCCCCAAAGTGCTGGGATTACAGGTGTGAGCCACCGTGCCTGGCCTTTTTTTGGTATTTTTAGTAAGACAGGTTCACCGTGTTGGTCAGGCTGGTCTCGAACTCCCGACCTCAGGTGATCCACCCGCCTTGGCCTCCCAAAGTGCTGGGATTACAGGCGTGAGCCACCACGCCTGGCCAGAAAAGGTTCTACAGGTTTTTTTGCCTTTTTTTTTTTAAAGGTTCTGAAAGCAATCTGTGACCCCAAAACGTTTTAAATGCACCAATGCCAAGGTTGGCTGGGTGGCTTTTGACTGAAGACTACTGGTTTCATTAGGAAATTTAGTTGGCTGGGTGCAGTGGCTCACCCCTATAATCCCAGCACTTTGGGAGACCGAGGTGGGTGGATCACCTGAGGCCGGGAGTTCGAGACCAGCCTGACCCAACATGGTGAAACCCCATCTCTACTAAAAATACAAAATTAGCCGGGCATGGTGGTGTGCACCTGTAGTCTTAGCTACTCAGGAGACTGAGGCAGGAGGATCACTTGAACCCAGGAGGCAGAGGTTGCGGTGAGCTGAGATCGTGCCATTGCACTCCAGCCTGGGCAACAAGAGTGAAACTCTGTCTCAAAAAAAAAAAAAATAAGTTTAGTTTATCCCTTTAATAATCTTTGCTTCTGGTTCTTACTCTGGAAAAAAGAAGGCTGTATTGATGACATGTAGCTTTGATCTTCAAGCTGACTACTGACGACTCTGAGCTGAAAGATCCTCTTCAGAGGACGCAGGTTTAGTGTCACCACATAAGTTTCATGCTAGTTGCGCCTGACAGGGCCCCTCAGTCAGGCTATGTGGTTTCTGCTTCCCTGGAGCAGCTCCGAAGGCTGAGCAAGATCCCAGTGTTGATCCTAGCACCAGTGTTTGAAGAACATGAGCGTGCGTAGGTGGAGTTGGAATGGACCCTCCCCCCACAGCTTAGATCTGCATATTTTCCTGTCCGATCATTTTTTAAAAGTATACTTCTTTTTCTTTTTGAAAAAGTGATAAATGCACAGGATAAAAATGGAAATATTATTAGAGGATGAAAAGTGAAAAATAATTTCCTTTTCACCCATGCCCCAGGCTGTTGTAGGTCTTCTGTATCTTAACCTGGAAATATTCTGTGCATATCTGACATACTTCTTAAAAATAAAGCATGTCGTCTGCACTGCCCTCGTCCACACTGCCCTGCCCAGTTGATATTCACGGGATCCTGCACCTTGGGAGCCGCTTTTCGGGGGCTCTTGTTGACTCCTGAAGCTGCGTGGTATATTCCATTCTTAGCTATGCAATGCTGACATCCATTCTTTTGCTGCTAAAAACAATGCCTTACGTTGTTTTGTTGTTGTTGTTGTTGTTGTTGTTGTTTGTATGTAGGTCTTTGCACACATATGTGAATGTCTGTGCTGGCTGAATGTTGTGTGGGGCATGGCCAGGTTAAGGGCTGTGGCCATTTAGCATTTTGATAGCTATTGCCCTTCAAAGAGGTTGTACCCATTTACACCCCCAGCAAAAGCGCAACAGCCATGTTTTCTGATATCTTCTGGCGAAGTGTGTCATATTTTGTGATTTTTGCCAATCTGATTGGTGAAAAATGTTGTCTTGTTTAAATTGTTTTAAAAAGATTACACATCGAGATTGACTTTTTTTTTTTTTTTTGAGACAGAGTCTCCCCCTGTCACCCAGTGTGGAGTGCAATGGCGTGATCTCAGCTCACTGCAACCTCTGCCTCCCCATTTCAAGCGATTCTCCTGCCTCAGCCTCCTCAGTAGCTGGGATTACAGGCACGCGCCGCCATCCCCGTCTAATTTTTTGTATCTTTAGTAGAGACGGGCTTTCACCATGTTGGCTAGGCTGGTCTCGAACACCTGACCTCTTGATCCACCCACCTTAGCCTCCCAAAGTGCTGGATTACAGGCATGAGCCACCACGCCTGGCCTGACTATCTTTACATAACTTGTTTTTCTGTGAATTCATTTTCATTTCCTTATGCTCATTTTTGATTAGGTTGATTGGTCTTTTTTTTTTTTTTTTTTGACAGAGTCTTGCTCTGTCACTCAGGCTGGAGTGCAGTGGCACGGTCTCAGTTCACTGCAACCTCCGCCTCCCGGGTTTAAGCGATTCTCCTTTCTCAGCCTCCTTAGTAGCTGGGATTACAGGCATGTGCCACCATACCCTGCTAATTTTCGTATTTTTAGTAGAGATGGGGTTTTGCCACATTGGCCAGGCTGACAGGTGATCCACCCGCCTTGGCCTTCCAAAGTGCTGGGATGACAGATGTGAGTTTCCTAGTCTTGATTTTGATTTTCCTATTTGCATTTCTGTGGTATAGTTTAGCATGTTCTTCTGGCCTCTGTATATCCTGTCACTTAGGAAATGTTAGGATTCTAGAAGCTTAATTAGATTCAGCATTTTTGTTTGTTCGGTAGGGGAGCCTCCCACATAGATGGTGCTGAATTCTTCATTAATGAGGCAGATAGTGTGTGTTTTTCTTTTTCTGATGGTAACTCTGTTACCTAGATTCTTAATTCATCAGGGATTGCAAAACGATGACTGTTCTTTTGTTAGAATGCTTTTATACAGAGAAACATTCTATTGCTTATGATGTGGTTTTTCAGTGACGTGATTTGTATAGAAAGGCAGAATAAATGCTTGATTTTTTCTTTTTATTACCATTAAACAAATTAAAGGCTTAATAATATTATTAACTCATGAATTTAAAAATATTTCCCTTTCAACCCAGTGAAGTTGTTACCGTTGTTGATAGTCTGCTTTTCTTGTTCACAAGGGCATCAGGGATGACAGAATTGCACACAAGGCAAGGCGTCCTCAGACAGAACTCTACCGGCCGGGCGCGGTGGCTCGGCCTGTCATCCCAGCACTTTGGGAGGCTGAGGTGGGCGAATCACCTGAGGTCGGGAGTTTGAGACCAGCCTGGCCACAGAGGGAAACCCCGTCTCTACTAAAATACAAAAAGTAGCCAGGTGTGCTGGTGGGCACCTATAATCACAGCTACTCGGGAGGCTGAGGCTGGAGAATCGCTTGAACCCAGGAGGCGGAGGTTTCAGTGAGCCGAGATCCTGCCACTGCACTCTGGCCTGGGCAACAGAGTGAGACTGCATCTCAAAAAAAAAAAAAAGAACTCTACCACTTCTTACCGCCACTGAATGAACATTGTAACATTTGTTTTTGTTAGTTTTTGAAAATTGCTCAGAAAGAACTCTACCACTCCTTATAGCCATTGAACATTGTGAACATTGTAACATTGGTTTTTGTTTTTGAAAGTTGTTACATTTGTTTTTTATATGTACTCCCAATTCCTCCCAGTTTCAAGCAGTTACATTGTGTCTGCGTTTAGCACATAGCCTTCATCTCCTCTGTCTCAGTCCTGCGTGGAGATAGGGTGCTCCGCTAGCCGCTCTTCCCAATGCCTCTCCAGTGGTTTGGTTTTCCGAAGCTTGTTTGTTGCCAGTGCCTTCAGGAGGGAATTTTTGGGAATACTGTTCTCTGAGGACTGGATGCTGCCTTTATACTTGAAAGTAATTTTGTCTGGATATAAAATTCTTGGCTCACATATCTTTCCTTGTGTGTCTTAAATACGTTAATCCTTTTTTTTTTCTGTTGGAGTTTGATAGTTAATTTTCTTTCCGTTATAAGTCACCTAGTCTTTTGCTTGGATGGCTAAAAAATTTTTCTTTAAATAGTGTTTTTATTGGGCTGTATCTTGGTGTTCTGTCTTGGTGTTGTATCTTGGTGTTGTGTCTTGGTGTTGGTGGTTTTGTTTTTGTTTTTTTCCCCCTAGGTTGTAGTGTATTATTTTAACGAGTAGTTTCAAGCACCCTCCGTCCTGTTTTCTGGAGAGCTTTCTTGAATTACAGTTTTTGGTATTCCATTTCATTGCTTTAGTTTTCCTTTTTTCGAGACAGGGTCTCGTTCTGTTGTCCAGGGTGGAGTGTAGTGGTGCGATCACAGCTTGCCACAGCCTTGCCCTCCCAGACTCAAGTGATTTTCCCACCTCAGCCTCCTGAGTAGCAGGGACCACAGGCAGGTGCCACTGTACCCAGTTAATTTAAAAAATATTTTATGGAGTCGGGGTCTCGGTACATGCCCAGGCTGCTCTTGAGCTATCAACCTCAAATGGTCCTCCTGCCTTAGCCTCCCAAAGTATTGGGATTACAGGCATGAGCCACTGTGCCTGGCCAGTTTTCATCTTTAGCATCTCCTATTATACATATGTTGGGTCTTCTTTTCCTGTCTTATGTGCTACTTTTTCTTGAGCTTTTTTCATCTCTTTCATTTCTTTTTTATTCTTGAAAATTTTGTCATTTTATTTTTCTTAAGGCACCATTGTGTTTATTTGTTCTAAGGTTCTTCTAGTTTAATCTTCATTTCTGAAGTTACTTTTTCTTTTGTTTCTAATATATTCTGAGTTCTAGCACCTTGTTTCTGAGTTTTTCTAATGCTGGTTTCTGGTTAATGTGTGTTATGTGTTTAATGTATTTCAGTTTGTTTTGAATTATCAGGGTATAGTTTTTTTTTTCTTTTTAGTTTTCGTCTTTTTGGGGGATATATGTTTCTAGAATGTTTTCATTGTCTGCAGTGATGTTATTTTGCTTCTTATTCTTTTAAGAAATACATGATTTTTGCATGATATTTGGCCTCAGTAGTTTCTGTTGCTCATTTTTATATGATTTTTGCTTTTCTGAATGCTCAGAAGGGAGGCTTGGTTTAGAATCGTTTCTCTAATTTCAGTGTTTTGGGTTCTTTCCTGTGTTGTTTATAGGAAGTTTTAAAAATACAGCAGCTTCTTTTCTCAGCTCTCTAGGCTCTGTTCTCCCCTCCCACCTTTAATGAGCTTTCATGTTCCTTTGTCTCTAGTTTCCGTGCCCTGCACATTTTGTGTTCAGTTCCAAGCCGTTTCTTTTCAATGTATTTGGCCTAAAAGGGAGCTTTGGATAATGCGTTTTGAGAGGGCTTGGGGTCCAGAACACTCTGGCCTCTGGGTCAGCCCTGCAGGCCCCTGTGTGGTTCTCCTGGTGGATCCTGCAGCTGCTGCTCTCGGCCTGGCTCCTGCTTCCCTTTGCTTCCTCCATCCTATGCCCGTGTGCCATGCTGACCTTGTGGCTTCCAGTGTCCCCATCTGCTTGTGTTTGGGGTTCTTGAGGAATATGCTGTCACCTCGTTCTGTTGTCGGTGTTGACTTGGATTTTGGTTTTGCTATCCTTGGAGGTCTGTGTGTCTGTATGGGAGGATTTAGGGAGATTAAACATCTGTCTCATTCCGTCTTTCCCAGCTGGACTTTTTAGAGGTTCAGCGCTGGTGCCTCTGAGGCTTTGTGTCTCCCCCTCCAGTTATTTGTCATCAGCTCTTTTTTTTTTGTTAGGGACAGTTGATTGATGTTTCCTCAGTTCATCTAATCTTGTGTAAAGTTATAATGTGGGAATAAAAACACCTTTGCTATTTTATTGATCGTATATTTGATCACACATTTATGAAAAATATTGCCTTTACTCTATAAAGGAAGATTTAAGACAGCACTTGGCTCCTTCTTCCACAAATTGTTATCCCCAAGAAATTCTAGAGCTGAGGCCGGGCGCGGTGGCTCACGCCTGTAATCCCAGCACCTTGGGAGGCCGAGGCATGCGGATCACCTGAGGTCGGGAGTTCAAGACCAACCCGACCAACGTGGAGAAACCCCGTCTTACTAAAAATAGAAAATTAGCTGGGTGTGGTGGCGCATGCCTGTAATCCCAGCTACTCAGGAAGCTGAGGCAGGAAAATTGCTTGAACCCAGGAGGTGGAGGTAAGCCGAGATTGCGCCATTGCATTCCAGCCTGGGCAACAGGAGCAAAACTCCATCACAAAAAAAAAAAAAAAAAAAAAGAAAAAAGAAAAAAATTCTAGAGTTGCCATTTAAGCTGTAAAATTTAAATCTAGACAAAGGAGAGGAGGAACTGCATTATTTATTGGATTGAAGGACACGGGTGAGGCCTGCTTATGTAATTTCATTCCTGTTGGGACTTATCCATGAATAGAAGTTGTGAATAGACTCAAGAGTTGAAACCATGTGACCTGAAAACCTTACTTTTCCTTCTGCGATGGGGGTTGTGGTTAGGGACAGTGAACGGACTCTTCCTGATGAAGGGCTGTGCTGTACAGAGCTGGGCACAGGGTTTCTGTCCTCAGGAAGTGTGTAGTGTAGTTCAGGGAAGACAGTTTACTTTATACCATTTATGTGTCAATAATTAAAATATAAAGTATAATCTGATAAAAACATGATGGTCACATTCATTCCTCATTTCTACGGCATCCTATTTTGCAGTACTATATTTGGATCTGTGTGTCCATAGACCATAGTTTGAATGATGCAGCCTTATTTTTACTTTGGAAAATAAGTTCTCTTGAAGCCCAATCAGAGTGTCACAGGAGCTGGAGGAAAGCCCCTGACTGTGTTTCAGACACTGTGCGAGGCTCGGGGACAGCCCCGCCCTGGACAGCACAGTTGTGGACAGGACAGATGGTTCCTCCTTGGTCATGGTGGCAGGATGCTGCTCGGGCTCAGGACAGAACCTGAGAGCAGAAAGAAAGCAGAACAGAGGTGCTGCCACTCCGCCGGGCCTGTGGGGTAGCAGAAACGGAGTATGGGTTGTAGTCTAGATGGATGCGTGCAGCTGGGAGAAACTTGGGAGGAGAGGTGGCGTATCACCACGGAGACCAGTGGTATGGGTGGGAAGGGATGCTTCTTTCTGGGGTGTGGTGAGTGTAGCAGGGCTGAGGCCCCTTGGGAGCAGGAAGCGACAGAGCGTTTGCTGTAGTCAGTCAGGCCCCACTGGAGACTTGGGCTGAGGGAGAGGACGTTTCCAAGCCAGTGTTGGGAAGGTGGCTTTGGAAGGGCATGAGGAACACAGTGGAAACGGAGAGGCCCCGGGTGGCTCGTCCAGTGGTTAAGGAAAGAGGCAGCGGGTGGCGTTTTCAACTATTTGTTAATTTTCAAAGAAACTAACCTTTTGGGGGTTTGAGGCAAGAAGAACCCTGCATGTAAAACTCCACAGACGTTCGCGGCCTCTTGCATACACGTGCTCGGCTCGTGGTTTTCATAATTTCACGTGTAGCGATGGTTAATGTCCTCTCCTCCTCCTTTGCTTCTGTTTGGTAGGTGACCAAAAGCCAGCCCCACTGTGAGTTGAACTCTTTCGTGTTGACCGGCCACTCTCCGTGCTCTGGATGATGTCGGAACACGACCTGGCCGATGTGGTTCAGATTGCAGTGGAAGACCTGAGCCCTGACCACCCAGGTACAGAGCTGTGGGACAGTAGGTGAAATATTATTCTCTTTATTCTTCAAAAACCAAAAGCTGCTCCAGTTATTTTCTTTCCTTTAAGCAGAAGAAAAAGTAATGCATGCTGCGTATGAAAAGTTTGAATCCTAGAGATGTGAACACTGTCGGCCCCTCCCTTCCCTCGCCCCTGCAGCCTCAGCCCCACGTCCCTTCTGGAGGGGGCCCCTGTGACACTTTGTCTCGAGGGCCATCCCTGCTCCCACTCCTTGGGGGTATGCGTGTGTTCTACACTCTCTCCCCTGCCGCGTCCCTGTGTGCGGCGTCGTGGATCTTTACCATGTTGTATGTGTAATCCCCTGTGTGCGGCGTCATGGAACCTTACCATGTTGTGTGTGTAATCCCATGTGCGGCGTCATGGAACCTTACCATGTTGTGTGTGTAATCCCCTGTGTGCGGCGTCCAGGATCCTTACCATGTTGTGTGTGTAATCCCCTGTGTGTGGCGTCATGGAACCTTACCATGTGGTGTGTGTAATCCCCTGTGCGTGGCGTCATGGAACCTTCCCATGTTGTGTGTGTAATCCCCTGTGCGTGGTGTCATGGAACCTTACCATGTTGTGTGTGTAATCCCCTGTGTGCGGCGTCATGGAACCTTATCATGTTGTGTGTGTAATCCCCTGTGTGTGGCGTCATGGAACCTTACCATGTGGTGTGTGTAATCCCCTGTGTGTGGTGTCATGGAACCTTACCATGTGGTGTGTGTAATCCCCTGTGTGTGGTGTCATGGAACCTTACCATGTGGTGTGTGTAATCCCCTGTGTGTGGTGTCATGGAACCTTACCATGTTGTGTGTGTAAGTCTGCTCTGTTAGCAGCTCTGCAGGATTCATTCACAGGTGCCCCCTCCACAGTTGACTCTTCTCTTTCAGAGGGCTCCTGGCATAGTCTGTCTGATTTTTCCTTTATACACAACCCTATAGAGAAGATCCTTGCATATATATCTTGGCAAATAGATAAGTTCCTAGAAGTAGAATTGCTACATGTGTTTAAATTTTTTTAAGACGGTGACAGGTTTTCTAGAAATGTTTTACTAATTCTTCCACGGACAGTGCTTGAGAACAAGTTTTTTCTACACCTTTGCTAAGGCTGGTATCTTTTAAAAATGGTGTTAAAGGCACATGTCTACTTTGAAATCATAACTGTTTGTTTGTTTAAAGGAGACCCTTGAGAAATGAAACCCTAAATTTCAGGAACTTCATCTCTTCATCTGTGATAACACTTTGTCCACACTTATTGTTTTAAAAAGTTTTTTTTTTTTTTTGGCCATAAAGTAGTATATGTTTTATTGTTCTGTTAAGTTTGAAGTGACCAGCCCACCACAGTTAAGTCACTGAGTGTTTCAGTTGCCTGGTTATTCTTTCAGGAATGTTTGAATTGAAATGCTCACAATTTATTCCCCCAGAAGAGAGAATTTTCAGAAATCTCCTAAGAAAGTCTGATGTCCGTTCATATGATCTGTTTGCTTTGTTAGTCGAGAAAACTACCTTTGGAGACTAGTTGTATCATGGAAGGGGAGGGCAGTAGAAATAGTTTTGGGGTGAGGTGAGCAGTCCCAGGGGAACACGAAGGCAGCATTTCAGGAGTGCTGCTGGTTAGTTTTCCACACCATCATTGCATATTATTTTACAAATCCCTGTTTCTAGTTCAGAAGGCAAATGACAGTTTCTTTAGAAAACATAACACTGTAATCTTGTAAAATGAAAGTGTTCCAGTTACATCATTTTTGGTGATTTCAGAACCATTAAAGTTCTGACAGCCTACTTCCCCAGTAAATCTCTCTTTGTAGACTGTGGTCCAAAGAAGGCTTAGAGAAATAATTTTGAATCTTGATTTTGTTCCAACTCTGTTCCTTAAATGCCTAAGAACTGCGATTTCTTGAGTATTTGTTAAAAGCCTACTGTGTCAGCCAGGCATGGTGGCTCATGCCTGTAATCCCAGCACCTTGGGAGGCTGAGGCGGGCGGATCACGATGTCAGGAGATTGAGACCATCCTGGCAAACACGGTGAAGTCTCTACTTAAAATACAAAAAAATACAAAAAATTAGCCGGGCGTGGTGGCGGGCGCCTGTAGTCCCAGCTGCTCAGGAGGCTGAGGCAGGAGAATGGCGTGAACCCGGGAGGCGGAGCTTGCAGTGAGCTGAGATCGCGCCACTGCACTCCAGGCTGGGCGACAGAGCGAGACTCCGTCTCAAAAAAAAAAACAAAACCTACTGTGCACAGAGCTCCGAGGCCTGCCCCAGTACAAAGCCTGCAGTCTCTGACCCAGGAGAAGGTGTGCGCAGCTGCAGGTACCTTGATGTGTCAAGCACATTTGCATTCATAGTGGGTTTAAAGTACTTTCCTTGTCTTGAACGTAGGCATCTAATAAAGTTTAACAGGATAGTCAAGAAAGTAGAAGAAATAAAAATTTCCCATAATTCTACTGGTTGTAGCAGCTTTTAAATTGTTGACGTGTATGTCTTTCCAATTTTTCCTTATTTTTATTTAAAAGAAAGACTTCTAGGATCATCTGACTTGGCGTGTACCAACTATGGCTTGCGCTTACTCTACCTGTCTGAATGCAAAAATTGTGACTTGCATCAGGCCTGTCACTGCAGTTGATTGATTGTGATATCTTTATTTATTTAAGACAGAGGTTTGCTCTGTTGCCAGGCTGGAGTGCAGTGGCGTGATCTCAGCTCACTGCAACCTTTGTCTCCTGGATTCAAGCGATTCTCCTGCCTCAGCCTCCCAAGTAGCTGGGATTACAGGTGCCCGCCACCATGCCCGGCTAATTTTTGTATTTTCAGTAGAGACGGGGTTTCACCATGTTGGCCAGGCTGGTCTCGAACTCCTGACCTCAGGTGATCCACTCACCTCGGCCTCCCAAAGTGCTGGGATTATAGGCGTGAGCCACCGCATCCAGCCTGATTGTGATATCTTTAAAATGAACAAGGAGTTCTTTTGTCGAATTCTAAAAGTAATGCATACAGAATTATAGAAAGGAACACATACAAAAAGCAGCAAAGTACAAAGAAGAAAATAAATGTCACTTGCTGTCCCACTACCTGTGGAGTCATTACTGGAGTTACTGCACGCCTCTCTTCTGCTGTTATGACGAAACTAGCTCTGTGACCCCAGAGAAGTCCCATAACCTTCCTGGACTTGTTTTCTTCTCAGCAAACTAAAAGGTTAGAGTAATGAGTACGAGGGTCTCTCTCTGTTCTTCCAGGCCTTGTGTGATGACCGGTTTCCAGTGAGAGTAGAGCCTTTGACTGAGGTCCTGAGAACCTTTGACTAACCACAGGCACTTGTAGGCATGGAGTTTTAAAAGTTTCATTAAGTGAGAATTCATCTGCAAAGGCTTAGGTGGAGATGGTTGATGCGCTCCCTGCCTGTGAGGAGTCATGAGGCCGAAGGCATAGCCGTGTGCTGTACTCAAGGGACACCCGCACCTCAGCCCCTGAGTAGCTGGGACTATCCAGGTTAATAGCTTAAAGTTTTTAACAGTAATACCAGTGTGTGACCAGTGTGTCACAGGTGCTGATAATCAAAACAGTCTCAGCCTTAACACGCTAAGTGATAGAACCCCAACCCTCCCAGGCACAGCTGAGACCAGCTGCCCCCATCACACAGCAAGCGTCAGGTGATCGTCACGGCTTCCCGCAGGATAAGCAACTCGGCCCCAGCTCAGGGCGGCCACAGTGTGGTCCCAACCTCCTTCCTTTTGTCTAAAATTGACTACAAAAACAATGTCAAAGATAACCTCAAAATCAAAGACCAAAATCGGTCGACAGTGGTCCTTGGCTTTGGATGATTTCCCACCAGGTAGATCGGATTTGACTGCTTTTGCCTAGGACCTGTGAGAGGTTCCTGTTAGAACTGCAGGACGATTCAGCATCTTTAAGTTTCAGAGTTTTGAGAGGAATCATCTAGTGTGTACAGGCTTAAAGGCATGGACAGTCTTTTTTGTTTTCCTGTTAAGATCTTCGGAATGTCAATGTATGTAACACGTCTGAGGGGAGTTGCTTTGGTGGAGGTGGAGGCAGGGACCAGAGAGGCCTGTGCACTTGGCTTTCCTCTAGCACCTGGAGAATCTGAATGCCAGCCAGGAGTGCTTCACCCACATCGGTGGGCAGCCTTGTGTGTAAGGTGCTGGGAGGGTGGTCTGCTGTGGGGTGGGTGCTGTGACCTTGTTGGTGTCACAGTATAAACCGGTGTGAGTTGAGGCCCTTCCAGGAACGGCTTCCCGAACTAGGCGGCATTTGAGTGGGGCTGGACAGAAGGTTGTTAGATTTCCCTGGTGGAGGTGGCTGGAGGGTTGGCAGTATGGGAAGGGCTGGGGCACAGCACCAGCAGAGCGGGGCAGGTGTCATCTGGCCACAGTGAGGTCATCCTGCTTGGCTGTGGTGTTGGTGCCCTTGAAAGCAGATGGTGTGCCAAGGTGTGCATGTGCTGAAGGGCATTCCCAGCGGCCAGCATTCAGATTTCTGATTTTTTTCTATCAGAAGTGTTACAATACGCATGCTCATATGTATGCACGTATATAATATCTATTCTTATATACTGGCATTCATTTTTGTAAATAGTCACACACTGGTATTACTGTTAAAAACTTAAACCTATTAACCTGGATAGTCCCAGCTACTTGGGCTGAGGTGGGGGGTCCCTTGAGTACAGGAATTTGAGTCCAGCCTGGGTGACATAGCAAGACCTCATCTCTTAAAAAACAAAAACAAAAACCAAACAAAACGATTAATATTAACCCAGAGTCCATATTTGTTGCTCAGTGAAGAGGAAGGCTGCAGACAAACCTGTTGATGAGGCAGATGGTCTCGCACCTCCCACATGTATGCCGTTTGTTTATCTCAATGTGTGAGCATGTAGAGTAGAGCACGGTAGGAGTGCACTAGACAGTTCACACTGTCATTTCAGGCAAGGAAATGAGAAGAAAAAACACTCATGACACAATGTACAATCTTTAACAAGAACTGTTGACCTTGAACTTCTATCTATAACTGCAAATGTGTAAATTTTAAAAAATTGACTAGGTCTAAGGAAAAGGACTAGAAGGGTCACAGACAGATAGAAATGTGATTTGCAGAGATGAGGCAATTGTGGCCGATTTTGGTCTTTGATTTTGAGGTTATCTTTGACGTTGTTTTTGTAATCAGTTTTAGAGAAAAGGAAGGAGGTTGGGACCACACTGTGGCTGCCCTGAGCTGGGGCCGAGTTGCTTATCCTGCGGGAAGCCGTGACGATCACCTGACGCTTGCTGTGTGATGGGGGCAGCTGGTCTCAGCTGTGCCTGGGAGGGTCGGGGTTCTGTCACTTAGTGTGTTAAGATTGACACTGTTTTGATTATCAGCACCTATGGCAATGTGATATTCAGTGTATTTTTTCCCCTTTTAGTTCTGGACCTGCAGATAGGGTGGCTTTGATTTTGGAATGAGGTGACCAACAGATAAAACTTTATTTTAAAGTTGGGAAGAAATCATTATTATTGATTGGGTTTTATCGTGGGTTTTCTCAAACCAAACAGGGCAGCCCCGCAGAGCATGGAGTCAGAAGTCAGAAGCTTGCAGGTTTGGAGTTAGGACTGACTCAGTGGCACATTAATTGCCCAGTGTCTGGGCTTTTCTTGGGATTAAGGAGTTATCCTGTTTTTCTGCCTGACTGAGAATAAGTTTAAAAAGGTGAAATATGAGATAGGTTCTGCTGTTTCTCCTTCAACCTTAAGGTGTCAGCACTGTTTACTATCTTAATGTTAAAATAATTCTGTAAAACTTTTCATGTTAAACATTTTTTTTCTCTGTCACTGATTTCAGTTGTTTTGGAGAATCATGTAGTGACAGATGAAGACGAACCTGCTTTGAAACGCCAGCGACTAGAAATCAATTGCCAGGATCCATCTATAAAGGTAAAAATCTGACTCTGTTCTGTGGTGTGTAGTGCGTTGCAGATTTCAAGGGCTGCTATAACAAATCACCATCAATGGGATGGCTTCAAAATGTAGCCTCTCAGCTGTGGAGGCCAGAGATCCAAAATCAAGATGCAGGCAGGGTCTCGCTCCCTCCAAAGGTTCTAGAAGGTGGATCCTTCCTGCCTCTTCCAGCTTCTAGTGGCTCCGGCCCTGCCTCAGCTTGTGGGGCTCCTTCCAGCTCTGCCTTCCTCTTCATGTTGCGGCCGCCTCTGTGTGTCTGTGACTGTTTCCCCTTCTCTCCTCTAGTAAGGACTTGTCATTGGATTTAAGGCCCACCCTAATCCAGGTTGATCTCATTGACTAAATTACATCTACACAGACCCAAAGAGTTTCTAAATTACATCTGCACAGTTTCCAAAGAGACCACATGGGTAGGTTCTGGCGGTTAGGATGTGGGTATATCACTTTAGGATGTGGCTATATCACCAGGCAGCCCGCTACAGAAGAGTGTGAGCCATTTTTTCTCTTGAAGAGCACAAAGAGTAAGAATTGTTTACCTTGAGATGCTGCTGAAGGAGGCATCTTCCCACACACCTGCAGGCCCATTTTGGATGGAAGGAAAGTGAAGTTTCTACCAGTGATGAATGACTTCTGTGTCTGCCATTTAAGTCACTTAGATTCTAAAGTTTACTAGATGGGGTTCTTGGGAACTGCTCATTCAGTGAATTATTTTTGGATCTTTGAATTTGCTTGGTTGGTTCCAGTGTTTGCAGAGTCACCGAGGTAAATATCGGCACATGTGAGAAGGTTATGAGAGCAACACAAAACCAAAGTCACTTTTCATATAATTCTTCTACTTACACAGGGTGTCTATTTGGTAATATTTAATTTGTTTTGTTAACAAGGAGAAGCAGTGTAAATGTGTACGAAAAACTTACAAATAAATTGACTGTAAAATGCCTGTTTCCAACCAATGGATAGGATGTGGCTCTGTTAGTAAACACTGCGTTATCATTCCCTAAATAAAACGCAGCTCTGATTTTATCACAGAACACACATCTGTTGCACATAGAACAGAAATGTATAAAGTGGGCACGGGAGTGGCCCTGCCTTCCTCCTTGTCCCACTGTTGAGAAGAGGGTGGGCCCCCGGTTGAATGTGACTTGCGTAGAGTCGTGTGCGTGGCTCTAGGTTGTTTTATTGGTATATAAGAGTGATTTTTCCCAAAACCCCAGGCAGAATCATTTGTAATTCAGAATTAAAATAACATGGGTGTACTGTGTAAAGAATTTGAGAGCCAAACATTTGATGTTCTCCGGTTGTTGAAAATAGCGGCGTTATCAGTGGCCATTCAGGGATTCAGCCACCTATTGTTGCTTTTCACGACGATGCATGTTTGTCATGCCAGGGACCGTGCCTCCTTTGTAGGTAAGCTGATTGAGTGTCATCACGTGGGCTTGAGTCCACCTGACGCCGTGGCTCCTTCCCTCTCTCACACGCGCCTTCAACAGAGAGTAGTCAGTCAGGGAGGGTGAGTTTCAGTTGGTTTCTTTAGCTCCTGTCTATATCAGCGCCCAGTGGTGAATCTTGCCAGGAGAGGTGGTGACCTGAGAAAAGGCGAGTTGTTGGGCAATATGTGGATTTTCCCTCCTGCAGGGCTGTCCCTGCCACTGTGTACGCCAGGTTTCCATGCCAGCTACATGATGTATGATATCACTGCAGTTTTGATATTCTGCAGATTCCCTTGAGATCAGAAAGGAGAGTGGGCATAAGCAGTGTTGTAGGTCAGCTGCAGTTATTGGGAAAGCCGTTCCGGCTCCAATGTGGGCCGGCCTCCCGCTCCCCTGTCAATGTGGGCCGGCCTCCCGCTCCCCTGTGCTGCGAGCTCCACGGCCCGCTCTCAGTGGCTGCCTCAGTGCCACCCCTGCTGTCTCGAGCCTACCTCCCCCTTCCTTCTGATGTGCACACTTTGGACCCCACGCTCTTTAGGTCATGGGCAGGAAAGGAGAGAGAAAAGACGAAACACGAATTCTGTGCTGTTTTCAGCTGTTGATTCTTAAGGCAGGTGCCAGCCTTCCTGAGTACTAAGCAGGGCTGGTGGGCGCTCCCCCAACCTGTCCCTCCCTAGACCTGAAGGAGTGTCCTTCTGTCTGCTGGTGAGACCTGGTGGAGGGTGTCTCTTTTGCACAGTGCAATTCCTGTGTGATTAACACGTTTCCACGTGTGCTCATGGTGGCTCCTGGCTGGGACGGCAGCTGGGGAAATGAAATTCTTCCCTTTCTGGTTTGTGTGTTTCTCTGTTTCTTGGGTTTGGGGTCCGGCACGTGACTGCTCACTGGTTACTTGGAGTTAGGAATCCGGAGGAGACTCAGCCGGAAAGGTCAGACGTGGAGCCCGGCTTTGCCAACCACTAGGTGGCAAGCTTGCCGCTCAAGAGCCCCACGGGAGCCTCAGGACCAAATCCCAAGTCAGGGCCACAGGGGGTCCCGTCACCTTTTCCCATTAGGCAGCGGGCTGTGAGGCGAATGTGCGTGGCCTGTGGCTTTTATGCTGTGTCGATGTTAGGTGTAATCTGTTTTTATTGTTGAGAAGATTTGACTAGTTTTATGTGTAAATTTACTGATTAATAATAACATATTAAAGTACATTTTTAAAATTAAATGGGCTTAACCAAGAATTGCAACTGCACGTAGAAGTGAAACCATGACTAAATCATCACATTTGAAACAGGACGTGTGACTCGTGTGTAAAATGTGGACGTGTTACTCACATGTTTCTGGCTCATAGCTCACGGGCTATTTCCAGTGTGGGGATTGTTCTGTCTGAATAGATAGAGTTGAGATCAGGAAATAGCTGTTTGGTGTTTCTTGGGGTTGTCTTCTTACAGTTCAGGAGACCCTTCCTAAAGCCGGTCTTTTTTCACTTCCAGTCATTCCTGTATTCCATCAACCAGACAATCTGCTTGCGGTTGGATAGCATTGAAGCCAAATTGCAAGCCCTGGAGGCTACTTGTAAATCCTTAGAAGAAAAGCTGGATCTGGTCACGAACAAGCAGCACAGCCCCATCCAGGTCCCCATGGTGGCCGGCTCCCCTCTCGGGGCAACCCAGACGTGCAACAAAGTGCGATGGTAAGAACAGACCAGGGTGCCGGGGCCTTCAGGTCACTTGGGGAGAAGCGCGTCACCTCCTCGCCCAGGCCCGCAGCTTAGTGGCTCAGTTTGCTGGAGATGCGCGGTGTCTGCCTCAGCAGTCTCAGCAGTTTCTAACTAAAGCTGACTTTTAGTTAGACCGAAACCGAACACATGGCATCCTGCCAGGATGACCTGAAGTCATCCTCACGTTTCCTTTCCACATAAAGCCGACCCATGCACCTTTTCTTTGGAACTAACCCACCAGATCTTAGAAAATGTACATGTGCTTCTTTCCTTTTTCCTACTCTACCTGGCTAGTCTTTACATATGTTTTTCTTCGTATGTGGTGTTTATACATTTCACATGAATATATCAAACTTTTCATTCAAGTCTGCAGTTTTTATTTTGCTTATTTTTAAAAAGTAGAGTCTAATGAGTCTAATCTTAGAAAGCTGTGTGGTAGTTTGCAAACTGTTTGAGTAGAACCTTTATGATGTCTTAGAAAGTCTCGGACCTGCTTGGTGTCCACTCATCCGAGGCTTCCTGTCAGATATTCCAGCCGACAGCTCGTGCTGAAGCGCAGGCTCTGGTGTCGCTAGCCTTCCCCACGCCTGGCCAGAAAGAAGTCCTGCTTGAGGCAGTGGACACGGCACGGCTTTGTGCTTGACGAGGGGCCTTTTGACTGAGCGCTACTCACTTCAGGTTCCCTGGCCTGGCTGTAGCCTTCTGCCCGGTGTGTCTGGGAGGAGAGAGAATGGTGGGACGGCAGCGGGGGCGCCGGGGAGGACATGTGGACGCCGAGGAATGGGAGCCGCAACAAGCCTGGAGGGACTGTTGTGACCTCGCTGCCCGTGTGTGCTGGTGGCTGGCGCTGGGTTAGGTGCTTTGTGGGCCTCGCCAGGGGGTGTGGGAAGTCTGGGGGCAGCTCCACATGACGGCTGCTGTGCTGGCCGAAGCAGTGGTGCCTCTTTGAACTCTCGGGCATGCCGGGGCTTTTGGAAACGCTACCCGGCCGTCTTCCGAGCTCCGCTGCTGGTGGTGGAGTTGGCATCTCAGTTCGCAGGCGGGAGCTGGGGATCGTTCACGTGTTACTCTGAGATGGGGCCTTCACCCTGCACAAATGCTGTCACTCACGTGTCTCCCCCCAGCAGGAGTTTGTTTACCGTGTCCTCTGTGCAGGGACGCTGTTGGGCTCCCAGGTCAGGTGTGCAAAGCTGTTAGACCCAATGCCTTTTTTTTTAGGATAGTTTTTTGGGGTAATGTCCTCTTACCCTAAAATGCAGTTCTTAGAAAATATAATTTATGTTTCAAAAAAAAAGAAAATGTAATTTATAACTTATAGTTATTAGACTGTCCTAGCTATAGAGAATGAATGTGATAGTATTGTGTAATAAGACAACACATTTCAACATGATGATGGTTGGCTGTGAAAAAGCCGGACGTCCCACCTGGTATGTTGCGTCCTGGTGACCGGGGGGCAGTCCCTGCAGACGGACCCAGGTGTGACACTGGGAGTTCAGCCCCCAGCTGGTGATAGAATATTACAGAATGGTGAGCAGTTCCTAATGAACTTTCACATAAAGCAAAGTATAATTTTTTCTAGACTTGTAATAGTTGAATTCATGGAAAATTCAAGTCATAGTAAGACTGTGCAAAAATGTTTTGTGTGTAAATGTTGAATAGAGTAAGATTCTGAGTTCAGAGAGTTAGAAGCATGTTTTCCACTCATGAAGCTCTGGTTCATTGTAAGTTATGTGTGTGGAGAGTTTTTGTTGGGTGAGACTGTCTCACTCACTGAAGGACGTCTCAACCTCCCTTACCTCTGCCTGCCAAATTCCAGTACTCTCTGAATCTTGACCACCAAAGATGTCCCACGGGATCTCAAAGCACCCCTGGGCACCTGCATTGAGAACCACTGTTTTAAGGAATTAAACACAAGGATGAACGAACCTCTCCTGTCCCCGGAGCCTTGCGTGCTGGCGGACAGCTGCCCATCACGTGTCACTTGTCACTTGTCACGTTGTGCCAGTGCTGGGCAGGTCATTGTCACCACTTGGGAAAAGCGTTGACAAAATTGGTCGTTAGATTCCACCGCTGACAATGTGTGATGGGGGGAGAGGTTCCTCTGTGAAGAACTCCAAAGGCTGGAGTGTAGTTTCTGTAGTGGGTTGGCCTTGAGGGTGCCTTGCTTGGATTCCATCTGCACAGGGCGGAGCTTGGGCCTCTGACTGTCACAGTTGCCCTGACAGACACTGAGGTGACCTCGGCCAAGTCACGCATTCATTCCCATCTGAGTTTCTAGTTTAAGATAAGAGGAAGAGGACCTGGAGCTCCTCTGGGGCTGCTTTGGCCCAGGGTCCTCCTGCTTTCTGAGGGTAACAGTGTCTGTGCTCATGAAAACATGTGATGTTAGTCACAGACCTGCCGTGGCAGAAATCCCCCATGCTTCCCTCTGCTGGGGGCAAATGATATCATTCACAGACCTGCGGTGGTTGTCTGTCTACTTGTCAACAAGCAGTGAAATAAGAGTAAAGTTGCCTAATACTGACTCAGATGCACAATCCAGTTAACCCAGATGTGTGAGATCTTCCGGTTTGAAAGAACTGTATTGGCAAGGCAAAATCAACCTATTGTAGAATATATTTATTGTATATCAGCATGGGGATTATTAATATTGCTAATAAAACCATTATTTGTAAAAATTAAGATTAATAGAAGAATCGTTCTGCTATTTTCTCATAGTTTTAAATAGGATAAAAGTATATTCTATTTAAAATCCTATTTAAAATATATCCTATTCAGAATTACAAGAAAATGTAAGAATGGTTTCCTTTTTTTTGAGACTCCGCTCGGCCACCCAGGCTGGAGTGCAGTGGCGCGATCTTGGCTCACTGCAACCTCTGCCTCCCAGGCTCAAGCAATTCTCCTGCCTCATCCTCCCAAGTAGCTGGGATTACAGGCATGCACCACGCCGCCTAGCTAATTTTTGTAATTTTAGAAGAGACAGGGTTTCGCCACATTAGCCAGGCTGGTCTTGAACTCTTGACCTTAGGTGATCTGCCTGCCTCGGCCTCCCAAAGTGCTGGGATTACAGGCGTGAGCCACCACGCCTAGTGGAGTGATTTCCTTTCATAGTAAAGTTTTAAATGTGGTATATTTGAATGACTTTTAAAGAAGGAGGCTGGGTGCGATGGCTCACACCTATAATTCCAGCACTTTGGAAGGCCAAGATGGAAGGATCACTTGAACCCAAGAGTTCCAGACCAGCGTGGGCAACGTAGTGAGACCCCCATCTGCACAAAAAAATAAAAAAAATTAGCTGGGCACAGTGGCACCCGCCTGTAATCTCTTAGGAGGCTGAGGTGGGAGGATTGCTTGAGCCTGGGAGGGTGAGACTATGGTGAGCTGTGACTCTGCCACTGCACTCCAGGCTGAGCGAGACCCTAACTCAAAAAAAAAAAAAAAAAAAAAAAAAAAGGATGTTATTATGTCTGACATTTCTTTCCATGTAAGTTCTTTTTAAAAGGCAGTCTCACTCTGTGATGCAGGCTGGAGTACAGTGGTGGAATCTTGGCTCACTGCAACCTCTGCCTCCTGGATTCAAGCGATTCTCCCACCTCAGCCTCCCGAGTGGCTGGAACTGTAGGTGCACGCTACTATGCTTGGCTAATTTTTGTTTTTGATAGAGATGAGGTTTTGCCATGTTGTACAGGCTGGGCATCTTTCCATACAAGTCCTGAAAATTAGAAATAAAAATTGCCAACAGTTGAAAGCTGTTGACAGAAAATTGTAGGGGAGAAATAACAGATAAGAACATAATCCCAGTATGTCAATGAAAAAAAGTATGTTTAAATTAGAAAGTTACTAATTTGTGAACACATATGAATGAATAAGAATTGTCTGTCTAAAATTGGGCAGTGGAACATTGAAAAGGAAAAGTCTCCAAAGTTAAAAATTGATTAGCATTCTGAATAATAAGGTGCTTCTATGGATTATTTATTTTGGGACTCAGATATTTTGAGATGGAGTCTCGCTCTGTTGCCCAGGCTAGAGTGCAATGGCATGATCTTGGCTCACTGCAACCTCTGCCTCCCAGGTTCTAGTGATTCTCCTGCCTCAGCCTCCTGAGTAGCTGGGATTACAGGTGCAGGCCACCACGCCTGGCTAATTTTTTTTTTTTTTAAATTAGAGATGGGGTTTCACCATGTTTGTCAGTCTGATCTCAAACTCCTGACCTCATGATCCACCCGCCTCGGCCTCCCAAAGTGCTGGGATTACGGGTGTGAGCCACCGCCCCCGGCCGGGACTCAAATATTTTGAATGAAGATTAGAAGTATGTAAGTCACAGAGAGTATTACCTCCAAATCATATGCTGTTAAAATAGCCCGGGGTTCCCAGGGCTCACTCCTTGCTGTGAGGGATTAGCTGGGGAGTCCGAGTGTAATCTTGCAGCACAGATGCAGACACCTTAAGGGGCTCTGAGTTGTGACGAGGCCCCCGGAGAGAGTGCGAGAAGCTGCCCCCTGCGGTATCACATGCCCTTCTGTTTAGAGCGGCTGCATCTGCTCAGAGCCAGCCCAACCCTCAAGGGCGGGCACAGCCTTGCAGCAGCAGGGGCGTCACTAAGGCCCCCTCTCTGTGTGTTGAAATCACCCCACCTGTTGGTTCTTTCTCATTAAAACTGACTGGTCTGTACTATCAGTGCTGAGAGCTGATTATTCTTTCCTTTCACTCTCTGGAACACAAGAAGGCAGTGGAGTACTGCTTGCCTCGCTTGGCATTTTGGATCCAGGTTTTTGGGTTCTACACCTGAATGAGATTCTTTAAATAACTTCGAGAACAAAGAAAAGAAAAAGAAAGCCCCTCTTATTTGAAGCTAAAGTTGAATCATTGTAATAAAAATGCGAGTCACCTGGATGGGCCTCATCCAACAGTCGTCATCGACTTGGGGACAAGAAAAATGGTCTTTTAAGTTTTGTAGGTAGGGGCTTATTTTCTTCCTGCAGGTGCGCCATCAGTTTGGATTTTGCTTCATTGTAATTTTGGTGTAGTGACCCGAGGTTTTAACTTTAAAGATGTTTGGGCCTGTCCTTTGAATGCTAGTGTGGACAGTTCGGTTGGTGCATTCGTTATGTCACATGGTCTGCAGGGATCCAGGGCACGCACATGCTCACGTTTATATAGGTAAATGTTAACATCCTTTGTCTGTACTTCGAAGCTGGACAGAGATAGTGGTGTAAACAGGATGCAGCAGAGCATGGAGTGTTGCCCGTCAGGGGATGCAGGCCCGCGTGGCTGTGCGCATCCAGGACACAGGACACAGGGCGGGTGACGGGGGATGCAGGCCCGCGTGGCTGCGCGCATCCAGGACACAGGACACAGGGCGGGTGATGGGGGATGCAGGCCCGCGTGGCTGCGCATATCCAGGACACAGGACACAGGGTGGGCGACGGGGGATGCAGGCCCGCGTGGCTGCGCGCATCCAGGACACAGGACACAGGGCGGGTGACGGGGGATGCAGGCCCGCGTGGCTGCGCGCATCCAGGACACAGGACACAGGGCGGGTGATGGGGGATGCAGGCCCGCGTGGCTGCGTGCATCCAGGACACAGGACACAGGGTGGGTGACGGGGGATGCAGGCCCGCGTGGCTGCGCACATCCAGGACACAGGACACAGGGCGGGCGACAGGGGATGCAGGCCCGCGTGGCTGCGCGCATCCAGGACACAGGGCAGGTGACAGGGCTCTGTGTGCCCAGCACACCTGTGGAGTTGGCTACTGGGCAGCTCAGACAGCAGCTCACAGCCCCGGATTTTCTGCTTTGTTTTCATTAACTGAACATACTGACTCGAAAAATTATTTTTAAAAATAAAAAGCTAATTTTATTTTAGTTTATTTTAATTTAAAAATAGATTTTAAAATCTGCTTTTTAAAGTCATAGATGTTTATCTTTAAGAACATTAAACAATTAAAGAACTAGCATGTTTCTACAATTTTACAACAATTATAAACCATAGGCTTCTGTATAAGACTAGTTCTGGAAATTTTTTAAAGTGTGATTTCTTTTACAGTATGTCTTCCAGAGATGTGTCATGTAAGACTCAATGAAGGAGAAATTTTTCTTTTCCTCAGAACTGACTGTTGACCCGTGGATAATTGAATATTTGTTGTGGTGTTATGTAGAGCTAGGCCTCGTTCTGAGCATCTCTGTTCTGGCACGGGAGCACAAGAGGTCTTGGCCAGGGTAAACCAGTTTTTTCAGTTTTGGGTCATTGATATTCTCAGTCAAAATTATAGCATTTCATAGGCTTTAGAATCTGACAAACTCAAGGGAGAGCTGCGTGAATTGTGAAGAAATGGTTTGGTCTCACCTAAGATGGTTTTGTTTAATTCTTTTCTTATTTAATATTGAATTTTGGTTGCTTTCGTTTAATTTCGTGTACATGTGATTTCTCTTCCTGACTGGTCTATACTACCTTGCACAGCTGCATACTTTTGTTTTGTTTTGTTTTGTTTTTTGAGATGGAGTCTCCCTCTGTCGCCCAGGCTGGAGTGCAGTGGCGCAATCTCGGCTCACTGCAACCTCCGCCTCCCAGGTTCACGCCATTCTCCTGCTTCAGCCTCCCCACTAGCTGGGACTACAGGCGCCCGTCACCATGCCTGGCTAATTTTTTGTATTTTTAGTAGAGACGGGGTTTCACCGTGTTAGCCAGGATGGTCTCGATCTCCTGACCTCATGATCTGCCTGCCTCGGCCTCCCAAAGTATTGGGATTACAGGCGTGCACCACTGCGCCCAGCCAGCTGCATACTTTAAGTGACCTAATAGTGACACCCTCTACATGCTAGGGCTGAGTACTAGCCAAAGAAAACATACAGTTTACATACCTGCAACTTCGGGAATTATTCACATAATCGTATGATACAGTTTACATACCTACAACTTCAGGAATTATTCACATAATTGTATGGTACAGTTTACATACCTACAACTTCGGGAATTATTCACATAATTGTATGATACAGTTTACATACATACAACTTCGGGAATTATTAACATAATCATATGCTTTAGAGATACAATCTAATAACCAAACTAATGAGAAACATAAATTTAAATGTTGTAATGATTATGCACATTCTAATAATTTGGAGCACTTCTCTAGTTTTAGAATAACTCAGAACTCATTGATTGGCATCGTATTGAATCTGTAGATCAATTTGGGGGAAGTGCCAACTTAACAGTATTGAGTATTCTGATTCATGAACATGGTATGTCTCTCCATTTATGGAGGTCTTTAATTTCTCTTAGCAATGTTATACAGTTTTCAGTGTTCAGCTTCTGTGCATATTTTGTTACATTTATCTCTGAGTACTTCATACTTACAGATGCTATCATAAATGGTATTGTATTTTAAATTTCAGTATCCAGTTGTTCATTGGAAGGATGTAGCAGTACAATAGATTTTTCTTTACTGACCTTTATCCTGTGTCATTTCTAAATGAACTTGTTTTAGATTTTCTGTAGGATTTTTTTAAAATATGCATAATTATGTTACCTTTAAATAGAATTTTGCTTCTTCCTATAGAATTTCTATACCTTCTCTTACTTTAATGTGCTGGCCATGATCTTTATTTCAGTGTATTTTCTTTATAAAAATATTTTTGCCTTATTCCTGATCTTTGAGTGAAAGCATCCAGCATTTCACCATTAAGTCTGATGTTACCAGTACATTTTTCCCAGATGCTCTTAATCAGATTGAAGAAGTTTCCTTCTATTCTTTGTTTCATGGGAGTTTTTTCTCATGAATGAATGGACATTGGATTTTCACATGCCTTTTCTGTATCTTCCGAGATGATGGTATGGTGATCCTTCTTGATTCTTTTGTTAAAGTGAATTACGTCGATTTCGAATGCTAACCGAACCTTGCATTTCTCTTATCATAAACCTGACTTCATCTACATGTATTGTGCTTTTGCTATACTGATCAGTTTTCTAATATTTAATGAAGAGTTTTTGCGTCTGTGTTTGTGCAACATGTTAGTCTGCAGTTTTCTTTTTTTTGCCATGTCTTTTTGTTATCAGGATAATGCTGACCTCAGCAACGGAGCTGGGAGGCTGCCCCTTATTGTCTATTTTCTGAAAATGTTTCTGTGAGATTAGTTTTATTTCTTTTAAAAAATTTGATAGAATTTGCCAGTGAAGCCTAGGTTTTTAATAATAAATTCAATTATTTTAATAAATATAGAACTGCCAGTCACGGTGGCTCATGCCTATAATCCCAGCACTTTGGGAGGCTGAGGAGGGTGGATCACCTGAAGTCAGGAGTTCGAGACCAGCCTGGCTAACGAGGCGAAACCCCGTCTCTACTAAAAATACAAAAATTAGCCAGGTGTGGTAGCGGGCGCCTGTAGTCTCAGCTACTCAGGAGGTTGGGGCAGGAGAATCACTTGAACCTAGGAGGCGGAGGTTGCAGTGAGCCGAGATTGTACCACTGCACTCCAGCCTGGGAGACAGAGTGAGACTCCTCAAAAAAAAAAAACACTTCAATAAATGTAGAATTTCTTGAGTTAGTGTTGTTTGTGTCTCTCAAGATTATTTTCTTTTCCCCTAAATTCTAGAGTGTGTCCGCACACTGTTCCTCATGGTACCCACTGTATGTTTCTGTGTCTGTGGGTCCACAGGATGCTCTGCTGCCAGGCCTCCCTGGGCTCCTCTGATCCATGACCGTTTCTCACACTTCCTTGTTTTTGGCGACTTTTTGAGGAGCATTGGGTCGGTTATTTTGTAGGATGTGCCTCTGTTGGAATTTGTCTCCTGACTAGATGGGGGTCACGGGTTTTGGGGAGGGAGGACACGTAGGTGAAGTCCTTCTCATCGCATTCTGTCCAGGCCAGCACTGTCAGCAGGACTCAGTGCTTAATGCTGATGCGGGTCACCTGGCTGAGGTGGCTCTTCAGCATTTTCCACAGTCAAGTGACTCTTTCAGCTTTCATCCTGCACTTGGGAAGGAAGCTGCTATGCCCATCACCCAGTTAAGGAGTGGGGAGTTGTGTGCCGCCTCCTCGAGGGTGGAGTGTCACAGATACTGTTGTCAGTCTACCCGGGAGCCTTGTCTCTTCTTTCCCATTTATTCACCTATTCACTCATCCGTTTCCATCAGTGTGTGCTCATGGAGATGTATTTTACACTCTGGGTTAGAATCTAGTTCTGCTTCATTCTGGTGCTCACATCCTTCCGGCTTTGGCCATTGGCAGCTCGTCAGTTGGCTCCCGTGCCCCTTGACATTCCCTCCATTCCCTCTTCATTGTAGGTGTTTCATCATTAGTGGTTTTTTTTTTTCCCTTTTTTTCTTTTGAGACAGAGTTTTGTTCTTGTTGCCCAGGCTGGAGTGCAGTGGGGCGATCTCTTACTGTAACCTCCGCCTCCTGGGTTCAAGCAATTCTTCTACCTCAACCTCCCAAGTAGCTGGAATTACAGGCCGTGCCACCACACCCGGCTGCTAATTTTTTGTATTTATATTACAGACGGGGTTTCACCATGTTGACCAGGCTGGTCTCGAACTCCTGACCTCAGGTGATCCGCCTGCCTTGGCCTCCCAAAGTGCTGGGATTACAGATGTGAACCACCATGCCCGGCCTGAGCACTTTTTACTTGCACAGCACTACCAAATGCTTCTCCGGGCTCATTGTGAGTGCTTGTCCCAGCCTAGAATGAGCCGTTTCTCCGTGAATTGAAAGATGACGTTAGAGACCAGGATGCGGTGTTTGGAGGGCCCTGGCGTTAGAGACCAGGATGCGGTGTTTGGAGGGCCCTGGTGTTGGAGACCAGGATGCGGAGCGCGGCGGTGTGCTGCGGTGCACTGTGTCCTCTGAACATGCGAAGGGCCCTGGGCGGCTTTTCAGCCAAACATGTTGCCTAGGAGCCCCGCATCCTGTGCCGTTGCAGAGTGCTGACTTCTGTGGAGTCAGTCCTGACGCTGCTTCCCTCTCTCACTAGTAGTCATTTGTGTAGCTTCTAGGAAAGAAGAAGAAAACATACCCGTCCTTGAGCTGCTCGCATTCTGATTTGGGACTGTTGGGTGGAAGTCACAGATCTCTGTTGGAGCACAAGCATGGCTCCTTGGGGAGAGCAGCGTGAGGAGTTAGATCAGGAGCCTCTCAAAGCCAATTGCCAGAAGCTAGAAGCTTCTTTCTTTGTTTAGCAACGAGGTTTTAAAGTTTGTTACATTAGGTTAGTCCCGCTTCTCTGGTGCAGTGGTTATTTGGAGGGTTGGTTTTATATTCTGTTTTGCTTATTTCATTAGATATTAGGAAGAACATTTTAATGCCGATTTATTTTTATCCCTGGGTATTTTTTGTTAGATGATGTTTTTATGACTTTTTAATCTTTAGCGTGGTACAGTGGCTTAGGCCTGGAATCCCAGCAACTCGGGAGACTGAGGTGGGAGGATCATCTGAGACCAGGAATTTGAGACCAGTCTGGGCAGCATAGTGAGACCCCGTGTATAAAAATAAAATAAAATAAAAAGCCCCTCAAACCTGCAAACAGTAGAAATATACTTTTAGTAAATGTTTGATTAGTCTGAGTGCTGATTGTATTGATTAGGTGACATGAGCCATGGCAGTAGAGGGTCCCCTGGACTTGTGATTAGCATGGTGGGAGGCTGCATCTTGCTTATGTTCAGGGTGCAGTGTGGGCGATTCTGGTCCTCCCACAACTGCCCTGGGTGCCTCTGATGCCTGAGCCTTCTATCATGTGCTCACCTTATGGCCTTGGGGGTCCTCAGTCTGGGAAGGGGAGAGGCGTGAAAAGGTGCATCCTGTTTTTAAAACCTGTGTCCTGGAAGTGACACACGTCTCACCTGTTAGAGTCCATCAATGGAGTCTGGCCACAGGGCCGTGTGTGCGCACAATGGGCTTGGGAAATGCAGTCTGGATGTGCGGGGGCTCCCGGGACAGCCCCTGACGGCCAGGGAAGTAGGCTGTGGGCTGCCCTGGCCTGGGGGTTTTTGGGGGGCCTGCTTTTCCTCCTGCTGAAGCTCTGAGCAGCTCCTCTTTTTGTAAGTACATTACGTCAAACCAGTTTCTTCTTTTATTTGGCCCCGGTCCTTGTGTGTTATGTAGGAGCATAAATGTCCATGGGAGAAAATGTTCTTAGGGAACAGGTACTGGAGTTTAAAAGAAATCTGTCCATTTTTTCCTAATAAGTAGAAAGAAAAAATTACTTAATTCTTTTTACCTGGCTGTTGTTGAAATACTTTTCCTTGAGAGAATTCATAAAAATTAGAAAAGTAGTATCAGCTTTTCTAACCTGCACTTGATGATAATTACTTTAATTATAAAAGGGATGCCTACCTGGCGGCAGAGTGTCACGTGGTGAGGCTGCACTCTGGGTGGGAAGGAGACAAAAACTTGTACTTGTTCAAATATACATCAGATATCCTGATGGAGTTCCTCCTCTCCCTGCTGTAGAAAACAGCCAGATACTGTGGCGTGAATGGGAGTGGTCGGTGATTGACTCCACAGGTAACAAGCTCTGGGTCAAGATCTTGGGCTCGGCGGGGCGCCAAGGGGAAGCAGCGCGCCCGGCCTTGTTCATGCCGTGAGCTGGAGCGGGAGCCCCTGGAGGCTGGGGTTCCTGCGGTGCCCGGGGTGCGCTTCTCACTTGCTGAGCGTTCAGTGCAGACGTGTTAGACGCACATTTAGCGGGTTTGGCCCTGGGGCATTTGAAAGTTGTTTAAACTCATCTTTGGAGGGCTGGTGCTTGCTTTCTCCTCAGGTTGTCCTCTCAGCATCTCCATGTCAGTTGAGGGTTAGGCGGAGAACAGAGTCATGTCTGTTCTCTGTCCTGTGATCATTTGTGCCCAGGCAGAGGTGTGTGTCCAGCAGCCACCGACGGCGGTGTCTGGAGTCACCACTGTAGATCAGGTGGCTCTCTCGCCCCGTCATTTCCACATTTGACAGCTTTCATGGAGCCTAGTCACCGCCTGAGACCGGGACCCACCTGGCGTCTCAGCTGCCTGTGCCACTTAGTTGGAGATGGCTTCCGATGCTAACCTCTGCTGCGAGGGTTCTCGGGTTCTGCTCACTGGCTGCATGAGTTGGATGTTCTGCTGCTCTGAAGTGCCGGCTGGGCCCTCGTCCGGGTGCCAGCTGGGCTCTGGTTCTGAGTGTTGCTGGGCCCTCGTCCGGGTGCCAGCTGGGCTCTGGTTCTGAGTGTTGCTGGGCCCTCGTCCTGGGCGCCGGCTGGGCTCTGGTTCTGAGTGTTGCTGGTCCCTGGTCCTGGGCGCCGGCTGGGCTCTGGTTCTGAGTGTTGCTGGGCCCTCGTCCTGGGCGCCGGCTGGGCTCTGGTTCTGAGTGTTGCTGGGCCCTCGTCCTGGGCGCCAGCTGGGCTCTGGTTCTGAGTGTTGCTGGGCCCTCGTCCTGGGCGCCGGCTGGGCTCTGGTCCTCAGCGTTGCCCTCCCGTCCTTCCCTCCTCCCTGTGTCGTTGTCTGCACTGAACCATTGCATAGGTTTTCAAGGCTCTGCTTCAGAATAACTTAGTTTTCATTTCCTTTTGTAATAAAACATGGCAAACACAAATCTGTGAAAACAGTTTAAATACTTCATTTCTCAAGATTTTTAATTTTATGTTGTATCTTGGTGGCTGGTTTTGCATGTACTTGGACAAAGCCTGTTGATGTCTGTTCACATGTGCTCCATTTTGTGTGGTCCACGAGCAACAGGGGCCGCCATGCCAGTTGCCCAGAGCACAGGGCAGGTGCTTAGGGCTCTGTGATGAGGTGGTTCCCTGAAGCAGAAGAGAAATGGAAGGCCACTTTATAAGCTCAGCGTAGAAAATGTTTGCCATGACAGCTTTCAAAGTGGAAGATGTTTTGTAGAAATGGGGTCTCACTGTGTTGCCCAGGCTGGTCTTGAACTCCTGGGCTCAAGCCATCTGCCTGCTTCAGCCTCCCAAAGTGTTGGGATTACAGGTGTGAGCCACCGCACCTGGCTGAAGAGGTTTTGTTTTAAATCCATCAAAGTAAAACAGTTAAAAAACTCAAACACTGAAAGGGTGAGTTGTAGCAGTGGTTGAAATAGGATCATTGCTGTTCTTGTCCAGCAAGTGACTAAAAGCATGAGAAATACTTAGTTTTGAACACAGGTTCTGTCACCAATAAATGGTGAGACCTGGGACAGATCCTGATCTTTCTGAGCATCAGTGTCTTCATGGTAAAGTGGGTAAAATAGCCAGGATGGCTGGGAGTGAGACCATGTGTTCCTGGTAAAGTGGGTGAAATAGCCAGGATGGCTGGGAGTGAGACCATGTGTTCGTGGTAAAGTGGGTAAAATAGCCAGGATGGCTGGGAGTGAGACCATGTCTTCATGGTAAAGTGGGTGAAGTAGCCAGGATGGCTGGGAGTGAGACCATGTGTTCGTGGTAAAGTGGGTGAAATAGCCAGGATAGCTGGGTGAGACCATGTGTTCGTGGTAAAGTGGGTGAAATAGCCAGGATGGCTGGGAGTGAGACCATGCACACGAAGCACTCAGTACTCCTTGAGCTCAGCAGAATCAGGACTGTTACTTCCTGGTGAGTCCCTGAGTGCCCACTCTTGGCTGGGTCTCATGGTGGCTGCTGGCTCCCACCAGTCAGCCCTCAGACTTTAAGTCACCTTTAGTTTAGCACTTCCTGGTGGAATTCAGAACTGACCCCGCACAGTGGATGAGAACATTCTAGGCTGTCTTTTGGCATCCTGCTCGGTGGATTCTGCTCTGGGTCGGGATTCTCAGTCTTTGCTTTCGGCACGCAGAGCAGCAGCATGTGAACCAGCGGGTCGAGAGGCATTTCCCTCCAAAATGGGAAGCTCACTCTTGAATTCCTCCGTGTCCCAAACAGTCTTCACCCATGTCCTGTGCATTCTTCTAGGGACTTTGGGAGACATCATTGGACGAACAGAAGGACCCCTGTACAGGGGAAGGCCACACGGAAAACTAAAGCATAGTAAGGACGTGGCAAAATAGATGAAAAAGTGCTGAGGGTTGTGGGGGCAGTGAGTGGTTTTGGTTAGGAATGTCAGCTGTCTGTCACAGGGGGACTTTGGCCTCAGACCTAATTTTGCCATTCACTGGCTGTGTGGCCTTGAATAGGTTAATAGCTTCTCTGCGTGGGCTGCTGTCTGTGCCATCTGCGTGGGCTGCTGTCTGTGCCATCTGCGTGGGCTGCTGTCTGTGCCGTGAAGGTGCTGCCGACCCGGCTCCTGAGGCTCCATGGCCTGCTTCTCAGTTTCTTGCTGTCCTTCCAGACACGTCTCCATGCACGCACGTGCGCGGCTGGACTCACCTGTCCTTCCAGACACGTCTCCATGCCCGCACGTGCGCGGCTGTACTTACCTGTCCTTCCAGACACCCAGACACATCTCCATGCATGCACGTGCGCGGCTGGACTTACCTGTCCTTCCAGACGTGTCTCCATGCACGCACGTGCGCGGCTGTACTTGCCTGTCTTTCCAGACACCCAGACACGTCTCCATGCACGCACGTGCGCGGCTGTACTTACCTGTCCTTCCAGACACGTCTCCGTGCCCGCACGTGCGCGGCTGTACTTACCTGTCCTTCCAGACACGTCTCCATGCACGCACGTGCGCGGCTGTACTTACCAGGCCTTCCAGACACGTCTCCATGCACGTGCGCGGCTGTACTTACCTGTCCTTCCAGACACGTCTCTATGCACGCACTTGCACGGCTGTACTTACCAGGCCTTCCAGACACGTCTCCATGCACGCACGTGTGCGGCTGTACTTACCTGTCCTTCCAGACACGTCTCCATGCACGCACGTGCGCGGCTGTACTTGCCTGTCCTTCCAGACACCCAGACACGTCTCCATGCATGCACGTGCATGGCTGTACTTACCTGTCCTTCCAGACACATCTCCATGCCCGCACGTGCGCGGCTGTACTTACCAGGCCTTCCAGACACGTCTCCATGCACGCACGTGCGCGGCTGTACTTACCTGTCCTTCCAGACACGTCTCCATGCATGCACTTGCACGGCTGTACTTACCAGGCCTTCCAGACACGTCTCCATGCACGCACATGCGCGGCTGTACTTACCTGTCCTTCCAGACACGTCTCCATGCACGCACGTGCGCGGCTGGACTTACCTGTCCTTCCAGACACCCAGACACGTCTCCATGCACGCACGTGCGCGGCTGGACTTACCTGTCCTTCCAGACACCCAGACACGTCTCCATGCACGCACGTGCGCGGCTGGACTTACCTGTCCTTCCAGACACCCAGACACGTCTCCATGCACGCACGTGCGCGGCTGGACTTACCTGTCCTTCCAGACGCGTCTCCATACACGCACGTGCGCGGCTGTACTTACCTGTCCTTCCAGACGTGTCTCCATGCACGCACGTGCGCGGCTGTACTTACCTGTCCTTCCAGACACCCAGACACGTCTCCATGCACGCACGTGCGCGGCTGGACTCACCTGTCCTTCCAGACACGTCTCCATGCCCGCACGTGCGCGGCTGGACTCACCTGTCCTTCCAGACACGTCTCCATGCACGCACGTGCGCGGCTGTACTTACCTGTCCTTCCAGACACGTCTCCATGCACGCACGTGCACGGCTGTACTTACCTGTCCTTCCAGACACCCAGACACGTCTCCATGCACGCACGTGCGCGGCTGGACTTACCTGTCCTTCCAGACGTGTCTCCATGCACGCACGTGCGCGGCTGTACTTGCCTGTCCTTCCAGACACCCAGACACGTCTCCATGCACGCATGTGCGCGGCTGTACTTACCTGTCCTTCCAGACACGTCTCCATGCCCGCACGTGCGCGGCTGTACTTACCAGGCCTTCCAGACACGTCTCCATGCACGCACGTGCGCGGCTGTACTTACCTGTCCTTCCAGACACGTCTCCATGCACGCACTTGCACGGCTGTACTTACCAGGCCTTCCAGACACGTCTCCATGCACGCACGTGCGCGGCTGTACTCACCTGTCCTTCCAGACACGTCTCCATGCACGCACGTGCGCGGCTGTACTTACCTGTCCTTCCAGACACCCAGACACGTCTCCATGCACGCACGTGCGCGGCTGTACTTACCTGTCCTTCCAGACACCCAGACACGTCTCCATGCACGCACGTGCGCGGCTGTACTTACCTGTCCTTCCAGACACCCAGACACGTCTCCATGCACGCACGTGCGCGGCTGTACTTACCTGTCCTTCCAGACGCGTCTCCATACACGCACGTGCGCGGCTGTACTTACCTGTCCTTCCAGACGTGTCTCCATGCACGCACGTGCGCGGCTGTACTTACCTGTCCTTCCAGACACCCAGACACGTCTCCATGCACGCACGTGCGCGGCTGGACTCACCTGTCCTTCCAGACACGTCTCCATGCCCGCACGTGCGCGGCTGGACTCACCTGTCCTTCCAGACACGTCTCCATGCACGCACGTGCGCGGCTGTACTTACCTGTCCTTCCAGACACGTCTCCATGCACGCACGTGCACGGCTGTACTTACCTGTCCTTCCAGACACCCAGACACGTCTCCATGCACGCACATGCGCGGCTGGACTTACCTGTCCTTCCAGACGTGTCTCCATGCACGCACGTGCGCGGCTGTACTTGCCTGTCCTTCCAGACACCCAGACACGTCTCCATGCACGCATGTGCGCGGCTGTACTTACCTGTCCTTCCAGACACGTCTCCATGCCCGCACGTGCGCGGCTGTACTTACCAGGCCTTCCAGACACGTCTCCATGCACGCACGTGCGCGGCTGTACTTACCTGTCCTTCCAGACACGTCTCCATGCACGCACTTGCACGGCTGTACTTACCAGGCCTTCCAGACACGTCTCCATGCACGCACGTGCGCGGCTGTACTTACCTGTCCTTCCAGACACATCTCCATGCACGCACGTGTGCGGCTGTACTTACCTGTCCTTCCAGACACCCAGACACGTCTCCATGCACGCACGTGCGCGGCTGGACTTACCTGTCCTTCCAGACACCCAGACACGTCAACATGCACGCACGTGCGCGGCTAGACTTACCTGTCCTTCCAGATACCCAGACACGTCTCCATGCACGCACGTGCGTGGCTGGACTTACCTGTCCTTCCAGACACATCTCCATGCACATACATGCGCAGCTGGACTTAGCTGTGTTTTTTGTCACTTAGTATTGTTGTGGCACTTTTTCCACATCGGTCCTTAGATAGGGACTGCATCCTCCTTAATGTGATAAAGATGTTCCATAATTTAAAAAAAGTATTCTTTTGTGCAATTTGAGGTTGATTTAAATCGCGTTAGTTGAAAGCGTGTAGTTTCTGGCATTTTTTAAACATTAAAATAATTTACTTTTACAGCATATTATAATATTGATCTTTAAAAACAAAACTGGTTTATTTATTTTTTTAATTTTTCCATTATAATCTAAATATCATGATGGATTTTGAACGTCTCACCAATGAGCTTTTGGCAGTCGAATGTTATGTCACTTTTCTTTTCTTTGAATTTTCGTTTCCATTTCATTTCCCTCACAAAATTTTATCCTGTTAGCCTGGCTGTCGTATGCATTTGCAACAGAAATAGGGATGTAGATCGAAGCTGAAAAAATTTATGTTCCTAACCATAAGGCCCTAAGTGCTAAAAAAAAACAAAAAAACAAAAAAAAAAAAACCTTCTGGATTGAAGGTTCAATCCAGATTTGTTCAACTACAATGGTTGAACAGAAGAACGTGAATATGTCACCCACTTAGAACTAATTCTTGATAATAAAATACTAGGAATGTATTTTTGAAGAGCTGGATAGGGCTTTTTGGTTAATTATTGAATCAATGGATGATTATGTTTGACTGCTTAGATGAGACAGGATTCCATGTTGGTCCTGCTGTTTTTGGTTTTTATAACTCTGGGTGCTGGGAAACTTGGGTCCCATCGGTAATATGTGGGAGAGGAAGGAGTCCTTGGCTTCTTTGAGTTGTGTGCCAGGGGTCTCAGTGGTCTGTCCTCAGAAACTGTTTTTGATGATCTCTGTCTATTTTGTTGAAAGCAAAGATTGCAACCCAGCTGACTTACCAAGGGCTTTCTAGTCAGCCGGTGAGGTGCTGGTTTTGTCACGCCCGTGCTGGTGTTCAGGTGGCCCTGCGCTGGCTCCTGGGGTCTGTGCCCTAGGTGGATGGTGCATCCAGTGTGTTCAGAGCAGAGGTTGTTTTTTAGGTGGGAAAAGGGCTTTGTGGAAGGGAACACACACATTGAGATACTCGCTCAAGGAGAGTCATCTTTAGGCAACAGGACATTCTGGAAGGTGGGGATCTGGAGACTGCGTTGCTGAGAGCTGTTTGCATCCATGAGCCCCCCAGAAGCTGTGGGGCACCCGAGGGGCACATTATTCCAGTTGGGAGCTGGTTGTCTTAGAATATGATTTCCTTCACCTTAATAAGGATCTTCAAGGAAAAAAAAGGTATATTTGGTCAAATGACCTTGCCAAATGGTGGCCTGAATACATTTTACTCTATTAAAATTTCTTCTCAGACTGTCAGTGTGCCAGTGGCCACTGTGAATAGTCATTAGGGGACTGTTGGCTTCTCAGCAGCACCGTCCTTCTTCAGTTGCTCATGGGGGGAGAGAATAAATGCATGTGTGGACATGCTGTGAGCCTAGGATCCCGGGGACACCAGCCTTCCCACATGCTGTGAGCCTAGGATCCCGGGGCCACCAGTGTTCCATAGCCTCCACTTGGGGAACATACCAAGCTCGTGCAAGTCAGGTAGCCTCTCCAGTTCTACATCTCTGAGGAGCATAGGACTGTCACAGCCTGTAGGTGACTGTGGTGACCAAGCCAAAAGCCACCTGGGTTACTTTCCATACCTGACCTATAGGTCATTTGTCAGGTTTTGCTGTGTTAACGTTAGGTGTCACCAATAACAAGTAGAGGAATTTAAAAAATAATATTTTTGAATGAAATGGAGTTGATTATGCCTTTATTTTAGGAGAAAACCTGGTGGTCCTGTGATTTACTTGAGCATGGCGTGGTGCTGTGCTGGCACTCAATGTGGGGACAGTTACAGTGATACTAGGCTAGAATTTCCTATGTGCAGATCACAGAAAGGCAGGCTTCCCAGGTTGGTTTTTGGAGAGTGAAATCCAAGAATGGAGTTTTATTGTCAGGTGATAATCACGTTGTGTTTCTAGTGCTAGTTCTTTCTCTCCCCAGCCTTCCACAACAAAGCGGACCTTAGATATCCCTTGTGACCAGAAAGTGCTAAGGCTTAAAAACGCATGATTGAAAACTGTGGGTGAGTCTGTACTTTGAGATGAAGCTGTGTTAGCTGCCGCCTGTCTGAACACACTCGTGCTTCCTCCAGGGTGGCGCCAGGCTTGCTGGTTTCTGGGCCATGGTCTGTTCTTTTGTAGAATCTTTTCCTTCAAAGCAGAACCCTGAGCCCTTTGGTTGTAGCTCACACATGTTCCTGCAGGACCTGGAGGCAGCATGTGTGTCCTTCCATCCCAAGTCCAACGTGATGTTTGCCCCTTTCTTTCCAGGGCGCTACCGTTTTGGAATGATACCAACACTTACGTGGTTACGAACGTTAGATCTGTCCCATAGGAATGAGTTGGGATGGAGTGACTGAAAATGTCAAGCCAGTTCTCATGCAAGTGTGCCACCCTAGAAGCTTTATTAACTGGGTGCGATAACAGCTGGTGCGGTTGCAGTCTATTCTGTCACAAGTTCAGCATCCTCAGCCCAGCTGTCCTGTGCTATCCAGTTGTGCAGACAGATCACCAACAATTAGGAAAAGTTACGTTCTGCTAAAAACCCCATCTCCAGTTTATTCTTCCTTAGCATTTGGGGCTCCTTCCCCCTCAGGACGGGTCCCTGGGAGTGGACTATGTTGAATGACTCTTAGGCCTCCCCCTCAGTGCGGGTCCCTGGGAGTGGACTGTGTTGAATGACTCTTATGTGCTCTTACCATGAATGTTGTTGTTTTAAGGCCTTCTTTTTCTTTGTGATTCTTTTGTTCCCTAGCGTCGTCCCCCAGACTACAGTAATACTCAACAATGATCGGCAGAACGCCATTGTAGCCAAGATGGAAGACCCCTTGAGCAACAGGGCACCGGATTCCCTGGAAAATGTCATTAGCAAGTCAGTAGCACGGCACCAACCCCACCTTTCCCTGCCACTGTGCGGAGTCCCATGAGAATAAGTCAACGTCCCTAAGCCAGGGCACAGTCCAGCACACGCTTCATCTCTGTGGTCACAGGGTTGAGCCTGGCAGGCACCGCCCCAGCTCTCTGAGGTCGGGGAGGGCAGGCTGGGCGATGCTGAATGCTGAGTCCAGCCACACCAGGGGCAGCTGCCGCCGGGGACTTCTGTGTCTCGTGCTGGCCGGGGTTGTGGAGGGGGCTGGCTCTGTCTCCTCACAGCAGTCTGTGAAAGCGTTCATCCTCCCACCTAGCTCAGTGGTCCTCACGTCTGTCTGTGCAGAGCGTGTCAGGCAAACAGACGCCCTCTCCCACGGTTGCTAAGTGGTGCAGGCATGTTGAGTTTATGACTTTTTTCTTATACCTTTTTCTCTTGAGACATTTTGAATGGAACTTTGGTCAGAGGTGGGAGTGGACAGAAGACACCGTCCCCGCTCTGTGTGAGGGGAAGGCTGTGCAGTGGCCTCTGGCTGGCATCCAAGCCCTGCTGTCCCCAGGAGTGCCCCTGGGGCTGCGTGAACCCCTGAGGATGCTGTTGCTTTTTCTTTCCCATCTGTGTCTTCACAAAGTTCTATTTGCTTTTTCTCTCAGTCTCCTTTGTGGATTCCTCCTCCTCCAGCTTCGTCCCCTTTCTGTATTGTCTTAGCTCAGTTCTCCAGGGCCGCAGCTGTGGTCGCAAGGGTCTGATACGTGGGGTGAAGGGAGAGGAGTTGGTGATGGGCGGTGAGGAGGTGCCAGGGTCAGCTGTGCCTCAGGGGCTTTGCACTGAGGTCAGCCAGGCAGATGGCCAGTGTTGAGATCAGGTTCAGCGTGGACAGCGCTCTAGAGAATCCAGGCCAGAAAGTGCAGAGTGCAGCGCCCTCCTCTGGGTGCGGCCAGTGTTTTCAACACCCTTTTTTTTGACTTTGCATATAGAGAAATTGTGCTCCTTTCTCCTGCTGGTGCGTAGCAGTCCACGGTAGAGGATGTTGAAAGGGTCACTAAAAAAGGGAAGTAGTAAGTCTCTAAATCATCCTTTTTTTTGAGCACTTGTGGAGGTGGCCTCGCCCTGCTTTGCTAGCAGTGTTCTGTCCTTCCACATCAGCAGCCCTTGGGATGATGGCAGCTCCGATGGGATCTCAGTGGGTTTTTTAAGCCCCGTCAGGGTTTTTTGCCCGTGGGCGTACGTGGGAGTGCTGCTCGCATTGCGAGGGGGAGCCATCTCCAGCGAGCCCAGCAGCGTGGATCGAATTGACCCAGGCCTCTGGGCACAGTTTTCCTCATTTAGTCTTCCCTTTAACCTCGCCGGAAAAAAGACTCTTACCAGCATTTTATGGGATGACTACTGAACTCAGAAGGCAGCATGCTAGGCCTGAGTCCCAGTGAGTATGATTTTACTCCTTTTGTGATACAAACATTTTCTTTAAATGGTTAAGTTTTATTTTATACAGTTTCTTTCAGCCCCAGGCCATTTTCTCCCATGGAGTTTCTATTAATCTTGGTAGAGAGAGCAGTATGGGAAGGCTGTGTGATCCACTGGTCCACACAGAGTTAGATTTTGCGATAAGGAAAGCGCTGACCTTCGCGTGCTGCTTGCGGCTCTTACCACATCGGGCTGGTGTGTTTTTTTTCCCGTTTAGCGCTGTGCCTGGGCGTCGGCAGAACACCATTGTGGTGAAGGTGCCGGGCCAAGAAGACAGCCACCACGAGGACGGGGAGAGCGGCTCGGAGGCCAGCGACTCTGTGTCCAGCTGTGGGCAGGCGGGCAGTCAGAGCATCGGGAGCAACGTCACGCTCATCACCCTGAACTCGGAAGGTGCGTCCAGGGCGGCTTTCCTCGGCCAGAGCGCCAGTACAATTGTTTGTTTGTTTTGCCTTTTAGAAATTTTGTTGTTTTTTAAAGAAGTGATACAGTGGCCAGGCGCGGTGGCTCACGCCTGTAATCCCAGCACTTTGGGAGGCTGAGGCGGGCGGATCACCTGAAGTCGGGAGTTCGAGACCAGCCTGGCCAACATGGAGAAACCCTGTCTCTACTGAAAATACAAAATTAGCCGGGTGTGGTGGCAGGTGCCTGTAATCCCAGCTACTCGGGAGGCTGAGGCAGGAGAATCGCTTGAGCCTGGGAGGTGGAGGTTGCGGTGAACCGAGATCATGCCATTGCATCCAGCCTGGGCAATAGAGGAAACTCCATCTCAAAAAAAAAAAAAAAGTGATACAGTATAGGACAGGCTCAGTGGCTCACACCTGTAATTCCAGCACTTTGGGAGGCTGAGGCGGGTGGATCATGAGGTCAGGAGTTCAAGACCAGCCTGGCCAAAATGGTGAAACCCCATCTCTACTAAAACTACAAAAATTAGTTGGGCACGGTGACAGGTGCCTGTAATCCCAGCTACTTGGGAGGCTGAGGCGGGAGAATTGCTTGAACCTGGGTGGCAGAGGTTGCAGTGAGCTGAGATCGCACCACTGTACTCTAGCCTGGGCGTCAGAGACTCTGTCTCAAAAAAAAAAAAAAAAAAAAAAAGATAGTGATACAGTATAAACATGAAGATTAAAGGGAAAATAACTGTGATCCCACCATTCTGAGATCTCTAAACCTTTTGGGGTTTTTTGGTGCACATTTTATGATTTTATAACTCACTTCTTTCCCCTACACAGTAGAAATCTTTCCACGTTAGTGCAGATGGACAGAGTCATTTTTAGCCAGTTTTGCTTATTTCATCAGGTCTGGATGCTTTCCAGGGATGGCCCCCTCTAACCTTTCGTTATTGAAACTAGCATTGGCCTGCTGTGTTTTCATGTCTCTTGGATCAGTGTCTGGACGTGGGCTCTCAGAGGCAGGTTGCTGGGCTAGAGGACGCAGCTTCCACGGGTTCCATGGCACAGGATGCATTGCCCATTTCCCCCGAGATCTGGAAGGATGTGAAGCTGTTTGTCCTACTTGGACTCCTAGCGGGGGCCTCTCTCCTGCAGGGCTCTGAGGTGCCCTCCCGCCTGGCCCTCGGCCTGCCCAGTGTGCCTTTCAGAGCCGTCTTCCCCTGAGAGCCTCTGTGTGCCCTTCATCCTGTCACCGTAAGTGACCAGATGACTGTCAGTGACTACAGCGTGGAGAAAAGAAAGAACCAAACAGACTTAGCTTTGTGCGTGGAGTTGTAAAGCATGTGTTTTCCTTGCTTACTAGGAAGAACTCAGTTTTTCTGCATCTGCGTCTGAGTTGTTGATTTTTCCTAGCAACTCGATGTTGCTTTGTCTAGTGAACAAAGGCTTTCCTGTTAGGAAGACTCATTACCGTATCTGAAACATTGAAAACAATGTCTTCCACAAAAATTGCTTTTACCTCTAATACAAATTGCTAGGATTCAGATGGCAGAATGGAGGGAAGAGAGAAAGAGACGTTGAGTTGATCTTTTTTTTTTTTCCAAGTTGAGATCTAATTTATATACCATAAAATTGACTGTTTTAAAGCATACGTCTCAGTTGTTTTTAGTATATTCTCAAGGTTGTACAGTCATCACTTCGGACTAATTCTAGAATATTTTTTATTACCCCCAGAAGAAGCCCTGTGCCCATCAACAGTCACTTTCCATTCTCCCAGCCTCCAGCCCCGGCACCCAGCTCATCTCCGTCCTCGTGGATGTGCCTGTTGTGGACCTTGACTCTAAATGGAATCCTGTGGCATCACCCACATTGTAGCTTTTGCCCAGTGCTTTGTTCCTTTTCATGGCTGCGTGATGTGCCGAGGTATGGATGGCCCTCATTCTGTTGATCCATCATCAGTTGATGGGCATCTGGGTGGTTTGCACTTTTTGGCTGTTGTCAGGAATGCTGCTGTGAACGTTGAGGTGCAGGTTTTTGTGTATGTATTAATTGCAGGATCAGGGCAATGGAGTTTTTCACACATGAAATTTGAGGAAAGGAGGGATGCTCCTGATTTCATTTTCATAGAAATTGAAAATCACATTGCAGTAACGACAGACTAATTGTTGTAATTATTTTTGGATGTGGATTTTGTATAAATCCCCACATAGATCTGGCCACCCCCTTCAGGCCTGATGTTTGTTTGATTGAAACTGTGTTAGCTAAGGCAAAAAAACTTGGTAATTCTGGGGAGTCCAGGGTCATAAAAACAAAAAAATCTAAATGAACTTATGAGACGATATCAAATTTGGAGCTTACTTAGTATTGATCTGTATCTATAAGGAAAAATACAAATTTTCTTTGTGTCTGAGTTTAAGTTTTTTTGATGTTTTGTGTAAGACATTTTTCTTTAGCTAGGCTTTGAGCAGAGTTTTATAGCCATCTTTACCACTGATTGTTCTCATCAAACATAATTTTGCTGTACAACACAGGTTGTTAGGATTGGGGTGAACTGCAGAACTTTTTCTCATCTTAAATTTGACTTTATTTTGAAGGAGAGGTCATCATCCAGAGCCATTCTGTTTTCTCATCCCATTAGGAGGAAACATTTTTTGTAATAAATCTGTTTCACTGACTGTCCTTGGGAATGTATATCCCAGTGGGGTCGGTGTTATGAAAATATCTGCTTGAGCTGCCTTATTTGGCATAGTGGCTTGGTGAAAATGAGGAAGTCACCTTTAAATGATTGCTGTGTATGTAAATGTTGGGAAAATAGCCAATCCATTAATGTCTCTTATGTCAGATTTAATCTCAGCCCGTAGTGGCGTCCTCTCTTCAGCACTTCCATGGGGGGTGCGAATGTGCCGAGAATGGGGCCAGCATCTTCCTGCCTGTGGCCCTCTGTCCCAGAGCACCTGGGCAGGTGGTGAATCAGCGAGTTTCTACGAGGGAAAGCATTAGGAATATGGGAAGTGCTAAAGGGGGTGTGCTTGTCTTTCTATTTAGTTGTTTTAGGCCCTGATAAGAAATAGGAGCCGCAGGAGACAGATTGTTCTTAGCTTCTTATTTAAGTATTTAAGTGCCTTAAGTCTTAGAGAACCACAGATTTCAAAACGGTTATTTCTTAAGAATTCCAAATGGCTTGTGTGAATTGACATGCTGTTTTGTATCAAATTTGGAGTCAGTTTATTGTACTGCAAAGATACCATATCATTTTATTCTAGTTTTTTTCACTTAGGTAATTCCGTTTGTCATTACACACGCTCCACTGGAATAAGAAGGATGGTAACTCTCAGCTATTGAAAGCAGGGAACAGTAGACTGTGTCTCATTGGAATAAGAAGGACGGTAGCTCCTGACTGTTGAAAGCATGGAACAGTAGACTGTGTCTCATTAGAATAAGAAGGACGGTAACGCTCAGCTATTGAAAGCAGGGAACAGTAGATTATGTCTCATTAGAATAAGAAGGACGCTAACTCTCAGCTATTGAAAGCAGGGAACAGTAGACTATGTCTCATTAGAATAAGAAGGACAGTAGCTCCTGACTGTTGAAAGCAGTGAACAGTAGACTGTGTCTCATTAGAATAAGAGGGACTGTAGCTCCTGACTGTTGAAAGCATGGAACAGTAGACTGTGTCTCATTGGAATAAGAAGGACTGTAGCTCCTGACTGTTGAAAGCAGGGAACAGTAGACTATGTCTCATTGGAATAAGGACGGTAGTTCCTGACTGTTGAAAGCAGGGAACAGTAGACTGTGTCTTCATTCTTGTGCTTGCCTTTTGTCAGTAGTTTTGGTCTTGGTGTGCTCATAGCTTTGTTTTGTACTTGAAAGTGTGTGGGGCCTCATCATTCAATGACTAAGCTGCCAGCTGAGTTAGAGAAACAAGTTGAGCTAAAATGGACCTAGCATGGGATCTGTTTGTCCATTAAGGGATTTAGTTAGGTTCTTAATCAAGAGTTTAAATTTCTGCTGTGTATGCATTTGATAATTCTTACAAAACGTGACTGATCCTATACATAAAATGTTAGGTACTTCATTTCAGTGGGGGAAGGATTGTGGTTGAATTCTAATTGAATTATTGCCAGGAATTGGTCCCATGGACTTCCCAGGCAGTAGAATGACTTACGTGGTAGCTCTTGGTGATGCCAGTGAAGGCTGGTGAGGCACAGCTGGGAGAGTTGGGCAGCTGTGAGAGCTGTCAGCTGTGGCCATCCTGCAGCTGCTACTGGCACGCCGTGCTGACCTCGTTGTCCCAGACCTCGTTGTCCACAGAATGTCGGCCATGCACATGGAAATAAGAACATGTAGCCACACTGCTGTGCGGATTTACAGACCTCACAGTCCACACAATGTTAGCCGTGCACATGGAAATAAAAACATGTAGCCACGCTGTGCTGTGCCGAGTCACACACATCGCAGTCCACGGAACACCAGCTATGCACGTGGAAAGGAGAACGTGTAGCCACGCTATGCTGTGCCGATTCACACACCTCGCAGTCCATGGAATGCCATTCGTGCACGTGGAAAGGAGAACGTGTAGCCACGCTATGCTGTGCCGATTCACACACCTCGCAGTGCACGGAATGCCATTCGTGCACATGGAAAGGAGAGCATTTATTTACAGAATTCATCTTATGTAAGTGTTTTTAACATAAGTGCTGTATGTGTGAGGTAACAGGAAACATTTTTTCATGGCAGTCCTGAGTTGATCGCTAATAAGAGTAGGATTGCAGAGAGATGAGTGACCACAATAAAACCAAGGGAAGCGGGAGACAGCAGCGTGAGAACAGTCATGGCTCTGAGTGCCACAGAGCGGCCGGAAGGGCTGTCTGGGGAAGTGAGTGGGAGTGATGGCGTCTCAGCGGCTTGCGTTGAGTTTCCGGATACACAGCCTGTGCCCCGGGATGGAGGTGTCGGGAGCAGTCTTGATCCATGGCAGTGTTGGTGCTGAGCAGTCAGGAGTTCACCCAGGCTCCTCCCCACCACCTCCCCCACCCTGAAAGACGCCCTTTCCATCCCTGCCCTGTGAGACCAGACGCCTGGAGAGCAAACTTCTCAGGTGCTAGAGGCGCTCAGCTCTCCAGAGCTCAGCCGCCGACTGGTGTTGGACTCAGGTTCTCTGCGTGACCCGGAGGCGCAGGATCCTTTTTAACTCAGGGTTAAATTATTTTTCACTTTAAGAAATGCTTAAGCATTACAGGCAAAACCTTTACAATAGAATCGTTGATGGAAAACAGCCCACTCAAAAAGACAAACAAAATAAAAGCAGCCCACACCAAAAAAGCATTCTGAAAGAAAATGGTAGTGTTTAGTTTGTAAACTGAGGTCTCTGTAATGTGTAGCTTGCAGAATGTCAGTGTTACAGGTGTCTAAAATTCTCAAATACGATGTCACATAATCATAAAGTCCCTGATTTTAGAGCGAGGTCACCCTATCAGGAGCCCACCGGGTTTTCAAAGTTGTCCTCCAGGAGTGTGCACTTTTTGCTGTTCAGGGTACCCCCCCTCTTCCTCTCCCCTCCCCTTTTAATCTTTCTGCTCCCCTTTTCCCATCCCAAATATTCATTAAGCATCCACTAGTACCTGATGGGAATGGAGGTTCTTTTGAAGCATCCGTTATGTGATATCGTAGACATCTAGCCAGTAGATGGCCAGAGTTGGCGTGTTTGGGACAAATGTAGCCTTACCTTTATGGGGTGTCCCTAGTCCCCAGGATCCTGGCATACCCCAACACATTATATTTTCTTGTGGGGCACATAATTATGAGGAGCCCAACAGATAAAATGTCTCATGCGTTCCACATAGAATTCTTATTCTCTACCTTGAATAGGAGAGATGAGTTATTGACAGTTATGGTTCATCACGTCCTGGCGCTGGAAGCATTTTGAGCCGTGATGTGTGTAACGACACAGCCCGGTGCTGCCTTTAGGTTTGAATTCTGTGTGGGTTTGCTCTGTGTTATCCATTGTTGGAACCATGTATTTCATTTTATGCAGAGTTGCTTTTGAAATTCATAAACAGCTTGAGTAAGCCTTTGCAAAAGCCAGATGAAAATTAATTTTTGGCGTGGATGGCATATCTAATGTGAATCTGTTCTCTGAAGACTTACCTGGAGATGGTGAGGCTGACCTTGAACTGAATTGACATGGAGTTGGTTGTGTTGTGGAACGTAACACCATGCTCTAAGGCTCTGAACAACCGTGCAGCCCAGTGACTCGCAAAGGATGGCCTTCTGATTTGTTCACTATCCTGCTGGAGATGGAAATCTGGCATTCGTCACCTCTGTGACTGCAGGGGACTAACGTGTGGAATCCCAGGGACAGGAACACTCTGAGCCATCGCCTGAAAAGTGACCGTGGAGCTACATTTCCCAGGACATTCATGGAAGTTAGGGCTTCGGTCTTGGACAACACACAGATAACATTTGTCGGAATTATTCTTTCATCTGTTCTTGGAAAGTCAGCATTCAAATGAAAGTAGGAGAGAGAGGGATCTTAAAAAGATTGTGTTTCAATTATTGGTTAATTCCTTTCTATAGACGGCCTAAGAAAAAAGGATAAATTAATAACTATTCACTGTGGTCTGACAGTACAAATTCCAGGCTGGGATTTTTAAATCATCGTTTTGTTTCCCTTTTTCCCGACAGTAGGGAATTCTGAATATATAAAAAGTTGAGTAATACAGCAAATTATATCAGGAAGCAGATATGAGACAGTGCCTTCCATTTCAGTGTAGAAAAGGCATCATTTAAACTCAGAGTCTTTGAGGATCGGCAGCTTTCTAGGAAGAGACACTAGAAATGTGTGAATCACTGGTTGTTAATAGGCAGGGACTCTCATGGCCTAGAGCGTTTGCCTCCATTCCCAGTCTGCCTCTCACTTGGCCTGCGACCTCGATCAGGGTCATTCACTTCTGGAGACGTCTGAGCGCCTCTCCCGTGAGATGGATCATGGGCTGGCTTAGCTGCTGGGGTTACTGTGAGGACTGAGGAAATGAGGCCTCTGAAGTGGTGGAGGTGTGGATTCAGGAGCCTGCCTGACAGGACGGGCCCTCCCTCAGTGCAGTGTGACGTGGGCCTGCCCCATGCCTAGTTCCTAGACCGCTGCCCGCACCCATCAGAGCTCAGCCTGCCTGACAGGACGGGCCCTCCCTCAGTGCAGTGTGAGGTGGGCCCGCCCCATGCCTAGTTCCTAGACCGCTGCCCGCACCCACTAGAGCTCAGCCTGCCTGATGGGACGGGCTCTCTCTCAGTGTGGTGTGACGTGGGCGTGCCCCATGCCTAGTCCTTAGACTGCTGCCTGCACCCGTCAGAGCTCAGCAGGACTTTGTGCTTTCCTGGTGCAGGAGGCTCCAGGAGTGGTATCCTTTATGGTCTCTACACATGGGGCCCTCCTTGCACAGGTCAGAACCCCCTTGCCTCAGAACCTCCTTGCTAAGCAGGGCCTACCCCACAGCCTCTGATTGGTTGGGCCCAAGAAAGAGCATTTTCAGCAAGTTCCCTGCCACTGCTAATGCTGCTGGTCTGAGAACATGCCTGAAAATCTCTAGTACTTAGAGGAGTGAGGTGGGAGTGGTATTGTCAACAGGAAATCCATGGACACAAGTGTGGATGGGAACCGGTAGACTGGGGTGGGTCAGCACTCATAATGTGGCTGTGCTGAGCAGGAAGCGCAGGGCGTGGAGCTGTGAGCCGCAAACACAGGCCAGCACAAACTGGGTCCTGCTGGACACTCCAGGCGGGAGATTCCTGGGAGGACAGGCCAGGTGGCCTTGGGGTAACTCTGGTGGGGCAGAGTTTAGAGTCAGAGTCTCCTGCGGTGCTGAAAAAGGCCAGGAAGAAGTGTTGAGGCCTGGACGAGGCCACTGGTTGTGGAGGGAGGGCTCATTGTGACCTGCAGTGCAGGAGGAGTCACCCAGAGCTGGGGCAGCTCCGTGTGGGGTGGAGGGCACGGCCAGCCTTGGGTGCACTGGGTCTGGACATTTGCACACTGGCCCTCAGTGAGTCCTGAGCCTGCCAGAGGATGAGCTTAGCGGCTGCCCCGACACTGCCTTGAGGTGGAGCCTGGGGAGGACGGAGGTGGTGGGTGGCAGCACCCCCCAGGAGCTGGCTGTCATCCTAAGTCAGGGAGGTTCTCGGTGTGGGCATGGAGAGCCCACGTCATCCCTCCTGGAGGGTCTCAGTGACACTTTGACATGATTTTGACTCACTGTTTGAAAAACAACTCTGAATTCTTGTCCAGTGTTTACTTTAAAAATATTATCTCACCACAGAGAGCTCAGCTAAGTGTGTTTGAGCACTGTTAATTCCTGAGAGAGGCTGCAGGGATCTTTAGCAGCTTGGTGGCTACAGCTGAGAGCCCCTGCCCACCGTCCCCACACCATCCTCGCACTGGTCCTGCATCACCCACATCCCGGTGTGGGTGGGTGATGGTCGGGGAGGCTGGTGGCTCAGGATGCTGCTGCCCTTCCTGCTGCCTGCCTCGGGTCCTCTGTTTGTGATCTCCAGGTCCTAAGTCCAGAGATGCTTGGTGTCGCTGGAGACCACCCTCATGTACCCAGAGTTCCCATTAAATGAGCCTCAGTGCTGGGAACCCTGGGAAGTTTAAAGACAGTGGGTCTCACTGTGAGCCCTACTGACACCAGGCCCTCAGCTATTCCTGGATTACTGAGCAGCTCTGTAATCAGCTGCTTGCCCTCTCTGCCCGTCCCTCTGCCTGTGCCCCCTCAGCTTGTGCCCTCTGGCCGTGCCCCCTCAGCTCATGCCCTCTGCTCGTCTCCTCTGCCTGTCCCCTCTGCCCGTCCCTCTGCCTGTCCCTCTGCCTGTCCCTCTGCCTGTGCTCCCTTAGCTCGTGCCCTCTGCCCGTCCCCTCTGCCTGTGCCCTCTGCCCGTGCTCCTTCTGCCCATCCCTCTGCTTGTGCCCTCTGCCTGTGCCCCTTCAGCTCGTCTCCTCTGTCCCTCTGTCCATGCCCTCTGCCTGTACCTCCCTGCCTGTGCCCTCTGCCCGTGCCCCCTCAGCTCGTGCCCTCTGCCCGTCCCTCTGCCAGTCCCCTCTGCCTGTGCCAGTTCAGCTCGGACCACGCTGGGCGTGGGCGCCTGCTTTCTGCCCAGGTGACTGGGCCCTGCTTGGTTCTCCACCCTCTCCTGTCCCTCGTCTGCCCTATGTTCCCTGCTCTGGCCACGCTGGTTCCCTTACCTTCCTGGAGCACGTGGCCCCTCCTGGCCCAGGCCGATGCTGCTCCCCGCTCTGGAATGTTCTCTGGAGTTCTTCCCCTGGGTGGCTGCTTCCCGCTTCCCTGCTTGGGGTCACCCGTTCTCGTCTGAGGTCAGCTCTACCCCTGCCTGTCTCCCTGTTCGCTTGCAGGCCACTGTCCCTGGCACTTGGGAGTCAGGAGGAGCGGGGCCGAGGTCTCGCGCTCCAGGAGCTACCAGGCAGCTGCCGCAGGGACTCAGGTACTCAGGTGCTCTTCTAGCGCCTCAGCGGCTTTCACTCCATTCGTGCTCCTTTACCCGGGGCTCTGTACCGGTGCTGCCAGGAGGCCTGGCTGGCCTGGGCTGGGAGCCCACATTGAGCAGCATCTGTGTGGGATCGAGGCTGTTTCCCGCGGCCCCGGTTCACATTGGATGGCATCTGATGGTGTCACCCTGGCCTGCGCCCAGTCTGGGTTTGGGAGTCCGGGGACCTTGCAGTGGGACAGTTCCCATTTGCCAGCATGGGCCTCCGCAGCCTCTGCTTGCCAGCCACCAGGGGCCACAAGCAAATCTCTGCCCCTTGCCCAGGCCCCAAGGCAGAACATTTTTAAAAATCCTCCCTTCAGAAGGACAGACACAGGGAAGGATTCAGCCCCTTAGGTTTAATCTGACCAGGAAATCTGTGGCATGGTTTAAGGTCAGCACAAGCGGGGACTATGTCTGGGGCCTCCCGTCCATGCAGGAGAAGCATGTGGCGCTGGGAAATGCGTGGTGCAGGTGCCAATGCTCCAGAGCCGCCTCGGCCACTGTCCTCCCACATCTTGGGTTTCCCCTGCAGATTCCCATTTAGATCTTTGGTCCCATGGAGTCCATGACCATCTCTAGCCATGGTGTGACCAGCATGTGGCTTCAGATCTTGGAGACTGGACCACTCCTGCCTTGGCTCACACGTCCCCTCTGTTTCCCCTTCCCCTCCCCATGGCTTCCTTACTGGACTGCTGCTGACCAGGGCCTGCGCCGCTGTGTTCGATGACATTGACCCGTGACTCTGAGCAAGAGCTTAGATGCGGAGCTTTAGACCCAGCGCCAGGCCCTTGGGTGTCCCGTAAGGATTCGTAGATACATTCGTAGAATCCCCGGAAGCTGGAGTCTCGAAGCTTTGCAGCTGCGGCCTTTAGAGAGCCCTTGCCATGAGACTCCACCCATTAGCCTTGAGGTCACGTGTTTCCGTTTTGCTCCTCATATACAGGTGGAATGTAATAGTGGCCGACCGACGGATGTTCTGAAAAAATGCACGTCTGAGCGTACGTTCCTGGCAGCATCCCTGTACTTCTAAACCACCTCTGAGCATCGATGCTCCTTACTCATCTGTGTCCTGAATTTCAAAAATTAGAGCTGTCTTCTATCCTTAGCTACAGCCAAGAGCCCAGCCACACTGGCCTGCCCCTGTGACAATGTGTGTTTGAAGACAGGGTGACCAGCCCTGCCCTGATATTTCATGGAAATCTTATATTTCAGGGAATGGGAGAGGCTGCTTGTGGAGGGAGCTGTGTATGCTAGGAGCACACGGCAGCCACAGGCTTCTCGGCTGTGCTCCAGGCTTCCTGGCCCGGCAGGCAGGGCTGGCTGCCCTTGTAGGAGCCGGAAAGTCAATATTGGGACATTTCAGAATAAAGCTCACAGACGTTCTGAGGCAGCGATGCCCAGGGTGGCATGACTGTAGCCAGCCCTGGGCCTCAGAGACTCTGGCAGAGCGTGGCGTCCCTCATAGGTCCCGGCCCCTCGTGGGAGGTATTCAGGTTTCTACCCTTCCACAGGGGAGGACGTGCTGGGGGAGGGGAGACTCTTGCAGCCTCACTTTGGTTCAACTTCAGGGTCAGAAGAGATTGGGCAGCTGCTGAGCTTCCAAGCAGGAATGTGAGTTTTCCCGTTTATGATCATCTGTGGAGCTTTCTTCCATCACACGGGGAGGCTTTGAAAAGGCAGCCTTTCACATACCGTACTTGGTCAACCTGAGGACAACCCGGAGATGCCGTTACACAGAGAAGGAATCCGTGGTTCAGAGAAGACTAGTGACTTGTGAAGGGTCAGCTAGGAAGCTGAGAGCCCACGCTTGGGAGGGAGGGAGGCGGAGAGGTGTGGAGGGGCTGGCGGGCGTCACTGCCTGGGCAGGCAGGTGGGAAGTCCCACTCCATCGTCACAGGAGTGTGCTTTGCAGGCAACCTCAGGCCACTCCAGGTGTCTGGGCACCGTGTCTCCTCCATGTGGAGTGTGGGCCTGTCCACGGGTCCTTGCTGTGGCCTCACTGACAGTGCAGAACGTGGCGCATTCCCACACCTGAATGCGCTGCTCTGGGCGGCTGCATTGTAACTGCCCTGAGAATGCTGGCGTCAAGGGCATGCTGTGACTTACACTGTGCAGAGGCAAGGACTGGCATTGTGTGCACGGGGGCGACGCCAGGCCGGCTGCTGATGCTAGAGCCCCTCACCTCTGCGTCTTTCTTGGTGGGAGTGGCTGGCCAGTGGGAGAGCATGGCTGGCAGTGAGGTGTGAGGGACCCCGGGGAGGGTTCCGCTCTGCAGGTGGCTGGGGCAGGTACCAACTGTGTGCAAGGATATCGGTATTGCTGGGGTCCCGGGTCCAGGGTGAGCAGAGTGTGTGACCGTGTTGGCGCTCAGGTCCCGAGGCCCTGCAGCCCCACAGGCACGTGGCCGCTTCTCGGGGGTGGTGGGATCGTGTCTGTTCCGCGTCAGTTCTTTCTTGGGCAGCAGTCGGAGGCTCCAGCGCTCTTGGTGACTGCCTCACAAGTTACGAGGGATTTGCCCAGCCCTGCGTGGAGCATCTTTCCCGACTGTGCCTGAGCAGAGCGCTCTGCTGTCCTGAATGTGAGCTTATTTGAGCCTTGGCCATCTGAGGACCTGTCTTCTGTTTTTCAGAGGACTACCCCAATGGCACCTGGCTGGGCGACGAGAACAACCCCGAGATGCGGGTACGCTGCGCCATCATCCCCTCCGACATGCTGCACATCAGCACCAACTGCCGCACGGCCGAGAAGATGGCGCTCACGCTGCTGGACTACCTCTTCCACCGCGAGGTGCAGGCTGTGTCCAACCTCTCGGGGCAGGGCAAGCACGGGAAGAAGCAGCTGGACCCGCTCACCATCTACGGCATCCGGTGTAAGTCGGGCCCCGCCTTGGGGGACTGGGGTGTGCGGGGAGCTGGGTCAGGACCCACATTTCAATGCTGAGGACGCTGGCATCAGTAGCACCGGCACGGGGCTGCGTTTCTCCAGGCGGTTTGAAATCTCAGCCCGAGGATCAGTGCTCGAGGGGATGGATGAGCTGTTGACCCTGATGTGCTTATTACGCACGGCATGCCCGCACCAAAATACCTCATATACCCCATCATATATATACCTACTGTGTACCCTTAGAAGGTGAAAAACTCCTCGCCTCCTGTCTGTAGGCCACTCTTGAGGAAGAGAGAGGAGGAGGAGAGCCGGGGCCTTCCCTGCTGTCCTGGCCACGCTGACCCAGGCCCCCCTGAGCCTCTCCTAAGCGGGTGGAGTGCCACCTGCCTCCTTCCTTCTGAGAGGGCTGGGCCTCAGCAGCCGTGCCAGGGCCTCAGCGCTGACCTGGCTGTGATGGGAGCCAGGAGAGCTCCAAAGCCTGATTTTCGTGCCCAGCCCGGCCTGTGACGTCTCCGTCCCCTCTGAAGAGCGGGATTTGCTCCAGGTGGCGATTGCGGTACTGCCCTTCAATGGCGTTTGATGGGCGCTCAGGTCCTCCTTGCCAGCGTCCATGGTCCATTTGCTCCACAGAGCCCGTCTGCTTCAGAAGCCGTCCTCCTGGCTTCTAACGAAGATGTAAAGTGAAGCAGCAGCAAACGCAAGAGACACGAGGCCCCTGGCGGGAGGGTGTGGGAGGGTGCAGTGGCCTCCGGCAATCTGGGCTCTGGAGAGTCACCTCAGGGGAGCGTGAAATGTAAATCTGATCTCGAAACAGGGCGAGCGAGGCAGAGCATTCAGCGTCCAGGATCTCAGCATGCCGGGGGCGTCCGGGATCTCAGCGTGCGGGGGGCGGGGCGTCCGGGATCTCGGCGTGCGGGATCTCAGCGTGCGGGGGGCGTCCGGGCGTGCGGGATCTCAGCGTGCGGGGGGCGGGGCGTCCGGGATCTCAGCGTGCGGGGGGCGGGGCGTCCGGGATCTCAGCGTGCGGGGGGCGGGGCGTGCGGGATCTCAGCGTGCAGGGCCAGCTGTTCCAGCAGGAAAGAGCCTTGCTCCTCTGGGAAGCACAGTGTGGCCCGTGAGCCTCTGTCAGGAGCAGTGGGGGAGTGGAAGGGCTCCGCTGTTCCGTAGCTGCTGTGAAAATGGGGTCTGAGTAAGACTGGGGTGTCGTGCTGACTGCAGGTTTTTCTGGAAGCTGCTGAGAGGTGGGTCCAGGTCCCACCCACATGCGTGTGAGCAGGTCATGGCATCTTCCCATGTGCCATGTCTTGTCCCAGGCGTGTGCCCCAGCTGTCAGACACCAGCGGGCGCCCATCCTGGACCCTGAGGGTAGTATCAGATAACTCCTGGGAGACCACACGTGGGGCCTCCTCACAGCTTCTCAGCGGTGGAGTAAAGCAGGTCAAGAGGATCAGAGGGTCATGGGGCAGGGGTCACCCTCAGCCTTCTTCTGAAGGGCCACACGGCAGATATTTCAGGCTTTGCAGGCCCTGGGGTCTCTGTTCAACTGCTTAGCTCTGAAAGCAGCCACAGACGAGGAGTCAGCGCATGGTCGTGGATGTGCTCCAACAGGACACTGCCTTCAGAGGCGGGCAGCAGGCCCACCACCCCCTCCACCCTCTGCTTTAGGGCATGGCGTGGCCAGGAGCACACATCTGCGCACCAGACCACGTGATGTGCTTCCAGCTTGAAACCCGGGGGTTGCTTCGTGCTGGTGCTTGCTGTGTGGATCACAGTGTGGAGTGCGTTGAGATATATAGACGAATGAGAAATGGCCCTGATGGCAGAGCGTGCGGTCAGGTAGATAGAAACGTCTGCAACCTGAGAGGTGGCATTGTGGGGTGTCGCAGGAGTGTCAGGCTGGGCTACAGGTTGGAGGCGCAGCCTGGACAGAGAGGAGTGGGTGCTCTTTGGAGAGGATGGTGGTGTGTGGGATGAGCGTGCTGTGCTGTGTGGGGCAGTGGCATTCGGGGCTGGGCCCTGTTCCCAGGTGAGGAGTCCCTGCTCCTCGGGGGAGAAGACAGGGGCCTTGGATGTGAAGCTGGAGGCCGGCTGGCTCTGCCTTGGAGACGGTGCCTTGGATTGTCAGGCTAAGGATTCGGGCTTTCAGGGCATTGGCTGCAATTCTTTTATTAATCGAGCACAGGGAATGTTCCAGTGAGGTGACAGGGGCATGGCAGGGCGATACTCAGAGCAGAGTCCATGGCGGTGGGGTGGCTGTGTCTGTATTCAGGGAGTCCATGTAGGGCGGTGGAAGGCACTGTATGGGGCAGAATGGGGCAGGCTGCGATTCCTTGCGTGTTGTGGCTATGAGTTGACCTTCTCTGCTGAGCTTCTCCTTGCTTGGGAAGTGCTGCCAACCTCGATGGGGGTCTGGAGGCCGGAGAGGGGAGTGGGAGCCTGGCATGGGCCACCACCCTCTCCCCTGGGCCCGCTGGCTTCGGGGCCATCCTCCAGACAGCTGAGGTCATTGGCTGTGTTCACCAGGCTGCTGAACCTCATGGCTTGGGGCCCACTGGCCCGGCCTCCCCAGGCTCTGAGCTGGGCTCTGGAGCACGGTCCCCTGGCAGGGGCGTCCGCTAGCACCGTCATTCTGCTGGAAGTCCCTCCGGGGTGGGGCTCCTGGGCTTGCTCACAGTGCCCGGCCCCTTGGAGATGCCCAGTGAATTCTGGTCTCTAGAGCCGAGCTTTGGGAAGGTCATGGTGTGGCTGACCTTCAGGGTGACTTTGCATGAGGAAGGCTGGCCTGTCCACAGGGCCGTGTGGAGGGGCCTGGAGCAACTGCTGCGTATGGACCAGGGCTGTGCCTTCTCCCCCGCCTCAGGCTAGGCGTGCCTGCGTGGCTCGTGCTTAGACGGAATTGCTGAAACGTAAAAAGCATGGCTTTACCTTTTCTTCCTGTGGCCCAGTTTCATTCTTATTGCTGATTGTTGCCCAAAAAACCAAAACAAATGAAATAAATGCATGGAGCAAACCTCCCAGGCCCCAGCTTGAACAGCGGCAGGAGTGGAATTGGCCGCATTGCCCCACCTTACTCTCTGCTGTTGCTTCAGAGCCCGCAGTGACGCCTGTAGCCTCAGCAGTCAGAGGCCTGCGGCTGTCCTCACTCAACCCAGGCAGCTCACGAGGGAGAAGATTTTGATTTAAGTTTCTCCTTATTTGTCAGCAGAAAGATTTTCTTTCTTTTTCTGGAGAAAAAAGTCTACATTTTGAAACACACAGTAGGTAAAGTCTCTAAGTACCACCTTCTCAAAATGAGGAAATGAGGTTATTGAAAGAGGGAGAGAGAGAAATTTGCTTTTTGGGGTGTTGGCTTTCTTAGGGTTCCCAAGGATTGGTGGACCCCCCGAATTTGGGCAGCTAACCAAATTTGTGTGTTTTATGCAAAAGTAGCATATTATTGCAACTTGGAAAACCTTGGAGCATTTTCCTAAGGAATGTGCTCTCAGGACAGCAGCATTCGCCTGTTTTCTCTATGAAGAGAAATTGGTTTAGTTCTTAGGATTTCTATCCACGGCTCGCTCACGCCTCTGCTTGGACTCTGCATCCAAGCCGGTGACCCCGGATCTGAGGGCTTTTCTAAAGAATGCTGTCTAAGGCCGTGCCACCCTGAACACACCCGATCTCGTCTGATCTAAAGAATGCTGCTGTGGATGGCCGATCCCCATGAGACCTCCTAGCAGTTACGGAAAGACTGGATTCATTTGCACAAGGTAAAAAGTTATGCTTTCAGGGTTGACCTGTCAGATGATTGTAGTTCTTTTCAAATCATTCACTCCAAGCCCCAGGTGGTGGTACCTAGTGGGAAGCAGCGGGGGCCACTTCACCCACACCTGTCCCTGTGAGTGCAGGTGTGCGACCTGGCCCCGTTGTGTCTTGCAGGGTGCCTCAGGTTCCTGTGGCCGCGGGGACAAAGCTCACAGCCTGGCTGGCTTAGAACACAGGCTTGTGTTCTCGTGCAGGTTTGGAGGCCAGATGCCTGGGATGAAGGTGTGGGCAGGGCCACGCTGCCTGAGAAGGCCCTTTCCCTCTCCCAGCTTCTGGTGGTGGCCGCATCCCTCCAGTCTCTGGCCGCATCCCCCTCGGCTGTCTTCCCCCCATGTCTCCCTCTGTGTCCCTCTCCTTATGAGGACAGTCACTGGATTTGGAGCTCCCTCTCCTGCAGGATGACCTCATTACAACCTAATGAATCACATCTGCAGAGACCCTAGTTCCCAGTCAGGTCACATTCTGGGGTCCTGGACCAGGACGTGAGTTTTGTGGGGACACTGTTCAGCCCAGGACACAGGACACGGGTGGTCAGGTGCTGTCTCTTCTCCAGGTTCTCTGTGAGGTGAAATGGTGAGGCTGCCCTATATGTGTCCTTAAGGCAGAATGTGGACTCCATGCAGGGGTGGGTGTTTGTCTGTGTATCTTGGGACATTGAGCGCCTCACGGTGACTGAGAGCTGGGAGGAAGGTGTGGTCAGTGTGGGCTTCAGGCAGAAAAGTGAGCAGAGCCTCCTTCTCAGCAGGTCACCCAGAAGCTGTGACCTGGAGGTGGTCCTGCAGGTGGCTGTGAGGGGCTCTCTGGCTAACAGACTGAGGACAGGTGTCTCTCCATCATTTTTTCTCATAAAGGAGTGAGTCAGCAGGCTTGAAGAAGGTGGCCGGCTTGGCCTGGAGGCTGGACGTTTGAGGTGCATGGGGCGTGAGCTGTGTATGCTTCCCCCGGGAGGGAGCATGTCAGCTGGCTTCCATCGGGCAGAGGCCTTTTGTTTTTCTAGGCAGCGCTGTCACGTCGAGTCTGTAATTTGAAGAAATCAGTTGTTGGCACTCGGTTTTGTGGTGCCTTCCCTTGCACATGAGAGTGTGTTAGCAGGTGGGGCTCTTCATTCCTTTGTGACTGATAAAGCCCCATGCCACCCACCAAGGCACAAGATGACAAGCCCTCCTGGCTCTCTCATCTCGCTTCCCACAGTGCCTCTCATGGCCCCACAGATGGAGAGCTGGGAATCGGCTTATGATTTGAACCACCAGAGTCAGTAACGGGGGTTCTGGAAAGTGGGAAGGCAGCTAACGGTGTAGTGGAGACTCTTTAGCTCTTTGGGGACTGCAGAACAGCTCGCCAGGAAAATAGAGGCGTGCACTGTGGCAGGGATGCTGCCTGGCTGAGCCTGGAAGGCAATCCCGTCCCGGCCTTGAGGGGCCTCGGTTGGTGTAGTGTGGGGATATGGCTGGGGAAAGCAGGGACTGAGGCCAGACAGGGTGTTCTGCTCCCAGGTGACGCCACGCTGTGGGGATCCCGTGAGCCTCAGCAGCCGGATGCCGAGCACTTCTGTTCTCCTTGTGTCCTGGGCGCTGCTGCAGGGGAGACTTCTGCCTCGATTGAAGTCCGACTAGGCCTCCCAGAGCAGGGGCTGCAGGTGCCTTGGGCTGAGGGAGCTCAGGACAGCAGAGTCACGTGTGCGGGGCTGTGCGTGTTCTTCCCGTCTCCCCGAGCACCTCTCATGGGTTCTCAGGATCCAGTGAGGGCCGCTGCTTCTTCACCTGGTGGGCCCAGGAAGCTTGCACTTTAAGGCCGGTGCTCACTCCTAACTAGTAATTGGACTTGGACACATCACTTCTCCTTTTTCTGGCTTTTGCCTCAAAACCAAAGTGATGAGAGTAGTGACATTCCTACTTCATGAGGCTTTTAAAAAAAAATGTCTGTCAAATAACATGAGATCAAATGCTTAAAGTGGAAAATGGCAGTTAAATTCAAGGTGATCTTTTGATCCCATCATGATAGGATTTTTCCCGCTCCCTGTTAAGTGCGGCTGCTCAGTGCTGTCAGAAAAGGTAAAGGAATCCGAGCCCTGAGGGCTGCCCAGACGTGGGCGCTTGCCCCAGCTGCTGTCCAGTAGCATCTGCGGGCGGCGCCTGCACCCGTAAGTGCATGTTCAGATCCTCGCCCTCCTCACCCACTGCACTCTGCGGGCAGCACTTGGGCGGCTGGTCCGTTCTCTGGATCTCCTTTGTGGCCGGCAGGGGGCATTCGCCCAGGCTGGGGCCTGGAGCGCAGACGGAAGGAATTAGATAATTTGATGTCTGAGGACAATGGAAACTCGGTGGCGGGTAACCAGATGAATATATATTTTTTATTTAATAAGTGTGAGTCAGGGTTTGAACTGGCAACTTGATTTTTACAAAGTTGAATTTAAATGTGAATGTTTTCACCCATTTCTCTTACCTATACACCTGGGTGTTTTAGATTTATCTTCTTTCCTGTTACTAACCCGTTTTTAAATTTTGTATGGACTCATTCATCCTTCAAAGTCTATGGAATTTTTCTCCTGGAGTGTGAAGGTGGGAGGGTCACAGGAGGGCGGTTCTGAGGATGTTTCTTTTTATCGACTCGTGCTCCAAAGATGTTTTCCTGCTGGTGGGATGGCTGTTTCTTTCTTGCCCTCCCGGTGGCAGCAGCTGGGCTGCTTTGTATCTAAAATCAGTAGCTGGGCTCTCATGAAACTATTGAAGTGCAGTTTGAAAGCTGGGTTTTCCGGTAACTATGGTGCAACCTCTGGCAGCAGCTGGGCTCTCCTGTAAGGATTTCCTAGTGATTTTAATGGTTGGGTTCCCCCATGACCACAGCCAGCGGCTGGGTTCCTCTGTGAGTCACTAAAGTTGCTCAGCCTGGGGCTTCCTGAGGCGCCCGAGTCACCCAGCCAAGATTCGAGGGTGACTTGGAGTATTTTAGAGATGACCCGAAAATTGGAAGCCAAAGGGCGGCTGCTTCCTGTATGGCTTCTTTATGCATGAGGATGAAAATGTGCTGCCGAAACCACTTTAGGGTGTTCTTCCCTCTCATCCTACAAATCCCACCGTCCTGACTGGTTTCTTTTTGTCTGCAGCACAGACAGGTTGGTTGTGATTATACAGAGATTCTAAACGTGTCTCAAGTATCTACTGATAAGAAAGTCAAGAGGCATGTTTCCAAAACCCGAGGGACTTTTGATACCTAATCGAGTACTTAAAAAAACCCAAACACTTCTTCCTCTGTTTTAATTATTTCCACCATTTTAGTCTCAATGGGAACAGATTTTTAGGGTTTGGGCAGTAGAGTCCGAACTTGAGGCTCTTGGTAGTTGAAACGGGACACTTTTCAGCTTAATCTTTTTATTACTACAATTTTGGATTCCATCCATGTATTTTCCTGTAAATTAGTGAAGTTGCATGAGCCAGCTAGAGAGGCCACTGCATTGAAGAGCCCTTCCCATCATGCCCACATTCGTCATCGCTACAGGGATGGGGTCCTGTGGCCTAGTGGGAAGTGGCCGGGCGTGCAGTGGGGCGCTGGCTCCCTCCTGTCACCTGCTCCGCCGTGGCCTTCGGATCCTCAGTTTTCTCCCTGTTGAATACAGGGCATCTCTGGATGCTGCTCAGGGCGTGCTGAGAGCTCTCCGTAGCGCAGGTGGTAGAGAACTGGGGGTCCCAGGACAGTTCTCTGCGTGTGCACGGTGAGCCCCAGGAAGACGATGCACCTGGCTTTGGCCCCACAGTGAGAGTAGGTTGTGCCCACTCGGCTTGTGGTATAGGGACTCCAGGGATGAGGACACAGGCCCTGCCCGTAAGGAGTTTGTACTCTAGTTGAGAAGGCACGATAGAGAGGCGTCGGGAATGACATAAGCAAGCCCCGGACCTGAGCAGCGATGGGAGGGTGTCTTGCAGTCCGTTGTCATCACTATTTACACAGGAGCAGCCACTGTGCGCCAGAATGTTCTGGGTGCCTGACCCCCATGGGTGGACACAACAAAGGCCCCTGTGTTTATGAGGGGGACAGAGTAACAGTGCATACATGAATTCTCCAAACTGTGTTTGCGAGGGGAACAGAATAACAATACATGCGTGAATTCTCCAAACTGTGTTTACCAGGGGAACAGAGTAACAATACATACATGAATTCTCCAAACTGTGTTTGTGAGGGGGACAGAGTAACAATACATAACTTGAATTCTCCAAACTGTGTTTATGAGGGGGACAGAGTAACAAAAATACATACTTCAATTCTCCAAACCGTGTTTACCAGGGGAACAGAGTAACAATACATACATGAATTCTCCAAACTGTGTTTGCGAGGGGAACAGTAACAATACACACCTGAATTTTCGAAACTGTGTTTGTGAGGGGGACAGAGTAACAATACACACATGAATTCTCCAAATGCCGGAAGGTGGTCAGTGCTCTGACAAAACAAGTGGGAGGAGGGTGGGAGCCCAGGAGGGCGGGAGGGCCAGGTGGTTATCCAGGGGGATGGTGAAGCCAGGACATGAAGGAAGGGAAGGCGGTGGCCGAGCAGGCCCGAGTAGGCAGAGGACCAGCGAGTTCTGATCCAATTGTTGAGGTCCCTGATCTCACCCTCTGGGCATTCAGGACCTTGGGTGCTGCTGTGAGCTCAGGGCAGAGGGAAGTTGGGGCGTGGAAGGTCTGGGAATCTTGTGAGAGCCCCAAGTGTGCACCTGGTGTGGGCCGACCGAGTCAGAGGGATCGAGAAGTTAAGTAAATGGAAAGAGTGTGTCATGACACCTTAGTGAGCATTTATATCTCGTGGGGAGCCCCGCCTGTGGGCCAGCTAAGCACCTTCTGTGCAGTGGGCCTTTCCAGACCCTTGCAGGAAGACGGGGCCGGCCTGGCGGGCTGGGGTGCCTGGGTGAGGCCTCTTCAGCGGGCCCCGGCCCTGCAGCCAGGCAGCTCCTGGTGGCTGTCCCGAACAGGCCTCACCGCTTCTCCTTGGATGTGTCCTTCCAGGTCACCTTTTCTATAAATTTGGCATCACAGAATCCGACTGGTACCGAATCAAGCAGAGCATCGACTCCAAGTGCCGCACGGCGTGGCGGCGCAAGCAGCGGGGCCAGAGCCTGGCGGTCAAGAGCTTCTCGCGGAGAACGCCCAACTCGTCCTCCTACTGCCCTTCAGGTAGGCCTCGTGCTGCAGGAGAGGCCGCCCTCCCCCGCTCGGGGCAGCTGGCCTGGTGGCACCCTCAGGGGCAGCCAGTGCGTGGCCAGCGGCTCCACCAGTGGCCGGGAGCCGAGGCCAGAGGCTTGCGCGGTGCGCACGGAGCAGTGGAGCCGCAGGACCTGTGCCTGGCCCCGTGCGCCCTTCACACGGACAGCCTCGGGCCTGCTCCAGGCTCCTCCGTGAGGGACAGAGGGCCTGTTGGGCCTCCCGGAAGTCTTCTGGATGGGGGCAAGGAGGCCGAGGCCTTTGCGTGGGGCTGCCGGCCGTTGTATTCTCACGATTTGCCGGGTGACTCCGGGTGAAGAAGTGGGGTGGATTCTGAATTATGCTTTATTTTTGCTTTGAGTTCATGGCCTTAGTTGGATTTATCCACAAGATAATGGAAACAGTTCTCTTTGAGTTGCCTCTCAGGCATCGCTGGGGGGATTGTTCTCCTTGGAGAATTTTCACTAGGAATGACAATGTGACTTGATACTGCCTTTCACCCAAGACATCTCAAAATATTTTAGTAAGTATTTGAATGAAAACTATTCTCTTAAAGCTCCCCACAGTAGCTGCATTGGCAGCGACTCTTGGAACTTGAGCTGTGACTGGGGCTGGGGTCAGGATGCGAGGGCAGCCGTGGGCAGGGCCAGCTCTCCTATTCAGTGGAGTCTTTGTTGGCGGGAACCCTTTGTTCTGGAAGTCCTGGGAGTTGCAGACCAGATCACCTGGAGTTCTCCCGGGGCCTGGTTCTTTCTGAACCGGACTTCAGGAAGTGGTTTTCTCGGGCTGTTTTGGTAGTTATCAGATACTCGGCCTCAGCTGCTGCCCAGGGGCTTGAGGATGGGAGGTGGCTGCCTGTAGTGGGCCACACAAGTTGTGTCCCTAAAGCAGCGCTTTATTGAGTGACCTGTGTTGAAGAAGCTCTTCTATTCTAGGCCTTTCTACTACAATGAGGAATTCTGCCTTGGGACTTGAGAGAGGTAGCAGTCCTGGGGTGTGGGTTAAGGGCATTCACTGAAATACCATGTAGCAGCGTAACCTGTGGCTATTGAAATGCGGCTGTAGGAATATTGCGCATGACTTGAATTCTGCTCTTGAATATTCATAGCTAGGCAGCAGAGAGCGATGTGAGGACTATACTTATGGCATGATACCATTTTTATTGCAAATATATAGGTATATGTGGAAGTTGATTAAAAATTTATGTGTGATCATTTTTACAGTGCCTGTCTCTAGGTAGTAGGATAATTTTTATTTTTCCCTTTGTCTTTCATTGTAGTTTCTCAGTTATTTCCAATAAGCACTGCATTAGTTTTATAGTTGTAAAAAATGTTTAAAAGTCAGGGAGCCCAGGCGTGGTGGCTCATGCCTGTAATCCCAGCACTTTGGGAGGCTGAGGCAAACTGATCACCTGAGGTCAGCAGTTTGAGACCAGCCTGGACAACATGGTGAAACCCCGTCTCTACTAAAAATACAAAAATTAGCCAGGTGTGGTGGCGCATGCCTCTAATCCCAGCTACTTGGGAGGTTGAGGCAGGAGAATTGCTTGAATCCAGGAGGCAGAGGTTGCAGTGAGCTGAGACTATGCCACCACACTGTAGCCTGGGTGACAGAGCGAGACTGTATCTCAAAAAAAAAAAAAAAAAAAAAAGCCGGGTGCTGTGGCTCACGCATGTAATCCCAGCACTTTGGGAGGCCAAGGCGGGCAGATCATGAGGTCAGGAGATCGAGACCATCCTGGCTAACACGGTGAAACCCCGTCTCTACTAAAAGTGTCAAAAAAATTAGCCGGGCGTGGTGGCTGGCGCCTGTAGTCCCAGCTACTCGGGAGGCTGAGGCAGGAGAATGGCGTGAACCTGGGAGGCGGAGCTTGCAGTGAGCCGAGATCACACCACTGCACTCCAGCCTGGGCTACAGAGCAAGACTCCGTCTCAAAAAAAAAAAAAAAAAGTCAAGGAGAGGAGGTTTCTGTCAGGCACACTAGCAGGAACCAGATTGAATTCTCTTGCCATTGAAATCTGGACAAAATTTGTGTCTGTGAATCGGCTGTCCTAAGACGTTAGACAAGCAACAGCACAGGACCGTGATCCTGAGAGAAGGAACATGAGAGGAGGGGACAGGGAGATACCGGGCAGAGACACCTGCATCACTGCATGGAGGAGATGGGTTGGAGTTGAGAGAGGCTGAGGCAGCAGAAAGTTGTGGAATCAAGTTCCTAAGAGCAGAGGGTTACACGGGGGCCTTCTTGGGTGTTTGGGGGACTCCAAGGCAGGCATGAGCTCAATGGCTCCTAAGCTCACCCCAGGCTGGGTGGTGGTTGGATTCCCACTGGCCGGAGTCCTCAGTGATCAGTCGCTGCACTAGCAGGCCATGCCTACTGGCAGGCTAAACTATCCCTAGAATAAAGGCAGAGCTTAAGACAGCCTGAGAAAGATCACATTGAACCACAAGTAACAACACTTTTAAAAGAAAGACAACAAAACCTAGACACCCAACAAAGTAAAATTCACAATCTCCAGTATCTAGTCCAGAGTAGCAGGAAGCAGGAGATTGTGACCTATGATCAGAAAATCAGCAAATAGGAAGGGACCCTGTCTGGAATTAACTGACCAGGACATTGAAATCTATTAAAATTACATTCAAGAATTTAAAGGAAAAAAGGAACATAGCAAGGAGAGAAATAGAAGACATAAAAAAGAACCGTATGGAACTCCTAGACTCGAAGAGTGAGGAGAGTTGTTGCCAGGCTTGCCTTCCATGTGTTTCGGGTACGTGCATTTGGTAAGGTTAGCGGTCTGCTTCATCCAATGGGGAATGAAAACCCAAGTTAAATGACTTGCCAGGACCTTAGTGAGCAAGAAGCTGCTGTTATATAACCTGACGACTGCCAGATATGTTGGCCTGCGTCATTAGGATACCAGAATCTTGAAAGAGTACATTTAATGAGCTGAAATGTCACAGCTGGAAATGTAGACTCAGAGCATTTGCACAGGAGTAGACGGTGGTGCAACAGCGTGTGAAGCCGAGTGTTTTGCTGGCTGCGCTGGTAGGCAGGAGCTTCCTCGGAGCCCTTGTGGTTGCAAGGTGCACTCTGGAGCACACCCATTCTTTGCTTGTCTGCCCTGTGGCCCCAGTGGAGTGTTTTGGAGCTGCTGGGAGAAGCTGTCCAGGGACAGACTGTCATGGTGGCAGTGGGCTGGAAACCGTTGTCTTTGGGGAAACGGTTAGAAATGGAGATTTCACAAGGTTTGATAATGCTTAGATGCCTGGAGAAGTAGCGCATAAGTAAAGAATTAGGCTGGTTTTGTAGGTGCTAAGAGGGTCAGTGGAGGAACAGCAGCTCCGCGGAGGTGGGCTTCAGCCCAGCTGGGATTTTGTCATTTTCTTCCTGGGGTGCACAAGGCTTGCTCGAGGACCTGTGGTGGTGAGTGCTCCGTAACTGCTCAGGCAGACAGGAAGCCGCCGTGGAGCACGCAGCACTGCCTGGCGGTGGTTGCTTTGGGACATGACCCATCACTGGAGGTGCTCAGGTGGAGTCAGGGTCTTTGGCTGGAGCCGAGCTCTCCACATGCAGCATGCAGGTGGGCTTGTTGAATCTCCTTTGAATCTCATGAATTTCAGATTCTGATTTAGTGTAGCTAGGCAATTTCTAGCATATTGCAAGTATCAACATTCTGTTAATGTGACTGGGCACAGTGGCTTACACCTATAATCCCAGCATTTTGGGAGGCTGAGGCAGGCGGATCATTTGAGGTCAGGAGTTCAAAACCAGCCTGGCCAACCTGGTGAAATCCCTTCTCTACAAAAAAATACAAAAAAAAATTAGCCCAGCATGATGGTGGGTGCCTGTAATCCCAGCTACTTGGAAGGCTGAGGCAGGAGAATCGCTTGAACTTGGGAGGCGGAAGTTGCAGTGAGCCAAGGTCATACCACTACACTCCAGCCTGGGTGACAGAGCAAGACTCTCTCTCAAAAAAAAAAAAAAAGAAACCCAACATTTTATTGTTACTTTAAAAAATGTATTCAGTGGAATCTAGGTACTATGGCAATTTAATACCTACCATTAGCTATTGGTAAAAAATACATGGAAAGCTTTTCTCTCCCCTCCCCCGCTCTTGCCCTCCCCTCTCTTGCCCCTCCCCGTCCCTTCCCCCGCTCGCTCTGTTGCCTGGAGCTGAGTGCCATGGTGCCATCTCAGCTCACTGTAACCACCTACTCCCAGGTTCAAGTGGTTCTCCTACTTCAGCCTCCCAAGTAGTTGGGACTACAGACGCGTGCCACCACACCTGGCTAATTTTTGTATTTTTAGTAGAGACGGGGTTCACCATGTTGGTCAGGCTGGTCTCGAACTCCTGACCTGAAGTGATCTTGCCCGCCTTGGCCTCCCAAAGTGCTGGGATTACAGGCGTGAGCCACCGCGCCTGGCCCGCTTCTCTTTAATAATCAATAATTTTATGTCTTTCATTTTTCTCCTTTCATTCATATCAACATTCTACTTCTCTCACAGAATTTCATCTTACTGCTTCCCTCCCCTGTACCCCCGAGATGGAGTCTCGCTCTGTTGCCCAGGCTGGAGTGTAGTGGTGCCATTTCGACTCATTACAACCTCCGCCTCCCAGGTTCAAGTGATTCTCCTGCCTCAGCCTCCTGAGTGCCTGGGATTACAGACCCCCACCACCACGCCTGTCTAATTTTTGTATTTTTAGTAGAGATGGGGTTTCACCATGTTGGCCAGGCTGGTCTTGAACTCGTGACCTCAGGTGATCTACCTGCCTTGGCCTCACAGAGTGCTGGGATTACAGGTGTGAGCCACCGTGTCCGGACTACATTTTTATGCTTAAAAGCTTTTTAAAATTAGTCATTATAATTCTCTGCAACAAAACTACGTGTATACATTGAAAATTAAAAAGTTTTTCTGCGCTCTTAATATTCTGAGAGTTTAAGAAAATTATGATTGAGACATCATTACAGTGAAAATTAATACACAGTACATCAAAGCAAATGTATCTCATTTTGATTAAACACAGCAAGTAAAATTTGTTGGAAATGTATCTTTAAGTGTGCGGATGAGACTTTTGCTCTATTAGTTTAATTACCCATGGACAAATATTGCCAGCCTGAAACAGCTTTTAATGTCCACTTTAAGAACTTCATTCATTTAAATAAGTTGGGGACTAGAAGGGGTTTTGTCATAGCAGCATCACGCCACTCTCAGGCCCTTTTGCATTCCATGTCGGAAGCCTCAGTTCCTAAGACTCACTGGTAGTGATCTCTGCAGAAGAGTGGAGATGCAGTGAGTCGAGGAAAAATGAAGCATTTCCTCTTCTCTGCTGTGGGAGTCGACAGTGGGGGACGGGGGTGCACACATGCCACACCAGGCAATGCCTAAGAAACTTCTCGTTCACCCCGTTCACACCTGTTGCCCCCACAGAGCCGATGATGAGCACCCCACCTCCTGCCAGCGAGCTCCCGCAGCCACAGCCGCAGCCGCAGGCCCTGCACTACGCGCTGGCCAACGCACAGCAGGTGCAGATCCACCAGATCGGAGAAGACGGACAGGTGCAAGTAGTACGTACCCTCTCCACCTCACACCTTGGGAAAGGGGGCTGCGGGGTGGGCCACGGCAGGGCCATGGCGGCTTCCACCGGTTCCGCTGTGTTTTGGGAGCACAGTGATAGCTTGGGAGGAGGCACAAGGTCCCCATTTAAAGTAGAGGTCATCGTGGCCATGAGCTCTTAACATTTCACAGGTGGGGGCGGCTGCTGCAGAGCCTAGGGATTGAAGCACATGGTGGGGTGGGGCATTCAGTCAGCTCACCTCAGTCCTGCCAGCAGGCAGGCGGGCAGTCAGCTCCAAGGGTCAGGCCGTGCGGTGGTCCCTGCCCCAGCTCGTGCTCCTGGGAAACATCGGAAATATTTCTCAGTTCAGAAGTGCAGGCGCTCTCTTACTGAGGGAAAGAGTAATTTCCTTCTAGGATCAGTGGCAAAAGCTTGAGGTCATTGTTCCCATGCAGCGTGTCCCTTGGAGTTACTCAGCACACCCAGGTTGGGCGGGCACTGTCCCAGCAGCAAGTCAATGTCCTGCCTTGCCCGTGCGGAGTTCTCTATTGGGGTTTTGTGACCCAAGCTGTGGTCAGCCTGATGCGCCTAGGGGCTTGCTCCCGGGTGAAGTCCCTCTACAAACACCTCCTGGATTCTGTGGCATGAGAGTAGGGCGTGGCTGAGAAGGAAGGAAGACTTTTCTGGAAGCTTTGCTGAGTGACTAGAAATTTTACATGCACCACTAGACCTCGCCTATGTTTTTAGTGGCACCAGCCCCCTTGGGCCCTCTGAAGACAGGTCATCGTGTGCCTCCGTGTCACCAGGGCTTTCTCCTGGAAACATGGTCCTCCACTATTGAGAGTGGGGCGTGGCTCTCATCTCAGTGTGGCTTCAGCATGCTGTCTGGAAGAGGGAAGGCTTCCGGAAAATTCTGGGGCTTTTAGAGGGGGCGTTACCCTTCCTCTTCCAAAGGAGATGAGACAGTTATGAATAGTGAATCTTATTTAATAAGCTTATTAATTTGTTTGACATTCACAACGGCAGTTCCTCTCATCTTGTTAGTAAGAAGTTCTTTGAAAGCGTTCCAGAGTAGATAACTTTGTCATAAGGCTTACATAGAACATTCTACAGGAGTTTATTTTAAGATCCATTTCGACTAAGAGAGAATTTCAAATAAGATAAGGAGTATTCGTTTCATTTACAGGTTTATAGGAATTATTTGTCTGCCCATATGTATAAACAGTGGATTCTTTGATTTTTTTTGAATCACATTTATTAGTGTTTACTGAAACTGTCTAAATAGTCATATGAGTGTTTCTTTGATTTGAAAAACGTTGCCTGCCCTGTTGTGAGTGTAGGCACGCCAACAGCTCCCCTGCTTCAGCCACACACTGCGTAGCCTCCCAGTATCCCCAGAGAGCTGAACGTATCATTTGAAAAGAGGTGTCATTGTGATTTTCTATTTCCCCTCTTTTCTGTGTGTCATGCACATTTTAAAATTTACTTGTTTAGTAACATTTAAAGATGTAAATATCTTTCCTGGGACCTATTGCTCCTTTGTGAAGTGCTGGAAAATGTTCTGTGTTACACAGCAGCCCCCCCTTACCCATGCTTCCACTTTCCCAGGCTTTAATTACCCATAGTCAACTGTGATCTGAAAATATTAGATGAGAAACTCCAGAAATAAACAATTTGTAAGTTTCAGATTACATACTCTTCTGAGTAGTAGCATGATGAAGTCTGGTCGTCCTGCTCTGTCCAGCCCGGGACGTGAGTCGTTCCTTTGTCCAGCATGTCCAAGCTGTGTGGCACATATGGGCGGGAAAAAGCATAGCATATATGGGGTTCAGCACCATCCACAGTTTCTGGCGTCCACGTGGTGGGGGTAGGGGGTGCTTCTTGAAACCCTCATGGATGAGGGGGACTACTGTGAACCAAAAGCTTAATTTAAAGAAGTGACCACAGACTATATTGCACTATTCAGGATTTAGTTATCTTTTTGAATTGTAAACAGATAATCAAGAACAAACATTCCGGAAGATGTTTCTTGTTTCCTTTGCTTTTGATTTTCTTCTGATGCTTCTTGGTGTCTTTTCTTGCTGCGGATCCCACAGGGACACCTCCACATCGCCCAGGTGCCGCAGGGGGAGCAAGTCCAGATCACGCAGGACAGCGAGGTGAGTCAGCTCTCGCTGCAGCACTGTCCCTGCAGGCACCGTGCCCACATGCTCCCGACCTTCATCGGTGTCACAGTGCGAGGGCAGCAGGGAGCCCCCAGGACAGGGAACGTGGGCAAGGGCTGCAGGACTCCGCTTCCAGGGTGCACATAGCGGGCCTGCAGTCTCTGTGGCCTCTCTGCCTCCCCCTCCTGTCCGTTGGTCTCCACAGCTTCTGGTCTGTCTTGGTAAAGATCTCCTGGGTAGATGTTTCTACTGCTGGCTGGAAGTGCCCTCTGAGTACCCTTCTCTCCCTGTCTGGCCCTGCCCTTCCTGCCAGGGGAGGCCCCCAGTGTGGCCGAGATGGGGTCTGCCCCTGCGTAGGTGACCTGACATACCCCCTCACCTGCCATGTGGCCCCAGCTTCCTAGTGGCCTCTACGGGATTAGTGCCGATTTCATGGGATGGTGGGGAATCCCACAAGGTGATGCTGCCAGTCCTGAGAGCTGCTCATAGCCCTTGACGCACCTGCTGGGTCTGTGATTGTCTCAGTTTCTGGAGCTCTACCCGGCCACGCACTCAGAAGTGCGGGCTCAGCTGCTGTTGGGGTCTGGAATGTGAAGGCGGCAGTGACAGTCTGAGTTCTTGGAAAGCCGAGGCCAGCCTGTTGCGATGCTCCATGTTTGCATGCCAGAGCAGGACTGTCTCCCGGGTGACCGTCCTTCGACTCTGGGCTGTTTCCTGCAGCACAGGCAGCAGCAGGCACAGGGCACTAAGCAGCACACACGTGTTGTACTCAGTGACCGTGGTGCGCTCTGGGGGATGAGGAACATGGCTGTTTCTAGGTCGTGACAATGGCACCAGCTTTGTGTTTGGTGCATAGTAGTGTGTCGCTGCAAAGATCTCAGGCTTCCCCACACACACCAGCAGCAGAGACTAGGAAGCCCGGGTGCTGAGGTCAAGGGGACTCATGGAGATGTTGGCGTGCGAGGCCTCCTGGGAGCTCATGCTGGGTGCAGGTGCTGTGGGGGAGCAGAGGAGAGAGAAGCCCTGCCATCGGGGACTCACAGCGGGCGCAGAGCCTCCTGCCCAAGTGCCCGTGAGCAAGACTGTGGACACATGCACGCCGTGGCACGTGGAGCACCAGGGACTCGGGCGTGTCTGCTGGCAGTGGCTTTAATTTGGACACCAGCAGTTCCCGGTGGGTTATCCTGAGAGGGGAGCACATGCGTAAGGGTTCTGAGGGCGGAATGAGGATGAGGTGAAAGGGGAGGAACGAATTCATGTGGGGGCCGTGAGCGACTGGGAATGAGTGGGCTCATCCACACAGCGACATGACCAGGTCACTAAGAAACGTGGTCAGATGGATGGATGGAAGGAAGCAGCAGGGCGGGGAGCAGGTAGGGGACGGTCCCAGGAGGCCAGAGTGTCCAGGAAGGAGCAGGGCCTTCCCTGTTCTGTGTCTGTGGGTGGGTCAGGGACCATCTCCTTGGAGATGTCAGGAGATGCGCCTGTCAGCTCAGCGAGGTCAGGTGCAGGAGTTGGGGGCCTGAGTGGCTGCGAGGTGCAGGATCCCAGCAGCACCTTCCAGTGCAGGAGCTGCCTTTGAGGGGCAGGGGAAGGTTTGCTTCTCAAGGCACAGACAGATGTGGGCTGGGAGGCTAAGCTCACTGCCAAAGAGCTCAGCCAGAGTTCTTGAATACCTGGAAGCCTATGAAGTTCGTCAGAATGCTTAATTTCCTTAGAGTCATTGAAAATGCAGGAAAATTGAAACAGCAGCAAAAGAAAAAAAACAACACACATTTGCTTTTTATAGTTTATGCTAAAAAAATCTTGACTACTCGAATTTCAATTTTTTATTATTAGTTTTATCCATCAGTTTTCAAAACTGAATCCATCTTGTATAGGTGATTGTCTTTCGTTTTCAATAGGAATTGAATGCAGTAAGTTAGAAATTGCTAATAATACTAACGATGGCTTTGTGATGAGTGACAGTATGCAGTCTCGTCACCATACATTCATACCGTGTTCATTTAAAATTATTTTGTTAAAACAGGATATCTGCAAATAAACATTTAGCAGGGTCTGACAGACAACACAGTTCCTTTTTACAACAAATGAAAATGAATTTCTAACTGGAGAGCTCTTAGTAGCTCTGTGGTTGAGTGAGTTGGTTCCTTGCGTGCAGCCCGTGACCTGGCGTGGTGATGCCGCACAGCTCAGCAAGGCGTCCCCCTTCGGGGAAGCTGGGCGACACACACATAGGACGTCTCTCTGCTACTTTCTGTACTTTTTGTGAGTCAGATTCTTTCAAAATAAAAAATGAAGTAAAAATGACATTTTCATTTGGGGTCAGGGTAGGGGAATGAGTACAATGCTTTTTGAGTTGTTTGTTCATCTTTAAAATAATAAATAGTACCTAGAAATGTCAATATTTTGTTTTGGGGCTTTTGTTGCTACTGGAGGTTGAATTTTTGCAGAACTGGGGTTTTCTTGTTATTCTCAAGTGGCCTGTGATGTGTCTTGGCGTGTTTGCCGTGTCTGAGGGTGTCTTGGTGTGTTTCTACTCATGACCGTCTCCTCCTCTCGTTCTTTGTAGGGCAACCTCCAGATCCATCACGTGGGGCAGGACGGTCAGGTGAGTGTCCCAGTCCCCATGCACATGCGGGCGTTGCGCTGCCGAGGGATGGGGTTCTCAGGGGAGGGGGTGGGACGGTCAGGTGAGTGCCCTGGTCCCCATGTACATGTGGGCATTGCGCTGCCGAGGGGTGGGGCTCTCACGGGAGGGGTGGGACGGTCATTGTGGGCATTGCGCTGCCGAGGGGTGGGGCTCTCATGGGAAGGGGGCGGATGGTCAGGTGAGTGCCACAGTCCCCCTCTCACATACAGGCCATGGTGCTGCCAAGGAATGGGGGCTCTCGCGGGAGGGAGCGAGGGTGCAAAGGCCTCTCAGTGTGAGCCCCAGAGCAGGACTGGCTTTCCTCACCATGACAATGCACAGGCCTGGAAGGGGGGAGGGCAGGGCTTGGGGGTTACATTTGCTGCTCCGTAGGATTTCAGCAGCTTTTGCGCTATGGCGGAAACGTGCCCTCCCACCCCCGCCACCCCACCCCCTTCAGATGGTTATTTTCTGCACACGCATGCGTATGTTGATGGTGGTCATGTTTGCACAGATAACTCTGTTAGAAAAAGGTGGTTTCGCTCCTGTGTATTGCCGTCAAACTCACAAACTTGCCAGCTTTCTAATCCTTGATGAAAAGAGTGACCATTGGTTGAACACCCCAGTACGAATGGTCTCTACAAAATGACGTGCTCCGACGGTGCGGGTCCTGGGGAGGGTGTTGCTGTGCAGGACAGAGTCCACTCGCTGGTGGTTTTGAGGCTGTGTGTTCCTAGGTCCTGGTGAAGACCCTTTCTGTTCAGGAGATGGCTGTCACCTCTGGATCACTGAAGAATCTGGGTGATCTTCCCATTTCATAAAACAGAAGCTGGGAAGTTGACAGTGAGAACCATAAACAGAGCTCACTGCGTAGAAAGATAATACTAATTTTTCAAAACCACAGTGCACTGTCCTTCGAGAAACCTGCATGCGTTCTCTTTGTCAAGGCCAGGCCCTGCGGATCTCTGACCCGACTGAGCCTGGTGCACTCCCAGAGCGAGGTGCTTTACACAGAGCGGGACAGAAGGGCATGTGCTCCCGTGGGCTTTCCGTTGACCCCTCAGAGGCACCTTGGGAGAAGGGCTGCAGACCCTCCAGAACTGGTTTATGTCAGAGTTTCTTAGTTGGAAAGTTTCATCTTAAAGATCAGCACGAGGTTTTCTCAGGTAGTCCTGCAGCATCGCTCGTCTGTAAGTATGAATTGCTGCTCTGGAAAAGAGCCAAAGGAATGCGCAGCTTTTAAATCCACAGTTGTGGCTTTGTGCTCACTCCACTGGGGTAATGAGGCTGCGGTCGGCGCAGTGCAGGTCAGTTCTCCGCGCCTTTGTCCCGTGGTTCTCACGGTCACGGGGGCAGCAGAGGACAGGGCTCATAGCTGGCGGTCCGTCTTCGTTTTCTGCAACATAGTGGTTTATGGTTCTGCTGGTAGTGGAACTGTATCATAGTTGAAACGCTGCTGGACGTTTAATTCCTAGGAAAAGTAAGGCACGTCACCTTCGACATTCCCTTGTTCCTGTCTCTACCCCTGAACAAAATCCACTTGGAATTTTAAAGACAGAACCAGCCTTTTACACTGTATTACTGCAGTGCTTCTGTTTATGATTGTAGACAGAATTCTCCCAACTTTATTGTGGGGACAGAGATTCCAGCTTTTCTCAGCAGGCATGGAGGCCCGTTGGCTCCAGCACAGATCTGAGTTCAGGAAGGACTCGGGGCTGACGTCGGAGGAGTTGCTGTCTGGATTTCTCTGAACAAGACTCTGTTCTGGTGTCTCTGGTTCCTCCGTCACTGCTGCTGCCCCACGTGCCTTTGCACTGCAAGCAGGGTCGCAACTGCTGCTCATTCCCGGGTCTTCCGTGGCCCCTCTGAGTCCCCACTCTCTCTAAGTGGCCTTACCGCAGAATGAATAAAGCTGCCGTACTACCACTTTTTATGTGAAACAAATAATAATTTATAAATCACCTGTTTTTGTCCGCCTTGTGAACTCTCATACGCTCCTGATTCCTATTATCGGTCACATTTCTGGGACCTCAAATCAAAGACGGCTTCAGGAGAGGCCGGTGCTGCCACTCAGGGTAGCGGGCGGAATCTTGGTACATGGCCCCTGCTTCTCTTGGGAAGGAAACTGCTGTGTGATTTAAAGAAACCGCTGTGTTCATCTGAAGCTGCCTTTTCTGGTGAATCTGTGTAGCGAACCCCCTCGTTTTCCATTTGTGGAAATCCTTTTTTTTTTTTTTTTCCATCATTTGGCCAGTTCTCATTCCTGCTGAGCTACACCCTGCTCATGCAGGCTTCGTCCTCCGGGCTGGCCACACGTTTGGGAGACAGAAGGATGTTTCAGAAAGCACAGAGAAGCCCACTCGCCTCGATGTTGTCGACTGGGCTAAGAAGCCCCGAGCAGTGCGGGGGTCACATAGCCCATTCGCTCTCCTCCCCGTCCCCATGCCTACAGAAGCCCCGAGCAGTGCGGGGGTCACACGGCCCATTCGCTCTCCTCCCCGTCCCCGTGCCTACAGAAGCCCCGAGCAGTGCGGGGGTCACACGGCCCATTCCCTCTCCTCCCCACCCCCATGCCCACAGGAGGATAGTGCATGCAGGTCTAGGGCTCTCTCTTCTCCAGCCAGACTTGATCTCAGAAGCATCCTTCATGTGACACTGCAGATGGCTCAGCTCCCCGTACTGTCCCGGAGGCCCTTGGCCTGCCCTGGTGTGAGCACTGGCTTGATTGATGGGAGACCCTGCAGCCCACGCTTGTTCCAGGTGGTTGGGGGAGGGCGAGGAACAGCACCCCAACCGGAGTAAGAGAACACAAAGAAATGGACGCGGCTGTTTTAAGTTCCTAGATCACTGAGGATTGGCTTAGTATTCCCTTCTGATTCCCTAGTTCCAACTGTCATTTAGGAATGGTTATGTGGCAGTAGACTCAGAATCTGACAGAGCAGCTAGAAATCCTCTTGGGAGGGTGGCCAGGCCTTCCCTCTTCCGGCCATCCGTTTTCCGTCATGGGGCTGGGGCCTGTGCCCTGTGCCCTGTGCCCCCACATCCTGCACCCCAGCCCCTTTCCTTGTGCTGGGCTCACACTTGTTGCCGTTCTCCTCCTATTCCACTTCTGAGATGATTGTTGCTATTACTTCTTGTAGTTAATTGATTATTTTCAGAATCAGTGGACAGCTTCTCTGAAAATAGCCTCCATTCTTAGTTCCACGGAGGGAGGGTTGTGCGCTGTGCTTGTGGATTGCTGCCGGGGCGACGGGTTTGAGGCCACGTCTGCAGCCAGCAGCAACGTCAGTTCCAGGAGGGCCTTGGTGGCTGCGGTGCTGGGAAGCGCCATTGTGCTGCGTTGGTGTGACCCTGTGGCACCTGCTGCCAGGGGACCATTCTTTTTGAGTCATGTTTTCTTCAAATTAAATATTGAGAGATTCTAGTCACATCCCACAGTTGCCATTTGCTGTCTGAGTAGAAAATATGAAGAATCGCCTGATTTGAAGCTATGTGGTCAGTTTCATGTCCATAGCAGCCTTGCTTTTCTTCCTTGCTGAGAGATGGAATGCCCTGTCTCACGCTCTTTCTGCCATTACGTCTCTGTCTGCTCTGATACTGAGGTTCCAGGAGGGCTGCCTCGACCTCCTTTCCCTGTAGCCCACGACACCCGCATCCTCTGGTTCTTTGCCAACAGTCGTGGTGCGCGCTTACATCTGGTGCTGGGTTGCAGGCAGGATGGGACTCACAGCTGTTCGTTGACTCTGGGAGGGCTCCCCTGGCTGAGGCTGTCTGCTGACAGGTGCTCTGCAGGTGAGTGTGAGCCTGCACTAAGGAATGCTGATTAGAGTCCATTTCAGGCCCTGTTGGGCACACTGGGAGTGCGCAAGAACCACAGAGCCTGAGAGACACAGTAGGAGGGTGGGAGACGCAGTAGGAGGGTGAGAGACGCAGTAGGAGGGTGAGAGACGCAGTAGGAGCGTGGGAGACGCAGTAGGAGGGTGAGAGACACAGTAGGAGGGGTCGGGAGAGCCACCTGCACCAAGGCCTCAGGACAGCGAATGGCACAGCCATGGGGAGGGTGACTGCCTGTGCAAGGCCGGAGGCCATGGGCACCTGGGTCCAGTGAGGTCAGACGGAGCCCCCGGTGCTCAGCCTCCTGTGACCAGTGTTGGGGGGTAGCAGTAGCGGATGGTGCATCCCAAATGCGGGCAAGAAGTTTGGAAAGATTGGCAGAGCACCAGAGGCTTCATAAAGAGCCATTTGGGAAGATGAGGTTCAGGGGACGGTGGCGGGTGCGCAGGTGTGGGGACGCACTGGCTGCATGGTGCCAGCTTCCTCCTCCCCGAGCTGTGCCCTCCAGCGCTGTGTCTCAGCCTCCCCTCCAGGAGCGCTCACTTCCTCTCAGCTCTGGGCCCCTGTGGCCTCTGCTTTGCCAGCTGCCCAGCCATGATGACCAGTTTCCACTCCAGTGCTATCTCTGTCTTTATTGTTCTTTTTGACCTCTAGGTGCACATGCTGTCGTGCCCCACTGTTCCAGCATCGCTGGCTGGGAGAGGGAAGAGAAGGTGAAGGGCTTCCTTAGAACACTGACATTGAAATTGCAGCTGAATATTTAAAAAAAATGTTTTGTGCTGGCTCACACCTGTAATCCCAGTACTTTGGGGAGGCTGAGGTGGGAGGATCGCTTGAGCCCAGGAGTTTGATGCCAGCCTGGGCAACATAGCGAGACCCTGTCTCTACAGAAAAAAAAAATTAGCCACGTCTGGTGGTATGTGCCTGTAGTCCCAAGCTACTCATGAGGCTGAGGCAGGAGGATTGCTTGAGCCCAGGAGGCCCAGGCTGCAGTGAGCCGTGATTGTGCCACTGCATTCCAGCCTGGGCAACAGAGCAAGACCCTGTCTCAAAATAAATGAAGTGTACAATTCAATGGTTTTTCAAAAAATTAAAATACTTAAAAAATTATTTGGAACCACTTTGGCTGGTTTCAAAGGTTGTGTATTATCTTTCCTCCTGAATAACAACGAGCATTCAGGTCACTGTGGGAGCTGCCTAAGTGAGAGTCTCAGTCTCGGGCTTTGTAGAGCAGAGCCCGTGTGTGTGGACCTGTGCTGCCCTCCTCGCCTCTTGCCCTCCGCCGCATCCTCATCATGCACCTAATCTGCTGCCTTCCAGGGAAGCCAAACAGCCACTGCTGTTGGAGTTGAAATTAAAATGCAGTGGCTGGTTCTGGTCATGGCTCCAGGCATGGGTAGCTCCTTCGGGTGAGCTGCGTAGAGCTGAGCCTGGGTCTTTGGCTGTTTAGATGCATTTGTGGCTGTGTTCTGGGTGCTTCTTCATTGAGAGTGGAGTTGTGGAGAAATGGCTCCTTCGTCAGCTGACTACACTGTGCTGATTTCTTTTGTCCCTGCCTCACTGGGGGTGTGAGGCATCCGGGCAGCATTTTCCTTTACTGCACAATCCCTGTAGTGTTGGCTTTGTTGCTCAGTGAGTATTTGAAATTAATCATTTGCTGCCCTGGGCATGAAGATCAAATGATATCATAGTAGAAATTCGGAATGATTTAGGTAGAGGTGTTATTGTATTGCCCATATGGTTAACTTAAGGGATTGCAGAATTGGTTTGAGTAGAGGACAGGCCTTGTATGGTAAATTAGACCACAATCAGGGGCATCTGGAATTCCCTGAAATTCCCTGGAGCGGGGAGAGGCAGTCTGGTGTGCCAGAGATTCATAGAGGGAGAGAGTACGTTCAGACAGACGGTGCCAGGAGTGTAAAATAATTTATTGTCTAAGGAATTTCAATTTTCAGTTAGTGGTAAGGATAATAGAATCTTTAATTTGGTGCAGATTTTCAGAAGATTCTGAAAAACAAAAAAAGCCCTTAAAAATTAAGAGTTGTAAGGATTGAAATTTGCAGGGAGGTGGATGACTTTATTTTTGAGTGCATTTTAAATGAAAATTGATGGTTTTTTTATGAGGTCATGGGAACTTTTGCATAAGGTGGATAGACCAGTTGGCCACTTCAGGGGGCTGGCAGGGGAACCGCTGGTTGGTCATACCCGCATCTTGGTGCAGCTGCTTTGCTGCCGTGGGTACCCTGAGCCAGTGCTGTGTGACCTGGGCAGACTCCCTATAAAGGCCAACTCGCATTCTGCGGCGATGCTGCCTCTGGAGTGATGAGTGCACGCGGGCTGCATGGCTGGACTCTACCAGCATCTGCGCAAGCCACAGCAGGAAGCAGCTTTCCATCGTGGTTCTAGAACCCTCCTCTCTCACTCATGCATGTGCACACACACAGTCGGAACAGGTCCACAGGACAACAGGCCACAGCGAGAAGGCAGCTTTCCACTGTGGTTCCAGAGCCCTCCTCCCTCGCTCACGTGTGTGCACTTACAAGGTCGGAACAGGTCCACAGAACGGTATTACTGCGTGCTGATTGCACTAATATTTTTTATTGTTTTCTGTTCTGCTTTTCTGTTTCTCTTCCTTTTTGTCTCTTTGAAAACTGGCTATGACACATTGCATTGATTTTGCAACCCACACTTTGAAAAATACTGGAATAGATGATCGCTAATGTCTCTTTCTTAAGAGTTTGTAGTTCTAAAAGTTGTAATTGAGTAGCTGGGACTATCGGTGTGCACCACTTCACCTGTGTAATTAAGTAATTTTTAAAAATTTACAACTATATAGGCTGGGCACGGTGGCTCACGCCTGTAATCCCAGCACTTTGGGAGGCCGAGGCAGGTGGATCACGAGGTCAGGAGATCGAGACCATGCTGGCTAACACGGTGAAACCCCTTCTCTACTAAAAATGCAAAAAATTAGCCGGTGCGGTGGCAGGCGCCTGTAGTCTCAGCTACTCGGGAGGCTGAGGCAGGAGAATGGCTTGAACCCTGGAGGCGGAGCTTGCATTGAGCTGAGATCGCGCCACTGCACTCCAGCCTGGGCAACAGAGCGCGACTCCGTCTCAAAAAAAAAAAATTTACAATTATATAAAGTTTACACTGCAAATATTAATATTCTTCCTCATATTTTGATAAATCAAAAGATAATTGTTCTTGAATTGGGAAGCTTTTAAAAAAATCACATTCAATCTAAGAAAAATGATTATAAATGTGCTAGTTAAAAAATGTTTAGCATTCTTCTCAGGGCTTTTCATCTAGATCAGGAAAATTAGGATTATCCGTGTCACTTGGGCATTAGAATGAAGTTTTCCTGAGAACTGCAGTCAGGTTTTTGGCATGGCTGGCCTTCTGTTGGTCATATGGTGGGCATGGGACGGAAGATGGCTCGATGTTTGCCGCAGCTGTCCATGCCCCTCTACGCCATCCACAAGCCTCTGACCGAGTTGTCCGTGCGTGCACTTGAGCGTTTCTTGCAGGAGAGGCCGGGGCCAAAGGAACGCTTCAGTTGCAGCTGGGCTGTGCTAAGGGGCCTCAGCAGGAGCAGCCCTTGGGGGCCAGAGCCCAGGCTCTTCCAGCAACAGGAAGGACCTTTCTTCCCTGTGCAGCACCTGTCGAACATAACATGCTGGACTCCCTCGTTCATTCCCGGCAGAGAAGCGCTCCCCTCACTCCCCACAGAGCCCTGCTATGCCGGGCATTCAGACCAGCCAGAGGTGGGGGAGCCTGTGAGTAAAGTGGAGAATTGGAGGTGTGGTGCCACCCTGACCACAGCACCTTTCTTCTCCCTGAGGCCACCTCCTCAAATACTCTTCTTGGCCACAGATGAGGGCCCGGCTGTGGTTGGCAGATCTTTTGGGAGAGAACTGGATGGGTGGGGGGTGGGAGAGTTGCCATGTGTCCCAGTCTCAGGGCGGCCGCTCCCTCAGTGTCTGTCGTCTTGGGATTGGCAGTGTCGCTTCCTCGTACTTCAGTGCCCTCTTCACTGCAGTGGGGTGGCAGCAGCACCTGCTCAGGAAGTTGGTGGGCTTCGCTGGGCGCACACGGCCCACCTGGCACTCACCAGCCTCCGGGCTGCCCTTGGCAGGTGCCGTCCACACTCCAGCACTCAGGGAGGGGCGGTGCACATCCTCAAAAACTGACCACACTGGCACTGGTGCCCAGGTGGTGAGTAGGCGGGCTGTGGTCTGCAGACAGAAGCTTTACCCTGTGCACATACGAGGAGTAACTCATTTGAGTGACGTCACTGGACTGCGGCCCTTAGAGCCTCCTGACGCGGAGGTGGGCCTTTCACTTCTGCCTTTTGCATGTGTGAATGTGTGTGTGTGTGTGATTTTAGAGATACTGTTTTAAAACTGCGTACTCAAAGCATTAGTTAATTAACTAGGAAGTATCGTCTTGTGAAAATGATGACCAGGACGGAACCTTTTAAAGCAGGTCATCTGAACCTCATCGCTGTAAAGCAATCTGACTACAAAGTTCATTCTTTCACGTGAATTAAACGGTTTGGTAAAGAAATACTCAGCATAACGTGGACGTGCTCTAGTGATCTTAGGGAGCTGTGAGCTCGTGCAGTCTTGGGTGGGAGTTGGCATTGTTTATGTTCTTTTTTTAATTTTTTAAAAATGTTTTTAATTTTTATTTTTTTTGACACGGAGTCTTGCTCTGTTGCCCAGGCTGGAGTGCAGTGATGCCATCTTGGCTCACTGCAACCTCCGTCTCCCAGGTTCAGGCGATTCTCCTGCCTCAGCCTCCTGAGTCGCTGGGATTATATAGGCACCCGCCACCGCACCCGGCTAATTTTTGTATTTTTAGTAGACACGGGGTTTCACCGTGTTGTGTTTGTGTTCTTTAAAATCCATATCATGTTGGCCGGGCACGGTGCTTCACGCCTGTAATCCCAGCACTTTAGGAGGCCGAGGCGGGCAGATCACGAAGTCAGGAGATCGAGACCGTCCTGGCTAACACGGTGAAACCCCGTCTCTACTAAAAATACAAAAAATTAGCCGGACGTGGGGGTGGGCGCCTGTACTCCCAGCTACTCGGGAGGCTGAGGCAAGAGAATGGTGTGGACCCGGGAGGTGGAGCTTGCAGTGAGCCAAGATTGCGCCATTGCATTCCAGCCTGGGCGACATAGCGAGACTCCGTCTCAAAAAAGAAAAAAAAAAATCCTTATCATGTGAACGTGTTTTGGTGATCTTAGGGAGCCATGAACTCGTGCGGTCCTGGGTGGGAGGTGGCATTGTTTGTGTTGTTTAAAATCCCAAGCCAGAGCTCCCGGGGCTGCCAGGAGTTTGGGCTTGATGCGGGTCACGTAACGCAGGACACCAGGGTGGGGAAGGGCCCAAAGTAAGATACCACCAGGGTGGGGAAGGGCCAAGAATGCTTGCCCCAGTTCCTTGGCGAAAACTGCCAGTTTCTCCCCACATCTCCGTTAGGTAGTGAGAGTGTCAGTCAAGGCAGTATTTTCATGCACGTCAGTGAATGGGCCTTGCTCCTTCCCCCAAACCAGGAAGCTGAGTTTGGCCCCCTGCTTGGGTGTGCATCAGTCAGGCTTGGTAGAATGGAACAGGGTGCATGTTTGTTCTTTCAGCCCTCATTGGAGCTCAAAGATCAGTGCCCATGGGTGTGAGCTGGGATGGCTGTAGGTGGCATCCTTATTCAAATCCAGACTCCTCCTGAACATGTCCAGAAGGGCAGTAATTCAGGGCGCCGGGCCTCACTGGAGTCTGATGTTCTTAGTGGGAACAGCCCTAGTGTACTCCTAATAGTCACCCAGAACAGCTGTTCTCCCCACAGAGCACAGAGCACTCCTGCAGACCACGTTCAGGTCCTCAGAGGATTTAAAATACCAGTGAGCTAGGAATGTGGTACATAGTGAACTCCTTCCTATGTTTGGTGTACTTGGCAGTAATGCACCCAAATGTTGGGTTTGACTGTGCTTTCTTTTTACACTGCTATGACTATGTCCTGTCACTTAAACATTTTGAAGATTCTATCTGAATTTAACCCTGATTAGCAGGGTCCGCAAGGGCTTGGCCGAAGCAAACACTGGGACTTAGGGGGCTGTCCCCTGGGGAGGGCAGGAAAGCTGATGGGTGATGGGACGTGCAGGGCCGGCTCAAAGAGCACCAAGGCCTGCTGGGCCCTCTGACTTGTGTGGCTTCCGCAGCTGGCCGTGACTTTGTCATACCAGTTTTTCAATTTGGACACTGAAATATGAGTAGAATTTTGGTATATCATATAGGGGATAGTCACTTACCAGAGTTTAAAATAGCAAGAGGTACATTTGCTATGGTTCTGATTAATTTGATGTGATTGAAGACTTAGCCAACTAAAAATAATTTTCCGGAAGCATCTAATCATTTGGAGAAATAACTAATCTGCCTCATTGAGGAGATTGCAGCACAATTGTAGAACTAAATAAAGCGCAGACACGATATGGGAGGTTGGATTTCAGTAATGGAGGAAAGAAGGGGCCAGAAGAAAGGACGTCCATTCTAACAGTGTTCTCGGTATTGAATCGGCGCTCACCGCAGATTTAAGAAAGGACATCGATTCTAACAGTATTCTCGGTATCGAGTCGGCGCTCACCACGGATTAAAGAAAGGTGGATTCTAACAGTGTTCTTGGTATCGAATCGGCGCTCACCACAGATTAAAGAAAGGGCATCGATTCTAACAGTGTTCTCGGTATTAAATCTGCACTCACCACAGATTAAAGAAAGGAGGTGGATTCTAACAGTGTTCTTGGTATTGAATCGGCGCTCACAACAGATTAAAGAAAGGACGTCCATTCTAACGGTGTTCTTGGTATCAAATCGGCACTCACCACAGATTAAAGAAAGGAGGTGGATTCTAACAGTGTTCTCGGTATGGAATAGGAGCTCACCACAGATTAAAGAAAGGACATCGATTCTAACAGTGTTCTCGGTATCGAATTGGCGCTCACCACAGATTCTGACCTCAAGGTTGAAGGCGCTGAAGTCAGTGTCTTCGTCAGGTGTGGGGTGCGGGGTCTTTGAGACTGCACGGTGCACTGGACTCTGGTGTTGGCAAAGCTCTGCAGACCACATGTTTCCTCTGCTCTCACACCGTGACCATCATCAACACACAAAAAGACTGCTGGGACCAAACGTGGGGTTTTTTCTGGACACAGCAAGCAGTGGACACCAGCTGGGTGTCCTCTAATTCAGTTCTGACACGGAGACAGCGTCGGATCCCATGGGTTGAGGGCTCGGGGACTGCCGCCCAACCACACCAGTTGCAAGTTCGGGCCTCAGAACTTCTGGCCAACCGGCTTCAGGTTGGGCTTCCCACGACCCGTCTTTGGGTTTGATTAATTTGCTGGAGTGGCTTGCAGAGCTCAGGGAAGTACTTTTGTTTACTGTGTTTATTATCATAAAGAATACTACATAGGCTACGGGTGTGGAGACACATCCCGGCGAGGTACGGGGGAAGGGGCACAGAGCTTCCAGGCCTTCCCTGGGCACCATCCTCCAGGACCTGCTGGACCAGCTGCCTGGAAGCTCACTGAACCTGCCCTCTTGGGTTTTTATGGAAACTTCGTGACATTAGCATTCCTTCCCCAGGGTCTAGGGCAGGACCCTCTCATGGGAGGGTCTTAAGACCCACAGTCAGCAAGCAGGGGGATCATTAGAGTGAAAGGAGGGTGAGAGCCCGCCCCTGAGGTCCACACACCTGGCATCATAACAAGAGACGAACCAGGGCTGTGGGAGTTAGGGGCCAGGAACCAGGGACAAAACCAGTATCTCTCGTAAACACCACAGCTCTTCAGAGGGTTTTTCAGGTGGAGTCACGGGGGAGATGGCTGGACTCAGGCACTCCAGGAATGGAGAGTGCTGTGGCCACACGCTCAGTGACACGACGCCCCAGCCACACGGCATCCGACGAACACCAGACATCTCTAATGCGTTTCAGTGTGCCAGAAGGAAAACATGTTTCCTCCTCCCTCTGATTTCTTTACAGACAATTGTTTTCTTGGGGATTTAGATTACATACAGCATAGGAAATGTGTTGTTCTAATTGGAGTATAATATGATATTCTTCCAATTAAGAACCCTCTTCAGGAAAGAGCTGGTGTGTGGGCGTGGCCGGCTGGTGAGCTTCTCAGTCACGTTCACAGGGATGGGAATCCTTGTCCTCCGGTCTTATTCCTGATGTGTCAGTGAAGATTAACAGGGATAGATCCAGCTAAACATAGCCAAGATGCTATCTAGCTAGCTAGCCAGCTAATCGATGAGACACAGTCTCGCCCTGTTGCTCAGGCTGGAGTGCAGTGGTGTGATCTTGGCTTACTGCAGCCTCTGCCTCCCGGGCTCAGGCAATCCTCCCACCTCAGCCTCCCCGGTGGCTGGGACCACAGCTCGGGCTACCACACCCAGTTGATTTTTGTATTTTTTTGTAGAGACAGGATTTTGCCATGTTGCCAGGCTGGTCTTGAACTCCCGGGCTTAAGGAGTCCACCTGCCTCGGCCTCCCAGGGTGCTCGGGTTACAGGCATGAGCCACCATGCCCAGCCGACAAGATGGTTTTAAACTAATAGCTGTGCCTCTTTAAGACACACACTTGTTAATGGTTGTGTTGAGCATCTTGAACTGCCAGCGGCCTAAGTGGCGTTGCAGCCCACAGGAGTCTCATCCAGACCTGGCGGAATTAGGACCAGGCACGAGTGAGCCTGATTGTGTAAGAGCATCTGCACTCAGAAACCCATCATTTGGATAAGTGTGAGGGGTGTGTATTGGCTGTTTTTTCATTTTAATTTTTTGTTTTTAGAGACAGTCTCACTCTGTTGTCGAGGCTGGAGTGCAGTGGTGCAGTCACGGCTCACTGCAACCTCTGCCTCCAGGTTCAAGCAATCCTCCCACCTCAGCCTCCCGAGTAGCTGGGACTACAGGTGCGCACCACCACGACCTGCTAATTTTTTTATTTTTATAGAGACGGGGTTTTGCCCTGTTGCACAGACTGGTCTCAAACTCCTGCGCTCAAGCGATCCGCCTGCCTCAGCCTCCCAAAGTGCTAGGATTATGGATGTGAGCCACCACACCCAGCCTGCTTGTTTCTCATCTGCTTGCTGGTAGGTTGCAGAGATCCCAGAACCCCGTAGAATGCTAACCTGCATAGCCAGCTGAGCAGTCACTCTTCTCCCGTGATCTCTTGCTGCCACAGCCAAGCTGTTGACCGCAGCACCCGGGTCCCTCCCGTGTAGTGGCGGGCCTCGCAGCATGAGATCAAGGCTCCAGGATGGGGGCTCCCCAGTGGTTTAGGGCTGAGGCCGCAGACCCCCTCGAACCTCTGTGGAAACTGTGCTTCCCTTGAGGGATGGGGCAAAATGTCCATGCCAGAATCTTGAATGTGAAAAGATTGAGGTGTGGGGCGGCCTGCAGGGTGTGGGTGGGGTACGGCACCTTTCAGGGCCTGTTGCTGCCCTGCATGTGTAGATGTGGAGCTCCTTAAGGGCAGGACCCGTGCCCAGCACACATTGAGCTTGTAGAAAGTATGGGGTTTGCGGGAGCCCATGCCTCCTTCGGGCTCAGCCTCGGTGCCTCACGCGCAGTAGGCACATGGGAAGTGCGGCCATTCCCAGGCACTGCTGCAGTGCTGAGCGCGATGTGTTCCCACGTAGACATGGATTTGGTGAGCCACGGTTCCCTCTCTCAGGGGTGCCTTTCCCTGCCACAGTTGCAGGTTGTGGGGCTGGTCTGTCACCTTCAGTGTTGTGATCTCAGGAAGATAGCAGCCCACCCACCTGACATAAAAATCCGCATAGAGAAATTCAGGATTTCTCTTGATTTATTAACTGTGTGCTTTGTTGAGGGCAGCTCGGCTGATGATAAGTACATTTTTATAATTATGCATCATTAAATAGTAATTGTTAAATAGACTTACAGTTTTCTTTCCTATATTAAAAAATCTAGATTTAAAAAATCCAGATTTATGCCATTTCTGTGGTATCGTTTGCATTCCATTCATCTCATTTGTTTGAGGAGTTTAAGAAAATAAAGTGAAGACCTAAACATTTCCTCACATGACCAAGAAATAATACTCCCAATCAGTATGTTTCTGGAATTGGTAGCTGCTACTAGCTGCCCTCAGATACCTCTTGAAGCACTGTATCTGGAGTTTCTCTCATTGGGCACTCTTAACAGCCAAGGACAGGCACCCATTCCTGGACAGATGCTGGTGTATTTGTTGTTCTAATTACTACTAAATTGTTACTAAAGAAAATCAAAACAAAACACAAGAAAGATACGTAAGAGGTCACTTCAGCTCAAATGTAGCATATGGACATTCCCTGGCATATCCACGTCATCCTTAGAAAGCTGAAATACACCTTCTAAAGCATTGTGGCAAGCTAGCGCTCTGCCTGCATTAACTCAGGGGCCCCTCTCTGAAGTTAGAGACTTGCTTTCTCCTATGTCTTCACCTGTCTTGCATTTCTGAAGAGAAATGAGATTAAATTTGGTGACTAGGTTGAGTGCTATTCTCATTTTGGAGATGAAGACAGTAGACAGGAGCTTTTCTAGGACCGTTCAAGGAGTTAAAGTCAGGGATACATCCAGAACTCAACTCTCATGATTCCTGAACATTGCCTGCAGATCCCCCAGAGCTCCACCATCATCATCACCTCCACCTACTACCACTGCCAACACAACCACCTCTACCACCTCCGCCACTGTCATCTCCATCATCCTCACCATTATCATAATTGCCACCATCATCACAACCACCCTAACAACTGCTATCACCACCACCTCGACCACTATCATCTCCATCATCATCACCAACCCAACCACCCTAACCACTACCACCACCACCTTTACCATTACCATCTCCATCATCATCACTAACATAACCACCTTAACAACCACTACCACTACCGCCTTCACCACTGTCATCTCCATCATTATCACCAACACAACCACCCTAACAATCACTACCACCACCACCTTCTTCACTATCATCTCCATCATCATCACCAACACAACCACCTTAACCACTACCATCACCACCTTCACCACTATCATCTCCATCATCATACCACCACAACCACTTCTACCACTACCATCTCCATCATTATCACCAACAGTCACCCTAACAAACACTACCATCACCATCACCCCTGTCATCTCCATCATTATCACCAACCCAACCACCCTAACAACCACTACCACCCCCACCTCCACCACTGTCATCTCCATCATCATCATCACCAACACAACCATAACCACCTTAACAAACACTACCACCACCACCTCCACCACTATCATCTCCATCATTATCATCACCAACACAACCACCCTAACAACCACTACCACCCCCACCTCCTTCACTATCATCACCGTCACCAACACAGTCCCCTTCACCACCACCACCACCTCTACCACTGTCATCTCCATCATCATCACCAACACAACCACCCTAACAGCCACTCCCACTCCCACCTCCTTCACTATCATCACCATCACCAACACAACCACCTTTACCACCACCACCACCTCTACCACTGTCATCTCCATCATCATCATCACCAACACAACCACCTTCACCACCACCTCTACTGTCATCTCCATCATCATCACCAGCACAACCACAACCACCTTAACAAACACTACCACCACCACCTCCACCATCATCTCCATCATCATCATCATCACCAACACAACCACCCTAACGACTACCACCCCCACCTCCTTCACTATCATCACCATCACCAACACAGTCACCTTCACCACCACCACCACCACCTCTACCACTGTCATCTCCATCATCATCATCACCAACACAACCACCTTCACCACCACCTCTACTGTCATCTCCATCATCATCACCAACACAGCCACCCTAACAACCACTACCACCACCACCTCTACTATCTCCATCATCACCAACACAACCACCTTAACAACCACTACCACCCCCACCTCCTTCACTATCATCACCATCACCAACACAGTCCCCTTCACCACCACCACCACCTCTACCACTGTCATCTCCATCATCATCACCAACACAACCACCCTAACAGCCACTCCCACCTCCTTCACTATCATCACCATCACCAACACAACCACCTTTACCACCACCACCACCTCTACCACTGTCATCTCCATCATCATCATCACCAACACAACCACCTTCACCACCACCTCTACTGTCATCTCCATCATCATCACCAGCACAACCACAACCACCTTAACAAACACTACCACCACCACCTCCACCATCATCTCCATCATCATCATCATCACCAACACAACCACCCTAACGACTACCACCCCCACCTCCTTCACTATCATCACCATCACCAACACAGTCACCTTCACCACCACCACCACCTCTACCACTGTCATCTCCATCATCATCACCAACACAACCACCTTCACCACTGTCATCTCCATCATCACCACCAACACAGCCACCCTAACAACCACTACCACCACCACCTCTACTATCTCCATCATCACCAACACAACCACCTTAACAAACACTACCACCACCACCTCCACCACTATTATGTCCCTCATCCTCACCACCACTACCAACAACACATCTATCACAGCATGACCTCTACCACCATTGTCCCTGTCACCCTCTCCGTTGCCCTTACCTCCGCCACCCCCACCACTCCCAGTGCTATCACAGCCATCAACAGCACCAGCACCAGCACCAGCACCGTCAAGGGGTCAAGTGAATTTCCTGATTATCCTGAGTTGTTTTCTAATCTATCTACTTATTGGCCTCTCACCCTCTTCCTGTCGAGACTGAAATGACAGTGCTTCCTTTGCCTAGCTCATAGGAATATTTATGGAGGGTCAGTGGGCATGGCTTCTGTCCTTACTATGTAGGCCTTGAGTAGTAGCTTAGGTGTGATAGAAATGGAAGGTCCTCAGTGTTGCTTCAGGATAAAGCCTTCACAGTGTTGAATTTGGATTCTGCAGATTGAATCTAATGTGCAGTATGGTTTGAACAGTTAGTACCAAACTCTGTTCCTAGGGGGTATTATATCTATTGAGATGTTCAAATCTGGGTCAGTTCTTTCACTATATTTGGAAGATTTTCAGTCACATGGGAAGCTTTTCAAGGCTTGATTATTAATCATGCTGCTTAGATCATGAATCATGAAATTATTTAGTACTGTTTCTAGTACGTGTGTATTTTAATACTTTTTTTTTGCCCTTTTTTGCCCTTTTTTTTTTTAAACAGATGTAGCTAATGTTACCTAAGATGTGCACGAACAAAGCTTATATATGTTTATAGGCTAAACAATGTGAAATCACTGGAAAAGCTAGGAGGTATTTTGTGTATGTTCTGGTAAACCCATCTGTAATCCATACACCCACCCACCCCCTCCGCACACACACCCCTGAATGATTGAATATGTGTACGTACACATGACGCGTGTACATTTAGTAAAGTTAAGCAAAGCAGTGACGGATCCAGGGCGTTCCCACTGTGCACCTGTGCAATGACTTGACCAGGGTTCAGCTGACGGCAGGCTTGGTGACCTTGAAGCTTTTCAGCTTCTCTCCCATCTTTGGCATTTGTATTCCTCCTGATACTTCGCTTAAGAGTAAGTTTCAGAAGGCTTCAGAATCTTTTTCCATGAAATAAGGCCTTCTAGACCCAGCTGGGAAAAAGATTAGAAGACATGGGAAATGTCCAACATTTTACGTGTAGGATTTTTTTGGAGAGAGCGAGGAGAAGGAGTGTGTGTGTGCAGGGTGTCTTTATCTATAGCTGAAAAATGGCCTCTTGTATTTCCAGGAGGCTTTAGGCCACTCTAAATGGTTTGTCACAGAAGGAGGATCATCTCGCCTTCCTAGACACACACCCTATGTCACTTGTAATAAAAATGCTCCCATCAAGAAAATATATTCCTGCATTACATGCCAAAACACAAGCAGAAATCTTGGAGACTCTCAGTGGTTTAGGGAATTAATCTCTTATGGAGAAGCCTTCTCTACCAGAAATGGTGGAAAATGTAATTTAAATCATAAAAGGTCTGAAGTGGAGTGAGTTTGGTGTTGACTAGTCCCAAGAAACCCCCTGGGAAAGGTGTGGAGCTGCCCGCATGCCTCCTGCTGCCTTGCTGGGGGGCTCAGGCCCACCTGGACAGCTGGCTCTTCAGCTTCCTTGCCCTGTCTGGGGAGGTGGGGCCCTGACTTACAAAGGGAGGCCGTGGTGTCTCCTGCCTGTGGCTCTGACACTGGAGGGGTCCTTGTGGCCCCTAACAGGCTTGCCGCATGCAGCAGAGTGTTCTGAGAGTGTGGAGTGGCTGTGGAACTCCAAGGACTCTCTGCTTCTTTGCTTCTTGGTCTGTTTTGGCAAGCAGCAAGGAAGGTAGTTTCAGGCTTGAGTGATGACTAGTCAGTAAAATAGGTGTACTAATTTGAGGACTATCATTTTTGTCCCATTGAATTTCTTGGGACACTGTCTGTGGTTGCAGCGTAGAAGAATCTTTAAGTCAGGCAAGGGCCCAGGACAAGCTGGACAAAGTGTTTGGCTGGGAAGCGTATTCTCTCTCTTTTTTTTTTTTTTTAGAGAGAGAACTTAGATGAAATGATGACTGAAATGTACACTTTCAGTGTTTTACTCAGTTGAAACAATGGTGCCTTCGAAGGGCTCGCTGTTAGCTGAAGCTGAAATGTCTTTATCACAACCCCTGAGATGCTCCCACTGCTCTGGTCACGCTTCACGCTGGCCCCTGCACTCCTGGCCCTTTTGTTTAGCCCCGCATCAGACTCTGTGATGTCAGACAGTGGTGGCAGGCCTGATGATTCGAAGATTGTTTTTGATCAATTTTACCATTTTCAAATATATATTTAAAAGGTTATTCATTTCTTTTACCTGTCATACCCAGTGTAGTATACTTAGCAACACTGAGTGATCATTGAGTGAATGAATACAATGGCAACTGTTGCCAAGTTAGCAGTTAGTTATATGATGCACACATTGAAGACATTTGGAAATACTCTTGTTTGAGCCATTTAAAACTACGGCTTACGTTCACCAGATCTTTAATCATGAAAACATATAGAACAGTACTGATTTAAAACTCTGTAACTCAAAAAGCAGAAAAAGTGTGATTTCTGAATAACTTTACAAATCCTTTTGGTGGGATCCAAATGTGAGAACTTTTTCTGAATAAGGGAGTTTTGGTGATTCTTTGGGTGTTCTGAGACTTTTCTGTTGCCGTTGTTGAGCTGTGTCTGCCTTTTCTGGTGGGCGGGCCTGCCGTGTTGTGGTGGGGAGCGACTTCACACAGCTGGCACGGGATGCTTCGAAGTGGGGTACGGGCCAGCCGCCAAGAGCTCACCCAGCGCGCCTGTTGCTTTGGGTGCCTCTGTGGGGAGCAGCTAATGGATGTGTAGACTCTTTTGCCCCAAGAATTATCTTCTGGAAGGCTACCAGAGTAGCTGCCTGCGAAAGGAAACCTGGGCGTTACTGCTGCACCAGGATTCCTGGCCTCCAGAGGAAGGATGGTGGCTGAAGGTGAGCCTTCTCCAGGGGGATGCCCTGGAGACTCTTGCGGTCCCCTCCACGTGTTCACCTCGTCAGAGTCAAGAAACGAGGAGTGAAAAACACCCCTCAGGTCGCTTCATGCTGATTCTGTTTAGGCCCCGGCTTTTCCCTCATGCAAAATGCAGGCACTCTGACTGGCCCACGTTGTGTAAAATTGGAAGAATGTTCTTCACACCCTTCATGTTGGCAATGTTTGGGTCCTGGTTCTTACATCCCAGAAGGGAAGTTGCGGCACTGTGCGAGACAGTCTGACTTCTGACAAGTAAGAGAGATGGCGGGGCCATCTGGGTGGGGCGGGGGGGGGGGTGCGTGCAGTGACTCGCGCTGGCCCTGTCCCCGCACCCTGGACTCCAGGGCAAGTGGTGCTGGCCGGATGCCCACAGTGAGGAGGTGCGGGGCACGCAGCGAGCACTTTCCGGACAGTGCGGTGCGGGGCAGCGAGTGGCCGCCTGTGTTCCGACAAGCCAGGCGCCGAGGCTCGGTGTGGGCCCGTGGGCCTGATTGAAGTCACACTCCTGCCCCCTTAAACTATGAAACGGCGGAGTTACACGGGAAGAAAGGGTTCAAGCGTAATATAATTTCCTACCTTTTTTTCACTCTGAGAGTGAACCGCTGAGTGGCTGTTAAATTCATTGTGTATTTACGAGGAATCTTTCATCTAGAGACTGTAGATGCAGGACTGTGCCCGTGCCTGGTTAAAACGTTGAAGCTGGTGCTAAAGTGTGTTGAGGTGCCTGAAAGAGAAGCTTTTGTTTTTTGACTCACTGGCCTTTGGGAAACTGAAGGACAGTGCGAACAAAGATCCCTTTCTTCCTCAAATGGGAGCTTGGGATTTGTTGGGTTTCACGCAGGTGGGCCCGAGGAGGACGGCAGGCAGGGCCGGGACGTGCTGATGTCAGGCGCCTTCGTCGACTGAGCTCCTTCCTGGGCCCTGTAAGGCCTTAGGTGTAAAAATGGGGCTTGGTCCGCAGCAGGGCCCAGTTCCACGGCAGTGCTGTGGCTTCCTAAGTGACTCAAGCACAGGGGTCATTTCTGATCCACAGACCAGAGCTTCGGGGGATTCCTCTTCACTCTGACCACCTGACAGGCTGTTTCCTCTCACACAGGCAGTACAGGGGAACGTGGCCAAGGTTTAATAAAACCCACCACCATCGTTCTTTCCATTTTCTCTAAGGAGTCGCAGCCCCAGATGAAACGTGTGTGTCCTGCCCCGGGGTTTGTAGGAAGCCTGTGGTATCTGAGACCATGGGACTGGGAGGTTGTAATTAAGAAGCAACTCGGACCCATGGCTGCTCTTGGCTGCATTGTGTAATTGGCTCTGGACATAAAATATGCATCAAGGGTAGAAAAGTAACCTAGAATTATTTTCATGTGTAGACAATCTCTTATTTATAATGTTCAGGGCATTGTTTACGTTGACTCCCAAAGTGAGATCAACGAAAAGCCCATAAAGTGGCCCCTGCCGGCTTTTCCTTCTGCCTCCTGGTGGGCCCCTGAGCCGCTGCTCCTGCTTTCGGCAGCTGCTCCTCCAGTGGTGTCCCTCACGCCCAGTGTGTATCAGGGATGTTGCCTGGTCGGAACCCCTGTACCACAGTGCTGTGGTCCGTGCTCCTGCTGGTGTGCTGAGGTCCGTGCTCCTGCTGGTGTGCTGAGGTCCGTGCTCCTGCTGGTGTGCTGAGGTCCGTGCTCCTGCTGGTGTGCTGTGGTCCATGCTCCTGCTGGTGGCGGGGCATGACCTTGAGGAGAGTAGGGATGCTCCTGGAGGCTCTGCTGTAAGGGCAGGTGGGGGTGGGGTGGGGCGGGCGGAGGTGTGTGAAGGTGTGGAGAGGGGGCACTGCCTTCCCTCTCGGCAGTGCTTGCTGTTCCTGGGCTTGATACCACACTGTTCCAATCTCTGCCTCTCCTCTGCTTCTCTGTGTTCAAATCTGCTTCTTTTCATAAGGCCCCTGTCACTGGGTTCGGGCCCACCTGAGCCCAGTGTGGCCTCACTTTAACTTAAATTTGCAAAGACCCTGTTTTCAATTAAGCCCAAGTTCACAGGTATCAGAGGTTATTGAGTTGCTTTTTAAGGGACACGGTTCAGGCCACAGGACCCTCCCCATCCCCATACCATCTTCGGCAGAATGATGGCCATCACCTCGTCTCGGCCCCACGTTCCTGCAGGCATGTGCTGAGCCCTGGCTCAGCACCACAGATGAAGCTTTTTGCAGGAAGATGTGAGTTTGGTGGGGTTCTGGGTGCTTTGGGGCTTCCCGACGGAGACGTGTGCTACTCCTCGCGTCCTGTCAGGGCCCTACCAGCTGCACTGTCGGACGCGACACATGCCATGCCCCCTCCTCTGCTCCCTGTGTGAGACCGCATGGTCATGGACATCCCGCTGAGTGCGCCTAGGTCAGATGCACTTGAGACCCGGCATTGGGATGGAGTCACCTGGAGCCACGGCCTGGTGGGGAAGGGTCACATTTAGGCCCCAGACCTGCACACACACACCCCAGGAGGGCTGAGGTTGGCACAGGTGGGGTTCTCCGTGTAGTGTGTGGTGAGACTGGCTTGGCGCAGCTGTCTGTCTCTGGGCCTTCCTCTGAAGATGGCAGGTGCTCTGACTTACCCAAGTTGGGGGTGCTCTGCTGTGGCCGAAGGTGCCGAAGTGTGAGCGGCTTGTGTGAGAAGTGTGCAAAGGTGCTCTTAGCCACCAGCACATAGCAACCACCTGTCGGCACGAGTGGCAAGGCCGTATGTTTCTAAGCATAACGTAGTTTGAGGTGTGTGCAGAGACCGCCGTGCGTTGCCCTCCGGGCAGAGCCCACCTGACGAGGGGTCTCTCTGGGTCTCCCCAGCCTGGCCTGGCCTGCTGGTCACTCCTCCACTTGGATGGTCAGTGTGGGGCTGAGATTGGAAAGGCTGGCCCACCCTCTGTTTAAAAGCCACGTTTTTCCATCACGATTAGGAGGGAGATCAGCTGACGTTGGACACGCGAGTGATCCTGTGTGGAGGCTTCCGACTGAAGTGAGCTTAGTGGGAACGTTGGAGCACATGTTTTTAGAAGTTCGTTCTTTTGCCCTCTCACGGTGGATTCAAACGTATTTTTTGTGCCATACAGTAAGTTTTCCAAGTTAAAGAAATGACCAGAGCCACGAGAACGGTGCCATCTGGAGGGTGCGTGGAGGCACGTGGAGGTGGCCTCTTTCTGTGGGGAGCGAGAGGCTCTTCTCACCGTCAGCTCTGGGCTGGCATCTCAGCCCCTCGAGGTGTGAAATTGGATGGCAGCCCGGCCGGGCTCCCCGACCTGCCCTTCTCCCTTTCCTGGGGACACCTGAGCAGCGCCACGGTGATGGCAGGCTTGTGCACGCGTCATGCAGATACATCCTTATTTTCTTCCCACTCTTCGTCGTCCCCTGCCCGCCCACCCTCCCTCTCACCATCCAGAAGCCAGAGGCCTGTGGTCCATGGGGGAGCGCCACAGGCCTCGGGGTGACTTTGGTTGTGTTCTTAAACGTCCCCCACCCTGCCCCAGTGAGTCAGAAGACCCCAAGACACACACATGGTTAAGGTCACTCCCAGGAGCGCCGCCCTGCTGGAAGGGGGGGTGGGCGGCAAGCACCCGCAGGCCTCCACTTCCCTTCCTTCGAGTTTTTAGCCTTTGTGTTGCCTTCTCCCAAGGCTGTGCTTGATTGAGGTTCATGCTGAAACGCTGGAGCCAGCCGCAGAGCACTGTGGAGACTGCTGTGCCTACCGCTTGCCACAAGGCACCTTTGTGTGAATGTGGGGTCTCCCGGGGCATCTTGCCATCGCTCTGGGCTGTAAATCTGCCTTATAGCTCTTAGCCTGTTAGCTTTGAAACTTAGCCTTTTTTGGCCTGAAGGACGATTGTCTAAAACGTTGGATCAGTTGACTTAAACCCTGAGGTCTGCAAGAAGCTTGTGTGTGCTGTTTCTTTTTCTCCAGGAGAAGCAGGTTTCTGCATTTGCCTGCGCTGGCCTGCTGTGTGTGCTCTGTTTCTGACCATCCACTAATGGGTGATTTGGTTTGTGAAAAGCATTAGAAATGGAATTTAAGGGCACGTGTTAGTATTCCCATCAGTGGGTTTAAAGGCTTAAGAATGAGGATGTGGCCTTTCGGCATTTCTTGTAGGAACGTAGGAGAAAGATTTTAGGCCAGTTGGGGGCATCACTGGGATGAGCCTCTTTCTCTGAGCACCTCATTTTTCTTTCTTTTTTTTTTTGAGACGGAGTTTTTGCTTTTGTTGCCCAGGCTGGAGTGCAATGGCACGATCTCGGCTCACCGCAACCTCTGCCTCCTGGGTTCAAGCAATTCTCCTGCCTCAGCCTCCTGAGTAGCTGGGATTACAGGCACGCACCACCATGCCCGGCTAATTTTGTATTTTTAATGGAGACGGGATTTCTCCATGTTGGTCAGGCTGGTCTCCCAACCTCAGGTGACCAGCCCGCCTCGGCCTCCCAAAGTGCTAGGACTGCAGGCATGAGCCACCACGCCCAGCCTGAGCACCTCATTTTTCTAGTATGAGGAAGCTTCTTTGAAGTGAACATCTAGATTTGAAAAAGGCACCTTGGTTACAGTCTCAGCCCTCATACCTTAACAAGTTGGATTCAAAGCTGAATGACAAAAACAAAGGACTTCTTGGCTTTTCCAGCACACCTGTGGATTAGTGGTTTCATCCTCGTTTCTGTCCACACACTTCAGCAGTGTTCAGAGTGTATCTTTTAAAGGCATGGGGGGTGGGGTTCTTTTGTTTGGTTTTGCGTTGCACCTGAGTGGATTCTTGGTTAGATTCAGGATTTTGTATCTAAATAGTACTGAGAAGTCCTTGGGCTTCTTGCGTTGACCTTAGATTTACAGCAGTTTAGCATGATCTCAGTTGGACATTACACAGAATTTCTGCATTCTCAGTAGATAGAGGAAACCAGATGTGTGTGCTCAAAATGCAGTGCCTTTAGGCCGGGGTTCCCTCAGTCGGCTGCTCCCATTTCTACCTTCTGCCGCTTTCTTTTATCTGAAAACAACTGGCTCTGTTTCAAAAATGTTCAGGGGAAAACCCTCTGAATGGAGCTGGGAAAGTAGCACGTGTCTCCAGCCCTGTCCCCAACCACTGTCCCCAACCAAGCCTCTCTTGAGATGACGAGGTGCTGCCCTTTGGGAAGTCCGCTTCAAGTTCAGCCGCAGGCCAGTGTCCCTGGAGCCTGGAAGCCAGGACACCGTCCGTTCCAATGAGCGGCTTCTGCATTCCAGAGCTGGTTTGGAAATGCCTCAGACTGGGGCCCTGCTCCAGACATAAAGCCGGCAGGGAGAGGAAAGAAGGGATTGCACATTCATTGTTGGGCACTAAGTCGGAATTCGGCCCAGCCTGCTCTACCCCTGAAGGCCTGCATCAGACTTGGGGTTCTTTTCATCACAGGGCTCCATCCTACCGGCAGCAGCATCAACTGCACAGATCCCAGGGCGCTCATCTTGGGGCGTGCAGCGCTCTGTAGGGACCCTGGCGTGACCTCATTTTTGCTGCTTCACGTTTAAGATCTGACTGCTGAGTTGTCCTCATCACCAATTTCAAATCAAGCCCAAATCCACAAACTATATCTCAGCCTCCTGTGTGTTTTAAGAGGCTGCGCCGTGCATGGAGGTGCCCTCAGCCTGCAGCAGCGCAGCCAAGCGGAGGGCGCACCGCGGCCTTCTGTGTGACTGTTCTCAGAGCACGCTGTGCCTTCATTTCTGCGTGTTTCACGGCGTTGCCCTTGTGGTATCTGCTGACCCCGGTTCCCTTATTTCTAGGCCCAGTGCCTCGGCTTTCGCCTCTCAGCCCTCCCCTCCCCTCCCCGGTGTGGATGCTTTCTGCCCTGGCCTGGGAGCTGGTCCCAGAAGGAGGAGTTGTGTTGTCGTTGTGGTCCTCCCTGCCCTTCCACGTGGCCCGGCTCAGCGCCCTTGCTTAGTTAATAGGAATTCAGTGTTTCATTATGAAATCCACATATGGCAAACATATGAAACAATCCACCAGGTCCATAGAGAAAGTGAGTCCCCTCCCAGCCTGGACTCTCAGCCCGTCTGTGGGGTGACCGCTGGTCATTTCTGATCTCGCCTTCTGTGCACAAGCTCCTGTGATGATTTTGTAATCACTTCACATTTTAAAAGATCCCTTGATAGACGAGTTTCAGATCCGATCACAGCTGTTCTTAATGAGACTTGGGAAGCCGTGTTGCTGATCTCCAAGAGGGTTCTGCCCTCCTCTGGCTGTGGAAGGCACGTCATGGCATCCTGACCGTGATGTTGTTTCTGCCAGCATTGCCAGTGACAAGACTTCTCACATGATCTGTGCAGCTCATTACACTGGAAGAATTACAGTGTCAGAAACCTCAGAATCTAACTTTGCAGCTTTACAATAACCATGAAGGTAGGCATACCCAAGTGGTGAATGAAAATAAAAGTAGAAAATGTTCTCAACTGGGAATGCATTTGAAAAGTCATGACTTTCAAATGTTTCTACATTGATTTTGTTTTGATAAGTTTTTTAGAAATGAGCGAAACACTTAATGTACACTTAAGATTCGAAGAAAGAGGTACCGGGGCTTTTGTGGGGAACAAAGGCACAGACATTGTTGCTGCCTTGGAACAAGGTGTGGGGGCCAACCACAAGCAGGCACCGGCGCTGGGGGACCAGGGTCAGGGGGCTCTCTTCAGAGACGGCAGAGCACGAGGCTGGGGCAGGAGGTGTCGGGGGCTTGAGAGGCGCAGGGGAGCAGGGGGGGAGAGTGGACAGCGAGGCGGTGGATGTTGAGGCAGTTGTGCGTCCACGGCGGGGCCTGCCTCCGTGGCAGCGCTCCCAGCACCCTGTGCGTCCCTTGCACCCTTGCCCTGTGGTCACCTGTGGTCAGGGACAGTGGGTTCCTCTCCCTTAGCATGCTTGGAAGCAGTGGTGGCATCATGGAGCTGGGAGAGTGGCTTTTATTTGGAGGACAGATGTGCGCATTCACTTAGGGTCCAAGAAATGAGTGGGCCTTGAATGAGCAAAACAACCCACCTGCCTCCCACGGACAGATGCTCCCAGGATGCGGCTAGGCGTCCAGGCCAGCATCGGGTTGGCTGAGGGTTTGCCGAGGAGAGGGCATCGCCAGGCTGGGCGCCTGTGTGGCACCACGTGGCACTCCCCGAGGAGGCCTGGGGACCCCTCCTGGACATGCCTTCCTCCCTTAAAAAACAACAACGCTTTTGCCAGACACAAGAGGCTCCTGTGGAGCTCTCATGGCTGGCAGTGCCAGATGGGAGCCTGGTGCCTTCATGCGGTTGGGGGTGCTGCCGCTCTTGCCCGCAGGGCACTCCTCTGGCTGGGATAGGAGACAGCCAGGACCCCTCAGCTTCTGAGGGCCGTGGCCTTCAGGCTGTCAGGAGGCCCTGGGAGGTGGCTAGAGCCCAGTGGCCTCCAGGGGAACACGAGTCATAGAGGACATTTCATTTTTTTTCTCCTCCAATTTTGTTTTGGCTTTTAAAAACTCCTACAGTACAAACTCTTTCTAATGGAAAAAAGCGGTTGCTCTCCCTGCAGCTGCCAGCCCGCCCTGAAGGCACGGACTGCCAGGCCTTTTGTTTCTGTTGTTTTTGCTGTTTGGGAATTTGATGTTTTAATAAAGAGCCCTTTGGGGACCTGGCTGGAGGCTCCTGTGGCTGCCATAACAAACGACCACAGACCCCGTGGCTTTACCGGAGGGCAGAAGCCCATCCTGGGTCTCAGTGGGCTGAAAGCAAGGCAGGGTTGGTCCTTCTGGAGGCTCCAGGGGAAAATTCGTTTTCTTGCCTTTTCCAGCTTCTAGAGGCCACCCGCATCCCCTGCCTCCTGGCCCCATCCGTCTTCAAAGCCAGCAGTGGCCAGGTGAGTCCTTTGTACATCCCATCTCTCCCACCCTCTGTGGCTGGGAGGAGTCTCTGCTTTTAAAGACCCCCGCGATGACACTGGGCCCACCTGGCCATCCAGGGTCATCTCACCACGTGAGGGTGATCAGTTGAGCCACATCTGTGAGATCCCTTTGCCCATGTAAAGTAACACCTAAACAGGGCCCAGGGATTGGGACCTGGGTGTCTTTGTGGGGTGGGTAGCTCTGCCCAGCACAGCGAGCTGGGGTGAGACGCGCTTGCCAGGTGCTTTCTGAAGACACAACAGGAACGGGGGAAGAATTTCTCGCCATCTTTTGTTCAGAAAACTGATGGCACAAGTGGTGATGGTTCCCTCAGGCTGAACTGGTCAACCTAGGAGGGAGGAGAGCAGGGACCGGCTCTGCTTTTGTTTTTATTCAGGGGAACTGGGCTGGTGGCAGGACCAGGTTGCATGCTTGCTCAGGTAGAGCACAAGGAAAGCGAGTATGGAAGGGCACCCTGATCCCGGGAGGCCCACAGGATCCCAGCCCCACAGTGTCCCCAGCGGAGCAGCTCCCCTCTGGGAGGGCCCCAGCCATGCTTGCCTTCCACCTCCTTCCTGTCCCTCCTGGGCCCACTGCCCAGCTTAGGATTCTTGGTGGGGATGGGAGCACGGGAGAGGGTGTGCACCTGCGCCTGTGGCTTTTACGAGCCTGGGATAGCGTCCGAGCAGCCTCTGTCGTCCCACTACTGCGGCAGGTGCAGGGCGAGCTGTGCCCATGCGAGGCGGCCTCAGGGCAGACGGGGCTTCTCCCAGACACGTTCCTTAGAGCACCGAGGGCTCCAAAGAGCCTTTCCTCATGAAGGGGTCCCCTGCCAGGGGATCCCTCAGGTACACAGCTTTTAAGACTCTGAGATGAGGTTCACCAACGTGGAACTGAACTGCCCAATAAATGTATTAACAGGAAGTGAATGTCCAGGGAAAATTCCTCACCCCTGAGGCTGACATTACCAGCAGGCGGTAATTTTACTTTGAGTGAAACTCGGGAGTTTGGTGTCGTTTCTCTCTGTGGCGCTGCTGCTGCCTTATGGATTGCTGGGTACTGCGGGCCTGGCCACCTGGTGAAGGGCCTCGGCCACACCCACAGCCAGAAGGAGCTCGAAGGAACCCAGCTTCGACTCGGTGTCTGACACTGTGGCCTCTGTTCCCAAAAACAAGTGCCTCCTGCTCCTTTTGCCTAAAATTCTGTTTATTTTCAGCTGAGCTGTGTTGTTCACAAAAAGTAAAACCACATTGCCTGGAAAAATGTAGTTTTGAGGCAGAAATGAGAAAATCCTAACCCATAAATCAAGGAGGAAACTAGAAGTTTCTGTTGATAGATTCTTGAAAAACTGAAAACATTGAATCATTTTGTTCAGTTTTTTTTTCCCCCAGAAAGGTGCCAAACCTTGCCTACATTGCCTGTGTGTGTCTTTGCCATCAGCCTTCAAAACGCCGCTCCCAGCGGTGCGGGCGCTCCCTCTCGTGCTCCCTTGGGAGACTTGAGGGTCTCCCAGGGCAGAGGGGAGGCAGTGGCGCTGTCAGTGGCTGTGCGAGGCTGGGTGACTCTGCTAGGCAGAGGTCAGAGCCATCGGCCGGGGCACATTGCCACAGCGGCCTAGACATTTTTGGATGGAGGTACCAGGCAAATTATTTTATTACTGTTTTGAACTCGCCTAGAAACCCAGTTATAGGAATGCACACTCGCTCTCTTTTTTATTAATTGGTGTTGGACACACAGCACGTGGCGGGATCCTAGGGCCCAGGTGTGTGGGGGAAGGTGAAGCCGCTGACCTTTGACCCTTTGCAGCTCTGTGCCGCCTGCCACTCAGTGTGTTCTTTGCTTTGGTGCCAGTGGAGTGGCCGACTGGCTTGTGTGGCTGGTCTCATGGGGCTGAGGGGGTCAGAGCCGCTGGGCTGGGTGTGGGGCGCCACAGTTGTTTGGCCTCTCAGCCCCCAGCCAGTGTCACCCAGGTGTCTCGCCCCATGCCCCATGCTGCATGGTTCCCACCTACACCACATCTGCGCCGGGGCCTCCCTCAGGGAGGAGACTCGAGCTGGAACCAGGCTGTGACCCTGCACCCTGCTGCGTGCCCCCGCCCTGAGACGGGACCCAGGGGCTTGTCCTGAGGGGCTCTAGGCCGGCCCCACCTCACCTGCTGCACTGCCACCGCTCAAACCTGATTTGAGATACTTTATGGGTATTTTATGCCAGAGTTTCAGAGTCCTTTTTTTTCCTTGGCACTATTTCCAAATCTAAGGGGGTCAGCTGCTGCCACTCCCATTCAGAGCCGCTCCCCAGTGCCCAGCCCCCCCTGCACCCCACGGCGCTCACCCTGCCATGCTCTGGCCACCCCTGCCCTGGACGGCCGGCTGCCCCAGTCCTGGTCCTCCACCCTTTCACTGACCTCGCCCTGCTCCACCCCAGGGTAAACCCCAGGTCTCCACTCAACCTGTCAATCTCCCCACTCCATTGTTCCTGCATGGTTACACCCTGAGATGAGGGAACCCTGACGATGCTCCCGGCTGAGCCTTGCCTTCCCGCAGTTACACGTTGCACGGGGCCTCCCCGTAGCATCCACTGTGTCAATGCCCCCTCCGTCCCCAACAGACCCGCCCTCCCCCCACTGTCTGCCTCCTTGTGTCGTCAGTCCGTGACACGCCACGTGTGTGATGAGGAGGTGCTTGGAGTGGCACTGCTCTGCGTGTGGCCACGCACTTCGTTTCCATTTTCACACGTAGTTCAGAGCTGGGTGTCCGACAGAGGTGCCCGAGGTGGAAAGCGTCGTGCACTCGTCCCACCTGTGGCCCCTGCAGAGCTCCGGCTGTGTGGCACGGGCTCCTGAGAGCTGGGGATGGAGGAGGTGCGGGCTTACCGTGTGCTCCTCTGCTGCTCGCCCCAGGCTTGGGTTTCCTGGCGGTCACCTGGTTGGCGTGAACCTTGGGCGTGCGCCAGGGTCCCTGTGCTGTCGTGGAGTGCAGGCAGGTGGGCAGGCGCTTGGGAGTTACCAGTCAAGTCCCTGCACCGCGCAGACCATTGCCTGGTGTTCAGGAGTTTTCAAGGCCTCGGCCTGGTGGGAATAGTTGAGAAACGCTGGTTCAGGCAGCTTGCTTTATTCACAGCCCTGAGACACCTCTGGGACAGCCCCTGAGGATATTTTTCCCGGAACTTTCTCGGGGCCAGGAGTGTGCCTGTGCTGTGATGAGTGGGAAACGCAGTTTGTGCAGGGCCTCACAGAAGAGCCCACTGGTGCGGGTGCTGGCTGCCTCCTCCAGTGGGCGCCAGCTCGGGGTCTGTGGCAGGAACGTGGGTGGCTGCGGATCCACCCAGGACAGAGTGACTGCCTGGGCGCGTGGTGGAACTGAGTGCAGAACTCCTCCCCAGCCCCCTTTCCAAGTGCAGCCTTGCCCGGTCTGTTCCCAGGCATCACTGAAAAGTTACTGGTGGGTTTGCACATTGGCAGGAATGTCTGCTCTCTCTTCCTTTCTTGGGAAGAAGGTTCTCTCTGCAGGGGCTCCACCTCCCTGGGCGCTCTCGTCCCCAGCCTGTGGTCTGAGCCAGAGTCTCTGCGGCTGACAGGGACTTGCTCTCTCTTTCCTGCCCCTGTCCGTGCACCCAGCCCAGCCCCCTGCCCCTGCACCCAGCCCAGCCCAGCCCCCTGTCCCTGCACCCAGCCCAGCTCCAGCCCCAGGCCCAGATGGAGGGCGCTCCAGTGGGCTTGCCCCGTCTCGTGAAACAGTCCAGAAGCCTCAGTGTTCTCATCGTCAGGCTGGGTTCTGAATGGCGCGCTGTCGCTGCGGGACCTCGGGGCCTGTAAAGATCATGGGAAGGGGCAGCTGTGCCGGCAGCTCCTCCTCCTCGGTGCAGCAACTCCTCTCCGAGTTTATTTCATGTCAGCAAAAAGATGGAATTCTTGCCAGCCAGACATTCAGCTCATTGACCTGCCTTTTTCTTTTTTCTTTTCCACTGACAAATTCATTGTTAAAAAAATATAAGGCATTTGCTCATCAAAAACTAGAATTCTGCTTTAAAACCACAGGCTGTATCTTCTAAGGACTTTGAGAGGCCTACGCCCGAGCCCTCCCCTCACAGAGTCCCCGCCTTCTCTCTCTGCTCCCTCTCGAAGAACCCAGGCTGGAGGGAGCCGGAGGGTAATCGTGCTGCTCCGCTATGGACGGTGGTGGCCCAGGAGAGTGCCTCGGGGACCCAGGTGCTTCCTGTATGGACGCTGCCCCCACCTGCTGTGTGATGGAAGCCCAGCCCCTAAACTGCTCCTAACCCCACCCAGGTCTCAGTTCCTCATCTGTAAATGGCACCTGCACCCCAGGGCCAGCAGCCCCTTTGTCAGCACTCTGATGTCAATGCACGCACTTCACAACGCTCTGCTCCTTCTGTCCGTCACCAAAAAACGAACGTTTGTTCCTTGGAAAAGACTACAGTTGACCCTTGAACAACACAGGTTTGAACTATGAGGATCCACTTATACGTGCATTTTTTTTTTCAGTAAAAATTATACTGAGTGTGCCTGCCTCCTCTTCCACCTCCTCTGTCTCTTCTGCCTCTGCTGCCCTGAGACAGCAAGGCCAGCCTCTCCTGTTCCTCCTCTTCCCCCCAGCCCCAGTCAGCATGCGGACGGTGAGGACGAAGGCCAGGATGACGATCCACTTCCGCTTAATAAAGATCCACTTCCGCTTCATGAATAGCAGCCATATTTCCTCTCGCCTGTGCCTTTCTGAATACCACGTTTTCCCTCGCTTACTCTATTAGAGGAATACAGGTGATGGTACACACAGCACACAAAATACCTGCTCATTGACCACTATCAGTAGGGCCATTGGTCAACAGGCTATTAGTAAAGTTTTGGGGAGTCAGAGGCTGTACATGACTTCAGCTGCACAAGGGTTCAGTGCCTCTAACCCTTGTGGTGTTCAAGGGCCAGCTGCACAATGAATTAATCCCTGGGACCATGTCGGGCTGGCATCTGACACCTGGACTCAGAGGGCCTCTGCAGTAGGGGCCGTCGGGTAAAGAAACCCCAGAGTCCAGCAGAACATCTGACTCTGGCCATATTCCTTCTTGTATAGCATCTGTTTGAGACAACAAAATCCCGAGGCAGAAGGTCGACCGCTCCTTAGGTTCATTCTGATGGCTCAGCTATTCGCCCGAGGCTGGTCCCCGAGGCTGGTGTGCTCGCAAGTCGTGGCTGGCAGGGTTGCCAGGCTTGTCTGCAAAGGACCAGGGGGGATGGGTTTTCAGCTTTGGGGGGCACACCTGGTCTCATCACAGCTGCTCACCACGGCCCTTGGGTCATGACAGGCCAGCACGTGGGGGGCCTGCAGGCCTGTAGATGCTCACTGAAGATGGAGGTTCCTAGATTTGTCATGTGGCACAAAATATTTTTTTGCATTTTTTTCTGTCATTAAAAATCATTTAAAAGCCATTCTCAGTTCACAGCTGTACAAAAGCAGCCAGCAGGTTTGCTCTGGGCGCCGTACTTTGCTAACCTCAATGTAGAGTGAATTATACTTCGTATCTTTAAAAGGCTTGTCTTCTAGCATTGCAGGTGAACTTTGCTTAGAAACATAACTATTTTTAAAAGCACATGTAGGTGAAGTCTAGTCTTTAAAAGCACTTGCAGGTGAAAGCCCTGGTCCGGCGCTGTCTCTGCAGTGTGTTTGCGGGGGCCAAGTTTGCTCTGTGCAGTGCTGCTGTTGTCCAGGGCAGGTCCCACGGAGGGGATGCTGCGGCCAGGCTCCGTGGGGTGGGGCACCCTGCGACGGGCTGCTCCTCTTCCCAGGGCCACCGGTGAGACTCTCAGTGCACAGAGTGCGGTTCTGTGTGGAGGTGTGGGATGCATCTCCTGGCCCTCCCGTAGTGGGGTGCAACCCCAAGTGAAGACCCCGTGGCTCATGTCAAGTGCCCTCAGGGCTGGGGCTGCCCACCCGCCTGCCTGGGCCGTCTTGACACCGGAGCTGCCTGCCTGGATGTTGGAGCGCCCAGTGGATTGAGTGGGAAGTGGGCCTGGGTGCTTACAGGCGATGGGGTCACCAGAGCCCACCCAGGGGCCTCGCCTGTCCCCCATTCTCATTCCATACTCTGGGAGGCGGTACAAGGTCGGGAGGGCCAGCGGGGCTCTCTGCCACCAGGACTCACTTCCGCCCATCTTGGAACTGGGCCTCACTTTCCTGCGAGCTTCTGCTGGGTTCTCAGTGCCCACCAGCAGCTCCTTTGCTCTCCCTGAGCCCTTGAGGTCACTCTGCCTTGGGAATGGGGAGGGTTTGGGTCTCAGCCTCACGCTCACGGTCCTGGCTTGGATTTTAGGCCTCAGTGGCACTCTGGGAGCGCTTGTGCTCTTCATGGTTGCCACTGGGATTTTCCAGGAGGCTCTGTGGCATTTGCTGTTGCTCTCTTTTTCTGTGGAAGCTCTGCCTTGCTTTTTTTTTTTTCCCTTTTTTCTGCTCTGTAGGTGCTTGAGGGCGGAGTTGCAGATCCAGCAGAGACTCGATGGCACTCTCTCACTGGATCTGATGCGACTTGAGAGCGATGGGGAGACAGGATGTGCCGCAGAGTCCTCGGTGTGGCCCTGAGGCCGTGTCCCTGCCGCTCAGGGGACAGCACGTGTGGGCTGGGGTCTGCGGTCTGTGGAGCCATGTGGGTTGTGGGTTGTGGGTTGTGGGCCACGCCGCTGACGGGCCCCCGTGTGTCTCCCTCCAGGTGCTGCAGGGTGCACAGCTGATCGCCGTGGCCTCCTCGGACCCCGCGGCGGCGGGCGTGGATGGGTCGCCACTCCAGGGCAGCGACATCCAGGTTCAGTACGTGCAGCTGGCGCCAGTGAGTGACCACACGGCCGGGGCACAGGTGAGTCTGGGGCCCCGCGCCGGGACACTGAAGTGATGGCATGGCCGCCTGCCGCTGCCACCGGGCACACGTGGCCCCGGGGCTTTCTCGTGACTCTTCCTGTGCAGAGGGCACGTGATTGGACACAGATGCCCATCTGAGGGTTCTACGTCTCACACTCACCGTGAACGTGAAGGTGAGAAGGTAGATCCTGCCCCAGTTCCAAATTCCAACTGATTCTTGAGACTGTCTTGTGGAAATGTTTGTAAATTCAGGGGCAGAAGTGAAGCTCTGCCCTGTCCTCCCTCCACACAGCCCTTTCCTGTGGGCTGGGGAGCATGGGGGCCCCTTTAGCCGGAGAGCTCCCTGCCCCACTCGTTGAAGGTCTCAGCTCGGGGCAGAGCCAGTACCTCGGGCTGCTGTGGCCCTAGCGTCCACGAAAACAAAGCGCAGGGCTGCTGTGCTCTGTGGATGGCCCAGCGGGCCCAGGCCAGCATCTCCATACCTCGCAGGCAGAAGCCCCCGAGGGTGAGGCCGTGCCGAAATCTCCAGCGTGGCCGAGGCCCAGACAAGAGCCCCGTGATGCCGTGGGCTGTTTGCTCTGAACACTGGAGGCAGAAGGTGGCCCTGCATCCGGGAGCAGTCTTGGCCCCGCAGCCTCCGTGCCACCTGCTTTGGGAACGTGCCCAGCGGGGACGTTGTCCTTGTTCTACCTCCAGCCTGGTGGTTGGCTGCTGCCCAGCCCTTCTGGAACATTCTGGCCGCTGTCTTTGGGTCTGTTCCGCTCCTTTCTGTGGACCCAGCGCTGGTGATCCACCTGTGTCTTGATGCCATCCACCTTCAGTGCTTAGAATTAAAATCCTAGATGTCTGAGCAGCCTTTCCCTGCTCCCCGGGCACTGCTGAGGGCAGGTGTGCCCCTCAGCCCTCGGGAAGAGAGGGGTCCTCCTCAGGAGGCGCTTGCTGAAGAAGTGGGCTCGGTAGAGCTCACGCTCACCAGGGTGCGCAGGTCGCCAGGCTGGGCGGTTCTGCAGTCCCTCAGCCGCGACAGCCGTGTGATGATGTCAGTGCTCACCTGACGCTCACGTCTTCACAGCGGGGCAGCTGCGGGCCCAGAGTTTAAGGACCCGTGTCCTGTAGAAGGTCTGGCCCCTCCTCTGGCCTGAGCATTCCTGCTGTGCCCATGGGCACGGTGGCCCCTGCAGAGGCACGCCCTGTACTCTGCCCATGGGCGCGGTGGCCCCCGCAGAGGCGCGCCCTGTACTCTGCGTGGTGTTTGGTTCCACATTGTCGCCGACCTCACTGGAGATGCGCTGGAAGCACGGTGAGGGCCATGGGCGCAGAACGCACAGGCAGTGAGGAGCGGGTGGGTGGGATGGTGAAGGCAAACTCGTTCGGCAGCGCTTATTTTATGTGGTGTGAACCTTGGCCTGTCCGTGAAGAACAGTCAGGCGTGGCTGCCTCAGCCCCTGCCGAGGACGCGTGGCAGCCCCCCGTGCCGTTCCAGATAGGAGCGCTGCAGGAGGGCAGTGAGGTCCGCGCCCAGGAAACTAGATGTGGGGGCCATGCCTGAGGGCGTCCTGCTGCATTATAAGTTTCTGGTCATTTTCCGATTTCAGAATTGAACAAACCTGTGTCCCATGGTTGGTGTTTACACCCCTAGCTTCCTGTAAGCTCTCTCTGTTACCATGCCCTCCTGGCAGGCCCCAGGTGAATGATTTAATTAGGATCCATCGTAACAGCCAAGGAAGACGGCGTGCTTAAGGGGCCGCTTTCCCTGCAGAAAACCCCAGCGTGGTTGGACTTGGTGGTGAGCGGGTTTGCCCATCTGAGGCCAGACAACTGCAGGGTGCGTTAGCTTGTCACCAAGGGCCCAGCTCTCTGCCTTACCATCTCAGCTTGTCCTCAGGCTAGCTCTGCCCCACTGGGAAGTGACCGAAGGCCTTCATGGTGACTCTGCAGGCGTGACTGCACCCAACAGAGACAGGTTTCTGGTTGAGCCTCCTTATCCACATGAAGCCCCCACCCCAGTCATGCTTGGGAATGGTCTTGCATCTTGCATGGGTCAGAGCAGGGTCACGCGCTTGAGCTCGTTCTAGGAAAACCTGTGGCTCAGCTGTGAGGGCCTGGCTCTGAGAAGATGGGTTCCCTTAGGAGGGAAGGCAGGTAGCTGGCCTGTGGGGGTGGCCAATCCTCAAAGTGGAGAGTGGGGCCTGTTCCCTGGAGCAGTGGGTTGGGAGGGTAGGGGGGTGCCATTTGCAGGGGAAGACACTTGTCTTAATGCGCGGTGGCCTGTGGGTGTCACAGGCTCCCTGAACCATCTGTAGCAGAGGCAGCACCTCCACCAGCCTCTGCCCAGAACACAGGTCTGGCCACTGTCCTTGGAGGGCAAGTGAGTCCCAGCCAGCCCAGACCTGTGCCCCACTGTCCCCACCCACCCAAGTCCCCAGCTGCCTTTCCAGCTGTCTGGGGGAAGGGGCTTTGCATCCCAGGCGGTGGCCCCCCTACCCCAACCTCCCATGGCCTTCAGCCACCCACCCCAGGGCCCTGGTGTGGCTCCTCCATTCCAGCTGAGGTTCACCCCTTCCCGTTAGGCCTTCCCAGCTGTGGCCGGGCTCGCAGGAGACAGTCCTCATACTGACCCCTCATCCTACCCTGGAAGGCCCCTCCTCCATCCAGGGAACAGTATATCGAGTGTCATTTGACATTTGTCTTGAAAAAGCACAACCTGGACCAGGTGCAGTGTTTCATGCCTGTAATCCCAGTGCTTTGTGAGGCCGAGGCAGGGGCGTTGCTTGAGCCCAGGACTTCAAGACCAGCCTGGGCAACGTAGCGAGACCCCCATCTCTACAAAACGTAAAAAAATTAGCTGGGGCCGGGCACGGTAGCTCACGCCTGTAATCCCAGCATTTTGGGAGGCTGAGGCAGGCCAATCACCTGAGGTCAGGAGTTCGAGACCAGCCTGCTCAACCTGGTGAAACCCCATCTCTACTAAAAATACAAAAATTAGCCAGGCATGGTGGCAGGTGCCTGTAATCCCAGCTGCTCGGGAGGCTGAGGCAGGAGAACTGCTTGAACCCGGGAGGCGGAGGTTGCAATGAGTCGAGATTGCGCCACTGTGCTCCAGCCTAGGTGACAGAGTGAGACTCCGTCTCAAAAAAATTTAGCCGGGCGTGGTGGTGTGCACTGGTGGTCCCAGCTACTTGGGAGGCTGAGGTGGGAGGATCACTTGGGCCCATGAGGTCGAGGCGGCCGTGAGGTGTGCTTGCACTACTGCACTCCAACCTGGGCAACAGAGCAAGACCCTATCTCTAAAAAATAAAATGAAGCAGGACCTTAACTAGAGTAGAAGTTGCCAGGCCTCTTCCTCCCGTGGGCTCGGCCGTGGGCTCGTGGCTTCTCCTGGCTCTTCCTTTGTGGTTCCTGTGCCTTCCAGCTGAAGCTTCTGGGAGTGTGCACGGCAGCCCTAGAGTGGGCTCCTCCACCTGGGGCGTGTTCCGTGTGGCTGAGCTGGAGGATGAGTGACTTATTCCAAGACTGTATGTTTTTCCTTTACTTTTTTTTTTTTTTTTTTGAGATGGAGTCTGGCTCTGTTGCCCAGGCTGGAGTGCATTGGTGCAATCTCGACTCACTGCAACCTCTGCCTCTTGGGTTCAAGTGATTCTCCTACCTCAGCTTCCCTAGCAGCTGGGACTACAGGTGTGCACCGCCACACCGGCTAATTTTTGTATTTATTGTAGAGACGAGGTTTCACCATTTTGGCCAGCCTAGGCTTGAACTCCTGACCTCAAGTGATTCACCTGCCTCAGCCTCCCAAAGCCCTGGGATTATAGGCATGAGCCACTGCGCCCGACCTCCTTTAACTCATTTTAAGATAAAGCTGTGATTTCGTACTTGAAGTCCTTTTAATATCTGTAACTCGTTGACCAGAACCTGTATCTTTGAGGGAAGAATCATAGCTGCCCCGAAAATCCTTTGTTGAAACATTGGGACAGTGTTTATAGGAAGGCAAAATGGTACCTGAAGCTTCAGGGAAATATCTTCGGGAGGGCCAGGATGTTCTCCACTTCCAGGTTACTTCCCAGTGAGGCAGCGGGTTGGGGGTGGAGAGGCAGGAGCAGCTGCTGCGCCGGCCCCGGTGACGGAGTCCATGTCGGGGGCGGGCCGGGGCCTGGGTGTGCCGGAGCCTCCCTGGGCGCCAGGGTCGTGGGCGCGTCGTTCCGCTGGGAGCCAGGCGTTGTGTACCAAGTCGGGTGAGCCTTGGGGCCGTCAGGGCTCCTTCGCGCTCCTGTGTGCGTGTTTCTCATTCTGCCTTAAAGTCACTGGCTGTTCATGACACCCCCTGGCCATGCAGTGCTGGGTATTTTTCTAGAAAGTCCCTCCTTTCTCCCTTTTGCAGACGGCCGAAGCCCTGCAGCCCACGCTACAGCCGGAGATGCAGCTCGAGCACGGGGCCATCCAGATTCAGTGAGCGGTGCCCATGGCACCAGGAGCCCCTCGCCGGCTCCGCCTACGGCCCGGCCCCCACGCGCCCTGCTCTCACGGCCTCGGCACAGGCAGCGGCTGCACGTGTTCTGCTGAAGTGCGTCTGAAGGCCGCTGCCTCCGCGGGGAACAGCATCCTATCAACTGAAAGAGCAGCCGCCGCCGCCCCCAGCCGGAGACCCCTTTCGTTTGAGTCCTGCTGTTGGTGTCGGAGCACGAGGGGAGGCACGGTGCGGAGAGCGTCGCATATGCGCGGGAAATCAAGAACTATGATATTTTTCTGTTTAAACAGCTTTTTTTAATTTGCTATGGTGTTTATAACAAAAAAGAAAATTTGAAAAAAAAAATCCCAGGGGAGTAGCAGGAGCCCTTTGCTGTGTGCTCTGTCCAGTGTCATGAGACGGGAGCCCTTTGCTGTGTGCTCTGTCCAGTGTCATGAGACGGGAGCCCTTTGCTGTGTGCTCTGTCCAGTGTCATGAGACGGGAGCCCTTTGCTGTGTGCTCTGTCCAGTGTCATGAGGCAGGTGTTTGCAAAGCCAGCTCTCGGTTCCGATGGGGTATTGCTGACCTACTTTTCTAGGGGAAATGCTCTTAAACACTGTAATTATGCATTTCTAATGAAATAAAATGTATTTATGACCACAGCAGCCTTACGCTTTTCCTCCTGCGAGACGGTTCGCCAGAGAGTGCCTGTCCCTGGGGGGTTGGGCTCGCTGGCCTTCAGGCCACGCTGCTGCCCTCTCCACTGTGCAGACAGTAGGTGTGGGCACCCCGGGACAGTCAGTTCTGTTTCCGTGTTGTAGGCACTGCCGAGGGGAAACCTGGTTTAGGACACAGCTGTGGAACTTCTTGTTCTCATAAACCACAGAGTTCTGCCAGCTCCAGAAGGCACAGTCCTGGGGTCCTTAGAGAAAGTTGCAGCCACAGGGGCAGGCCCTACTATTTACAGATTTTTTTAAGGCAGAGATAATATCTGCAAATAGAAGTGCCAGAGGCAGTTGAATCCCTGGTGACCAGCCGGGCCTGGACTGCTTCACCTACACCGTTGTGGCAGTTGCGTTAGGGGCTTGGGAAGGGCCTACGTGAAGCCGTGTTCGCTGACTTAGAGCGGGGCCTCTCTGGGCTTTCTCTGGGAGGAGTTCCGCGTTGCCATCCAGACGGTCGTAGCTCCAGCCTGCTCCACCCCGTCAGGATCCTGGGCTGGGTCCCCTTGGGGGTGAGGGTCTGGGATGAGCTGCTCTCGAAAGGGGGATGGCGCTCATGGGTTCTGCGTCTCCATCGTGGTGGGGCCGCCTCTGAAGATGGCCACCACAAGGAGCCGGGCCGAGGCCTCCCAGGAGGTCACCGGAGCTTGGCCACTCTCCAGGAGACAGAAAGGACCAGCTGGGAGGCAGGGTGTAGAAAGTCAAATCCACACGTGTATGACTGGAATCCCAGGAGAGAATGGAGAGAACAGAAGGAAGATGCATTTCAAGGATTCAGGAAGTAGAATAGAACCCCAAGGAGAAACGAACATCAGTCTCTGCCTCGACACACTCAAGTATCACAGGCAGAGATAATTTTGACAGCAGCCAGAGAGAAAGGACAGATGCCTGCGATGGGATGAAAGCAAGGCAGCAGGCGTGGGCACCCACTGGCCGCTGGGTGGAGGGGGAGCCACTGGTGCAGAGGAGGGAGCTCTCGGTGTGGGGCTGGGTCTTCAGTGAACCTGTTGTTCAGGATGCTAGTGACATGCCACCAATTGACCCAGCAGTTCCACTTGTGGGGATCCACCCCGGAGCTCTGAAGACAGCTGCTCACACATGCACTTGTGCCTGGCTGTGCCCAGCAGCACGGCTCATACCAGCCACAGGGTAGACGCAACCTGGGTTTCCATCAGCAGATGAAGGGAGAAACAAAGCTGACTGTCCAAAGAATGGGACGTCATCCAGCCACGTGAAGGAACAGAACATGGATGCGTGCTGCATCCCGGCCAGCACTCAGAGGAGCTGTGCCAAGTGAAGCCACGTGCAGAGGACCACTTACTGTTTGATTCCATTGATACGAAATGTCCAGAAAAGACAACTGCAGAGAGACCGGTTCGTGGTTGCCAAGGACTGGGGTGAGGCAGGATTGGGAGTGACTGCGAATGGGCGTGGGGTTTCTTTTTGGGTGATTAGAATGCTGTGGAATTGAAAGTCGCTGAATCCTTCACTTAAAAGGGCGAATTTGTTGGCATATAAATTATCTCAAAATTACAAAAATAAAGAATTAGGTGATACTTAAAAAAATGTATAAACAAAAATTGAGGCCGGGTGCGGTGGCTCACGCCTATAATCCCAGCGCTTTGGGAGGCTGAGGTGGGAGGATTGCTCGAGCCCAGGAGTTAGAGACAAGACTGGGCAATATAGTGAGACCCCATCTCTACAAAAAAATACAAAACAATGAGCTGGGTGTGGTGGCACGCACCTGTGGTCCCAGCTACTTGAGTTCCTGAAGTGAGAGTATCACTTGAGCCCAAGAGGTTGAGCTGAAGTGAGCTATGATTATACCACCGTACTCCAGCCTGGGTGACAGGGCAAGACCCTGTCTCACAAAAGAAAAAAAAGCTGTCATTTCCGATGACACCTCCTTTACCGGGAATTGTTAGGAATTTTTCTTGAAGAGCAGGAGTATGAATCCAGGGGAGGTGCCTAGAGTAAGATGGAGCGATGGACAAAGAGAATAATAAACATACATAAATCGTTTCATTGAAACTTTAAAAACAATATACTGGAAAACATTACTGTGTAACTTCGGCCATGGATGAAGGGAGGTGAATTGTTTTAAAGCCCCTGTATTGCCCTGCAGAAAAAGGCTGGAAGGGCCGTGCAATTTTTTTTTTTTTTTTGAGACGGAGTTTCACTCTTGTCGCCCAGGCTGGAATGCAGTGGTGTGATCTTGGCTCACTGGAACCTCTGCCTCCCGGGTTCAAGTGATTCTCCTACCTCAGCCTCCCAAGTAGCTGGGATTACAGGCACACACCACCACGCCCAGCTAATTTTTGTATTTTTAGTAGAGATGGGGTTTCACCATGTTGGCCAGGATGGCCTCAATCTCTTGACCTCGTGATCCGCCTGCCTCGGCCTCCCAAAGTGCTGGGATAACAGGTGTGAGCCACCGCGTCCGGCCTTGTTTTTTTTTTTGTTTTTTTTTTTTTTTTTTGAGATAGAATTTCGCTTTTGTTACCCAGGCTGGAGTGCAGTGGCATGATCTCGGCTCACTGCAACCTCTGCCTCCTGGGTTCAAGCGATTCTCCCGCCTCAGCCTCCCGAGTAGCTGGGATTACAGGCATGTGCCACTATGCCCGGCCAAGGGGCATGACATTCCTCACACGACTTGGGTCAAGGTGCTCGTCACCTTGCTGCAGTACCTTGCATCTCTACCAACGTTTTCTATGCCTTGTTTCTGAAGTGTTTGTCATAGTGAATTCCAGGACTTAAAATTGGATTCTTTGAGAAGATTAGTACACTTGAGAAAGCCCTGGTACACTAGTCAGAGAAAAGAGAGCAGGGACAAATTACAATGTCAGAATCTACGAACCCTTCAGACATGAAAACTTGAGGCTGTCTCAGAAGTCAGTGGGAAACGTTAAATGCAATTGACAAATTACTAGGAAAAAACTGCTATCAGAAGAAATAGAACATCTTACTAGCTCCTGTCTTTCAGAAATCTTACCTATATCTTGTCACAAAGAAAAACTCCAGGCTCAGCATTTCAATGTTATGTGTTTTCAAATGTTTAAGAAAGAATAACGGTCTTTTAAAAGTCTTCCACAGAACCAAAAAAAACTACAAAAAAAAAAAAAACAAAAACAGAAAAACACGAGACTCTCATTTCCCATCTTGTTTTATGAGGCAGCATAACCCTGACAAGGATGTTTCAAAGAAAAACAGAAAATCCAGGCCAGTGTCTGTCTTGAACATCCTAAGCAACCCTAAACAAAATATGAATAACCCTGATCCAGTATCATTGAGGGATGATATGTCATGATCAAGTTGGGCTCAGGAATGCAAGGTTGGTATAATATTTTAAAAGTCAATGTAATCCATCACACTAACAAAAGAGGCAAACTATATGGTTATCTTAATAAATGCAGGAAAGTAATTTGTAAACTTCAACACCCATTCATGATGAACTATGCGTAGTGTTCCATTATTGGAATGCCAAGCATGTGAGAGTTCTTTATATCCTACTGCTCAAGCTCATTGCCAAGCAGTAGGTGACTTCAGGCATAAATGGGTTAAGGGAACCTTTAGCAAACCAGGAATAGAAAGGACCTTCCTTAATTTGATCAAAGGTATCTATAAGAAATCTACAACAAGCAGCCCACTCAAGGGTGGAAAGTGGAGAGCTGCCCCCACCCCCCTCTCCCGTTCCCTGAGATGGCTGCCCCTCACTGCGATGTGCTAGCACACCAAGGCAAGAAAAGAGGCTTAAAAGGGCTGGGTGTGGTGGCTCACGCCTGTAATCCCGGCACTTTGGGAGGCTGAGGCAGGTGGATCACCTGAGGTTGGGAGTTCAAGACCAGCCTGAACGATATGGAGAAACCCCATCTCTACTAAAAATACAAAATTAGCTGGGCATGCCTGTAATCCCAGCTACTCGGGAGGCTGAAGCAGGAGAATCGCTTGAACCCGGGAGGCGGAGGTTGTAGTGAGCTGAGATCATGCCATTGCACTCCAGCCTGGGCGACAAGAGTGAAACTGTTAAAAAAAAAAAAAAAAAAAAAGCTTAAAAGGCTTTAAAACCAGAAATGAAGCTGTCAGTATTTACAGGTGATATGGTTATATGTGAAGAAAATCCAAAGGAACTCACAAGCAAACTGTTAATAAGTGAATTTACAAGATTCCTGCCCACAAGGCCAACATACAAAAAACTGATTATATTTCTAAATTCCAGAAACGAACAGTAATAATCACTTACAAATGTTATTATAGACACTAAGAAATTTAAACTATGTAGAAACAAATCTAACAAAAGATGTCTGGGACAGAAAGCTATAAAATATTAGGAAAGTGAAGAAAACCTAAAAAAAAAAAAAAACAAAAGAAAAGGAGGGATGTAGCCTGTTGGTGAATAGAAGCCTCAGTATCGTAAACATGATGATTTTCTCTAAATGGTACATTCAGTGCAATTTCAATGAAAATCCAAGCAGAGATTTTTGTGGAAATTGCCATGTTTATAGTAGAATGATTTATATTCCTTTGGGTATATACCCAGTAATGGGATTGGTGGGTGGAATGGTATTTCTGGTTCTGGGTCTTTGAGGAACTGCCACATGTGTCTTCCACGATGGCTGAACTAATTTACATGCACCATATGTCCATTGCAGCACTGTTCACAATAGCAAGGACATGGAATCAACCCAAACGCCCATCAGTGATAGACTGGATAAAGAAAATGTGGCCGAGGTGGGCGGATCACTTGAGGTCAGGAGTTCGAGACCATCCTGGCCAATATGGCAAAACACCATTTCTACTAAAAATATAAAAATTAGCCAAGCGTGGTGGTGCATGCCTGTAATCGCAGCCACTTGGAAGGCTGAGGCAGGAGAATCACTTGAACCTGGGAGGTGGAGGTTGCAATCAGCCAAGATCACACCACTGCACTCCAGCCTGGGTGACAGAGTGAGACTCTGTCTCAAAAATAAATAAATAAATAATAAATAAATAAATAAATAATAAATAAAATTGGTCAATTTATGGACTTTGTTCTGCCAGGAGCAGACACCAGTGTTTCCTCATCCTCCTCGGAAGCCTGCCTGCCTTCATTGCTGCTGGGTTATCTGACAGTGAATTTTCCCCTCTATCAAAAAAAGAAAAAAGGCCAAAGACATGAAGAGTCACCTAAGAGAAGGCCTCCAAATGGTCAGTAAATGTGAAAAAGTGCTCAGCTTCATTGGTCAAATGAAAACCGCCAGAATCCCTAAGGTGTAAAAGGCCAGCACCATGGAGGGTGTGAGCAACTGGGCCTCCCCACACCCTGGTGGGGTGGAAGACGGTGCGGTGCCTTCTGCCAACAGCTGCAGCAGCCCATATTGGGTGTGCCCATCAGAAACGGCAAGTGGGCTTCAGGAGACACCGCCAGGATGGCCTTGGCAGCCATGGTCAGCCTGATCCTGGAGAGCCTCAGACACCCATCACCAATGCAGAGTTGCTGCTCGTCCCATGGAAGACTTTGCAGCAACATAAAGGAGGGGCTCGCGGCTCCCACAGTCACACCAGCGAGTTGCACGTGTGCGTGACGTGGGACACAGACATGCAGCGTGATCCTGTCTGCCCCTTTCAGAAACCAATGAAATCATCAGTGGCTGAGGCATTCTCTGCAGAGGGAGAGGAGGCAGGGATGAAGGAGCGAGGCAGGGGGCTTCCAGGAGGCTGGCATTGTTTCCCAGTCTGCATGTATTCACTTTGTGAGACGGTGTGCTATGATCTGCACACTTCACAATGTCATTCTTCAATTAAAAAAAAAAAAATTAAAACACAAAGGGCCAGAGCTGGCCACGGGCAGACCTGCACTATGAGATGCTGTAAGACTACACGAAGCGGGAGGACCGCGGTTCCAGACGGAAGATCTGAGATGGGGAAGGAAGGAAGAGCAGAGAAAATGGTAAATATGTGGGCAGGCCAAAAACTGGATTTATAAAAGAAGAGGTCTTGGGCTTAAAAAGAGAAAAAGATAAGAATTAGCATATGTAAAAGAAACTTCAGGATCCCTTATCCATTAAAGGCTACACCCAGAATATGTAACTTCCACGCTAGTAGAGGTGAAAGCTACAATTAGAAAAATACATGGTCTGTCCAAAAGAAGACAGGAAAGGACGGGGGCCTGGCCTTGGGGGTGTCCACTTGGCAGTGCCTCTGGCCCTCCTCGGGGTCAACAGGAAAGCTGACTGAAATGTACAAATGTGCTGAGAGTCTCAGGGGAGTGCAGCCCTCCTAGTCAAGGGTCTGGGCAAAGAGAGTGTCTGGGCATTGGGGCAGCCCCGGAGTCACTTTTCTCCTGGGCTGGTGGCTGCCCTGACAAGTGCTGCCTGGGGGGTGTGTGGGGCCTTGGCCAGCCTCGCAGCCGGAGGGATGGGCACTGGGACCTGGGGCTGCCAAGGACGAGGGCCCCAGTGTTCCCCTTCCCATTGGGCCGAATCCTGGGAGGGCTGCACCCTGAGTCTCCCGGGGCTGCCACTCAGCCTCACATCGTCCCAGTCATGATCCTGGACTGACGTGGTCTTGCACGGCTGGTGTCCCCAGCTGCCAGGCAGAAGTAAACACTAATCCTTCTGGGAGGAAGATAATGCTAAATTATGTCTGTGAGCAATTTTGCAAATATGGTATCCAGCACACAGAAACAATCAGGCAAAGGAGAGAAAACAATGTAAATAAAAACCTATGGAAATAACAGAGAATAGAAACAGCCCCACAGCGATGAACTGGACACTTTTAAAAAGTACCAAACTGGCCGGGCGCGGTGGCTCACGCCTGTAATCCCAGCACTTTGGGAGGCTGAGGCGGGCGGATCACGAAGTCAGGAGATCAAGACCATCCTGGCTAACACGGGGAAACCCCATCTCTACTAAAAATACAAAAAAATTAGCCGGGTGTGGTGGCGGGTGCCTGTAGTCCCAGCTACTCGGGAGGCTGAGGCAGGAGAATGGCGTGAACCCGGGAGGCGGAGGTTGCAGTGAGCCAAGATGGCGCCACCGTACTCCAGCCTGGGCGACAGAGGGAGACTCCGTCTCAAAAAAAAAAAAAAAAAAAAAGTACCAAACAGTAGCTCTACCACTAGAAAATAGAATTATCAAAATTAAGAATTCAGTATGTAGGTATAATAGCAGATGAGACACATCTGAGGAGGGAGGAGGTGAACTGGAAAACAGGGAGGAAGAGATCCCAAATGATGTGTGTTGCACCAGACACCGAAGGAGGAAAGGACTCCATTCCTTCACAAGCTCTTCCAGGAAGCAGAAAGAGGTGGACATCCGCCAACTCATGTTTTGAGGCTAGCATTTCTTTGGCATCAAAATCTGAAGACATCAGCAGAGAGAAAAAAATTACAGCCCAATCTTATGCTTACACATTCACATACTTTTTTTTTTTTTTTTTTTTTTTTTTGAGACGGAGTCTTGCTCTGTTGCCCAAGCTGGAGTGCAGTGGTGCAATCTCAGCTCACTGCAGCCTCTGCCTCCCAGGCTCAAGCGATTCTCCTGCCTCAGCCTCCTACTCAGATAAATTCTAAGCAAAATTTTAGCAAACCAAATCTAGCAGTGAACAATCTCATTTGGTAACTAACTGTGGCTGGATTCAATCAGGTGTCATATCTTGTATTCTGTACCCTTGTTAAGCTCTCTAATTAATCATAACAGTTTCCAACAATATAACAATCTCAGTCCTTTAGATTTTCAACATGACACGTGTTTGGGCTGTGACTGCAGCTTGGCTTGACCTTAGAATATCACTCAATGTGACTCAACACACTGACAGATTAAAGGAGGAGAAATTCATGTGATCCTCACGGCCAAGGCAGACACAGCTTTTGAGAAAATTCAGCATCCAAGAAAAATGCTTAAAAAAAAAAAAAAAAAAAAAGGGCCAGGCATGGTGGCTCACGCCTGTCATCCCAGCACTTTGGAAGTCAGGAGTTCAAGACCAGCCTGGCCAACACGGTGAAACCCCGTCTCTACTAAAAATACAAAAAAACAGCCTTGCGTGGTGGTGGGCACCTGTAATTCCAGCTACTGGGGAGGCTGAGGCAGGAGAATCGCTTGAACCCGGGAGGTAGAGGTTGTGGTGAGCTGAGATTGCGCCATTGCACTCCAGCCTGGGTGACAGGGCGAGACTCTGTCTCTCTTTTTTTTTTTTTTTTTAGATGGAGTCTCGCTCTTTCAGCCAGGCTGGACTGCATTGGCACTATCTCGGCTCACTGCAACCTCTACCTCCCAGGTTCAAGTGATTCTCCTGCCTCAGCCTCCCCAGTAGCTGGAATTACAGGCGCCCACCACCACGCAAGGCTGTTTTTTTCTATTTTTAGTAGAGACGGGGTTTCACCGTGTTAGCCAAGATGATCTCGATCTCTTGACCTCGTGATCTGCCCACCTCGGCCTCCCAAAGTGCTGGGATTACAGGCGTGAGCCACTGTGCCCGGCCAACTCTTAAAAAATAAAAAAAAGCATTCTAGAAAATAAAAGGAATTCCCTTGACTTGATCAAGAGTTTCCACAGAAGCCTTGCAGCCACAGCGCGCGTCCCCATGGTCAGGAGCAGGACTGGGTGCCATTCTCACAGCTTCTGTCCAGCTGTGTGGAGGTCTCGGGAACAGAGAAAGAAAACAAGCCAGAGGTACACTGTGGAAACGAAGAGACAAAACAAAACCCACTGTTCGCAGGTGATGTCACTGTGTTCTGGAAAACTCCAAACAATTTCCAAAGATAACCTAAAATATTTCCCAGGGAAAAATATCGGAAATATTAAGAGATGTCAGCACGTTTTTGGGGATCAAAGTCAGTATACAAGGTGTCATTGCGTTTCTGTCATCAGCAGTCATGCGAAAAGGAAACTTTAAAAAGCCACCGTTCAAAAAGCTTTAAGATATAGAAATGTCAAGAAATAACTCCAATTAAAGATGCAAAAAGATGTTTATGGGAAAAAAATCATAAAACTTTCCTGAAAGAGGTTAAAGAAGACCTAAATTAAGGGAGCCCCATCCCGCATCCGTGGATTGCAGAGCACACTGTGCTGACCCCTGTTCTGCCGTCTCCCCTGTGGCTGGCTGCCCTGGCCCCTTCTTCAGCCGGGCCAGGAGCCCAGACCCGCGCTCCCCTCTGCGTGGACACACCCTCAACCCCTTCGCACCTCCGAGGACTCACCTCGTAGGACTCACCTAGACAAAGCCCCAAGCAGAGATACATGAACCTTCGCCTGCCCTGTACCTGAGAGCAGGAGAAGCAGCGCACACCTGGTTGCATTTTTGCTGTGAAACCACAGGCTTCCAGGCAGCCTCTTCATACTGCCCGGCAGCCCCACTTCCCTTCCCTTTGCCTTGAACCTGTACACCGCCTCCCCACCTCCACTCCACTACTGGGGATGCCTCCCTGTTCATCAGCCAAAGCAATCAAAAGAAACCCCACAGGCACCCCAGCCACACCCACTCACCCACCTGCCCTGCACTCGCCTCCCTTTGGTCCCCCACATGGGTGGGTGCCCGCCTGGCTCCCCCAGCAGCCGGGCCCCACCCGCCCCACGCTCGCCTCCCTCTGCTCCCCCACATGGGCGGGTGCCCGCCTGGCTCCCCCAGCAGCCAGTCCCCACCCACCCCACACTCACCCGCCTCTGCTCTCCCACATAGGCGGGTGCCTGCCTGGCTCCCCCAGCAGCCGGGCTGTGGGAAGATGGGTGAGAGTCAGCTCTCTGAGTGCTTGGCGGCAGGCGGTCAGCTCAGCTGGTGGGAACAGCAGGACGGTGTGGACGTCAGCCTGGCACGGGGCAGGGGTGCCCCTCAGCAGAATGGCATGGGGGCTGTGGCAAGCTCCCCTCCATCTCTGGTCCCTGGAGTCAGACTAGACCTTCGCCGCATCCGGCTCGAAGGCTCGGATGGATGATGGATTGCCCGGCCCATCTTCCCCGGGGGGTTGGATCTGAGACCATCAGCATCCAGCAGCCGTGAGTGTGATGGATGAACCGAGGCCAGTCACCTAGTGGGGAAACGACATCTCACATTTAAAGAACACCAGGCGTTTCTACACAGCGGGGGAAGGAAATCCGTCCTGATTTTAAACTTTGGCACAGCTGTGAAACCGAGGGTAGTGAACTCTGAGGAGAGGACTCTTTTCTGTAAGTGGCCCTCCAAGAGCCGAAGTCCCGGTCCCGAGAGATGCGTGTCATGTGTGTGGCCTTGTGACAGAGCCGCTGGGGTTCTCTGTCTACTTCTGGATCGTCCCCGTGTTGCTGGGTGGGCTCCCTGTTCCCCCACCCCAGGCCGTGCAGGCTGGCTTCGCAGTGGACTCGGCTGTGGGAGGTCCTGGCAGGGCGGGTGCTCCTTCCCCGCTTCCCCTACACCCCCGTGACTACAGCCCCATCCCTGGCATCAGCATCCTTGGGATCTTTGCCCCTCAAGCCCGTAACCTTGCTGGTCTCTGAGGCTGTACAGAAACCTGTTTCCTGCAGGGACATACATTTAACGTCCGTGAAAGCCTCAGACCCCCTGAGCACACCTGCCTAGCCGTGTTGTGGACGAACAAGGGCTGACGAAATGCCTGTGGAGGCTGATTTCACCGGAGTCAGGGGAAGTCAGTCTAAGCAAAGAGCAGGGGCACGGATGAAAATAACAGAACAGTGACCCAGGTAGGAACCGTGTGCCGGGGAGGCTGGGCCAAGCATTTATAGAAACTGCCCAAAGAGCAGAGCAGGGCGGGCGTTTCGGCCCATTTTACAGACCAGGAAAACGGGCGGAGAGGCTGAGTGACTGCCCGAGGCGACACACAGCTCTCCCGCCCTGTTTGCTTACACACATTCTTGGCCATGCAGTGAAGGGAGTTCCCAGCAGTGTCCCCCGCCCACTCGCATCCTATTGCCCAGCTGAGCCCCTCCCTTGGCTCTCCCACCCATGGGCCTGATGGCCACAGCTGGGATCCACCGGACACTGCAGTCCCCCAGGCTTCGGGTCTTTGCCTCCTTAGTCACCTGCGAAGCACCTCCTATGTGCCAGCTCTGCCCGTCCAGGGAGAAGCAGCACAGCCCGGCCACCCGAGGCCTCCTGTGCGCTTCCCCGTCTGAGGTCCGTGATCAGAACTGCGGGCCTCTCCCCAGAGGTCGGGGCAGCGACAGGACAGCCGCGGGCTTCTCCGCAGAGGTCGGGGCAGCGACAGGACAGCCTCAGCCTCTTCAGATGCTGCCTTCAGGGAGCAGTGAAAGAGGGAGGGAGAGACAGAGAGCACCCGGGCGGGTCTCCCAGCCACACCAGGCTGGTGGGTGGGATTTATGTGCCAGGTACTGTGCTGGCTATCACCGGGGCCTGGTGGTCTCTTGGAGTCACAAGCAGCCGCCTGAGATGAGGTTTATCATTTTGAGCTAGAATAGGACTGAAGCTCATTCCCGAGGGGCTGGCCGGGCCGGCTCTCCCTGCCTGCCGGCATCTCCACTGCCTCTGCTGTCCTGAAGCTCTTATGAGGGTTCACATTACTAGGACGCCAATGTGGGTTCTCCTCTGGGCACTGGCCCCAAGGCACCCCAACCTCAGACATGTCACCTCCTGGGCCTACTAGAAATGGAGACTGCAGTTCTATGATGGGAAAATCTCTACACCATCGGTCATTTGGGCTATAGAAGAAAAAGAAATTATTTTCAGCTGCAGCTTCGTTTTTGGAATCTTGGCAAAAAAGTTAACAGTGGAGGGGGAAGGAGGCTGGGCACCCTGCCACGAGGCTGGTTCTTGTGGTCCTGGGCACCATCCGGTCACTTTAAAGTAGCAGGTGTCCCCGATGGTACACGCGTGCCTTGTCAGGGTGCACTGTCGGCCGCCTGCTCGCGGTTGGGACACACATGAGGGCTGTGAGAACCCGGGGGTGGTGGCCAAGTGACTCCACAGTGGCCCAGTTGGGGTCTCTTCACTTGCTGGACGGTGGCTCAGCCTGACAGGTTTCACAGGTATCCACGGGTCTGAGTCCAGAGCTGCCCCACACAGATGGCCCCTCCCCAGGTCCTGCGTCAGCCAGCGAGAGGTTCCTGCCCAGACCTCAGGTGACCCCAGCTCCGGTCACTTCTGCCCAAAGGCAAATGAGCTTTTCCTAAAGTCCAAACCCAGTGGTCCCCACAAATCTGAGCAAAGCTGGAAACCCTTGTTCGTTCTGTGGTGCACAGGACGGGCAACTCTGCGGCTGAAATTGCTGTTTTCAGCTACTGTCAGCTGAGCCTTGCCTGGAGCCTCAAACCGCATTGAGGGCTTTCTGTGCTTTGCCTCCCAGAATCCTGGCTGTGGCCTCATGAAACAGGTGCTGTTAAAATCAGCTGCATTGGAAACAGCCGAGTCAGGCAACGAAGGCACAGAGAGGTTAGACAACTTGTGGAAAATCACGCAGCACCGGTGCCTCCACATTCACACTCCGCCCCTCCGTGTCCTGCAATCCTGACCAGCCCCACGTTCCCCAGGACAAGCCGCCAGCATCCCGGAAGGGGTTAATCCCTCTCTGGTGGGTCAGCTCCTGCCACTCTCCCGAGTGCTTTTGCACATGGTCTGGTCGCAATGTGCCCAAGACGGCCCTGTGCTGGGGAGGAAAGCGCTTACATAATCCTCCCCGAGTGTCTTCTCTCTCAGGCGGCATGCACACCCCACTTGGGTTGCAACACAGGCAAGCAGATGCCAGGAAATTCTGAGGCTGCTGCTGAGCCTGGGCTGGGTGAGGCCCAGACCTGAGACCCCCTCACCTGTGTGGGCCCTTGGCTTCCTCTGTGCCCCTCCTGAGCGGGGTCCCTGGCACAGACTCTTGTTCAGACCGTGCAAGGTAGGTGCGTGGTCAGGAGCCCACGGCTCAGGACAGAAGCCATTTGGGGAACCAGCGGGACCTCCAGCGGCTTGGAGGAGGCTGAGTGGGAAGCACGTTCCTACCCAGGCTGAGCACTTCACACAGGGGGCTGGGCCAGAGGGAGAGCTGCCTGCCCCGGAGACCCCTACCTGCCTTCCTGTGCTGGCACAGCCATGCCCAGCCTCCGCTGGACAGCTTGGACTGAGGTTTCCTTGTGGTGGCCCCTCCCCAGAGTGTCTCCCGGGGGCACAGGCCCTGGCGGCATGCACGTCACCCGGGGGGCTTTTAACAGAGACCAGCAACCCTCCCACAGAGGACTGGGGAGCCGGCCCGTGGCTGGCGTGGGGGAGGCAGGCACTACCCAGCCATGCCGGGTGGACAGGCATTTTCCACAGCTCGGGAAACGGAGCCGGGCCAGGAAGGTTGGAGCTCAGCTCTTGGGTGAGAGCCGCGGAGCCCTGGCTGAGCCTCACCTGCGCTCGGAGCCCGTTTCCTTTTCTGTCAAATTCACAATGGGATCTGGCCCTTGACTCCACCCCAGCAGCACCAAAGACACCGCCCTGCACTCATTACATTTCCTCCCAGCCCGCGGGGGGTCGGGGGGGGTGGTGGGGGTGAGGGTGGGCGCAGGCACTGCCTGGCAGGGGAGTGAAAGGAAGGGCCGCGCCGCCCAGGCCTGGGCCCCTCCCCAGCATGTCTCCTCCCCCACCTGCCACCTCAGAGGGTGGACACCCGGCAGGGCCTGGCGAGGGGCGGCAGGGCGGGTTGTGTGCCTGGGGCTGGGGGATGAGTGTTGGGGTCTGCCGGCGCTGACAGTGGGGTGAGGACCGTGTCCCCTGGATTCCCTCCACCCCCGGGCCCTCTTGCCTGGCGGGGACAGCCAGGAGAGAGACTGAGCATTCTCCGTGTCCTGAGGCTCTTCTTGAAACGGTCCCCAGGATCCTGTGAGCAGGAGCCGCGCAAGGCCTGGATCAGCCTTGATCTCGTCTTGAACTCCCTGACTTCTTGCACAGGAAGGTGCTGGGCGCCGAGTCCTCACTGCGGGTGAAGGACCCAGAGGAGAGGAGTGAGCCGAGGCCGCCTGCCCATGGCCAGGGGGTCTGAGTTGGGACACGTTTTCTATTTGGTGGCCTCAGACCCTGCTGGCTGCCAACCCTTGGAATAAGCAACAGGGCGCCTTGGACCCAACAGCCTGGTGGCCATGAGCCCATCTGAATGCCCGGAACTCGCCTTGGACCCAACGGCCTGGTGGCCACGAGCCCATCTGAATGCCCGGAGCTGGGGAGCTGGGACCAGGTGGTGGGAACTATGCTTGCCTCCCGGCCAGGCCGCCTGTCATGGGAAATGGGCCACCGGAGCCCCTGCCCAGCAGTTGGCTGCCCCCCAGGGCTGCTCCGGCCAAGCTTCTCCAGAGGTCACGCACTGCACCACATCCTCCCACCCCACTGGGCCAGCCCTGCTAGAGGAGGGGGTGCCCCCACAGAGTCTGCCCCCGCCGCTGCCGGCGAGGACCTCCGGGTGTGACCACACAGGGCCCGGGCTCCCATCCAGGCCGAGTGGGCGCAGGGCACGGCTTCTCCGTGGAGTCCCAGGCCCTACGCCTCCAGGCGCCAGGCGTGCCTGAGTGAGGGCCTCATCCTGGAGGACGGGGAGGGGTGCAGGAGGCAGCTCAGGAATCCCTCAGGGCGCCCCAGGCCAGGCTGATCACAGCAGAGCGGCCTTAGCAAAGCTTCCAGCTTCCCCCAGCCTTTGCCGCACGTCTGCAATGGGGACTTTTCAAAGCTGATCTCGGTGCAGTGGGCGTAGCTGATTCCGGCCCCGGGCTGCGGAGCCAGGAAGGAAAGCCTGCGTCTGCTTTTTGCTGGAGTTTAGCACAGATGGCAATCCTGTGCCGCCATGAATTAAGTGGGTTTCAACCCAGTGCTGCTCTCTCCAGCCAGGGCCAGGCTCCTAGAGGGGCTCACAGGGCTCCCAAGCTGGACTCCCTGCCCCAGCTCCTTCCTCTTCCCCGGCTCCCAGCAGAGCGGGGCTGTCATTTCACCAAGCAGCCATGGGGGTGGGGGCCAGAGCCTTGTGGGCTCATGGGTGTGGGGGGAGTGAGGTGGGTCCCTGCCCGTGGGGGAATGTGGGGGCCCAGCGGTGCTGGAACAGGAGTGATTCTGCCCCCAAGCAGGAAACACAAATCAATATGTGAATGTTTGGGGTTGTTGCAACTGGGGAGGGGGCGATACTGGCAATTAGGGGGTGTAAATCAGAGGGAAGAGGGAGGGAGGGAGAAAGAAGGGAGAGAGGAAGGAGGGAGGGAGGGAGGAAGGAGGAGAAGAAGGTGCCCAAGCCCCCATTCCCCAGGAGAGGTAGTGCCCAGGACTATGGTGCCCTTTGCAGGGCCGACCTCCCATCTCCATGGCGTCACTCTCTTTCCTTCTCGGGGACTTGGGGTGACCATGAGCCGTACTATCGAAGTACTTACTGTGGAAGGTGGAAGAGCTGAGGAGGGCGCCCGACAGGATCCCCCAGGACACCCTGGCCCATTCGGCACCATTCGAATGCATGAGATCGCAGGCCCTGTGCCGGTGCCCGGGGCATGAGGGGCCTGCCCGTCCTGCAGGGTGCTGCTCAGATGCCTCGACCCTGGGAGGCCCCTCCTGGCCATTCTTGCAGGCCTGCCCCAGCCTGTGCCTTCTGCTGGGGCAGGGCCTCAGGCAGCAGTGGACAGTGGCCAGGAGGGCGCCGCTCAGGTTGGGAGAGGCCCGTGGGGGATCAGCCTCCCCGGATCCCGGGGTGGGGCCTAGTTACACACAGAGATAATGCAGACTCAGGCAGTGCGCAGGCAAGGCCGGAGTGCCGAGTATGGTACAGGAAACGCAGTGTGCGCAGCTGCGCTGCACCGTGGTCCACACAGCCAGGCTCTTTGGTGTGTTTCCTGCACACAAGGACATTCACAAGCCCTCAGCATCGTCAGAATCAGGGAGTGGACAGGTCCCTGCAAGGCCCCACTGCAGCCTGACCACTGTCCCCACGAGGTTCTGAGAGCGGAGTCTGATGGTGTCACGCCCTTCCCCAAGCCGCCGTCTCTCCTCCATCTCTGTCAGCCTGTGCAGGCTCCTGGCCCCTCCGTGCTGTGGGCACTCGGACTGCTTTGCCTCTGGATTCCTGGTGATGAGATCCTGGGTGGGCGGGGACAGCAGGGGGCGAGGCTGCGCTTCTGCAGGTGTCCTGGCGGCGGGTGTAAAATCTCACCCTGGGCGGTCTCTGGTGACGTGAACGCTGACGGTTTAATTGATGCCGTGTCTGCAGCCTCCCCTGCAACGCTGTCCTTTCTCTCTATTATGATTAATCCGTGTTCTGTGGGGCGTCCTTTAAAGCCATGGGGACATCCACGCGCACCAGGCTTCCAGCTGCTTGTCTGAGCCTGAGCTGTGGGGCCGCTTGTGCCCCAGGCCATCTCCTGGCACTGTCAGCTCCCACCATCCCCCCACAACCCTCCCCATCAAGCAGGCTCCTGAGTGCTCGGGCACGGCCTCGTAGCCCTGGAGGGTCGCGATCTCCTACAAGCCTCTGGTGTTTTCCCTGCCCAGGCTGGAGCTGGCCAATTCTCCCAGGAGTCCTGGCCACTTTGAATGGAACACGGTACTGAGAAGCCGAGGTCTGGGTGCTCGGGATGCTCATGCCCATGGAGGCCGGGACGTCAAGGGGCTTCCAACTCCAGCCTCTCATGGGATGGTACAGCGGCCTGGGCAGGGGCGGAGCTGAGAACAGAATTTCACCCCCGAGGTTCTCGGACTGGAGCTCCAGAGGAGCCGCTGCCCAGGGGCACTTACCGTGTCCTTTATGAAAACAGAAAGTTGAAAACCCCAGATGTCTAACAATGAGCGAATGATTTGGCGAGCTGTGGCTCGGGGTCTGCCATGAATTCTTGGCTCCTGGACTGTGGACTGGGGGTGGAGGACACCAACAGGAACTCTTAGAGGGAAGCTGGAGGAGGTGGGGGAGACAGAGCTTTGGAAAAAGAGCTTCGACTTTGCTCTTGGGTGGAGGAGACGAGGGGAGGGCACGCAGCCAGGGACCACGGGCCGCAATGCTCCCTCCTTCCCAGGGTCCACGGGCGGCAATGCTGCCTCCTTCCCCGCGTCCACGGGCGGCAATGCTCCCTCCTTCTCAGGGTCCACGGGCGGCTGGTGCTTTTTCCTTGCCGGCGTCCACAGGCAGCAATGCTCCTTCCTTCTCAGGGTCCACAGGCAGCAACACTCCCTCCTTCCTGGCATCCAGGGCGGTCGGTGCTCCCTGCTTTCCAGGGTTCCAGGGGAAGTCCCACCCCCTGAATCTTGGGAGCTGGGGAAGAGGTGGGACCCTCGAGGACAGGCCGTAGCCCTCATAGCCAGCCACCCCTAAGGGAGCATAGCTGCTCCACACGGCGGAATTCTCTCCGCACAGACAGCGCAGCCCTGACGCCTCCAGACACCCCTTCTTGCCGATGCCCTTTTCTAGCTTGATCTTGATGGTTCCTAGAGCCTGGGGGTCAAGTGTTCCCTGGCTCGCTTCCTGTAACATCAACTGGAACTTTTCAATGTGGTCTAAAAATAATCCCACCAGCACTTTGGGAGGCCAAGGCAGGAGGATCGCTTGAGGTCAGAAGTTCGAGTCCAGCCCGGGCCACGTAGCAAAACCTCACCTCTACTAAAAAAAAAAAAAAAAAAAAAAAAAAATTCAGCTGTGTGTGGTGGCTCACGCCTGGAGTCCTCGGAAAGCTAAGGCAGGAGGATCACTTGAGCCCAGGAAGTGGACACTGCAGTAAGCTACGATAGCAACATTGCACTCCAGCCTGGTGGACAGAGCAGACTCTGTCTCCATCATCATCATCATCATCATCATCATCATCATCATCATCATCTCTCAAGCATCAATAAGACCTTATTCTATAATGATGATGGTCACACAACTCTGAATAAAGACTAGTGAATTGTGCACTTCACATAGGTGAAATGTATAGTATATTAATTATATCCAAGAAAGCTGTTTATTTCTAAAGGGATTTATCATTCTAATAACAAAAATAAATGATAATAGTGTGACTCTTTGGCACTTTCATTTTTTTTTTTTTTCTGTTTGCTCCTTTGATCATCCAGCACATGGGTGGGAGAAGGCTGGGTTTCACTATCATCTCTGCCTTGCCAGTGGATGAAGCCCAAACCCCAGGTGGGAAGTGCTGGGGTGGAGACTTCAATCCAGGGACTCTGCCCAGGGCCTGTCCCATGTTTTCATGTCAGCTGGCATTTCGTCATCTTAGCCTGATCAGTCCTGTCTAAACTGGTCATTCTTGGGTTGAATCATTGGAATCCCTTTGGCCCTGTCACCGAATCCCCCTCTGGGACAATGCTGAGACAGCTCTGTGGCCTCCAAGATGAACCCACTGACCCACGCCTCCTGGGGTTTATCATCTTCCTACATTGACTCAGGGCTGATGTGTGTGGCCCGTGGAACATGGCAGAGCTGACAGTGTGTAACTTCCATGACTGAGCTGTACAAGGCAACATAGCTTCTGTCTTGGTCTCTCAGGCCATCCACTCCGAGGGGAGCCAGCCCCCATGCTGTGATATTCAAGTGGCCTCATGGCAGGGTCCATTTGGAGAGAACTGAGTTCTGGCCAGCAGCACCACTGGCCAGTGTGTGATGGAGTGACCTAGGAGTGACCTGGGAAGGCCAGCCCCAGTCAGGCCTTCAAATGAGACTGCAACTCCAGCTGATGCAAGACTACAGCTTCAGGAGACTTTCAGGCAAGAATGTTTAATCAAACCCCTCCAGAAATAGGGACTCTTATTCTATCAGCAAGATCATGGCCTGCAGTAATGTGGAAAGTGGCCCAATGAGCTGAATGATCAAGCTAGCAAGCTTTGTAAGGAGGGCACTGAGGGTGGCATATCTTGTACTTTATTTTATTTATTTATTTATTTTAAATAGTAATATTATAAAATAGAGATGGGGTTTTGCCATGTTGCCCAGGCTGGTCTCAAACTTCTAGGTTCAAGCAATCCACCTGCCTTAGCCTCCCAAAGTGTTGGGATTACAGGCATAAGCCACTACACCTGGCCTCTTGCTACTTTTAAATAAAATAAGAGAGGGAAGAGATAAACTAAAGGAAGGGCTGCTAAATATAAAAGAGATGCTTTCTGTCTGAAAACACTTTTTCTCATTCCCGGCCCCTCAAGGTGGCACACAATGCTGAGAATAGGAAACCCAGGGATGCAGGTCATTTAGGGAACAGGACAGGTGATGGTGGCAAGCCTCCCAGATGGCTCCAGTGACCCCCCCAACTCCTGTATTTGTCTGTGTGTGCTCCCCTCCCACACAGCAGGGCTGGTCTGTGTGGTCAGCATAGAGTACGGTGGTGGGCAACATGTGACTTCCCCTTGAGGCTGGATTATAACGGCATTGCAGCCTCCACTTGGCCTGTTGGCTCACTCACTCTAGAAGAAGCTGGCCACCATGCTGTGAGGACATCAGGCAGGCCCTGGAGAGTAACTGGGGCCCTCAGCCAATAGCCAGCACCAGCCCACCCACCTCGTGAGGGAGCCACCAGCCCCAGTCTAGCCTTCAGGTGATGCACCCCAAGCTGACATAAGACCACATGAGAGACCCTAAGGAAAACCGCCCTGCTGAGCACTTCCCACTTTCCTGGCTAACAGTCTGTGAGGGATAAAAAGTGATTTATGCTCTTTAAGCCATTAAGTTTTGGGTGTGTAGCAACACAGCAACAGATATAAAATATAGCAGCATATAAAAGACCTGCACAGAATTCCTATGGAAGTGGGGATGCACCATGGATTTGGACCAGGGACAGACAATATCATCTGTTTTTCCTCCCTGAAACCCTTCTTAATGATCCTGGAGTCAGGGCACTCCTATCAGAATCAATGACCTGCTTTGGGTTTTAATTCTAACCAGCACTGGCGTGTCCCCTCCAACATGCAAGGTATGAGAAGGACTTGCTTTTGGTTACTTAAACATGCCAGGCCATCTGACAACCTCACTAATGACAACCACTTTGCAATCTCACTGATTCTCACTTGGGTGGCCAGTGTTTGACTGGTGACTCTTCTAAAAAGTTGGACATGCCGTTACCCAGGGGTGTGCTCCGTGTCTGCCCCGTGGAGGAAATGCTTTGTCCAAAATGCCTAATCAGAGTCCTAGAGCCAAACCAGGGTGTCAGCCTTGGCTGAGCCCTGGAGACACCTGGGAGCTCTGAACATGCAGCTGCCCACCCCACCCCACCCCGGGAGCTGCTGGGAGCTGGAGAAGGTGGGAAGAGGCCTCCCCAGGGCCCTCAGAGGGTGCACAGCCCTGGAACAACTGGCTCTCAGACTCAGCCTCCAGCGAGGGAGAGGGTGAATTTCTGTCACATGGACCCCCCGGTTTGTGGCACTTTGCTGCAGCAGCCCCAGCACACGGATGTAAAGTGGGTCCGGCATCAGCCCCACAGCCCTTTGTTCCTGCTTCATGGCCCCCAGGAGAGACACCCTGAGCTCCCACTCTCCCACACACACTCGAGGCTGAAAACGCAGGATTTTTATGCCCAGACCTGCTGTTTCTTTCAGTTGTAACTTTTATCTTATGAAAACATTTCTGACCTACTCGAAGGTAGAAGGGCAGGACTCATCACTTCTGCCTCCTCTTTCTGCCCAAGGATAGAAAGAATAAAAGCCAGCCACGTGGTCCCTACAGGAGGACGCCATGTGGTCACTGCTGTCACCAAGAGACTGCACAGGCCCAGCTGTGCATGGGCGCCCTGAGTGTTAACTGGGCTCAGCCATGTCCTCACTTTGATGGTGACACACAGAGGCATCTGCCTGTTAAGCAGGTGGTCCTCCGGGGTCCCCTGAGAGCACAGCCAGGGAACCGGATGCCCACATTTCCTCACTCTCCTCCCATCTTCCCTCCCTCATCTTTCTCCATGCGCTTGAGTGCTTGCTCTGAAATCCAACCTTTAGTGACAATAAAGGAATGAAAAAGAATTCCCTCCACTTAAAGTGGACAGCAAGCCCCTCAATTCCTCTAGGACCCTCTGTCCTTGGTGTAAGTTTGTAAGAAACTTCCAGGAAACGTTGCTTCTATCTTATGTAGATACTTCTGCACAAATGACAGATGTCCACAGGATGTCCAAAGGATGACAGGGGACTCTCCCTGCTGCCCAAAGACATCCTGGCTTCCCTGAGGGTGATGGACCCGCCCAGCTCTCCACTGCCTAGACCCTCCGGCTTTCCTGAGGGTGATGGAGCTGCCCAGCTCCCTGCTGCCCAAAGAACCCCCAGCTTTCCTGAGGGCGATGGAGCTGCCCAGCTCCCCGCTAGATGCCCTGGCTTTCCTGAGGGTGATGGGGCCCTGCCCGAGGACAGCTGCTTTTGTGCCAACTTTCGATATTTCATCTGAGCCGCCAGAGGCTCTAGAAATTGGAATCTACCAATGTCGACCAACACTGGGAGCAGCGTCCTGAGCCCCGAGACAACGTGATCACCCAGAGATCTCTCTTCCCCACCCCACCTTCTTCCTGAGCCATGCACAGAGAGGGTAGACGTTGAACAATGATTAGAAGCAACCCCAGGGTCCCTCCATGGGGTCGAGACCAGGTGACGATGTGCGCCAGGCGCGTTCTCGGAAATGCTGGAGGAATAGGGCCGTCTGGACACGTTGAGAGGTGGGTGGTTCCAGCTCAAACTTCAGGGGGCGCACCGCGGGTCGGGGTGAAAATGGCACTTCTATCTCTAGAGTTCCCCCAGTGGCCAAAAGGTGGACTCAACCCAGATGTCCTTGGGTGGACTGATGCCTGCTTACCCAACATGTGGTCTCTCCCCACCGAGGAGTACGACTCAGCCATAGAGGAATGAGGGCCTCACCCATGCTGCGGTGTGGGCCAGCCTGGAGAACGTCATGGAAGCAGAAGGAGCCAGATGGGAGGACCACACATGGCCAGCTGCATCCCTGTGACATGGCAGAGCAGGTGGGTCTGCGGAGACGGGGGCCCTGGGTGGTTGTCCGGGGCTGGAGGGGATGGGCAGTCATTGGGTGGCCTTTGGGGATGATGAAAACGCTTTGGAAGTAAACAGAGGGCATAGTACAGCATGCGCCTCATGCCACCTACAGTGTCATACTTTAAAACATTAATTTGATGTGCAGTGAGTTTCACCTCAATTTAAAAAACAGGAAGAGAAGTACCAGAGGATGAGAATTGTTTACTCCCTGTGTGCTCTGTGCATGTGAGATGAATGTCACACTCCACACACACTTGCAGACTCCCAGCCGGGTGCCGTTCCTGCCCTTCTGGGGTTGACGACCTGTACAAAGCCCCCAAAAGAATGGGATGGTGTCCCGGCAGCCTGGGGCTTCGAGGGGGGAGGGCGTCGCCCGGGTGGACCCTGCCCCACCCACATGTTCTCGAGGTCAGACCCCTCACTTAGGGGTGGCCGAGGGTGCACCAACTGGCAGCCTGGGTCTCTGTGTTCCGACCACAGCGCTGGGGCCCTTTCTAGAAGCTTCCTGGAAGCGAGAGCCAGTTTTTGTGTAGGCGCGGGGAACGCAGTCCAGAGGCCCCGTAAGGACGGGCACATCTCCCTCCCATTGCCTCAGTGGCTGCACCTGCTTCAGGGTAGCAAAGGGGGCTGCTGGAGTGCTCGGGCTGTGGGAGGTGCCCGTCAGAAGGCGAGCGTGAAAACAGCAGTGTGTGTGGAAGCAATGGAAGGGGGGTCTGGGGAAAATGAGGGGGCGGTCAGGACGGGCTTCTGAAACAGTTTTTAAATGTCTGTTTTCTGATTATAAAGGCAATGTATGCTCATTGTAGCAAACTGCAAAAATACAGGAAAGTAGAAAGTGGGAAAAGGTGCTGCGAATCTGCCGTCCAGACCTAACCGAGAAGGCATGGCATGTTGCCGCCCTCAGGGCATGTGCCGATGGCTCCTCCTGGGCCCACGCCTCCTCCTGCGCCCACCCTCACATCTCCCCATCTGGCATGAAGCCTCTCAGTAGCTATTTGTGGGCTAAATTTTGGCCATGATTAAATTCCTGTGACTCGGCTTCCCTGGAAGCTCATAAGAGCCCAGGACGCCTTAAGTGGATGGAACGGCGACTCGGGGCTCAGGGGAAGGCAGGCAGAATCACTGATGCACCTGCACTCCACCTGGCAGTAGCCTGCCTCAGTGGCAGCAGCTCAGTTTTGGGTGCTGTTTATCTCCTACGAACGAGGAAACCAGGGCTCTGAAAGCACCAAGGCTGGCTAAGGGTCCCCACAGGGAATTGAGGAGTGGGCTGGAATTCCCCCCCAACCAGTGCCCCTTGCTGAGCCTGGAGTGGGGTCTGAGTGTTAAAATCTCCAGGGGAACCCCCACTAAGGGTGACCCCCGCAGAGACCGGAGGGCTTGACATCCCGAATTCCTTGGAGCAGGTGCACCCCTCTGCTGCCTAGGAGGAAAAAAGCCCAGTGGGTTAGAAAACACCCGCTCACCCTTGCAAAGCCGCAGCAGCATCCAGGGTCTTGGCCGCTCGTTCCAGTTTATGGCGAAAGCCAGGTGAAGCCAGGAACAGACTCTGTGCCTCTGAGGCAGCCGGACGCGGCTGTTGACGCAGAAGGTTGATTTTGTCTGGATCTCTCTTGACCAGACAAGGTAGGGTTAAGTGTGTGAAGGGGGAGAAGGGAATGCAGACCGCCTGGAACTTGAAACTTCCCAGCCCAGAGCCAGCCAGTGCGCAGAGACGCAGCCCCAACGCGCTGCTGCTGCTGCGGACACCTGGGGCGTGGAGCCGGGGCACGGGGCAGCTGTCCCTCTGCAGCCACACACCACAGGGGATGGGCGCCGGCAGACACGCCTGCTCGCTCCAGGGTAAGTGCAGTGTGTGGCGTCTGGGGTGGCTCTGGTGTTAAGGAGGTCAGAAGTGAAGTGTTTTCACGCAGGCTGGATTCGATGCGATTGGGCCATCCGGATTGACGATGGTGACGATCGCGATGCCTTCAGGCTCGCAACCGAGGGGGTGCACGCAGGGGAACGTGCCATCCGGGAACATCTTTCAGGCAAAACAAAGCATTTTGCTTTCCAGTTGATGATAGGGAGTGCTGAACCCAATGCCAAGAGCTCAAAGGCGAATTCGTTTGGTGGGAAGAGTCCGCCTGCATCTTTGATCTGATGTGGTTAGGGGCGTCCTCCCCAATTAATGATTTCTATTAGCTGCTGGCTTTGTCTTCTCTCCTTTTTGTGGCACGCTCCAGGTGACCGGCTTATCTCTCAGCGCCCGGGTTGGGATATGCTGTGGACAGACTCAATTAGCTAAACATGTTGTTAAACGTGCATCTCATTACGCTTTTTTTTTTTTTTGAGAAAAGAAAAACAAAGTGTGGAGGCAGAAGGGCTGGGTGCCCCGGCCACCCAGGGGCAGGACGAGTTTGGGGCTTGCAAGTCCACAGCGAATCTGAGGCAGGCACCGTCAATAACAAAGTGCCTTTACGATATTTATAAGAACTAGGCTCTCCTCAATCCTTTCATTTGAACACGTTTCAGAGCAGACCCCTTCCTGGCACTTCGGTGAGGTGTCTGTTTCCCATTATAAAGCTGGGCCATGAATGAAAGTGACAATCGCAGCTTCCAAACATAAACTTCCTGAAACTCCTTTAGAAGGTTCCTCCATGACGTGTAGACATAACCAGAAAGCCGTCACGCTGGGAGGTCGGCCGCGGGTGCGTCTTGGCTCCGTCAGGATCCTGGTGAGGGTGGCAGGTCAGGATTGTAAACTCCAGGAGGGGACTTAAGCGACGGAACAGGGAAGAAAAGTGGCTGAGCTTAGCGACAGGCCGGCCTCAGAAGTGACATTCACCCCCCCACCCCCGCCCCCCGCCCAGTGTCCTTACGCTTTGTGCAGAAATCTGGCGTGATCTAAGATATTGGTGCAGAATTCCCATGTGCTGGTGATTTATCACACCTTCCAGTGTCCTGAGCAGGAACGGGACAGAGGGCGTCGGTGGCTTTTTGGATAAAAACAGGCAGGGCCATGCCAGGCCAGGCTTGGTGGCTCACGCCTGTAATCCCAGCACTTTGGGAGGCCAAGGCGGGTGGATCACCTGAGGTCAGAAGTTCGTAGAGCAGCCTGGCCAACATGGTGAAACCCCATCTCTACTAAAAAAATACAAAATTTAGCTGGGTGTGGTGGCAGGCACCTGTAATCCCAGCTACTCAGGAGGCTGAACCTGGGAGGTGGAGGTTGCAGTGAGCCGAGATTGCACCATTGCACTCCAGCCTGGGGGACAAGAGTGAGACTTCGTCTCAAAAAACAAAACAAAACAAACAAAAACAAACAAACAAAAGAACATGGGCAGGGCTTCTTGCCCAGTGTGATGGCTTAGGGATGCAGAGCTTCCTGGCCACCCTTCGGCTCTGGTCCCATCCGTCCTCACAGCGGTCCAGGGGCTAAATCACAAGGTACCGACAGCCCTCATCGTCCTCCCAGACTTCAAGGAGTGTTTCTTTGCAGACGCCGTACTTGGATTGGGCTGTGAAAGAGGAGAAACCCTCCCTGGGGTAGGTGGGGGTGGTGGGTCACTTGCTACCAAGGCGTCCACCGCAGGGCCCCTGATCGCCGCCTCCCCGCCTCCATCCGCCGGGACCTGGCCCCTTGGCCTCGTGTCTGTGCAGCCTCTGTGGTGACACGTGGCAGAATGCATGTGCTCATGGCTTTGGTTCCTCTGGAAAGGGTGTCCCAAGATGAGGGTGTTCAAAGACTCTTCAAGGACAGGAATCGCTCTCCTCCAACTCTTTAGACGTGGATAGTTTTGTTCTCGTGTTTTACGTGGTGCCTGATGGTAATGCGATTCTTTAACACCAAGAATGGGGCCGTCATCAGTCGCTAAAGCTGTTCTCATGTGTCCACTGCAGTGGCCGGTTTCTGGCGGACGCCCCTTCTGGCCCCTCCCCCCTCCCCTGGGTAGAGCAGGAACAGGACAGATGGTGTCGGTGGCTTTTTGGTTAAAAACACTGGCATGGCCTCTCGCCCAGTGTGGTGGCTCTTAGGGACGCAGAGCTTCCTGGCCGCCCTTCGGCTCTGGTCCTGTTTGTCCCCACAGCAGTCCACGGGCCATGAGATCTCAAAGGCTGGGCACTGGACGCTTTGCTCTCTATCCTTCACACCAAGCTGGTCTGAGCTCTCCACCTGCTGGGGCTGCCCAGTGCCCCTTGCCAGAGACCCAGCTCAGAAACTCAGAAATGCTTCCAGCCACCCGCCCTCGGGACCGGCGTGAAGACCCGGTGCTGGGGCTCCTGGGTGGGGCTGTCACTGCCTGAGTTTGGGGGCCTGCCCTCCTTGTCCCCCCCGAATCTCCCCCTCCCTAATCCCTTGGGGGGGATCAGGAGAGTAGGGGTTCCTAGTTTCATTTCTCCTGCATGAATCAGATCATCTTCTCACCCCACGGGAGCCCTGGGATGCCGAGGCTGGGTGGGGGCGGTAGAATAATCCTCCGTGGCACGAGGAAGCGCTGGAATAATCCTCCATGGCACGAGGGAGCGGTGGAATAATCCTCCGTGGCACGGGGGTGGGTGGAATAATCCTCCGTGGCATGGGGGGTTGGTGGGATAATCCTCCATGGCAAAAGGGAGCGGTGGAATAATCCTCCGTGGCACGGAGGGGGTGGAATGATCCTCCATGGCACGAGGGGGCAGTGGAATAATCCTCCGTGGCACGAGGGGGCAGTGGAATAATCCTCCGTGGCACGAGGACGGTCACTGCATTCGTCACTCTTAGCTGCAGTGCGTGTGACAGTCGCCAGGGCTGCTGTTTGAGGAACGGGGGTTGCCTGCGTCTGCTGTGCCCCAGGTGGTTCGTAGGGTGCTTTTTACTCCTTGCCAAAGCCCACACAGCCCCGCAAGGCAAACAGTGTTCAACTCTTTTCATGGCTGAAAAATTGGGACATCAGAGAGGTTAAGACACTGGCCAGGACCACCTGGCAGGGAAGCTTCCGGGCCTTGCCTGCACCAGGACTGTCCGATGGGGACGTCATCTGCCTCCCAGACGGTATCTTAAAAAAAAAAAAAAAAAAAGACAAGGGATTTATTGAGATACGCTTCACATACCATAGAGTTCACCCATCAAAGTGCAATTCCGTTTAGACTGCAGAGAGATGTGCACCCACAACCACTATCAACTTGGAAATTTTCATTACCACAGACAGAAGCCCCCAGCCTCTCGCCGGCCCCTTGCATTACCCTGGACTGAAGCCCCCCAGCCTCTTGCCGGCCCCTTTCATTACCCCGGACGTTAAGTCCCCAGCCTCTCGCTGACCCCGCCAGCCACACTCTGCTTCAGTCCTGGAGTCGTCAGCTCTGGTCCTGTCCCATGCGTGGGTCACGCAACGCGTGGCCCTTTGGGAGTGTCTCCCTCGCTCAGCGTCACATTCCGGGGGCCTGTCCATGCAGCCTGCACCACCCCAGATGTTCTTGTCTGAGCCTACAAAGATTCCTAAAGAAAGGTTAGAAACTTCAGCTTCATTGGCTCCAGCCAGTGTGGACGCTCCTATCCTTCTGTGATCCCGTTTTCTGCCTGTCCCCACAGCCTGATAAAATGTGCTCCCCACCCCTCCCTTTCTCCTACACCTGGAGGCCTCCAGCTAGACTTCCTTCAGGCCTGCGTTTCACTATCAGTGTGTGGACCTCTGGTTATTTTTTTCCTGGAGAGGACACTTCTTGGGTATTAAGGGGAATTTTGGCCAGGTGCAGCAGTGGCTCATGTCTGTAATCCCAGCACTTTGAGAGGCTGAGGCAGGAGGATCACTTGAGTCCAGGAGTTTGAGACCAGCCTGGGCAATACAGTGAGACCCTATCTCTACAAGAAACAATTTTAAAAAATTAGCCAGGGGTGGTGGTGCGTGTGTATAGTCCCAACCAGTTAGGAAGCTGAGGCGGGAGGAACAGTTGAGCTGGGAAGGTCAAGGCTGCAGTGAGAGCTAGGATGGTGCCACTGCACTCCAGCTGGGGCAACACAGTGAGACCCTGTCACAAAAAAGGAAAGAGGAGTTTTGATCCTCAACACTATAAAGGCCTCTATAACACATACAGCATTTTCTTTTTTCTTTCTTTCTTTTTTTTTTTTTTTTTTGAGACAGAGTTTCGCTCTTGTTGCCCAGGCTGGAGTGTAATGGTGCAATCTTGGCTCACTGCAACCTCTGCCTCCCAGGTTCAAGGGATTCTCCTGTCTCAGTCTCCCAGGTAGCTGGGACTATAGGCACCTGTGACCACGCCCAGCTAATTTTCGTATTTTTAGTAGAGATGGAGTTTCACTGTGTTGGCCAGGCTGGTCTTGAACTCCTGACCTCAGGCAATCCACCTGCCTCGGCCTCCCAAAGTGCTGGGATTATGGCGTGAGCCACCATGCTTGACTACATACAGCATTTTCAAAGGGCCCAGGGGGACACAGTGAACCCAGCAACCCCAGGCAGGATTAGCAAATAAGCATAATTGGGAACGGATGAAGAGCTGAAAGCCTGAGTGCTAAGTTGTAAAGACTCAGAAGCCCTGGTGGGAGCTCGGTAGTTGATTGATGATGTCTGCCATGACTGGGTAGGGGGATAACGGCACGTGTGCTACGTGGTGGCATCTGGTGCAGATTTGGTTGGGTGGGAAAAGTCCCTGGATTCCAGAAGTCAGGGTGGCCACACCCAGGAAGCAAGCACTCACACCACCTTGTGTGTGGACAGCAGGGCCTGGCTGGCCTGGCCCAGGAGGCTCCATCATGGTTGCAAGCTGCAGGCCAACTGGGTCTTGGCACGGGCCCAGTAAGCTGCTTTCAGGGAGTCTGTGAGGAGCTGCCTCCTGGGTCAGCCACCTCTGAGTAGCAGAGGATTTAAAAACCAGACCCCATTGCCCTGCCACACCTGCAACATCTGGCCCAGCACAGTGTGTGTCCTTCTTGGGTAGCCGGGTCCCTGCAGAGGGAGACAGTGTGGCGGGCGCCAGCAGGCCGTGCTCCAGCCTCCACCCGCGCCCCCACACCCTGGAGTCAGCGCACTGCAGAACTGTGACGGCCCCTCCTCTTCCTCCATGCCGCTCCTGCGCCCACCTCTCCCTGCTCGTGATTCACCTATGGGGCTCAGCACAGGGATTCCTGAAGGAATTTTTCTCCATCCGAGAGGCAGTACGATAATCTCCCACAGATGAGATTGGCTGTCTAGCAGAGGAGAACCCTGTCTACTCTTGTGTTCTAGAGCTTTCTTTTGGTGTCACCTTATTTATTTTTGCAACCTCCTGCCTAATTTTCTTTTGAAATGTTTTTTCACTTTAAAAACCGATTCAGAGGGCAAATGTGAACAGAGAAAGGAGTAGGCTGCCTGTGCCCACGTGTCTAGGCCAACCAGCGGCTTTTCTGCAATGCTGCACCCGGAGCAGCCCCCACTGTCTGTGGTCTTGGCAGACACTCCCTTGTTCATTTTGCACCACGTGAGCCAAGGCAGGTTGGGTGGGCCATGGCTGCTCTTGGTCCCAGCGATGGGCATTCAGGTGCAGGCTGGGGTGGGCGTGGATGCCTGCTGGCCACCAGCCTGGGATGCCATGGGACGGAGCTCAGCTCAGCCACCGCCTGCCATTGCCGCACAGGCCAGGAGGTGAATTGAGCTGAAGCCATCGCCCCCAGGCGGGAATCCCACTGTCTGCCTTCAGGAGGGGTGGCAGCAACGCCAGCCTCTCCAGGGTGATTTTCGGTAGAAACAGACCCCTCTAGATCCCAGAAACTGGGCCCTCACCATGGCCAGCTCAGCCTCATGGGGTGAAGAGCCATTGTAATATCCAAGTAACAGCAGCGAGGGTCACGAGTTCTGCCTTTGGGGCGTGCTGGCAGGCGGGCGGGGGTCTGCGTGCCTCGGCTCTCTCAGGCCCGCACGGGAGGTGCCGTGACTGTCCCAGGCTTCAGACAGGCTGACTCTGGCCAGCTGGAAAAGGCTCCCCAAATGCCCTGATCCCCAAAACCTGTGCTTGATGCCTGGATTAGCCCATTTTCACACTGCTATAAAGAACTGCCCAAGACCGGGTAATTTATAAAGGAAAGAGGTTTAATTGACTCACAGTTCAGCATGGCTGGGGAGGCCTCAGGAAACTGACAATCATGGCGGAAGGCGAAGAAGAAGCAAGAACCTTCTTCACAAGGCAGCAGGAAGGAGAAATGCAGAGCAAAGGTGGGAAGAGCCTCTTATAAAACCATCAGCTCTCACAAGAACTCACTCACTATCATGAGAACAGCATGGAGGAACTGCCCCGTGATTCAGTCACCGCCCCCTGGGCTCTCCCTCCACACGTGAGGATCATGGGGATTAAATTCGAGGTGAGATCTGCGTGGAGACACAGAAACTGACCATGCCACTGCCGTGCACAGCACTGCCTGTGGCTGAGGGTCACGAGGCAAGGTCTTCCCAGATGATCCAGCTGGGCCCAACATAATGGCAGGGTCCTTTTAAGGAAGAGGCAGAGGAAGATTCGGCCCACACAGAGGCAATGGCCCTGGGACATAGACGCGGAGGCAGAGATTACAGGGAAGCAGCCACAAGTCAGGGCACGCCTGGCTTGCAGACGCTGCAGAAGCAGGAAGGACCCTCAGGAGAGCACAGCACTGTAGCCCTTGGCTTTGTCCCCACAGGGCCCATGTTGGGCTCCGGCCTCCACACCACATTTTAAGGCCCTTGGTTTGTGATGTCATGGCAGCCCAGGCGCCTGGTAATGGCTGAGGGCTGAGGTGCCCTCCCATGCCCTGCACACAGGTCTCGCTGACCCCAGAGTCAACTCCTCCATGCGATCTGTATGTCATTTGGAGGTGGATGCAGGGTAGAGAAGAGAAGACTTTCTTGAGGATTTTTGTGCCCTTCTCTTTGAAGAAATAAGGACATTTGCACGTCTGTGGGGATGTGGGGATGGAGGTGCACGTCTGTGGGGATGTGGGGATGGGGGTCCACGTCTGTGGGGATGTGGGGATGGAGGTGCACATCTCTGGGGATCCCAGGACAGAGGTGCACGTCTGTGGGGATGCGGGGAGGGGGGTCCATGTCTGTGGGGATGTGGGGATGGAGGTGCACAGAGGACGCCTTCCAGTGAGCCCTGCACCGTCACACTGTGGCCCTGGCCATCCCTGTGGGACAGCGTGTCTGGGTCTGGCTGCTGGTGCAGCCCATCTCGATTCTGGACTGAGATTCAGTGGTCACACCCGACGTCTCCTGGGTGCAGGCAGAAGACAGGGCTCTGGGGTTGCTGCCCAGAATTCAATTGCTCTTTCCACCCTGAAGAATCAGGCTGTCAAGTTGCACAAACCTGGTGAAGGGGACTTCTGGGGGTGAGGATCTTTGGGGGTTGAGTTGCTGATGTCCTAGGATCTTCTCCCCACCTCTGTTTCCCCAGAGAACTCTCGGCTCAAGGGTCCCCACTTCAGTGTGACTTCCCTGAAAGCAGGTGGTGGTGACGCTGTAGGGTGTTGGCCTCCTTTCCTGGCCTCACCCTCTTTCAGGGCCTTGCCCACTGTATGGGGGGCCACGCATGTGTTTGCTGAGGCTAGGTCATCATGGGCACCAATAGCTTCTTGCCCTCACTCCCCAAGACCTCCTGCTCCAGGGGAGTCCAGTGCCATGTGCCAGCAGCTCTGTGGGGAGGCTCAACAGGGGAGTGCTGAGGCCTCGGGCCACCAGCCCCGGTCGGGACTTCAGATGACTCCAGCAAAGACATCTCGACGGCAGCCTCATGAGTGAGCCTGTGCCACAGCTGCCCAGCCAAGTCACGCCACATTCATGACCCAGAGAAACCAAGATAATCAATGACTGTTGTGCTTTTTAGCCACCAAGTTCAGAGGTGACTTGTTACGCAAAAGCAGAGAACAAATGCGCCAGCTGCCAGGGTTGTCGACGGCTCATAGCTGGGTCCCTCTGGAAATGGCTGCCGTGTCACCCCACGTAATGCCTTCTCCTGGGAGCAGCTGCATGGAAAGACTGGTCCTCATGTTTCCATTCAGGACACCCACAGAGGGTCTCTCTTCTTTGTGGGTGAGGCCCCAACAGTGAGACCTCAACAGTGAGACAGCTGAGGCCTCTGCTGCAACCACATTGCAGCCCAGTGGCTCCCCCTGTCCAGGCCCACTTTCCACACCCCTGCAGGTGTTGCTCCAAGGAGCCTCTGCACCTCCTCCCAGACTCAGATCTGTTTCCTGGGACCCAGGCATGAGGCTTCTCCCCGGCAGCCTCCGATGTCACGTGGATCAGGCAAAGCTGGGCATCTGTGTCCACGCTGTCTCCTCTCCAGGATCAGGAGGTGCTGAGCGTCTGTGTCCACGCTGTCTCCTCCCTGGGATCAGGAGGTGCTGAGCATCTGTGTCCACGCTGTCTCCTCTCCAGGATCAGGAGGTGCTGAGCATCTGTGTCCACGCTGTCTCCTCTCCAGGATCAGGAGGTGCTGAGCGTCTGTGTCCACGCTGTCTCCTCTCCGGGATCAGGAGGTGCTGAGCGTCTGTGTCCACGCTGTCTCCTCTCCGGGATCAGGAGGTGCTGAGCGTCTGTGTCCACGCTGTCTCCTCTCCGGGATCAGGAGGTGCTGTGCGTCTGTGTCCACGCTGTCTCTTCTCCGGGATCAGGAGGTGCTGAGCGTCTGTGTCCACGCTGTCTCCTCCCTGGGATCAGGGGCTTTGCCAGCTTGCTCACCTTTGGCCCCTGGGCACATGATGGACTCTTACCAAATGTTAGTTGAGTAAATGTGAGTGGGTGGCACAGGAGGAGTCAGGCTAGGTGGCCATCTGTGTGGGAGATTCGAGAAAACTCTTCCTGCAAACAGCCTCCCAGAAACTAGCACCAGAATGCCTGGGCCTCACCATTGGTGACTCCTTTTTCCCTCACTCCTCACATATAGAATGCAAATACTATGAGGAAGACAAAGACATGAAATCATTAACACTTCTTCAGAGTCACACACACGTCCAGCTGCCCCTCCCCAAATCACCCAGGCCGAGGCCGCCCCACCCCAGTACCCGTCAGAACCCCCTGGAGGGTGAGTTCAGACCCCCGGGGGGCCGCCTCCTGGGCTTCTGATTCAGGAGGCTGGGGCGGGCCCTGAGGCTCCACATTGCTGACAAGTTGCAGGTGGTCCGCTGCCAGTCCGCTTGGAGAATTCTGCTCCCGCTCACGCCGGACTGAACTGGCTGCTGCCCAGCCTACCACGGTCTCCGTCCGTCTTCTCTGGCAGGGGCTGGCTCTCCCAGGTGTCGCTGAGTGCCTGGTTGTTCCAATTCAGTTTGCTTACAGTGTCTGTGAGTAATGTCCAAGGCTCCCCTCCTGCTCCTCCACACCCACATGGCGTGAGCAGCTTCCCCAGCCCTGGTGCAGCCTCCTGACTTCAGGCCCGTCTCTGCCTCAGTGTGAACTGTATCGGAGAGATGTCCTCCCAGCGTGGGCTGCTGTCCTGCGGGTGAGAATCATAACGTGGTCATTCAGAACCACTCGTCTTAAAGTGTCTTCTCTAGACAAAAAATGCCTTTTCCATCGAAGGTGGGGAGGGGAGAAAAATGGCCTCCAACCCAGGGAGTGCTGTGCGGGTTGGGCAGGTGCTTGTGGGCTCTAACAAATGGATTTCCACGAGGGGCCCAGGGCAGCAGGTGCAGCTCAGCCGGGTGTAGCCTCGCTGGAGAAATGCGTCTGCAGCCGGGCTCTGTGGGGCCTCGGGACAGGCACTGGGAAACCTGAGAAACTGCAGACCCGGGCCAGCAATGGCACAGTGTCCGTGGCAGGGAAGCTCAGGCCCCCTTCACAGATGAAGACGCTGCGGCCCAGACGGGCACTCGTGGCGCTTGCAGTCAGTGTCGAAGGCCCCTTGCTTTTCTTCAGCCCCCAGGCACCTGGGCCGGTGCGACTTCCCAAACCCCACTGTCAGGGCCCCTCCCGCACCGCCCCATGTCAAACCATTTCCTGCAGCGATGGGGCTGTGACGCCACTGCCGAAGAGGCCAGCGTGAGGAAGGCCTTTTGAACTAAAACCACTCCCCGCAGTGGCCAGTCTGCAATGGGCTGTTTTTCTAAAGACTTTTTTTTGTGGGTACGTCGTAGATGTATATATTCATGGGGTACATGAGATGTTTTGACACAAGCATGCAAGGTGTAACAATCACATCAGAGAGAATGGGGTCTCCATCCCCTCAAGCATTTATCCTTTCTGTTACAAACAAGCCAGTGATTTTATTTTAGTTATTTTAAGATGTACAACAAATTATTGTTGACTGTGCTCACCCTGTTGTACTATCAAATAATAGGTCTTATGCATTTCTTCTGTCTTTTTGTACCCATTAACATCCCCCCCACTTCCCTTCCCAGCCTGTGGTAACCCTCCTTCCACTCTCTATATCCATGAGTTCAATCGTTTTGATTTTTAGCTCCCACGAATAAGTGAAGACGTGTTTTTGTTTGTTTTGTTTGTTTGTTTGTTGAGATGGAGTCTCGCTCTGTCACCAGGCTGGAGTGCAGTGGTGCCATCTCAGCTCACTGCAACCTCCGACTCCCGGGTTCAAGCGATCCTCCTGCTTCAGCCTCCTGTGTAGCTGAGACTACAGGTGCCCACCATCACACCCAGCTAATTTCTGTATTTTTAGTAGAGATGGGGTTTCACCATGTTGGCCAGGCTGGTCTCGATCTACTGACCTTGTGATCCGCCTGCCTTGGCCTCCCAAAGTGCTGGGATTACAGGTGTGAGCCACCGCGCCCGGCCAAAAACGTGTTGTTTTTCTTTCCATCCCTTGATTATTTCACTTAATGACCTCCAGTTCCATCCGCGTTGTTCCAATGACAGGATCTCGTTCTTTTTTGTGGCTGAATAGTACTACGTTGTGTACGTGTCACATTTTCTTTATCTGTTTGTCTATTGATAGGCACTTAGGTTGCTTCCAAATCTTGATACTGTGAACAGTGCTGCAGTAAACACAGGCGTGCCGGCCAGGCGCGTTGGCTAACGCCTGAATCCCAGCACTTCGGGAGGCTGAGGTGGGTGGATCCCTTGAGGTCAGGAGTTCCAGTAAACACAGGACTGCAGACATCTCTTTGATAGATGGATTCCTTTCTTTTGGGTCTATACCAAGCAGTGGTATTGCTGGATCCTATGGTAGCTCAATTTGTAGCTTTTTGAGGAACCGCCAAACTGTTCTCCACAGCGGCTGTATTAATTTACATTCCCACCAACGGGGTACGAGGGTTCCCTTTTCCCACATCCTTGCGAGCATTTGTGATTGTCTGTTTTTTGGATAAAGGCCATTTTAACCGGGGTGAGGTGATGTCTCATGGTAGCTTTGAGTTGCATTTCTCTGACGATCAATGATGCTGAGCTCCTCTTCAGATGCCTGTTGGCCATTTGTGTGTCTCCTTTGAGAAACGTCTATTCAGATCTTTTGCCCATTTTTACTCAGATGATTAGATTCTTTCCTATAGAGTTGTTTGAGCTCATTATATGTTCTGGTTATGAATCCCTTGTCAGATGAGTAGTCTGAAAATATTTCCTCCCATTCTGTGGGGTGTCTCTTCACTCTGGATTGCTCTCTCTGCTGTGCAGAAGCTTTTTTTTTTTTTTTTTTTTTTTGAGATGGAGTCTTGCTCTGTTGCCCAGGCTGGAGTGCAGTGGCACGATCTCAGCTCACTGCAAGCTCTGCCTCCCGGGTTTGCGCTATTCTCCTGCCTCGGCCTCCCCAGTAGCTGGGACTACAGGTGCCCGCCACCACGCCTGGCTAATTTTTTTGCATTTTTAGTAGAGACGGGGTTTCACCGTGTTAGCCAGGATGGTCTCGATCTCCTGACCTCGTGATCCACCCGCCTTGGCCTCCCAAAGTGCTGGGATTACAGGTGTGAGCCACCGCGCCTGGCCTGCTGTGCAGAAGCTTTTTAGCTCGAGGTGGCCCCATTTGCCTGTGTTTGCCTTGGTTGCCTGTGCGTGGGGGCATTGCTTGAGAAATGTTTGCCCAGGTCAATGTCCTGGAGATTGTCCCCAGTGTTTTCTTGTAGTAGTTTCATCATTGGAGGTCTTGGATTCCAGACTTTAATCCATTTTGGCTTGATGTTTGTATGTGGCGAGAGCTAGGGGTCTCGTTTCACTCTTCTGCAGATGTGTAGCCAGTTTTCCCAGCACCGTTTATGGAAGAGACTGTCCTTTCCCCAGGGTATGTTCTTGCCACCTTTGTTGAAATTGAGTTCACTGTAGGTGCGTGGGTAATGGGCGGCTCTTCCAGCTGGTGAGTTGCCATGGCTTCTGGCGCTTTGACACCTGGTGACAGGAGAGCCTGCTGAGCAGGGATCCAGCCCTGTGGACGCAGGACGTGAGGACCTGTGGCTGAAGCCCGGCTCGGGGAGGAACAGTTTACCTCCAGCCCTGGGGAAGGCCATGCTTTTTGGGTCTCAGTTACCTCCGCAGACTGTGGTGAAGGCACAAAGGCTCTCGCAGCTGAAGGGCCTATCGTAGGTCAGGTCTGGCCTGTCTTAAACGGGTAACAAGTGGCCCCTCTGGGACAGGCGGTGCAGGGCCCCAGCTGTGAGGCGTGCGTCCCTTCTTCTTAATTTCACCGACACGGCTGGTTTGACACCCCCCGGTGCAGGCTGCAGGGAGATCAGATACACATGCAGCCTCTTGCTTTGGAAAGCTCACCGTGTGGTCTAGTGCGTGGAGAAGCTCCCAGGTGTGAGGAAAGTTCTTGCCGCACTGAGAGTGCTGTGGGACTGGACACCTGGCTCCTGCCAGGGCCGCACTGGGCAGGGCTGTGGGCCGTGCGATGGGAGGTCCTGTGGTCCCATGATGTCCGGCGAGCACCATGGGTGGCTAAGGAAGGGTCTCCCCCACCCCACAGCCAGTCCTGTCCCCCACCCCCAGCTTCATGGCCTTTGCAAGTCCCTCCACCTCTCTGTGCCCAAGTTTGCCCACCTGTGAATGGGGAGAACGGTAAGGGCCACACTCCCTGACTGCGGGGGTCTCGGGGGAGAATGACAGGGACCATACTCACTCACTGCGGGGGTCTCCGGGGAGAATGACAGGGACCACACTCACTCACTGCGGGTGTCTCCGGGGAGAATGACAGGGACCACATTCACTCACTGCGGGGGTCTTCGGGGGGAATGACAGGGACCACACTCACTGACTGCGGGGGTCTCAGGGGAGAATGACAGGGACCACACTCACTCACTGTGGGGGTCTCTGGGGTGGGGAATGACAGGGACCACACTCACTGCGGGGGTCTCCGGGGAGAATGACAGGGACCACACTCACTGACTGCGGGGGTCTCCGGGTTGGGGAATGACAGGGACCACACTCACTGCGGAGTCTGAGGTGAGATTGGATCAGGGAACGCGCGGTGCCCAGCTGACTTCCCAGGCCATGAGCTGGGGTAGACGGAGCCGTGGTTCTGGTACTGCATTCTCCTCCGTGCCTCCAGCTTCTGCAAGTGTTGCCCTGGGCGTCTGGGACCCTGTCTGAGCCTCTCTGCAGCCTGGTGAAGGCGGGCCTGGCCCCCAGATGCAGCTGTGTGTGCGGTGAGTCGGCTTGCTGGGCCCACAGAGGGGCAGGGAGCTCAGAGGGGCTGTTGGGGAAGAGGTGCCTCCCCTTCTCCACCTACAAGCCCAGCAAACCTGGTTCCTTGTGGCTGCCGCACTGAGAATTCTTGGACACCATTGCTTTGGGAGGAAGTGGGCACTGGAAACAGGCCAGGGCGAAAATGTCTTCTCAGTCTGTAAAAAATTTCAGCCGCCTTTCTCTTGCTGTGGCCTCTCATGGAGACGATGCTTCTGGGGCCGGGGAAGCAGAACCCAGAGGTGACTTAAAAAACAACCACCAACCCTCCAGGTCGCAGGGCAGTGAACGGTGGCTCCGCAGGGAAACGCAGGTGGTTCTGCCCCTGCCCAGCCTGTCTTAACCATGCTGCCTGGTCTGTGCCGGGCTCTGCGCATTCAGGGTGTGATTCCATTTAATTAAACTTAAACTAAACCTTAGTGCACAAAGGGGAAACGTGGCAGGAAGCACACCAAAAACAGCCACTGTGTTTATTTTCAAGGGGCTGGATTATTTTATGCATTGCTGCCATTTCTGATCTGCAATAGATATATATTATTTTCATAATCAGAAAAACACATTATAAAAAGCTTTAGGAAGACAAGTACATGTGTGACGCTCATATGTCCCGGCTGATCAGCCAAGGTTGCTCCTCTGGAGAAGCTCGGGGGTCACCGCCGTGCACCCCTCCAGCTCATGTCAGCCTTGCACAGTGCACATGACCCGGTCCCCTCCCGCTTTCCCTCCTGAGTTGACCCTGGTTTATCTGGGATGGCCATGGGCTCCGCTAAAAATATGCACCGTCCAGGACGGTGGTGTGGAAAGAGAAAGGTGCCAGGGCCCTGTGTGTTCCTGGACTTCCTAACTCTAGTTCTGGAGACCAGAAGGGAAATCAAGAGGCCCGCCGAGCCGTACTCCCTCTGGAGGCTCTGGGCCCTTCCATCTGTACTCCCTCTGGGGGCTCTGGGTCCTTCCAGCCGTACTCCTTCTGGGGGCTCTGGGTCCTTCCAGCCATACTCCCTCCGGAGGCTCTGGGTCCTTCTAGCTGTATTCCTTCCAGAGGCTCTGGGCCCTTCCAGCCTCTCCCAGCTCCTGGGCACTCCAGGTATTCCTGGGCTTGTGGCCACATTGCTCTCATCTCTGCCTTTATCCTCATGTGGTCTCTTCGTCTTTGGGGGCAAACCCTGCCCCGCCCATCTCCCTCGTGTAAGGATACCTGGTCATCCAGGGTGGCCTCCCCATCTCAGGTGAAAAGTGTGCGCTCTGGGAAAGGCTCTTTGATGAGGATGGAAAGAGAAACTGCAGAGCGGGGAAAGTATTCACTAACACACATGCCCGACTAGAGCCCTGGGGTCCAGACTGTATAGAGAACTCTCAAAACTCAACCGTGAAAAAACAAGCCGATGTGAGAATGGGCAAGATGTGGGGGGTGCTCTTCCATGAAGAGGATGCAGACGGCCAATCAGGGCATGGCAGGTGCTCCTTGCCAGCAGCTGTCGGGAAACGCACTGAGACCACAGGCAGGGATTGCCACACCCCCATGAGGACGGCCAGCACAGAACCGGTGATGTTGCGGTGTAGACACAGGGCCTGGACCTCCAGAACCAGCGATGCCGCAATGCCGCAGTGTAGACACAGGACCTGGACCTCCATTGCTGGCAGGAATGCAAATGGCATGGCCACTGTAAACACCAGCTTGACAGTTTCACCCAAAAGTAAACACCCGACTAATGTACAACCCCACAATGACACTCTTGGGGCGTTTATTCCAAAGAAATGAAGACGTATCTTCATGCCAAAAACCGTGCAGCTGCATTTGTAACAGGCAGAACGTGGAGACAACCCAAGCGTCCTTCAGTGGACACACGAATGGCCACACCACGGAACGCTACTCAGCCGTGAAAACAAACAGACCAGCTGCACACAGCAACTTGGACCATCTCCAGAGAATTCTGCCGAGTGGGAAAAGCCGACCTCAAAAAGCCTGTACATGCCATGACGCTGTTTATGGAACTGGCGTCATCAAACCAGAGACTGAGAACAGGTTGGTGGTTTGCCAGGGCTGGGGACTGTGGGTCGGGGGAGTAGGGGCCGCAGGGGGGCAGCTGGAGGCAGCCTGTGATGAGGGGAATGGTTAGTGCTTTGGTGGTGGTGGCAGTTACACGAATCTACACGTGTGATAAAATGTCCTTGCCTGAAGTGCATGCGTGCACACACACACACACACACACACACACACACACACACCAGGGCATGCAGAGCTACGAGAATCTGAACCGGCCCTGTGGGTCATGCCAGGCTGATGGCTTGGCGTGCTGCTGTGTTGGCACGCCTGATGCTCTGAAGGGTGTGGCTGGGTGGGAGTGAGAGTCAGGGATGCGTGAGGGCCAGGGATATGTGAGAGCTGGGGACGTGTGAGAACTGGGGGCATGTGAGGGCCGGGGATGTGTGAGGGCCGGGGACACGTGAGAGCTGGGGTCGTGTGAGAGCTGGGGACGTGTGAGAGCCGGGGACGTGTGAGAGCTGGGGGCATGTGAGGGCTGGGGATGCGTGAGAGCCAGGACAGATGCGTGTGGCTCTCTCTGCCTTTCTCTGCAATTTCCTGTGCATCTATAATTGTTTCAAAAATAAAAGTTTTTTTACAAAAAGAAAAAAATGAAGAAAAAATCACTGCAAATTCCTGTTTTGTCCCTTTGATCTTTTTTTACTTGGAGAGACAATTCAGGTCTCTGAATACTCAGCCACTGACTGCCTAGAAGACCCTGGGGAGGGCTGGGCCTCTGAGACTCAGGCCAGTTTATACCTGTGGAAGTGTCACGTGCCTTCACGGACCGTGGAGGTGCCACGTGCCTTCGGGGACCGTGGAGGTGCCACGTGTCTTCATGGACCGTGGGAAAGTGCCACGTGTCTTCACAAACCGTGGAGGTGCCACGTGTCTTCGGGGACCGTGGAAGAGGGGCTTTTCCTGGGGAAGGGCTTGATGCTGCCGCACTGTTGCTGGGACCCAGTTTCTTGGAGCCCCGGTCGTGTGCAAGTGACCTGGGAGGTGGACCTGTCGGAGTGACTGTGAGGGAAGCTGTGTGAAGGTGGGAGGCCGCCGTGTCGTCAGAGGCAGCTATGGCAAAGGGAGGCTCCACACACTGCGCCCGTCAGCAGAGCAGGAGGAGGAGCACGAGGGGAGGCGCCATACTGTGATTTTATTTCTTTGTTTTTTTGAGACGGAGTCTCGCTCTGTCGCCCAGGCTGGAGTGCAGTGGCACGATCTCATCTCACCGCAACCTCCGCCTCCTGGATTCACACCATTCCCCTGACTCAGCCTCCCCAGTAGCTGGGACTACAGGCTCCCGCCACCACACCTGGCTAATTTTTGTATTTTTAGTAGAGACGGGGTTTTGCCATGTTGGCCAGGCTGCTCTCAAACTCCTGACCTCAGGTGATCTGCCCGTCTCAGCCTCCCAAAGTGCTGGGATTACAGGCGTGAACCACTGCACCCGGCTCCTATCTTTTCATTGAAATCTTGCCTCGCAGCTTTTAAAGACTGTACATTTCTTCTAAGTTCTTTTTAGAATTCTTCGCAGTGTTCTGGTGGAGCCTTTTGAGTTTTTTCACGGGCTCTCCATAGCCCCACCCTGAGGACGGGAGCCCTTTGGATGGGGCCGGTGTCAGCAAAGGAGGCACAAGAGTCTCAGCTGCTCGACCTGGTCCTGCCCGCCGTGGGCCCAGAGAACCGTGGGAGCAATGTCTACCATTTGGGCTGACTCTCTGCTTTCTGTGTCAGCTCACCTGTCACCTCCGCCTCTGCAGAAGGAGGGTGATGGCGCGCAGGGGTCAGGCACACCCCGGGTGCTCCTGGAGTCTCATCTTCCTGTTTTCTTCCCTTCAGAGTGCGCTGATCCAGGCTCAGATTCCCGACTCTACGGCTTCCTTAGCAGAGGGGCCCTGTTGTCAAAGGACTGCTTTTAAAAGAAGATACAATTCTGACTCACAAATACAGAATACATACATGTCAAAGACTTTATTTAACTCATTAACTAATGCAGGCACCAGTAAGATGTTTCCGGCATTTGGGAGAGAATTCAGAGAACCACACGGATAAGCAATAGAGAATGCTGAGATGAGTTTACAAATAGATGCCGAGCTGCTTTATCCCCAGGTGGTCATCGGCTGCATTCCACGGAGATGCAGTTCACTTGTGTTTCCACTGCTCTCACTTTTCTAGGATTTACAAAGTTGTAAAATAGCCCCAAGACAATGAGAGGCAGGGCGCTAGGCAGGAACTGAGTCACTGTTTGTTTTTGCTCGTTTCAAAGTCTTTTGCAATTTTCCCTGACAACTCGTAACTCTTGGGCTTGTTTTGCCATCTGTGGAATGAAAATAACGTTTGTCCAGTCCTTGAGGAGTTGTGAGCTTGAAAAGAAAGATAGTAAGTGAAGAAATGTCTTCTACAAGCTTCTTTGTATCAGCCGAGGCGGTCTCACGGTTAGCTCTGGGCACCCTGGGAAGCGGGTCTGAAATTCACTATTTCATGATCTCCTACAGGTTTATCTCCCTCCCTCGCTTCATCCCCGCACTCTTCCTTAAAGCCACATCCCTCAGTGCAGAAGCCTGGCCGTCCGCAGCCTGTGGTGCACGTGCGGGGCCCATCTGTGCCGGGTGTTTGTCATTATTAAGTGACCCTGATGAGAATAACCTTGCACGGCTGGGAGCAACTCAGCATTCTTCTTGGTCACCAATTTTCCTTCCAAGCCAATTGCTCAAAGCAACCAAATACCAAAGTTTTCGTCAGAATGCCTCGCTCCACATGCACTGATGAACAACACCTGCTCCTGGGTCACGGGGCCGGCAGCCTGGATGTGTTTTACGCAGAGGATGGGGTGGAGACACAGGTGCCGGAAGCTTTTCCCTACCGGGTCCAGCCGTTTGGGTGGATGCTGGCCGGCCCAGCTCTGGATGTGTGGGACTGGGCTGTTCCCAGGTGGCTGCCTCTCCTGGTTCTCCGCTGGGAAGTCAACGGCAGACTGATAAGGTTTTGCCCAGCTCCCTGAAGCCTGGTCTTGGTTAACTGGGAGCGTGTCGTAGGGAGTGGGGTTAGGGAAGAGATGGGGACATCTGGTTTTTGTCCTGCCCACTGCTTGGGACAGGATGGTTCAGTCAGACCACATTTGCAAAGCGAGAGCCGTCTGTGGAGTCCTGGCCCGTGGGGTCCTGGTGTTGGGTCTCTCTGCCGCCGCCGTGCGTGCTGTGAGGGGAGCACTGTCTTCTGAGAATGGGATGGGGAACCACACACAACCAAGGGGCCCCCAAGTCCGCCTGGGAGGGTGGAGGCTGCACCGGGTAGAGTGTGCTGAGGCCAGGGTGGGTGGACGTGTCCCGTGGAGGGGGAGGCATCGCCCCTGAGCCATTCTCCAGCTTCCCGGCTTCCAGGGAGCGCAGAACTGCCCCGTGGTTGCCGAGGAGGAGAGCAATCTTCAGGGGCAGCCCTGGGCCCAGGGGAGCCACTGCCTGCCTCAGCAGAGCCTCGTGACACTTGCTTTCTCTGGGGTCCTTGCAGGAGGCCCAGGCCCCTGCCTTCTGCTGCATGTGTGTGTTACAGAAATGGCAGATGATAAACTAATTCCTCCATCGGAGCTTGGTGCTCATTTCCCGGAGTGATGTCATCGGGCCGGCGGGACGCATTAGCCAGAGGGCTGGGAAACAGCGGAGATGGCGCGCCCCACCTCGGAGAACACAGGCAGCTGGAGGACGTGGGTGGTGTTACTGTGACGGTCACCTGGACTGGGCAGTTGCAGGCGGCCGGATGCTGGACCCGCAGCGTGAGCTCCACGGCCGCAGCAGGGAGGCGAGAGCCCTCAACCAGGGACGGAGCCGCCCTGTCCACGGAGCATGCAGACCCACCAGAACGCCTGGGTCACCGCGGCTCCCGGGCGGGCCTCACTGCACCGGGACACGTCAGGACACGTGGCAGCTCCCAGCACGGTGGAAGGCCTGAGCCCCGGGAACACTGGCTGGAAAATGGAACTCGGAGGACAGAGCTTGTCGACGGCGTCTCGTATGAATCCCGGAGGAGACGCCCGTGTCGAGGGCAGTTAGAATCCAGGTGTGAGCCCCGGCTGGCTGCGTCCACTGGAGCCGCCTGACCTCACCCGAGGGTGGGAGGCCGTGTGGTTTCTTGGTCCTCAGCCATGCGGCGTTTCTTGGCCGCAGGCGTTGGGTGAGGTTCTAGAAAGGCCTCACCATAGGTGTGGGGTGTTTTGCACCCTCTCCTTCACTGGGATGGCACGAGGCACCCGCTATGTACTGTGCACAGTGGGGTGGGGTGCTGGTGGGTGCTGCATGAGGCACCTGCTGTGTACCATGCACGGTGGGATGGGGGGTCGGGAGGGGGGCGCTGCATGAGGCACCCGCTATGTACCATGCATTGTGGGGTGGGGGTTGGGGGGGTGTTGCACTTGGCACCCACTGTGTACCATGCATGGTGAAGGGGGGGAGGTTGGGGGGTGGGGGCGCTGTACTTGGTGCTCTCCTTACACTGACTTTGGTCCTTGTCCAAACCCTCCGAGGAGTTCACCCTATTATTAAAACTCGAAACAAAAACCAACCAAACATAAAAACATAGAGTTAAAGAGAGAAACTAAGCCGCTGTCGCCAGCGCTGTGTCATGAGCCGAACATTTCAGTATCGATTCTGGCCATCGGAGGGGCTGGCTCAGTGAACTTCCAGAATGAAACGTTCGCAAAGAAACAAAATTGACCTTGAAGAGAGCTCAGCCTTGGCCAGATGGGCCCTTGAAGTCTGGCTGTCACGTCACAACCCCGGCTCACAGGCTGAAATCCGGCCCTGGGCCACTGTGAGAGTTGAGTAGGCAAAATTCCATACATATTTAAGCTTATCTATAATTTATTCCAATGACCTAAGGAATCATATATCATTTTGTCTGTTGTTCAGTGACTTTTAAGCCCTGCCTTCCTAATCCTAAATTGGCCAGGAGGTTGCAGGCCGCACTGCAGAGTTCTGATATAACTGTGCAAATACTCGCCCACTAGGTCCTGGGTTTGCTGAAGTTTACTGTTTATGATTAGGAATTTATTTGTCAAAATACGCTTCTTTTTTACTCACTGGCCACTAGAACAGAGGCTCGTGGTAACGCGTACAGAGATGGTGCGTCCCTGTCCTCTCATCAAAGTGATTCCTCTTCCTTTTGCCAAACTTCCACAGAAGCCAAATAAACAGTGTAGACACTCCGTCACTCGCTACGGCCACGGCGGCCACTCGGATCACACTCTGTCACTCACTACGGCCACGGCGGCCACTCTGATCGCACCCTGTCACTTGCTGCGGCCTCGGCAGCCCCTCGGATCACACTCTGTCACTCACTGTGGCCACAGTGGCCACTCAGATCACACCCCGTCACTCGGTATGGCCACGGCAACCACTCGGATTGCATCCCGTCACTCAATAGGGCCACGGCAGCCACTGTGATCGCAACCTGTCACTCGCTACAGCCACGGCAGCCACTCTGATCACACCCCATCACTTGCTACGGCCACGATGGCCCCTTGGATCACACTCTGTCACTTGGTGTGGCCACGGCAGCCACTCGGATCACACTCCATCACCCACTATGGCCACAGCAGTCACTCAGATCACATCCCGTCACTCACTACAGCCATGGCGGCCACTCGGATCACACTCCGTCACTCGCTACGGCCACGGCAGCCACTCTGATCACATTCCCGTCACTCGCTATGGCCACGGCGGCCACTCAGATCACACTCTGTCACTTGCTATGGCCACGGCAGCCACTCAGATGGCACTCTGTCACTCACTACGGCCACGGCAGCCACTTGGATAGTTGGTCAATAAAATAAGAAGGTCAAGCATTTACCCTGTGTGAGCCGGCAACCTCCAAAAGGCAAACACAGTCAGTTTGGTCAGGAGCTGGAGGATTTGTACACATATTTGTATGCTTTAGTCTGCCACAGTTTTATGTGTGTGTACATAAATATACTTTAGGTATATATTCTTAGCTCTGTGTGTATATATATGTGTATATATATGTATATATATGCTTAACTCTGTGTATATATGTGTGTGTGTGTATAAATATATATTTTAGAGATGGCGTCTCACTCTGTCCCCCAGGCTGGAGTGCAGTGGTGCAATCATAGCTTACTACAGCCTTGTCCTCCTGGGTTCAAGTGATCCTCCAGAATAGCTGGGACTACAGGTGCCCGCCATTGGGTCCAGCTGCAATTGTTATATTTTTGATACTCAGATTGCCTCTTTGTTGGCTATCACTTTTATTTATTTATTTTTGCTAAATGATTTTAGTGGTTTGAATGGCATATGCTGGCGAGTATGGACACATTTTTGCACTCACATAGCCAGCACCATCCCGAGACTACCCATCACCTGGAAAGGCCCTGCTCCACCCCTTGTATGCCCCAACCCGTCTGCTTTCCCTTGCTTGGATGAGACGGTTTTCCAGGGTTTCGTGTCCATGGAGTCGGGCAGCATGCACTGGCTGTGTGTCTGTTCTTTCACCCAGCGGAGCATCGAGGTTTATCCATGCAGTGTTGCCTCTCAGAAGGTCATTCCTTTTATTGTTGAGCAGTGCTTCATTTTTGGATATACTGCGGTTTGTTTGCATGTGCACCTGTCGATGAAGATTTGGGCTGTTTTCAATTTTGGGCTGTTGTTAGGAATAAACTGCCGTGGATGAAGATTTGGGCTGTTTTTAATTTTGGGCTGTTGTTAGGAATAAACTGCCGTGGATATTAACAGCAAGTCTTGGTGTGTGCCTGGGTTTTCATTTCTCTTGGGTGAGGGCCTAGGAGGATAATTGCGGGGCCACGTGGTGAGTATATGTGTGACTTTATCAGCAGCGCCAAACCCTTGCCAAAGGGGTCGTCCCCCCCAGTAGATGTAGGGATGGGTTGCGTATTATAATTTTATTTTTTATTTTTCTAGTTTTTTCATTTTCTAGTGACTAATGATTTTGAGAATCTTTTCCTATACCTCTTTGCAATCTGTGATGAAGTGTCTATTCAGATATTTGACTCTTTTTTAAATTTTGAGATGGAGTTTCACTCTTGTTGCCCAGGCTGGAGTGCAATGGAGCAGTGTCGGCTAACTGCAAACTCCGTCTCCCAGGTTCAAGCGATTCTCCTGTCTCAGCCTCCCAAGTAGCTGGGATTACAGGCATGTGCCACCACGCCCAGCTAATTTTCTATTTTTAGTAGAGACGGGGTTTCTCCATCTTGGTCAGGCTGGTCTCGAACTCCTGAACTCAGGTGAACCAGCTGCCTCGGCCTCCCAAAGTGCTGGGATCACAGGCATGAGCCAACGCACCCAGCCAGTTTCACTCATTTTTATGGGGATGTTTGTGTTGAGTTTCAAAAGCTTTTGATTGTGGTCTGGATGCAAGTCCTTTATCAGGTATCTGTTTGACCAGAATTTTCTCCCAGTCTGTGACTTGTTTTTTATTTTTATTTTATTTATTTTTTGAGACAAAGTCTCACTCTGTCACCCAGGCTGGAGTGCAGTGGTGCAATCATGGCTCACTGCAGCCTCCACCTTCTGGGCTCCTCCCACCTCAGCCTCCTGAGTAGCTGGGACTTCAGGCACATGCCATCACACCCTGCTAATTTTTGTATTTTTTGTGGAGACAGGGCCTCACCATGTTGCCCATGCTGGTTTTGAACCAGGCTCAAGCAATCCACCAGCCTCAACTTCCCAAAGTGCTGGGATCACAGGCATGAGCCACCATGCCCAGGCTGATTTCCTTTTTAATTTCTTAATCATGTGTTTGGAATAATAGAAGTGTTTTCTGTTTGTTTGTTTTTGGTTTTTTTTTGAGATGGAGTTTTGCTCTTGTTGCCCAGGCTGGAGTGCAATGGCACGATCTAGGCTCACTGCAACCTCTGCCTCCCGGGTTCAAGCGATTCTCCTGCCTCAGTCTCCCGAGTAGGTGGGATTACAGGCATGCACCACCACACCTGGCTAATTTTGTATTTTTAGTAGAGACGGGGTTTCTCCATATTGGCCAGGTTGGTCTTGATCTCCCGACCTCAGGTGATCCACCCGTCTCAGTGTTCCAAAGTGCTGGGATTACAGGCGTGAGCCACTGCGCCCGGCCAAGAATAGAAGTTTTCGATGTTTAATTTATCAGTCTTTTTAAAATACTTTTTGTGTCCTATCCAAAAAAATTTGTCTATCTCAGGGTCATGAATAATTTTTCCTATGTTTTCTTCCAGAAGTTTTCTAGATTAAGCTTTTATAATTAGATCTATGCTCCATTTCAAGATACTTTGTGTGTGCTGTGAGGTGGGGTTCATATTTTTCCATATGAATTTGCAGTTGTGCCAGCACCATTTGTTGAGAAGAATGTTCTTTCCTCACAGAATTGCTTTAGCACTTTGTTGAAAATTGACCATTTATGTGTGGGTCTATTTCTGGACTTCTTTCATTGATCTACACATCTATCTTTACACTGGCATGCTGTCTTGTGGTTTTATACTATATCTTAAGATAGTATGTCTTCTAAATTTGTTCTTTTCAAAATTATTTTAGCTATTATAGATCCTTTGCATTTCAGAAATTCAAAGAAGAATTGGTACCAATCCTATTGAAACTATTCCAAAAGACGGAGAAAGAGGGAATCCTCCCTAAGTCATTCTATGAAGCCATATAACTTTGAGAATCAGCATGTCGGTTTCTACAAAAATAGCCTGCATGGCTTGAACTGGAATGAGTTAAATCTATTGGCCGATTTGGGAAGGGTTGCCATCTTAACTCTATCGAGTAATCCAATCCATGAACATAGTTTGCCTCTCTTTTTATTTAGATCTCCTTTAATTTCTCTCAGTAGCATTTTATAGTTTTCACTATCAGGTCTAGCTCATACTTTGTAAAAGGAGAAGGATTTATATGATCTGAAGAGAAATCAGAGTATAGTAGCTCATATTTTGTTAAATTTATCCCTAAGAATTTTATGATTCACTTGCAAATGATATTTTATTTTTTTGCAAATGGTATTTTTTAAAAATTTAAATTTCCAATTGCTTGTGCTTATAGACAGAAATACTGTTAATATTTGCATACTGGCCTTTATCCTGAGACCCTGCTTAGTTCTAGTTCTAGTAACTTTTTAAAAAGTTCCGGTTGGGCGCAGTGGCTCACGCCTATAATCCTAGCACTTTGGGAGGCCAATGCGGGTGGATTGCCTGAGCTCAGGAGTTTGAGACGAGCCTGGGCAACATGGTGAAACCCCGTCTTTACTAAAATATAAAAAATTAGCTGGGAGTGGTGGTGGGTGCCTGTAATCCCAGCTACTGAAGAGGCTGAGACAGGAGAATTGCTTGAACCTGGGAGGCAGAGGTTGCAGTGAGCCGAGATTGCACCGTTGCACTCCAGCCTGGGTGACAGAGTGAGACTCCATCCCAAAAAAAAAAAAAAAAAAAAAAAATTCTTTGGGATTATCGAAGTAGATGTTTGCATTGTCTGTAGATAATGCAGTTTTATTTCTTCCTCTCCTGCATGCTTTTTATTGTTTGTTTCTGTCTTTACTGTACTGGCTGGAACCTAGTACAATGTGAGATAGAAGTGATGTGTGGAGACATCCTGGCCTTGGGGGAAACGTCTCGTATTTCACCATTAAGGATGATGTTAGCTCTAGACTTTACAGAGATGTTCTTTATCAGTTGAGGAAGTTATTTCCTATCCCAGTTGTGCTTGGAGATTTTAATCATAACTGGATGTTGAGTTTTGCCAAAGCCTTTACTGCATCTTCCACAATGATCTTATTGTTTTTCTCCTTATTCTGCTTATATAGTGAATTGTGTTGATTGATTTGTGAATGCCAACTCTGCATTTTTGGGATGAATCTCACTTGGCGATAATATGTTTTTTGTTTTTTGTTTTTTTTGAGACAAAGTCTTGCTCTGTAACCCAGGCTGGAGTGCAGTGGCTCGATCTCGGCTCACTGCAACGTCTGTCCCCCGGGTTCAAGCAATTCTCCTGCCTCAGCCTCCTGAGTAGCTGGGATTATAGGCATGCACCACCATACCCCGCTAATTCTTGTGTTTTTGGTAGAGATGGGGTTTTGCCATATTGGCCAGGCTGGAGTGCAGTGGGGCGATCTCGGCTTACTGCAACCTCTGTCCCCCGGGTTCAAGTGATTCTTCTGCCTCAGCCTCCCGAGTAGCTGGGATTACAGTCACACGCCACCACGCCCGGCTATTTTTGTATTTTTAGTAGAGACGAGGTTTCATTCACCATGTTGGCCAGGCTGGTCTCGAACTCCTGACCTCAGGTGATCCGTCCGCCTCGGCCTCCCACAGTGCTGGGATTACAGGTGTGAGCCACCACGCCCGGCCCAGTTTCATGTTTTCTGGGATGGATTTGCTCATTTTTGTTGAGGAATGTTGCCGTGCTCACGAGGGCCTTGCTCTGCTGTTGCCTGCAGGTTCTTTCCAGCGTTGTCCGCGTCACAGGCCTCATAACACAGATGGGAAAACAGTCCCTCCTCCTTCACTTTCTGAAGAAGTTTGTATGAGTTTGACGTCATTCTCTTCCTTAAATGTCTAATAGAATTCAGCAACGAATCCCTGGCTTCCAGGATCTCGCTAGAATAGAATATTATCGCCTTGATTTCACTGCTTTCATTTTTATGGCGACTTTCTATTTGGTCAGTTGACTCTGATTTTTCCTTTACAGTAGTAATATCAAGTTTGATTTCTCAATACTTGCATTGCAGCTTATGAGAAGATTTGTTTAAAGAAAGATAAGTGAACAGCATTCTGGGGCGGGAGGAGGAGGGCGGTATTCAGATACGGCGAAACCATTTGTTGAGAGTGGAAAGGCTGGTGTGATGAGCGTCGTCAGTGCTGGAGGCGGCAGGGAGGGCCTGGGGCTGCCCTGTCTCACCTCTACCTTGGGAGCCGCTGTGTGAGTTGAGCACTGGGCTGAGGGTGGGGTGGCCTCCTTTCCATCTGAATTCTGTATTTGAGATGAAGAAGGTTGGATTTGGTGACAACAGGAACTGTGTTTAGAAGGAAAACTCCATTTCTTGAAGCAACACCTACTCCAAATTTCCAGAGGGTTTTGCTGTCTCCTCACCTCAGTTAAGTGAGGGAGACTGTGAAGGACCAGCCCAACAGTGAAGATCAAAGAGTTTATTCCCAAAACGCCTCCCCAGAACCAAGCTCCAGGACACACAGGCACGAGGCTTGCCTGTGCCGGCGGCCACAGCAGTGAGTGTAGGCCAAGGGTTCTGCACAGGAGGGGCTGTGCCCGTTTAGGTCTCAGCCCACCGGCCTCTAGTCTGTGTGAATTCTGTGGGAATTACTCCCTGGGCCCTGGGAGAAGGGCAGAGGATGGCAGCTGTTGGGTGACCCAGATGGCGAGACGGCACCAGCACAGATGCCTGAGCCGCTGAGGATGGGTGGCCCCTCTCGAGGCCAAGGGTTGAGCCCCTGAGGGCCACGTCGCCCAGAATGCAGGCCTTTCTCGGGGGGCTGTCAGGAGAAGTAGGGGGTGATCCTGGGTAACTTGGGGCACAGGCTGGTGCAGCCCTCTCCAAGGATGGCGTCTCTTGAGGTTTTACATTGAATTCCATGATATAGCATATTTTTTAAAATATGAAAATGATGTTCATAATAACCAACTGGTTGAATTATTATTTTTTGCTGTTCTCACCCTCCAACCCTCAAATACAATCGATCCTCCATGAAGTGGCACCATTGTGGTTCAGAACACTTTACACTTTGCTTAGAGGGTGCTCCACCTGGAAGGGCCTGAGCTCCTAAGCAAAGGTGTGGGCACTCCCTTTGTGGGTGTGAAAGCCCACAGCTCAGACAAGAGACCCCCTCCCGCAGAGGCAGGGGCTTCTCTCCCCCGACCCAGGTCTCCCTTTGCCCCTGAGCCTGCTCCCCATGACGCTTTGGTCACGTAAACCCCTCTAGGCTGTGGGTTCCCCAAGCTGCCTGGGCAAGAGCTGGGGCCCTCCCAGCCCCTCCAGGCCTCTGCTAAGCTTCCTGGGATAGTCCAGACAGAGCATCCCAGGGGCTCTGCTCACCTGGGCCGGGAGGATCTGACAGGCAGGCAGGTGGGCAGAGCAGAGCGCAGGGCAGGAACTCCCCTCGCCAGCATCTGCCGCTGCTGAGAAAGCTCCTGGCTCACAGGAATGACCAAGAATGGAGAGAACCTTCGATGACTGGAAAATGCAGCACACTGGGAATGTGTGAAATACGCATGTTTGCGTTGAATGATGGCGCTGTGCTTACAGGTACAGCATTAAGTGGAGAAGAATACGTAAAATGAGTTAAGAGAAACAATCGGTAATGCAGTGATAAAGCGTTAAACTCCAACTATCAAAAAGTACCTGCCTCATTCATTCCAACTGGAGCTCATCCCCGTGAGCTCTGGGTCAGAGAGGTGAGCTCCCCAGCCCTGCCACAGCGTCATGCCAGGAACCAAACTAACACGAGCCTCAGGCTCCTCATCTTAAAGTGGGGTTAGCCTTAGGGTCGTCTCGGCCTCTGGTGAGCCATCACGGCAGCCTCTCGGCGGGGTCTGGCGGGCAGGAGGTCCTCGGTGAGTCTTGCCACTGCCTCTGTTCTTCCTTGGAATCTGTGGAGCCGAGAAGACAGAACTCATTGTCCTCTGCTTCCGTACTTTGCACATACCGTTTTTTTTGCTACAAGTTCTATATTGCATTGCATTGATTTATGCAAATATCTGTTTCTTAATCTGGGGTCCTACCCTCTTTCAACACAGTACTTGGAATTCAGTAGGTGATAAATATATTTTTGTTAAATTGAAGCTGCCTGGGAGTGGTGGTTCATGCCTATAATCCCAGCACTTTGGGAGGCTGAGGCAGGAGGATTACTTGAGCCCAAGATTTTGAGACCAGCCTAGGCAACATGGGAGACCCCATCCCTACTAAGAATACAAAAAAATATAAAAAGCCAGATGTGGTGGCGCACGCCTGCAGTCTCAGCTACTCAGGAGGGCTGCGGTGGGAGGATCACTTCAGTCCAGATCAAGGCTGTAATGAGCCAAGATCGTGCCATTGCACTTCAGCAGCCTGGGCCACAGAGCGAGACTCTGTCTAAAAGAGAAAAAAAGAAAAAGAAGGCTATTGCCACACCAGCCACCGAAGCCCCTCCGAGGGAATCCTGGCATGCTTTGGTCTTTGGTTTGGAAAAGTTACCAGTTTCAGACTCAGCTTTTCTTGCTTGTGATCAAGTCCTGGTCCTGTGGTGGCAGAAGTTTCTGTAGTTTTCTCTTCAGTGAAAAACCATTTCTAGATCTGCTTTAAGAGGACTAAACCGAATGCGTGGGTCGGCAGAGTTGGGCTCAAGGACCATTACCATCGGGCGCTGTTTGTGTCTAACCCGAATGCCAAGCTTCCCAGATGGCAGCTTGCAGCATCGGGGTGCGTGCGCAGGAAACGGGAGGCCAAGCTGTCCAGCCCTCCCTCAAAAGCCGGGGTCGAGGCCATCTGGGGGTCTTCAGAGAGGTCTCGCTGTATGCTCTGGACAAACCGCACGCCGCAGACAGCCGGTATAGTCAGTTCTGCCAAAACGTGATATCGGCGTCCCTAGAAACCACCACGCAGGCAGAATGGCACAGTTAAAAACCACAGGGCGTGTGGGGAAAGGAAGCCAAGGGTGCAGCACTCAAGGACTTCACCGGCACCAGGTTACAAAGGGAGTGGAGGCCGAGGCGGGCGGATCACCTGAGGTCAGGAGTTCGAGACCAGCCTGGCCAATATGGTGAAACCCCGTCTCTACTAACGATACAAAAATTAGCTGGGCGTGGTGGCAGGTGCCTGTAGTCCCAGCTACTCGGGAGGCTGAGGTAGGAGAATCACTTGGACCTGGGAGGCAGAGGTTGCAGTGAGCCGAGATCGCGCCATTGCACTCCAGCCTGGGCCACAAGAGTGAAACTCTGTGTCAAAAAAAAAAAAAAAAAAAAAGAGGCACCTAATAAAAACGGCAGCGCAGCCTCCCACGCACTCAGTGGTTCAGACACACGAAGACAGCAATACAGATGTTACCTCGGCTGGTCTCAGCGCAGCACCGGCGCTGGGAAACGACGCTGCCTGGGATGGCGGGCGCGTGGGAAGGCCCCGCGGAGTGGGGGTGTGAAGTGGCCGCGGGGTGTCGGCAGAGACAGGCGGAAGTGGCGTCCCGATGAGGACGAGGTGCCCGGGCAGCCGGGGACGGGGGTGCGAGGGGCGTGTGCTTCTCCTGTTCCTGCGTGGCTCGGTTCCACGGCGGGCAGCGCGGCGTTCGCCTGGCATTTCTGGCGGGTGAAATTGCACAAAGGTAAACACAAATTTGCATCATGTTCAGATCGTCTCCTGGAAATCAATTGCTTTGGAACCAGTTGGCATTTTCAAAACAAACGTGCGGCAGAACCGGCTGTCTGGGCCATTCCGTGTCGAGTAAGGCGCAGAATCACACCCCGTTGAATAAATTTCAAAAGTGACTGCTTTTCTCAGCCAGGGACTGTTGAAAAAAATGAAAAACGAAACAAAAGAAGTCAAAACAATACCAAGGCTGGTGTGTCGCCTAAGCCCTTGTGACACCTGTCTGGATGCAGAGGGGCCGGCCTGTTTGTTAGAACCTCTCGGCTTTCCCTTCCCGGGGCCTGTTTGTTAGAACCTCTCGGCTTTCCCTTCCCGGGGCCTGTTTGTTAGAACCTCTCGGCTTTCCCTTCCCGTGGCCTGTTGTTAGAACCTCTCGGCGCTGCCTTCCCGGGGGCCCAGGCCTTCTCCTAAACCACCCCTTCACCGGGTCTCTCATAGTCAGGCAGAGAAGGTCTTATGTTTCCCCATTTCTGAAAACAATACCGAATGCCCCTTGGGCTTGGGCATCCTGTGAGGCGAGGCAGGCTGGGGCGCTCCTGGACCCCACGTGCCAGTGCAGGGAGGGGCCGCTCGCAGAAGGCAGGGGCTGACCTGGCCACACGGCGTCCACTGCATGTCTTTGGTGGACACTCTGTCCAGGGATGGGGTCAGGGACGGGTTTGGCTGTTGCCTAGATGCTGCCCTGGGACACGGCTGTGCTTTGGGGTCAGCTCTGTGACCTCCTGGTGGGGAATTCCCCTCCTGGTGGGTGGCTTGGGGCGCCCACCTGCCCGCGCCCACCTGCCCGCTCTGGGTGGGATGCTGCCTTGCCAGCCTCTAATGGCTCCTGCCCGGCCCGCGCATCTCCGGGGCTGCTGAAGACAGGGCAGCGATGCTCCGCCCGTGGGAAGCTGGGCAGCGGCAGGACGGCACTCCCAGCCTCTCCATCGGCTTTGAATCACGGCCTGGAGTTCCGATGCTTCGTGGCCACTCTCCTCTCCATGTGTGGACATCGCTGTCTGTGGCCCCGGCCATACCGATGGCTTCAGGTGCCTCAGGCTGCACTTGGGGTCATGCCACAGCGCCAGGCCCCCACCCCTACCCAGGACGGGGAGGTTGCTTTCGGCCTCCGACGCCCGCCTTCCTGCACCCAGGAAGTGATCCCAGTCACTCGGTGCTCGGGGACGGACGCTCTCTCTGTCCTCCCCATGCCCTGGCCTTCGGCTCCCCGCGGTGACTGGCTGCCCAGAAGAGAGGCTGCAGCTCCATCATCCCCATCGCTCCCTCCTGGGTGCTCAGCCCACCCAGAGCGCCGCGTAGCCGGCGGGGCTGGATCTGTGACTGGCCCCATCTCTCCAGCTCCATGGGGCTCGAGAGACTGAGCCTTTCCCAACAACACGTGGCCGTCCAGTGTCACAAACTCATCTGAACTCACACAACCCGGGGTCTTGGAGACACACGCTGGCCCCAGCTCTGCTACCGTCAGGAAAACATTTTCAGAATTGTTCAAAGAATCCATATCACATTCTTTCCTGTGCTCTCGGTGGTGACAAACTTTCATCTTACGAGAGCAGATTCAAGTTTTCAAACTAAATGGAGACATAAGTGCGGCTCTCCTGGGCTTGGTGGCTGTGCACCTGGCTGAGTGTCCTGGGGCAGTGGCCCTCTGCCATGTCAGCCCACGCTTCCTCTTTAGTGAAGTCAGAGGTGGAGGCCTCCGCACAGCATCAGTTACAGGAGGGTGAAGCGAATTTGGACATAAACAGGTCAGCTGAGGGCCCTGCACAGAGCAGCTGCCTTGGGCAGCACTGTGGACCCCCGAGCTGACCACCACAGGTGAAGGGCTCACAGAGCCAAGGCGTGCCACTCCAGGTAGGCACAGGTGCGGTGGGCATGCTGGGAGAGATGCCAGGAGACCCGTGGGCAGCTCCCATGGGAGGGTCACCACACACAGGTTGGGGGCCGGGGGGCTGCCCTTCTTGTGCACCGTAGCTTTGCGGGAGAGCACTGCCTGCGATCAACATCACCCACCAGCTGTGCTGCAGCGTACCGGCCACAGCACCTCACTCGGGAAGGCGGGCACTGAAACAGGGCCCTGCCAGGGCTCCTTCCGCCCTCGTCCTTGGTATTGTTTCTGACGGCCTAAGAATAAAGGGTTACTTCTGATGATTCCCACGGTCAAATCATTACTGCTGGCGATCCCGCACATTCCCAGCGCTTGGCAGCTCGAGAACGTCTTTTGCACAGAGGATTCATCTTTGCTCTGCAACCCTCCCTGTCAAGCAGCCCCTGGGGCCTGTCAGGGAAGGGCTGAGGAAACCGCAGCTCACACAGATGGTGGGAATGGCAGACGCCGCCTGGGGCTCTGAGTCCAGGCCTGACGCGGATTCTCACAGGAAGATTTAATTTAATAATGTATGTATTAAATGTATTATTAAAAATAAATAAAACCAACAGATTTAACCAATAAGTTCAATCATTCAAGCAATAAATCAAATCATTCAATAATTTTAATAAATCAATAGATTAATAAAATAAATTATAAATAAAATAATGAAATAAATATAAATAAAATCAAATAATTATTAAATTAATTAACTAACTTAACATTCATAGGATATTAAAGTTATAAAATTCTTGTGTTTTGAATATTGGAAATACCTCGACCTGGCTTTCTGATTGTACATTATGCATAAAAACGGAAACATCAGCCGGACACAGTGGCTCACGCCTGTAATCCCAGCACTGTGGGAGGCCGAGGCGGGTGGATCACCTGAGGTCAGGAGTTCGAGACCAGCCTGGCCAACATGGTGAAACCCTGTCTCTACTAAAAATACAAAAAATTAGCTGAGCATGGTGGTGGGCGCCTGTCATCCCAGCTACTCGAGAGGCTGAGGCAGGACAATCAATAGAACCCCCCCGGAGGTGGAGGCTGCTGCGAGCTGAGATTGTGCCACTGCACTCCAGCCTGGGCAACAGAGCGAGTCTCTGTCTCAATGAATGAATGAATGAATGAATGAATGGAATCATCATAGTGATCCCAGTACTTAGGTTTAGAGTATCATCTTTCTGAATGTATTGTCATCTAAATGGGCTGCCCTTGGCATTTAGCTTTATGACCACTTTTTCTACCCGGTGGTATTTTGGGGCCATCCTTCTGCGTCGGGACACACTGCTTTGTTCCTTTTCATGGCTGCACGGTGCACTGTTGTACTCACTCTTTGGGCAAACGTTTACGAACCACGTGCTGTGTGCTGGAACCATGTGCTGGGAGCTGGGGACACAGTGAGGAGGACGGAGAGGTCTGCGTGGTTGCACCACCATCCATTTCACAAACCCCTTATGGATGGGTCTAGATCATTCCGTGTGGTTACTTTCTGCAATGAGCCGTGTTGCAATGCATGTCTCCACTTATCCATCTTTGCATATGTATCTATTAGTTATTTAGAGTAAGTTCCTGGAGGTGGAATTACAGAATCAAGAATAAGCACATTTAAAAGCCAGGCGGATGTCCAAGTAGCTCCTAAAAAGCGGCATCCATTTCCATCTGCCGACCCCGTGTGGGTGTGCCCGCCTCCTCACCCTGACAGCAGGGTGTTGCCACGCGTGTAAATCCCTGCCGTCTGGCAGGTGGCCTGGGCCTCGAGCAAGCTGGTGTCATGGATTGTGAGTTAGGATGGACAGCTGTTTGCATTTTTTCTTTGGCTGATTGCCAGTGTATATTATTTTAAAATTTTAAACGGATTTGTCTTTTCCTCAATGATTTATAAGAGCTCTTTCTATATGGAGGATATTTACTCCTTGCCATATACCCATTGCCATTTTTCTCTCTGTTAACTGATTCATTTCATCAGAGTTTTCATCTTGTTTCAAAAGAAAGTCCCCAGGCCGCTCCTCCCTGCAGGCAGCTCCTGGACAGGGGTCAGTCCACCCCCATGTGCCTGCCTCACCGATGAAGCCAGGGCGAGGCCCCGGGCAGAAGGGGCTCCTGACCACCTGGGAAGAATGGGCACTCCCTGCTGGCGTCTGGAACAGAAGCCTATTGGCCTGCGGACCCGAGCATTCCGTGGGGCAGGGCTATGAAGGAATCGTCTCTGTAAATCTTCAGTGTCCTCATTTCTCCCCTCCTTTATCTCACAAGGCCTCTTGGCCGAGCCCAGTCTCCCCCGAGGAATCCTCTCTGGCACACATCATTTGTCGTCTGCTTTGTTCTACTGCTCAATGTTTGGAATTCCAGGCTCACTGAGAAGTCATCTGTTGGGGAGAATTTGGGGCTGGTTGACTCTGTTGTCAGTGACACCGCCAGATGGGGCTGACTCCAGATGGACGAGGTTGGCCAGGGTCGATCTGGGCCAACAGTGCCAGCCCGTGGCTGCTTCCCGGGCAGGGGCCATCTCATGGGTGCCTGAGGGGTGAAAACTTGGGGTGTTCGTGTCACCTTGGCTGGGGCACAGGAAGGCCCCGCACGTTAGCTGTTGGTGAGGAGCACCCACAGCCAGGGGAGCACTCACACCCGGAGGAGCACCCACACCCGGGGCCCCTCTTTCCTGGGCATTCGGTTCCTCAGCAACAGCGGCTTGGTGCTGGGACCGGTGATCCACAGGCACAGATCTGTCTTCAGGGATCTCACTGTGAAGCTGGCCATGTTTTTTTTTTTTTTTTTTTTTTTTTTTTTTGGGATGGAGTCTCGCTCTGTCGCCCAAGCTGGAGTGCAGTGGTTTGATCTCGGCTCACTGCAACCTCCGTCTCCCGGGTTCACGCCATTCTCCTGCCTCAGCCTCCCGAGTAGCTGGCACTACAGGCGCCGGCCAACACGCCCGGCTAATTTTTTGTATTTTAGTAGAGACGGGGTTTCACTGTGTTAGCCAGGATGGTCTTGATCTCCTGACCTCGTGATCCACCCACCTTCGCCTCCCAAAGTGCTGGGATTACAGGCGTGAGCCACCGCGCCCGGCCAGCCATGTTTTATTCTATGTGTTCAGCTGGACAAAGGTCCCCCAGTTGTCCACGTCCTAGTCCCTGGACCTATGAACGTGCAGCTGGACAGCAGTGCCAGAGGTGCTGTGAAATTCAAGGCACTGCTGTTAAGTCAGGTTCCTCTGCGTGGGGGAGGCTGTGAGGATAGAGCCACCTCCAGTGTTGTCTTCCAGCCTGGCCCCTGCCCTCCTCCTCCTCATCCCATCTGGCCCGCCCTACAGGCACAGATGTCCTTCTCACAACGCTGATTTTCATTTTGTTAACTCAGATTGCTGGGATAAAGCAGAGACATGTTCAAGGCATGCAGCTGTCCTGAGCTTTGAGGATGGCGTGTTGCAGCCGTCTCCGGCTTGGCCAGGAGGCTGGGTCCAGATGGCGGCAGCAGGGTCTATTTCTGGCTATTCGTAACCCCAGGCCTGGTTGACCATTTAGATGCATGAGTTGTGTGCTCCTGGTCAGCAGCACTTGCTGTATTGTGTGCCCTTCACAAATAAACCTAGCTAGCAGATGTAGCGTGGGCCCCGCCCGTGGGGGCCCGTTGACATTTTGCTAATTACTCAAAGAGGAGGCCTGGAGCCTGAACGATGGACGTCTGATGGCTCATCTCATCCAGAGATTGCCTCATGCCTGTTACGAGTCTGTCCCCAGCTGCCATCCTGCCAGCTCTGCCTTCTTTGTGGAGAAGATTAGACGATTCTCATGTACCGAGCGTGCCCAGTACAGGGCAGGGCCTGGGTGAGAGCTCAGGTCGGTGCAGTTTGTACCTGAGTGATGACTGTGGAGGGCTTTGTCCTGAGCCTGGCCACTGGGAGGGGAGGATGCAAAGATAAGTTCTGTCCTCCACACTCAAAGATCTCAGCATCCTTGGGCAGACATGCATGTATGTAACTATGGATGCATACAGCCATGTGCATGTACAGTTGTGTGTGCGTATAGCCATGTGTGCATACAACCATGTGTGCATATGGCTATGTGAGCATACCACCACACAAGCACCATGTGTGTGCAACCATGCATGTGCAAGTCATGTGTGCATACAGCCATGTGCACATACAACCGTGCATGCAATAACCACGTGTGCATACAACCATGTGTGCATACAGCTATGTGAGCATACAACTACATATGCATACAGCTATGCATGTATACCACCACACATGCATAGAGCCATGTATGTGTAAAACCATGTGTGTGTATGACCATGTGTGCATACAGCTGTGCGTACATACCACCAAGCCTGTGTACAGCTATGCATGCATACAGCCGTCTGTAACTGTAAACAGTCATATGTGCATACCACCATGTGTGCGGTTGTGTACATACAACCAAGTGTGTGACAGCTATATGTGCATGCAACCGTGTGTGTGCAGCTATGCATGCATGCAATCATGCATGTATACAATTATGTGCACATATGACCGTGTGTGCATACTCCACACATGCATGCAACCACATGTGTCAGCTATATGTGCATACCGCCATGCATGTATACAGCTATACATGCATACAACTGTGCATGAATACAGCTATGCGTGCATACCACCACGGTGTGTGCACAGCTATGTATGCATACCACCATGTGTGCCTGTAACTGTGTGTGTATAACTATGCTATGAGCCATGGTAACTCATTGCAAGAGGGAAGGGAAAGACAGCCAAGGGGTTATTGTAGTCTTTAGAGGAAGAGCTTCTTTACAACTGAGGAGGAGAAAGATGTTTGATACGAGGCATGGTCAAGGCTCAGGGAGCAATGTGAGGTGCAGAGCCCTGGGTTTGCAGATTTGGCTGGGAGACCATGGCTAGCCCAGGGAGACAGAGGGTGGGAAGAGGAAGATGGGATTGGAAAGCTCTAGGGGTGCTGTCTTGCCCAAGACGATAGAGCCGGGTTAAAGCAACAACAGAGCCTGGAGAGTTGCTGGTGTGGCCTTCACCCCATCACGGAGCATTCCACCACTCCCGGTCCAAGGGAGTGCCCATCTCACTCAGTGTCTGTGACATGGACAGCAGAACTGTGGAATCAGACACACAAACTATCAAGGTGTGTTGAAACTATCACATTCTAGAATGTTCCATGGACTCTTTTGGCATCCAAGAGCAGGGACTTTACTATTCCAAACTCAGCCATAATTTTGTAGTAGTTGGTGAATCATTACTCACTGGCAAGAGTTCACTGTTGTTTGTCTTGTAATCACAATCCCGTTTAAACCATGTCCTAGTGCTGGGATCGGCCCCTCCCCTGCCCTCAGCCCACTTTCCCAAATGCCACACCAAAGTCTTGGCAGGGGATGTGCCTGCCTGGGAGCGCCCAGCGGGTTGTCAAGGGATGATTACACAGAGTCCTAGCCCCAGCTTCCTTACTTCTTGGAATAACATAACACATAAACCTCCTAATTTTCATCTTCATTCTACATAAGCCTGATTGAATAGTAGAAAAGTCATCTTTTTAAAAGGAATCTGCCCCTAGACACAATATTAGTAAACTTTATGTGGCAGTGTCTGAATAAAAGGGACATTTAGAGTCATGAAAGGTTGGTTCTGCAAAGGAACATAACAAGCCATCACCAGATTAACCTCTAAATCCATTCAAAATGCCATGTGACCAAATTCACCTCTTCCTGATTTCAGTAAACTAGACATAAAAAGCAGCCTTCTTAACTTCATAAACTTGCATAGGATATTATTCCTAATGGAAACACATTTAAAGCATTTCCACTAAAGTCAGTAGCAAAACAAGGGTGTTGGCCTTGCTGCTACTTTTCTATGTTGTATCTGAGGTCATCGCCAAAGGAATAAGACAAGAAAAAGAAATAAGCAGCGTAAGCACAGCTATTCGGCTATTCACCATTCGGCTGCCTGGAAAATGCTAGAGGGAGGCCTCTGGTGAAACGCTAGGCTGTGCTGACAGGGGGGACCCTGTCCCAATGTAAACACACAGACATTCTGGGTGAAATGTAACCTGCAACATTTTAAGTCCATAGACAAGCTTGAAAGAAAGACCGGGAAAGCTTTCAGGACTAGAAATGAAGAGTGAAATGAGAGGGTGTTTCGGAGATCCTGAGAATTGTGATGAGCGTCAGAGCAGAGACTGCTCTGCATCCCACATGCTGGAAGCTGGGATGAGCCCAGCCAGGAGGCTCAGAGCCCCAAGGAACTGCGCATGCTGTGAAAAGTGGATCTGAAATCTTTTTGCCCCCTGGCCTGGGGATGTGATGAGGAAAATTGCTGTGAAAAGTGGATCTGAAACCTTTTTGCCCCCTGGCCTGGGGATGTGACGAGGAAAATTGCTGTGAAAAGTGGATCCGAAACCTTTTTGCCCCTTGGCCTGGGGACGTGATGAGGAAAATTGCTGTGAAAAGTGGATCCAAAACCTTTTTGTCCCCTGGCCTGGGGATGTGATGAAGAAAATTGCTGTGAAAAGTGGATCTGAAACCTTTTTGCCCCTTGGCCTGGGGACGTGATGAGGAAAATTGCTGTGAAAAGTGGATCCAAAACCTTTTTGTCCCCTGGCCTGGGGACGTGATGAAGAAAATTGCTGTGAAAAGTGGATCTGAAACCTTTTTGTCCCCTGGCCTGGGGACGTGATGAAGAAAATTGCTGTGAAAAGTGGATCTGAAACCTTTTTGTCCCCTGGCCTGGGGACATGATGAGGAAAATTGCTGTCTGTCCAGGCTTTGAGTAGAGGAAAGAAGTTTCCCATAAGAAATAGAATCTCCAGACCTTCTCGACACCTGAGTCTGGTGACTGCATGGTTAGCACAGCACAGAATCCCTAAGACGGAAATTCACAGAACCCCAGGCCAGAGGATCTGGTAAATGAGGACATTTCCTCAGCCCAGCATTCGTGAGACAGTCTCCAAACAACAGCATCAACAACAAAAGATACACAAAATAACTCCTACCGAGTTTGAGCTCCAATAAACAGCCACAGGAAGAAACGAACTGTCAGGATCAAGTGCAGTGAACACAGAATCAGCACTGTGCAGACAGGGAATAATTGAACAGCAGGAAATACATGTGTTTATCTAAAATTATTTAATACAAAAGAGGGAGTCATAATGAAAGTCCAGAGCAAGAGAAATGGATTTGGCATTGAAGTGGCAGAACCGATTTAAATGAAAAATATAGTCATAAAAAAAAACTTTGGCTATATTAAATGGAAGCTGTAAGAGAGCTGGTAAGAAAAGTGGCCGGGGAAATACAATACGGAGGAATAAATATTTGGAAAGGAAGACAGAGCCATTTAGAAATCGGAGGGTAGCACGGAGGAAAGGAGGACGGAGCCACGTAGAAATCGGGGGGTAGCACGGAGGAAAGGAGGACGGAGCCGTGTAGAAATCGGGGGGTAGCACGGAGGAAAGGAGGACGGAGCCACGTAGAAATCGGGGGGTAGCACGGAAAGTCAGTGACAACACTGATTTACAAATGAGCAGGCAGAACGTGAGAGACGCGATGTTCAAAGATCCTGCAGAAAAGCCGGGGGCCTTGCCCTTCTAGTTACCAAAATATACTCTAAAACTGTGTTAATCCAGGAGGAATTTCAGTATAGAAACAGGTAAGTGGATTTTAAATTGAGGCCAGGCGCAGTGGCTCAGGCCTGTAATCCCAGCACTTTGGGAAGCCGAGGTGGGTGGATCATTTGAGGTCAGGAGTTCGAGACCAGCCTGGCCAACATGGCGAAACCCCACCTCTACTAAAAAATACAAAAGTTAGCCGGGCGTGGTGGCGGGCGCCTATAATCCCTGCTACCTGGGAGGCTGAGGCAGGAGAGTCGCTTGAACCCAGGAGGCGGAGGTTGCAGTGAGCTGAGATCATGCCATTGCACTGCAGCCTGGGTGACAGAAGGAGACTCTGTCTCAAAAAAACAAACAAACAAAAAAACAAAAAAATCAAGTCTAGCGTATGGCCCTTTACAAGAGAATTTAATGTAGGAAATTGGTCACGTTTGAAAGAGAGGAAAGAATCATTCAGAGGCATCGTTGGGCCAATGAATCCACCATCTGGAAAAACAAAGTTAGAACCCCACCTTACGGACACAATAAATTCTGTGCAGATAAATCCGCTAAATTGCAAAAAAAGTATAAAAGTATTAGTAGAAAAATAGAATAGTTGTATAATTCTGGTGGAGGAAAAGACTTTCTACCCCAAATTCTAATCCCAAAAAGGACAAGATGGACGTCTTCAGTTACATAAGAAGTTAAAGCAGTTGTGTAACAAAAGACACCAAAACCAGTGTTAGAAGACAAGAGTCGGACTAGGAAAGAAACATGCAGCCCGGGAAAGACGCCCTGGGAGGTACCCCCGTCCTGGTCCCCGGAGCCTGCTATGAAATGCTCAGCCTGGGAAAGAGGCCCTGGGAGGTACCCCCGTCCTGGTCCCCGGAGCCTGCTATGAAACGCTCAGCCTGGGAAAGAGGTCCTGGGAGGCACCCCCGTCCTGGTCCCCGGAGCCTGCTATGAAACGCTCAGCCTGGGAAAGAGGTCCTGGGAGGCACCCCCGTCCTGGTCCCCGGAGCCTGCTGTGTGCCTCTCCCACGGCAGTAGGGCCTGTGCAGATGGGACTGAGCGAGAGGCCTCCAGGTGGGGACCATCCTGGTCATCTGGGTGGCCCAAGGTCATCACGGGCATCCTTGTAGGAGGGAGGCGGGAGGCCAGGGGCAGGAGGGTCAGCAGCAGGCAGTGGCAATGGCAGCAGAGGTCGTGGTGACGTCAGAGGCACCATGAGCCCAGGAACACAGAAGCCTCTGGAAGCCAGAAAAGGCAGGAAAGGGATTCTTCCCTGCGCCTCCAGAAGGGACCAGCCCTGCCGACACCTTGATTTCAGCTCCGTGAGAGCCGGTTGGGCTTCTGACCGCCAGAGCTGTGGGAGAATGCATTCGTGTTGTTTCAGCCATAAGTCTGTGGGCCATTTGTGACTGCAGCCGCAGGAGGCTACGCAGACAGGCTCATGTGTGCAGATCTGAGCTGAGCTCGAGATGCCTGATGCAGATGATAGGAAATAGTCCACAGCGGCCAGGATCTCAACAGGCTTCCAGGGGAACAACACAGCGATGTCCAAGGGTGCGTCCAGGGTGAAACTGCAGGGCCACGTTCAGCACAGGGAAGCAGAGAAAGAAGGTGAGAATAAATCAGCTGTCCTTCCTGCAAGACCCGGCTGGGCGGGGGGTCTGGGAAAGGCTGCCCTGGGAGGGTGAGCAGGTTCCCTGGGCTCTCAGCCACAGCCCTGCCCTGCTTTGCTAGGTCAGGCGAAGGCACCTGACCTTCACCTCCTGGCCCTGGCCCTGCCATCCAGGCTGGGCAGATGATGTTGGCGGGCCAGAATCCTGCGAGGGTTATCCTGAGGCTCGAAAGTGGAAATAGATGGGAGGGACCTTGAAAAGCTCAGAGTGATGCCTAAGCGGGTCCTTATCAACAGCCCAGTGTGAGCCTCAAGCACTGAACTCCAGCCTCAGGACTGAGAAGGTCCTTATCAACAGCACAGACCTCAGCGTGAGCCTCAAGTCTCAGGAGCTTGAAGAATGGCTTCTGTTTACTGAGCACACGTGATGTGCCAGGTGTGGCCCTGGGGCTCGAACTCTATTGCCTGGTCTATAAAGCACATGTCACCACCCTGTTTTACAGAGGAGGAAACTGAGGCTTGGGGAGGCTCATCAGCTCACCCTGCGGGGAGTCGGCCGGCAGCAGCTGCGTCGCTGTGGATCCCACCCGAGGGTCCCTGATGTGGGTCACACCTGTGTGCTGGCTTTAATCCCCAGCCCCACCTGGATGTGCAGCCTGGGGCCAGCATGGCCCACAAGGGTGGGACGGATGGCATCGTCACCCTCCACGCACAGGGGCCTGAGAGCACAGGGCCCCTCAGGGAGAGCCCCTGCGGCAGAATCAGAGTCTCAGGAATAAAGACAAGCAGAGGTCTCAGTTTCTCTGCCTGAAAACTGGGGGTGGCAATCCCCACCTCACCGGCCTGTGATTAGGATGGGAGGAGACAGGCTGAGATGGGGCCCCAGGCACTTCACCGACACCCGGTGAGCACTCACCGAATCCTCACCTGGAGAAGCCCTGGGGGGGTGGGGGGCTCAGCGGCCCTGCCCACGGAATGCCCACCTGGAGCTTCTTCAGTCATGGCATCAGGGGCAAGTGCTTGATCGTTTTGTGCCTCAGTTTCCCCCTGTGTCAATGGAGATTTCAGCAGTTCCAACCTGTTCAACACCATGAAGATGGAATAGGTTAGCGTGCTTAACGCACTCAGGGCCGTCTCCAGCCTTAAGGAGGCACCACTCAGAGCGGGGTGGAGCGCCTAGCGGGGTGGGGTGCAGAGCGGGCTGGGGCGCCGAGCAGGGTGGGGCACCGAGGCTGTGTTCCTTGTTGCTGGGGGGATACAGATGCCCCCCCACTCCTTCCCCCTAAGACGCAACCACCAGCCTGGAACTGGAAGTGGGGATCACCCCCACCTTCGGGCCTCTGCTCCCCCCATGCGTGGCCCATGGCCATGCGTCTCCCTGCAGCAGGAGAAGAAAGCCAGGAGGTGGCCCAGGCCCAGGGCTGACATGTGTCAGACACGGGTGAAAATGCTGCCTTTGTGTCTGACGTCTGTCTCTTGCTGTTAAATGATGACAGCTTGTCAGAAACATCACACACGTTTGCTCTAATTAAGGGAACGTTGTGAACAAGTCGCAGCCTTGCGGGGAGCGGTCCCGGCTGGATGTGTCCTCTGATCGGCCCCTGCCTGTGTCCTCCCAGGCCATGCACTGGCTCTGTGTCTCCTGCATCTTCACTTGTCTGCCTGGCTGGCGGCCAGCGGCACCAGACCAAGGACCCGCCGCTATTTCCCTGTGTTCGCTGCCTTCCTCTTCGCAAGGACACCGAGAGCCCCTGGCTCTGGGCCTCCCATCTGCCCTTCCTCCCGCCCATCGTCAGCGTTTACGAGGGTCTGCCACGTGCCAGGCGCAGGGGAAACGGCGCAGGGTCAGAGGCAGAACCCGCCTGCTGGGGAGACAGGAGTGGGGAGTGGCCTCACACCCCAGAGGAGGGGATGGAAGAGGTACGCCCGGGGCCGTCCCGGAGCAGGGCAGAGGCTTGGTCCAGCCTGTGGCAGTGAGCAGCCGGTGGGACAGAGGCCACAACAAGGCCAAAGGCGTGGTGGGGAGGGCGGGGGGCGTCTCTCTGGTCCCGGCAGAGCTGCCAGTCCCTACTACGTCTGTTTGTTGATTGGGTCACGTTTAACTTCGGGAACCATGCACAGTGTTGGCCAGGAGATGCCATAACCAGAATAAAACAGGACTCTGCCTGGCGTCAACGTAGCTGTCTCATGTCCTTTCAGGAGGTAGGGCAGAGATAAGGGGATGGTGTGATTAACGCCAGCTGCCTCTGCCCTGGTGGAGAGGACGGAGGACATCACGTCCCTCCAGCCACCCCAGCCCGTGACACGTGACATTTAAAGATTTTTCTTGCTCTTTGAGGCACATTTTTCTATTTTCAAGGACAGATGAGGTCACAGACGCAGTGTGTGCTGCATTTGAAATGTTTTAGGCTAATTTTTGGCCTTTGATTCCAAAGCCTCTTTAAGACGTATGTTCTCTCTGTCATCACCCGTGTGGCCCAGCGAAATCCTGAACTCTAAGGAGAAGGCGAAGCTCTATCCTTGCTTTTCAGCCTCAGACAGTGAAGTGAGAAGTTCAACTTGTTGGGTTTTGTAGCTGTTTTCTCCTTGTTTGCTAGACGTGTCCATATTCTAGAGTCTCTTATCTTGGGAAGTTACATGCCCTGTTTTTGCCCCCCTTTTTTTTTTTCTCTTTTTGAGGCGGGGTCTCGCTCTGTAGCCCAGGCTGGAGTGCAATGGTGTGATCTCGGCTCACTGCAACCTCCGCCTTCCGGGCCCATGCAATTCTCAAGCCTCAGCCTCCTGAGTAGCTGGGATTACAGGCTCCCACCATGACGCCCAGCTAATTCTTATATTTTTAGTAGAGACAGGGTTTCACCATGTTGGCCAGGCTGGTCTCGAACTCCTGACCTCAAGTGATCCGCCCACCTCAGCTTCCCAAACAGGCATGAGCCACTGCACCCGGCCCATTGTTGCCTATTTAACGATTACAAAAAAAAAAATCTTTAAACTTAAGTGACCTTAAGTCCCAGGGAAGGGTGATGTGTCATGTTCAGGGAAACAGCTTTGCAGTCAACCGACTAGCATTTTAAAAGCAATTATTTTGGAGCATTTCAAACACACACACATAATGAATGCATGCCACCTGGGGCTGGGCCACAACACCACGGCCCCTCGTGCTATCTCTGCTCCCCCCACCTCCCCTCCCACTGGGCTATTGGTGGCAAATCCCAGATGCCTTTCTCAAACTCACGCATTGGAATCCCACAGCACTAGCTTTGCCATCCAGCCCCTGCGAGCCTCGTGCTTGGCCGCTGTTCACCGGGCCGAGCTGCCCTCTTGGGTTTGCCGCTGTTGGTGCAGAGGTGCCTGCGATGGGCCCAGGGTGGTGGTTCTGCTGCCAGGTCTGGTCTTCCAAATGGCTTCTAATTTCTTCTGGCAAGAATTCTCCTCTCTGGCTCCCCTAGGGGCCCAGTGAAGACCAGAGCTGGATGTTGTGTCCTGGCTGGGCTTTCACGTCCTCCTTATTCCCGATCCCAGGGGGCCTCTTGCCCCGTCGCTGCAGGCTTAGGGTGCTGCCCCAGCCCCCAGTGCCGGGCAACTGCTCTGCAGAAGGATGCTTGGGAGATGGACGGGCTCCCCCTGCCGCTGGAGCCTCCTGTGGCCCGAGGCCATGAGGGCAGTGGGTGGCAGATGTGGGGTGATGAGTGGTGAGTGTCCTGATGGGGCCTTCAGACCAGGGCCCAGCGGTCCGGCCTCTGGGAAGTGGCCGAGAAGCTGGAATTTTCCCAGCCGGCCTCGCAGTCCCGTGTTGGGAGACTGGGCCACTTTGTGTTTTCTGGGCTTGAGAACAGGAACAGCAGCTTCATCCAACACCGCCTCCCTCCACACGGTGCCCGGTGCAGGGCCTGCCTGCTCGCCCTGGCTGTGCACCCCTCCTTGCTGCCTGTAATGCCGGAACCACCAGCTCCTTGGGCACAGTCCAGGCTGCTCAGGCATCCATGCACCAGCGGCACCACGACCCACCCGGGCCCAGGTGACTAGACTCAGGACTCAGACAGTGCCTGGCACGTGGCAGGTGCTCTGGCCGTGGCGGGGGGGCAGGGACCCTCGCTGCGGGCCACCGTAGCACATCCTCAAGGGTGAGGTCAGGCCCTTCTGGCTGTCTTTGTGCCTGCTCCATTTATTAAATCAAAGCCACCTGTGTTCTCTGGGGTCAGGAGGAGCCATGCCACCTGCAGTGGCAGCCGTGGCTGGAACCTTCTTCCCTGTGGACCCGGGTCTCACGCCCCCAGGTGCAGCACAGAGCTAAGGTGAGGCCCGGGGAGAGTGGCACCCTCCCCCCAGTCTCAGCCCCCGTGGGGTTTTCTGGGCTCCTGGGAAAGAATCTGGTGGCCAGGGCCCAAAGCAGAAGCCCCAGGGATGGGGACAGCTCTTCTCTCCCACCGTCTCCAGTCTCTGCCCTGGGGACGGCTGCTCCCGTGTGCTGTGCATTTGTGGGGGGGCATTCCTTACACCTCTCCCTGGCCCTCCACACAGCACAAGGGTGGTTTCCAGCCCATGAGATCCATTTGCACCTGAGAGAAGGGGCTGCTGTCTGAAGGGCCTGCGGGAGGGACTCCAGGGCACTCACGGGGCTTCCAGGATGGAAGGGACCCCTGGGGCTGAACGTGACCAACGGGTGGACTAAGGCTGAAGGGGCCGGAAGAGCACGCTGGAAGAGAGGGCAGTGGGGCTTCCAGCACGGTACAGCGTGGGTGGCCTCCTGGGGGTGTCTCAAGCTCAGAGAAACTGTCCCCACGTCAGGAGGGGTCTGCTGAATAACAGCCCCAGAGGCATCCATGTCCTGATCCCTGGATCCTGCAAACATGTGCCCTCACGTGGCAAAAGGGACTTTGCAGATGTGACTGAGGTTCCCTTTCCAGGGAGAGGACCCTGGATTCCCTGTCATCTCAAGTCCTTGGAAGAGGAAGGCAGAAGGACGAGGCCACGGAGAGACTGGAGCTGCCACGCAGCTGGCTCTGATGGCAGAGGAGGGGCCACGAGCCAAGGGATGTAGGGGCCTGGGAAGCTGGAAAGGTGGGGAAGATTCTCCCCTGGAGCCTCCGGGAGCAGCCAGCCTGCCCGTGCCCTCACCGTAGCCCAGGGAGACTGGAGTCCCACGTCGACCTCTGACCTTCAGCGCCAAAGTCAGTCCATGTTGTTTTAGCCACAGAGACTGTGGCCATCGTTCTGGCAGCAGTGGGAGACACAGGAAGCTCTCGGGTGGGGAGCACCGACTGGGGTCCAGGGCTGCGAATTCAGGCCGATGGAATCCCAGCCCCCAGGGGTGTGGGTGGGAGCCAGGAGAGATTCTGGTCGGTGCTGGGAGGAGAGGCCAGGCTGCTTTCACTCTCAGGGAGGGGCCTGTGAGTTGGAGGAGGTGGGGACCTCCAGGCCAGTGAGCAGAGCACCTGCTGGGTGCAGTGTGCTCACGGGACGCTGTGCCCCCTGCCAGCTAGGGAGTCCCTGGGCAGCTGCTTGCTCAACCCTGGGGCATTCCAACATACCCCTTAGACTGTGAGCATGTTGGATGCAAACTGGCCTCCTGGTCATCACAGGGGCTTCCTGCCCTCCACAGCCCACGTGCAGCTGACCAGGCAGCTGAGCTCAGAGAATATCCCATGTGGAGGCAATCTGAGTGTTGAAGAGAAACCACAGCCTATGGAAGGGACCCCTGAGTGTTGAAGAGAAATCACAGGCGGCAGTGATTGTGGCTTCCTTCGTCGTTGTGTGTACACCAGCGGTCACCTGTCTTTGCACCCCACTCTGAAGCCTGCAATGGGGCAGCGATTGCAGCTTCCTTCGTCGTTGTGTGTACGCCGGCGGTCACCTGTCTTTGCACCCCGCTCTGCAGCCTGCAGTGGGGCGGCGACTGCAGCTTCCTTCGTCGTTGTGTGTACGCCAGCGGTCACCTGTCTTTGCACCCTGCTCTGTAGCCTGCAATGGGGCTTTCCCCCAGTTCCTCCCACGCATCAATGTGTGTTCACTCACCAACTTGCCCCTCTGAGGGGCAGAGGCGTGTGGTGTTTTGCTCCTTCAGAGACTCCCTCGGGGCCTCGTTCCCAGCTCCACCACCCCCATGGGGCCTGCAGCATGTTCTGCACATGAATGCCCCAGCACAGGAGGTCCAGCCACACAAGAGGATGCCCTGCTCCATGCCGGACACACACCAATGGCCCAAGGAGAGCGGAGTTGGCCCTGGCGCGGTGCCTCCCACCAGCGTCCCACTCTGTGAGGTCTTTCTTTAATCACGAATCCTAAGGGAGGAGGTCTCCTGTGGGGCACAACTGGCCAGAGGGGCAATGTGGAAGCCTGGCTGCGGCACCAATGTCTCTGTGAATTGCAGCTCCTTTGAGCTCATGGGACCCTTTCTCCAGGGTCCCTGAGCTCCCAGGTCACTGGTGTCCTTGAGGCAAACCCCCTTCCAGAAGCTGTCAGTGGATCCGGGCCTTGGATGGGCTCCTCCCTCTGGGCTTGGCAACCCTGTCTCAGGCGTCTGCCACCACCCTGCCTTGGTGGCGGTGAGGCTGTCATCATTCTGGGGCTGGGCTGTTGGGAGGCGTCGTGCTGGGGCCAACTCTGTTCTCACTGGGCCGTTGGCCTGAGTCCGGCATGGAGCTGAGCATCCCCTTGTGTGGCCATGACCTCTTGTGCCGGGGGGTTCATGTGTGGGACACGCTGCAGGGTCCTCAGGACTCAGACAGTGCCTGGCACGTGGCAGGTGCTCTGGCCGTGGCTGGGTGGCAGGGACCCTCACTGCGGGCCACCATATCACATCCTCAAGGGTGAGGTCAGGCCCTTCTGGCTGTCTTTGTGCCTGCTCCATTTATTAAATCAAAGCCACCTGTGTTCCCTGGGGTCAGGAGGGGCTGGGCCTGGTTCATTTGTCATTGTTCAGAGTCAGAAGCTGAGCTCACAGTCTTTCCTCCAAGGTCACACAAGGTCTCCTGGTACCACATCAGCTGATATTGTGGAACTTCTCCTTGAAGGACAGCAGCCAGGCCCGCTTCTTTGTGCTCTTCCTGGAAAGAGATGTGCACAGGCCACATGGGAGACCTCCGTGGGCTCTCCGGCCTTCACTCGGCCAGAGATAATTCCCCTGGTGAGTGCTGGGCGGGAGAGATTTCCATGGATTCATTTTCACAGAAAAGACCAAAGCCGTCCAGCCGCCCCTTATCTGTCAGGCCGGTGTCTGTGTCCTGACAGAGGCCATTTGTCGGCCCCCGCCTCTCCTGCCCTGTCTCTGTGCAACCGCAGCCTGAGTGCAGAGATGGGCGCATCCCTGAACAACCCTTTCTGCTTCTCCTGACACCCTTTGCAGCGCTGTGGCTTGGGGAGTGGAGTTTAGCAAGCAGTGGGCGAGTCTTGCACTCAGTCCAAAAGTAGCAAGGGGACTGATTTGTACCATGGTCTCACCACTGAAGAACCCCCCGCACCCCCAGCAGCTCCTGGAGACATGGATGATGCCAGGACAGCAGCTCCCGGAGACACGGATGATGCCAGGGCATTGGGCCTCAGCTCCTGGCTGCAGCTTTACCCCTGACACGTGCTGGGCAGGCTCTCTTTCCCTCTTTCAGTCTCAGGTTTCTCCTCAGAAAACAGGCTGAGGAACTGGTCTATAAACTCCTTTGCCCCCAGTGAACTCCTACTTATCCTTCAAAGCCCTGTTCACATGCCCCTCCTCTCCAGGTGGACAGGCATTGCCATCCTCCAGCTTTGCTGTGCTCCCCATAGAACTTTCCAGGTGTTGCCTACCTCTGTCAGGCAGGGGCACAGCCCCCCAGCACATCACTGGGTTCAAAAAACATTTGTTGGTTAGGAGCAGTGATTCATGCCTATAATCCCAGCACTTTGAGAGGCCGAGGCGGGTGGATCACCTGAGGTCAGAAGTTCGTGACCAGCCTGGCCAACATGGTGAAACCCCGTCTCTACTTAAAAAATACAAAAATTAGTTGGGTGTAGTGGTAAATGTCTGTAATCCCAGCTACTTGGGAAGCTGAGGCAGAAGAATCGCTTGAACCCGAGAGGCGGAGGTTGCAGTGAACCGAGATCACACCACTGCACTCCAGCCTGGGTGACAGGGCGAGACTCCATCTCAAAACACAAACAAAAAAACCAAACAAATAAACTAAAAAATGTGCTGCAAAAATCAATTTAGAGCCATTTTCCTCTCTGGATTCAGTTACAGCTGTTTTTTGGTTTTTGTATAAATATTTCGAAGGGCAAGCCATAGCATCTGGGTAAAATCTAGACTTGCCCTCTGAGCTGCCTCCACGTTCAGGTGGGTGTTAGGGTCATCCGGAGGGGTTGCTGATGGCAAATAGCTGCTCCCCCTTTGTGGGTGGACTCTCAGTGCCTGGAACAGTGCCCAGGAAGCTGCATTGTGAATCAGCCCTTCAGGCGACTGGCTGCAGGTGGTCTTTGGACCCACGGTGAAAATCCTGCCGGCCTGGGAAAAGTGCCATGAACAGGAAGCACCAGGACTGGGTGGGGCCGATTCGGGAGCTTTGAGCTTTCCAGGTTCGAGTTTCCGGACTTTGGGAGGGGGGTGGGAGGGCGCTAATTTTGAGGAAGCAGCCTCTAAGGAAGAACATGAAACTGGCCCGGCCGTAGAAGCGCCGTGGGGTTCCGGTAGGCAGGCTGTGGAATTCTGCGCCACGTCATTCATCTCTCGCCACGGTGGGGAAACTGAGGGTAGAGGCAGGGGTTTGAATTCCTCAGGCCCGGGGAAGGGGTTTCGAGCCATGGAGTTTGAAAGTATCGTCCAAAGAAGTCCAGGAAGAAAGTGCTTATGTATAATTTACGACTCACTAATGAAAATGGCACAGAAGTGACACGCGACTCCAGAGCCAGCACCCGTCCAGGTGAAGCCCCACAGGGGGCAGCTTTCTGGGACCTCAGTGAGCTCCTCTGCCGGCTCAACCCAAAGGCAGCCCCTCTGCAAACAAAGTCTTATTCCTTTGAAACAGGAACCCTCAGGGGCCGCCTGGGGACTGGTGCCGACTGTCAAACCCAGCAGACGGGCTTCATCCAGGCCTCGACTGTCAGCCGGGACGACCCCAGATCACACGGGCGCGGGCCGTGGTCAGCCAGGAGCGTCCACGTGGTCAGCCAGCCTGATGTGTTCGGTGACTCAGCCAAAGCTTAAAACACGGAAGCCGGGGAGCGCTGGGCGGCTGCGTGTCAGAGAATGAGTGTTTCCCGATGGAACGGCGGGACAGAAATGGCCGCAGACTCTCCCTGCTTCCAACCAATTTCGCTTTGCGGTGCTCACCTGTAAGCGACTGTCCAAAAGTCCACAGATGCGCAGGGCTCTGGGTGAGACCTCTGCCAGGGTGGCGTCTGCTGCAGTCCTTTGCTGTTAATATAACTGTGTGCCTCACACCACTGCTTCTAGTGTCTTCCGTGTGGATTGGTAGGCACCATTAGTATCATAATCATTCTTTTAAAACCAAACAATACTTGTGTGCACCCTCAGTTGGCTGCTGCTGTAAATGTTCCCCGTAACCCAACCTGCTGGTCGAGAAGGATCCTCGTTCGGCCACTTCTGAATTGCAAGCTACAGCTCCCAAGAACCTGAGCCCAGGCTTTGGCAGGAAGCCTCCAACAATTTTTAAGGCACCTTAGTAAAGACGTCCCCGCATTCATCACAGCAAAAGTGCAGAATTGCTCTGAGCAACAAAGTCATGGAACCCAGAAACTCAGAAAACCCTTTTCTGATAAATAAATACTTGTGTAAAAGATGTTTCTGCGGAGGAGCTGATGTTCCCACACCAGCAGTAGATACTCCCTTCTTACACAGAAGAGATGGAAACGCCTGCTTCTCAGCTCTTGGGGGCAGGGTGTGGGGAAAGCCCCACAGAGAGAGCTGGCTTTGGAGAAGATGGCCTGGAGGTGAGGCCATGGGTGGAGGAGGGCAGGCGTCTCAGGCTGTGGATGCAAAAACAATTCTGAGAACTGTAGCGAAAGGAAGATTTCATTTTAAATGTGTTGAAAAAATCACCATTTGGCTAAGATTCTGCACCGGGCCCCACCTTGCTCTGGCCCTAACGCGTAACCCTCTGAGATGGGCTTTGGCGTTGGAAAAGTCACGGGCAGCCATGAGCAGCCTACAGACACGCTCTGGTTTCCATAGCTCTCCAACACTCCTCTGCAGGGTTTCTTCTGGGGCTGGGGGAGCGCAGCTGCTTTTCCGTCTATGGTGCTGGCCGAGGCTGGGGCCGGGGCCTCGGCAGCTGTGGATTTTGGCTGCCCCCGCGGTCCCAGATCCGTGCTGCTGATGTCTGCTTGGCGCGCTGGATGCCTCTCTGTGGAATCTGTCCCTGGCTGGGTCTTCTGTTGAGCCCCCCTGTGCCAGCCCTGACGGAGTCCTGGCGTCCACAGGCGGGCTCTGTGGTGCTTTGTAGCTACCTCTGTGCTAATTGGAAAAAACCATTTGCCCCTACCTGGGCCTCTGGATGGATTTTTTTTTAATGTAAGAATTACTTAGCAGTTGGTAAATCACTTCCCTCTCTTCATTTCCAGAGAAACTGTCCCTTTCTGGGAAGGCGAGGGTCGGAAGGACTGCAGAGTTGCCAGGGAGGCCGCAGCCAGGGTGATTTGCTTTGTGTTTCTGACACAAACCGCTGTCTAATGATTTCCCAGACTTAAACCATTTGCGTTTTCATTAATGGTTTTGGAGCCGGGGCAAGTTTCTGTCAAGGGGATCAGCTCCAAATGCCGTCTCCTCCACCTCACTGGCCGTGAAGGGCTCTGGCGGGGCATGCCCCCAGCACCGTGGCTCCGGCTGGCGTCTGCTGCTGTGGTGACGTTCTGCACTGTATGGGGGGTGGCGCGAGGGTTCCCTCCCACGACAGGATATTTCTTTCTGAACTCCTGCTGCCCCGGGCAGGTTGGCGGGGCCGGGGGTGTGGACAGTGCCCAGCACAGGCTGGACAGGGTATCCCATTTCCAGCCCAATCTCGTTCTCTCTGCACTCCGGGAACCCAGGTGGGGGGCTGAATGGCTGCACCACAGCGGAGCCTCCAATCAGGGTGTTCCGGGGTGTCCCCTCGCCTTCGTGGGGGGCCTGCGGTGGTGCTGGGCTCCACACTGAGCACCCTAACCCTAGTTATTCCCTGTATCCCTTCACATGTAAAGCAATGGGCTGGTCTAGAAGAGTCTCCGTTGTCTCTTCCGATGCTAACACCTTGGTATCGGTGATGCTACCTGGTGTTTTGGAAGCAAAACAGTGGCTGGGAAAATAAGGTAGAATTTACCCATTGCCCTGAGGATTTTTCCCGAGTGGGTAGAAGGATGCACCTGCCCGTCACAGGGTGAGGTTGACCTTTGCTTATGGGGACACAAATGGCACGTGCAGGCGAGAAGGTCATAGCAGCCCTCAGCAGGGTCGCTGACTGTGGACTGCGGGAGGCCTTGTGTTAGCCCAGGCCGCCTGCAAGGCACACAGCCCCGGGTGCCTGAGGCAGGCGCTTGCTGCTGAGAGTTCTGGAGGCTGCAAGTCCAAGGTCAAGGGCCCTACAGAGTTGGATTCCCTGAGGCCTTTCTCCATGGCCTGCGGATGGCGTCTCCTCCCCCATGTCCTCACAGGGCCTTCCCTCTGTGCATACATCGGGGTAGAATGAGAGTGAGAGAGAGAAGGGGAGACAGAAATCCCTGGTGTCTCCTCCTCTCCCTAGGGGGCACCGGCCCCAGTGGATCAGGGCCCCACTCTCAAAGCCTTATTTATCCTAAGCCCCCTCCTTAAAGGCCCCATCTTCAAACACAGCCACACTGGGGCCTAATTAAGCCTCAAGGTATGAATTTGGGGACACAGCTCAATCCACAGGAGGTGTGAATTAGTGTTTCCAGCTTCTCCGGTCCTCTGGTCAGTCTCCATCATGGTGTGTAATGGCACCTTGCCAAGCCTTCATGCTTTTCTAAGCATCTTTTTTGTTTGTTGGTTTGTTTTTGTTTTGTTTTTTGAGATGGATTCTAGCTCTGTCGCCCAGGCTGGAGTGCAGTGGCGTGATCTCGGCTTACTGCAACTTCTGCCTCCCGGGTTCAAGTGATTCTCCCGCCTCAGCCTCCCAAGTAGCTGGAATTACAGGCATGCGCCACCACGCCCAGCTAATTTTTGTATTTTTAGTAGAGATGTAGAGATGGGGTTTCGCCATGTTGGCCAGGCTGGTCTCAAACTCCTGACCTCAAGAGATCCACCCACTTTGGCCTCCCAAAGTGCTGGGATTACAGGTGTGAGCCACCGCACCCGGTCTGCCCCATTGCTTCTGTCAAAAAACACTTTGGGAAGAACCATGGTACCATCGTAGAAAGTTCTGCCATTTCCAGGCCACTGTGTTTCCTGATTGAAGCCTCGCTGGCCTCCAAGGCCAGCATATCCCCATCACCATTTGCTGAGGAGGAGCTGAGGCTCAGAGAGAAGGGCTGGCTGCTCACTTTCCTGTTTGTAAGGGCTGCTTAGACTCGCTATTTTGTGAGCTGCATGGGGCGGATTCTGTTCATTTGTCTATCACTGTCTGTGTCCCTAGAGCAGCATCTGCCACATCACAGGCAGCTGCCCGTGCCATCGAGGGGACGGTGAACGCAGGCAGGGATGTGCACAGGAGTGGCACGGACGGGATTTAAGCCTGGGTCTTCTCGCTCCAGATCATGGGCTTTTTTCCTCACTAACCTGGCTTCTGATGTGACTCATCTACATCCAGGAACAGCTGGCAAGCGCTTCTGGGCAGTGGGGTGTGGGTGGCAGGGTTCAACCCGTGCTTTAATGTGGACATGAGCCACCTGTACGGCAGACAAAATGCAGATCCCGTCTGCAGGTCCAGGTGGGGCTGGAGATTCTGCATCACCAGCAGACCCGGGCACCACAATGCTGCTGGTTCACAGACCGCATTCCATGGGGTACAGGGCTAGGCTGGCACAGGTGAGGAGATGCAGAGCTGGGGACACAGACACAGAGCCTGCAAGTCCAGAGTGGGCCATGGAGCGCAGCTGCAAGTGCCGGCCCACAGGGCTGAGTTCAAGTCCTGCTTCTGCCATTGGTGTGTGTGCAGCCCCCTGCTGACCCTGCTGAACCTCCACTGTTTTGAATGACGGCTTTATTGAAGCATAATTTTCCTACCATACAATTCAGCTTTTTAAAGTGTACAAGTCAGTGATGACTGGTTATAGACATAGAGGTGTGCAGCCAGCACCAAATCAATTTTAGAGCATTCTTGTTGCCCCAAAAGGAAACTGTCCCCACTGAGCAGCCACTCCCATCCTCTCATCCCCCAGCCTCTGGCAACCAGTCCTCTGCTTCTGCTTCTGTGGATTTGCCAGTTCGGGATGTTTCACAGAACCGGGATCACACAAGACGTGGCCTCTGCCTGTGGCCTCTTTCACTCCAAATGGCGTTCTCCATCTATGTTGCAGTGTGGACCAGAACCCCATTCCTTTGTATGACTGAATCATATTCCATGGTGTGGATGGACCACAGTTTATGCATGAATTTGGTGGGAATTTAGGTCGTTTTCACTTTTTGGCCATTACAAATAACGCTGCTGAAAACACTGGTGCATCAGTTTCTATGTGGGCATCGGCTTTTGGTTCTTGGGTGTGCACGGAGGAGTGGAATTGCTGTGTTTAACTTGAGAAGCTGCACCATGACGTTCCCACTAGCAGTGCATGAGGGCCTCGTCATCGCCACGTTCTCATCAGCACTCACTGCTGTCTGCCTTCTTCTTACAGCCGTGCTTATAGGTGTGAGGTGCCTCTCGCATGATTGTGACTTGTACTTCTCTGGTGGCTGATGACACTGAGTACCTTTCCATGTGCTTGCTGGCCATTGTGTATCTGCTTTGGAAAAATGCCTGTTTAGTTCTTTTGCCCATATATTAATCAGGTTATCTGTCTTTTTATTATTGAGTTGTAGAGGTGCTTCATATAGTCCAGATACATGTTCCTTATCAGATGTGTGATTTGCAAGTAGTTTCTCCCATTGTGTGTCTTTTCACTTTCTTGATGATATCTTTTGCACAGAAGTTTTCATCTTGATGCAATTTATTTATTTGTTCTTTTCTTATGATGCTTTTGGTGTCATATATAAGAAACCATTGCCTGACCCAGGGTGATAAAGATTAATACCTTTGCTTTCTTCTAAGGCTTTTATAGTCTTACGTCTTACATTTACCCTTGATCTACTGTGAGTCCCTTTCTGTGTATGGTGTGAGGTAGGGGTTCAGCTCCATCCTATTGCACATGGATATCCAGGTGTCCCGGCACTGTTTGTTGAAGACTATTCTTTCTTCATCAAATAGTCTTGATGCCTTTGTTGAAAATCAATTGAACCTACATGTGAGAAGTTGAAGCGTTAGATTTATATCTTTGCAATCAGGATAAAAATTAATACCTGCATCATATTGCTATTACAAGGGTTGAATGAAATAATTCACAGGAGGGATGTCTTATCCATGCCCTGGCATCCTACAGACCCCTGGAGCACCAGGTGATGACAAAGTGAGGAGGAAGGACAGGGATGTTCTCTCCTGGAGGGACTTGAGGTGCTGCTGGGGGCTGGCTGGTGGGAAGCAAGCAGCATGACCCAGCTGACTGTGCAGGCAGAGGCTTCACCACTCCCAGCCCTGTCTTGTTGCCATGCCAACAACAGCCTGGCCCACGAACACCCAACCTGGCCAGCAGGGATGGAAATAATTACTCTGTCTTTTCACAGAGATGGACGATGATCTCAGGTGAGGGGCAGGGATTTGGCACAAAATGTCCTTGGTAACAAAGCCTCGAAGAAAACACAGCCCCAACAGTCATCTCTAGATGGGCCTCGGTGCCGGGGTTTCCTTGCTGGGCCTCCATGGCCCATGCAGCCGATGCAGGGATGCCCCTCCCCTCTGCAGGGCTCCTGTGTCCCGGAGGCTCCACAACCATCACTCATGAGCACCAGGGCACACAGGCAGCCGGCGCCACCGAGGGACATGCGCTTGTTGCTCTCTCGGGGCTGAAGCCGACACCCCCACCTCACAGGCTCTCTCAGGAAGGCCTGCTGTCTCAGTGCTCTTTCTCCCTGAACACTCGGTGCCTGATGGACTCAGTGGAGCCCCACAGCCTCAGGCGTGGGGCCCACTTTCTTCCACACAAGATGTTGCACCACAGGGAGGCCTGGGCTCTGAGCCTCTCTCCTACTCCAGGAATCCATTTGCACCAGTTCCACCTCCTGTGCAAAATTGCATGTGGACAGTTCGAGCTGTGTCCTGGTGAGGGCTCTCCTCTGTGTCACTGTGGCTCAGAGGGCAGCAAGCCTTGTCTGCCAGCCATGGTGAGGGTGGGACAGCACCCATCTCTCCTCCACCCTCCGCCACCCCCTCCCAAGGCCCCCAAACCTGCTCTTATCCACAGCACCATGACAGACCCTCTCAGGGGCTGGAAGTGCCATAGCAGATGGACTCTCTCAGGAAAGTTTATTTGGTTGGATGTGGGGCTGGTGAAGAAATGCCCAGCTCCCCGCTCCTGGTGGCCTCCTGGGCCCCAGATGCCTTCCCTCAGCCCCCATCCCGAGTCTGGGTCCAGGGCTCCAGGTGGGGGCTCCCTGTGTGTCATTGTTATATGACCGTGCCATCCTCGCCACTGCTGGGTGCCATGCCCGTACAAAGTGCTGGCACCTGGTGAGGATGCCTGGGTCTCTGCTGAATGACCAGGGATCCTGTGTTGGGGTTCACGGGCCCCTCATCCTCTCCTGTCCTGGAGAGGCAGCTCTAAGACCTGGATGCCACACGAGGCTCTGAGTGCTTTGCTCAAGACCAAGGCCACCTGGGCCGGCAACGTGGTCAGGTCCTGCTGCGGGGATGCTCCGGGGGTCTGCTCTTGGGGTGTCCGCCACCCCCAGGGGATGCCTTATTGCTTGCCTGAGCCCTATAGACTCAGGGTCCAGGGAGGGACCTGAGAATGTGCATTTCTGGCAAGTCCCCTGGGGGTGCTGCTGCTGGGGCCCCACCTTGAGAACCCTTGTTAGAGGCAGCCTCTGGGCCACACAGCAGGGAGGCGGGAGATGGGAGGTGGGGGCTGGGAGGCCAGGGAGTGGGGGCAGCTGTAACAAAGCCGAGGCTCTGTGCTCTCGCTGCTAGAGAGTGGGGTGGGGGCACGGGAAGCCCCCGGGGCAGGCAAGGGTGTCTGGGTTGCAGCCCCACCCACCCCGAGCTGCAAGGCGACATCCTGCCATCTGGGGGTGCTGTGGACCCCATGGGGAGGGTGGGAGAGCTCAGGCTGGGGGCCTCGGACTCCGACAGTGGAAGCACCACCTGCCACACCTTGAACTTGGGCACATGCCTGCCTCTGCGCAGAAGCCTGGCCTCATCTCTGCTGTCCCGGCAGCCTCTTGGTCAGGACTCAGGGCTGGACAACCTGGCTGAAGCCCACTCTCAGCAGGAGAGGACCGTGAGCCTGGAAAACGGAGGGGAAGAGATGGGAGAATGTGGCCACCGCTGCCCCTCTGCTGGGGAGCTCTGCTACTCTCTTCTAAAGTGGATCTGTGGCCTGTGGACAGCAGCTCCTGCCCTCCCTGGCGGGAAGCCAGGCCGAGTCAGAGTGCAGACAGGACTGGGGTCTGGGGGGCACCGGGCAGTGCAGGGGGGCAGAGCTCTGCAGGAAGACTCCTTTCCAGCTCCTGGGGCCCAGAATCAAGTTGTGGTTCTGAACCTACTGGGGCCTTCCGACATCCTCCTTCCCCAGACCTCGCTGGGGCAGGGACCTCAGCTCCCCAGGTGCACACGTGCTGGTCCAGTGGGGCTTCCTATGGGGTGGGTCAGTTTGTACAGAACTTGTGGCCTACGAGGTGATGTCTTATCAGTGCACCGGTCACGGATGCTCATATGGCTGTATGGACCACTCTCACCGTCCTGGTCACGGATGCTCACAGGGCTGTGCAGACCATTCTCACCGTCCTGGTCACGGATGCTCATATGGCTATGTGGACCACTCACTGTCCTGGTCACGGATGCTCACAGGGCCGTGCGGACCACTCTCACCGTCCTGCAGCGTCTGTCTGTGTGAGCTCTTTCCCCTACACCCTTGGTTTCCTCAAGATTGTCCATATGGTCTCAGGGCACTGCAGATTGTGGAAAAGATCAGGAGCGATTGTGCCTGTGTGTGTCCCGTGCAGTGTGCAGCACCCCAGAGGAGCCGTCTCTACCGTGCCACGGCTCACGGGTCCATCTGATCCCATCTTCTCAGAGTCCTGGGGGACAGGCCATGGCTCTGTGGATCTCGTGTCCATGTGGTGCACGGAAGCGCTTCAGGGATCTGGGAAGGGAAGGCCCGGACGGATGAGCGCAGAGTGTGGAGCGCAGCGTACGGAGAGAGGGGTGGGAAGGAGCAGCCCTTCCCCGCATTCTCGTCTCTAAATCAGCTTGAAGCAAAAACAACAGCTGAGCCTCCTTTTCTGACTTTGAAACAGAGCTGCCTTTCATCAAAGCCTCTAAGTGTTTATATTAACACTTTCCTATCATTTAAAATTATTTGCTGCATTCTCGGTGCTGTTTCTCACCTCCCGTTGTGCAATGGCTTTGTCGTCTTCACAGACACATGGGCAGCCATCTCTGTCCCTTGTCACCAGCGGTGGGCAGTGAGGCTGTCATCCCACAAAGCAAGGATGGTCCCTGAGGGATAAGAGAGTGAGGACTGTGAGGCGTCAGCACAGGCTCAGGGGAGGATCCTGCAGAAGAGCTGCCTCCCCCGTCTGAACTGGCAGCCTGTCTGATGGCAGAGGGAGGCAGCAGGTATTTGGGCCCAAGGCTGCCTGGATCACCTCGGGTAGCTTGTTTTCCCCCTTTCTGACTCAGTTTCCTGAAGTGTGAGTTCTGCTGGCTTTTCTCCTATCCCATATGGATGATCCTACCTATGCAGCTTTCATCAGTCCCACAGAACCCACCGAAGGGTGCTGACCCCTGTGCCTTTTTTCCAAATCCTGTGATTGCGACAAGGAAGGAGACTGGGTCTGGGACTAAGGAGCCACGGCTGTCGCTTGCCAATCTCCCTTTGGAGCAAAGAGACGGCAAATATCAGGCCTGGAGACTTTGGTGGGCAAGATTATCTCTCTAGAATGTAACAGATTTTTAAACGATTTTATTTTTGAAGTGACCTCCCATTGACAGCAAGAGATGCCGGTTTCCTTGTTAGGGCCGGCATCTGTCCGAGACCGGCATTTTTAATGAGGTATTGCTGTTGATCACTGCACTGGAATGTGCTTGGGGAGCAAGGGGTGCTGCCTGCGCACTTTGCACTCTGACCTCGTGCTCCTGGCTCCATCGCGGTCTTTTCTGCGGGTGCGGGAGGCATGTGGGCCGTGGGCAGAGGCCTGGCGAGGCCTGAGAGGAGCCACCAGCCCTTTCGCTTTTCTCAACTCTTTTCACAACAACTTAGCTAAAATCTTCCCTCTGGGGATCAGGTGGGTCCAGAACAAGGGGTTGGGGCACCACTGTGCCTCCCGCTGTTGTTAGGGTTGAGGCACTGCTGTACCTCCCGTTGGTGGTGGGAGAGGCGTGGCACCTGCTGCCCGGCTCTGACATTGCACCTTTTCCCACCCAGCAGCCTGCGAGATACACTGAGCCACCCAGCCGCCAGCAGGCAGGAACAGTGAGCAGCACAGGAAATAAAAAGGGTTTTAAAGGCCAGGTGCGATGGCTCACACCTGTAATCCCAGCACTTTGGGAGGCCGAGGTGGGCGGATCATTTGACATCAGGAGTTCAAGACCAGCCTGGCCAACATGGCAAAACAATGTCTCTATATTAAAAATACAAAAATTAGCTGGGCACTAAAAATATAAAATTTAGTGGCAGGTACCTGTAATCCCAGCTACTCAGGAGGCTGAGGCAGGAGAATCGCTTGAACCCAGGGGGCAGAGCTTGCAGTGAGCCGAGATCGCGCCATTGCACTCCAGCCTGGGTGACGGAGCGAGACTCCATCTCAAAAAAAAAAAAACGGGCTTTATTAATTCCATTGAAAAGTCCAACCTTAAAGGTACACTGATTTATCTTTACAAATACCAATTCTGGTGGAGCATAATAGCATGGTTAAAACAACGTTCTCCCTAAACGGTGACGATCTGTGGGGCGGAAATATTCTCCCTAAACGGCGACGATCTATGGGGCGGAAATATGCTTGGAACTGACAGTACTGCCTGCAGGTGTGTGCTCATCAGAATCTATTCCCAACACAGTAGAAGCGGATGTTTCAGGAGGTGCAGAGTGACTAGACCACAGCATGTGTGTGAGAAAACTGACACTGAATGAAAACACGAAACAAACTTCATCTCAGTCAGTGCTTTCTGTTTGTTGCCTGTCACCACTCAGCGTTTAGAGAAAACGTCCTTGCCTCTGTAAATCAAAGTGGCTCACGAGGGTATCGAAACTTTTCGTATGTGAGTGCTCTATAAATTTTGGTTGCATTTTATTCGGACTTCACTAGAAACTTCCAGTTATTCAATGAATGTTGTGCCAGAAAACATCAGTTTTGTAAGGGGAAAAAAAAAGCTAGCTCAAGGAAAGAAAAGAAGCTGAAATAAATGTTTCCCTGCAAAACCGAGGGACAGCCGAGGAAGCCAGATGACGTGAGCTTGCGTGGCTCGTGGACTTGGCGTGCAGTGTTACAGTTTTACTGTGCAATGTCCTGCACTTGGGCAAGAGTCTTCTGATGGAGTCCACATTTTTAAGTTGGATATATTTATATTCTGGACCCAAATGGAATGCCGTTGAGACAGCCTATGATTTTAGAGCATTTAAATTTAGTGAAACATTGGAAAGAATCACAAATAGAGACAACTTTTTGGAAGAGTTTTGCATGAAGATTTGTCCAATTTTTTTGTTTATGAAAAGTTCTCTGAATGGAGACAAAAAGATGGTACGTACACAAATAGCCTGGCTGAAAGAGCCACACATCTCCACATGGAAACATGAGAGTTGAGAAAATCCTCCATTTAGCCAACTTGCCCTGAGCTTCCTGGGTCTCTTAGACTCGTAGGAAGGGTATTTTTTCAATAAAATATTTCATACTACAGAGTAGAGTCAAAGCTGTCAACAATTTTTAATTTATCCATCACAAAATTCAACACTGAAAAAAATTGGAGGATATTTTATGAAAAATAAAAGAAATAATGAAAAAAGACATTCTTCAAAAAAAAAAAAAAAAACCACATCAATGACATAGTGTTAGAGCCAGAAATGCTTGAAGACTGAAATGAAGTTTGTAAGTATGTACCAAGAATAATTATTCTGCTTGTTTTTTAAGTGTAATCAATACAAAGGATTTTATAAAAAACATTTTGCTTTAATATACAGATCTATTGAAATAATTTATTTTTGATAATAGATTTTAAATAGAACTGTTTTATAAGTCTGCCAATAAAAATAAATACACACAAATGTCAGAAAATAAATAGGCATTTCAAAAAAGCATTTATCTTAACAATTCTTTTTAGTGCCCCCCCCCTTTTATTCTCTGTGTCTTGGTTTGCTTGGCAGTTTCCCTTGCCACCCTGGCAGTGTGTCATACATCACATTTGTGGAATGATTATTTTGTTCACTTTCCTTGCCCTTTATATAAAGGTACAAGTGATATCTTAATTATTTTTGTGTTAATTATTCACTCAATTCAGCTATCCAAAAAATACTTAGTGCCTACTCCAAGCTGGGTATTAGAACTTTGTAAACTCAGCATGTAGCAAGAGTATAGCAACACAAGGCCCTTTAAAGTTGGATGGACGGATGGTTGGGGAGGGAGTAGGTGTTGGATGGATGGGTGGGTGGATGAATGGGTAGATGGATGTGTGGATTGATGGGTGGCTGGATGAATGGATGTGTGGGTGGGTAGATGGATGGATGGATGGGTTGATGGATGCATGACTGGGTGGGTGGGTGGATGTATGAGTGGCATAAGTGGATGAATAGATGGGTAGATAGGTGGGCAGTTGTGTGGATGGGTAGACGGATGGATGGATGGATAGATAGAAGGATGGATGGGTTGATGGATGCATGACTGGGTGGGTGGGTGGATGTATGAGTGGCATAAGTGGATGAATAGATGGGTAGATAGGTGGGCAGTTGTGTGGATGGGTAGATGGATGGATGGATGGATGGATAGATAGAAGGATGGATGGGTTGATGGATGCATGACTGGGTGGGTGGGTGGATGTATGAGTGGCATAAGTGGATGAATAGATGGGTAGATAGGTGGGCAGTTGTGTGGATGGGTAGATGGAGTGATGGATGGATGGATAGATAGAAGGATGGACAGAGAAGGATGGATGAATGGATGGATGGATGGATGGATGGATGGATGGATGGATGGATTGGTAAGTGGGCAGATGAGTGGGTGAGTGGATGAATAGTAGGGTAGATGGATGGGCAGATATGTGCATTGGTAGATGGATGGATGGATGGATGGATGGATGGATGGATGGATGGATAGTTGGGTAGATGGGTGGGCAGATATATGGGTGGGTGGATGTATGATGGATGGGTGAGTGAATGGATGGGTGGATAGATGCATGAGAGGATGGGTAAGTGGATGAATGGATCGGTGGATAGATGCCTGAAAGGGTGGGTAAGTTGATGAGTGGATGGGTGGCTGGATGCAGGGATGGTAGATGTACAGACGGATGAGTGGATGGATAGGTAGGTAAGTGGATGAATGGATGGGTAGATGAATGGATGGATGGATGGATGGATGAGTGGGTGGATGGATGAATGGCTGGGTGGGTGGCTGGATGAGCGGGGTAAGTGGATGAATGATTGGGTAGATGGGTGGGTAGATATATGGATGGGTAGATGGATGAATGGATGGATGGATGAATGGATAAGTGGGTGGATGGATGAATGGATGGGTTGGTGGGTGGGTGGATGAACGGGGTCAGTGGATGAATAGTTGGGTAGACGGATGGGTAGATGGGTGAATGGATGGGTAGATAGATGAATGTATGGATGGATGGATGGACGAGTGGGTGGATGGATGAATGGATGGGTGGGTGAGTGGATGGGTGGGATAAGTGGATGAATAGTTGGGTAGATGGGTGGGCAGATATGTGGATGGGTAGATGAATGAATGGATGGGTGGATGGATGCAGGGATGATAGATGTACAGATGGATGGGTGGATGTATAAGTGGGTAAGTGGATGAATGGATGGGTGGACGGATGCAGGAATGGTAGATGTACAGATGGATGGGTGGATGTATAAGTGGGTAAGTGGATGAATGGATGCACGGATGGATGGATAGATGGGTGGCCAGATGCATGAATGAGTAGATGGATGTTTGGATGAGCAGATGAATGTGTGGGTGGATGGACAGACAGGGTGGGTATGTGGCCTGAACCTCGCTGTTGATGAGGGCACTGTTGATACTCTGAGTTTTTTCCCTTTTTATGTTTGACGTGGATTCTGGTTCATGACAGCACAGTGCCTTCCCTGGCCAGATGATTTCACTGTGCTTTATGGCTCTGCCAGTGGGGATCACAGGGCTGGCCATCAGGGCAGGGGGTGAGAAAGCAGGATGAGGTCAGAATAAAGCCCTTAAATCTTCACAGGGAAGCAGCTGGGCCTTGGGTTTCTGGGTGGTGGGTCTGCAGTATCCCCTGTGACTGAATAGTGCATGAGTCCATTGGAGGCAGGACCAGCACAGGACACTTCCCGTGGGGTTGGATCACAGTCTACACTGAGCGTGCTTTCCAAATTGGCTCAGGGCCAGGCAGTAGGTGGTGTGCCCCGCCATGCCACGGTGCCGAGGGAAGGCAGGGCCATCGTGGGCTCGTGTGTCTTTTATCCCCCCACAGGTGGTGTGCCCCTCCATGCCGATGATCCTGAGGGAGGGGAGGGCCATTGTGGGCAAGTGTGCCTTTCATCCCCTTCATGGCTTTCAGTTGTGCTCAAACCAGAGTGGCCTCAGCCCGAAGGTAGAGGCAGCAGGGCTCCTGTGAGTGGGCTCAGGGCACCCAGCAGGGTCTGTCTGGCATCATGTGCATTTCACTGGAGTCATCTCCCCAAAAGGCTGCCTGTCACCTCCCCATGGAGAAGCATGTGCTGCCTTCCCTGGCTCCCAATGCCCAGCTCACGCCACCCCGGGTAGCCGAGGCTTCTCTGGCGCCTCCCAGTCCCTGTGCCTTCAACCTGGTGTCCCCGATGGCTGTGAAAGGCCATTGAGGGAGGACATTGCTGCGGGGTCTGCTGGTCTCTCCTAGGCACCATTTCAGGAGGGCTCACTCGGGCTCAACTTCCAGAAACTGGGAATGCAGGGCTCTGCTGTCTGAGGCCTTCCTCAGCCTCTGGGCTCCTGGATTCTCGGATGTGAAGCAGCTGGTGAGAATCTCTGGGGACTGCTCGGCCCTCTCTGTGGGCCAGGGCTTCAGCACGCTAACTTTTTTCCAATTTTTAAATCGTGGTAACATAACATAAGACGTACTATCTTAACCACTTTTAAGGTACAGTTCTCTGGGACTCAGTACTTTCTTTATGCTGTGCAAACCTCACCAGCATCCATCTCCAGAACTTATTTGATTCCACACTGAAACTGTGTCCCCACTACACCCCGACTCCCCGCTTTCCCTGCCCCAGCCCGGCCCCGCCGCCTCCTTTCCGTCTCTGAGTCTGATGCCTCCAGGAACCTCGCGTAAGTGGGATCCTGCGGCATTTGTCTTTTGGTGCCTGGCTTATTTCAGTCAGCACAAAGCCCCCGAGACTCATCCACATGGGGTGTGTCAGAATCTCCTTCCCTTTTGAGGCTGAGTGGTGTTTTTAAACTTTTAAAACCTTGCACAACCCCAGAAGCGGGCACTATTGTTACGCACCCAGGGGCCACTGAGGCCCACGCCAGTGAGGAGGCCGACCCTTGTCCCACGGTCACTGCGTGTAGAGTGAGATTCATGACAGACAGGCTGGCCCAGAGCCTGCGTTCATTCTCTTTTCCAGCATTTTCTTGTGAAGAAGTTCAAACATACAGTAAAGTTGAAATAATTTTGCAGTCAACACCCACACACCCACCACCTAAATTCCATTAACAGTGAACTACACTCACTTTGATCAAATCTCCATTCCTCCCTCCCTCCCTCTTTCCTTCCCTCCATCCATCTTATTTTTGGATCCATTTCAGAAAACAACTGTGGACGCAAGCATGATTCACTCTAAATGGTTTTAGCTCAATTTCATTAGCTAGAGTGCAATCGTTGTTTACGTTTTAAGTGAAATTTCCATGCGGTGAAATGCACAAGTCTTAGATGTACGGTTCGCTGTTTTGGCAAATGTGAGCGCCCCTCGGCACCCTCCCTGATCAAGACATGGAACCCCAGGAAGTTCCCTCCCCACTCTTCCCAGCCATCCGTGTCCCTCCTGCACCCCTTGAGGCAACCATTGTCCTGACTGTTTCATCAAAAATAGTTTTTTTAGTCCCAGAACTTCATATAAGCCAGAGTCAGCATTGGAAACCGCCCATCGATAGCGCCACTGGGTGAGGCGTTTTTCAAGGGCTGGGTTTCAGAACCGATATGCCTTTCCTACTCCGTGGATCAGGGCGCTCCAGAGAATCAGAATCATAAACACACACACACACACACACACACACACAAATACATATAAATGTATATAAAATATGTAAATATATAAAAATGTTATATCTAAATCCACCACATTGATAACAGATAGCATTATATCTGTAAAATCATTTCTATATGTGTGATTTTTAGGAGTTTTCTCTTGCAACTGTAGGGGCTGGCGAGCTCACGGTGTGCAGGTGCCGGCAGGCAGGACTCTTGGGCGGAATCCATGCTGTGGTCTTCAGGTGCAATTCCCTCTTCTCTGGAAAACTGCAGGCTTATTCTTTTTTTTTTTTTTTTTTTTTTTTCTAAGAGGGAAATCCCATCTGTCCTCCAGGCTGGAGTGCAGTGGTGTGATCTTGGCTCACTGTAACCTCCGCCTCCCGGGTTCAAGCGATTCTCCTGCCTCAGCCTCCCAAGTAGCTGGGATTACAAGCACCTGCCACCGTGCCCGGCTAATTTTTGTTTTTTTAGTAGAGATGGGGTTTCACCATGTTGGCCAGAATGGTCTTGAACTCCTGACTTCAGGTGATCCGCCCGCCTCGGCCTCTCAAAGTGCTGGGATTACAGGCGTGAGCCACCATGCCCCGCTCGCAGATTTGTTCTTCAGGCCTGCCATTGACCAGATGGGTCCCTGCATTGCAAGAAGAATCTCCTTGACTCCGGCAGCTGGTTGCTGACACCGACCACGTCCACCTGGCACCTGCACTGCAGTGTCCAGGCTGCTGCTTGACCGCCACTGCCCCCAGCCCACTGAGCGACACATTAGATTTCCCTCCTGCACTGGACGCCTGCAAGTTGCCACCTCCTGCCCTGGCCCTGGTTAGGAATGTGGTAGGGAGGTTTCCAAGGTGGGGGGCAGGACCCAGAGACCCAGCCCCGGGGGAAGTCCTGATTCCATCTCAGGAGCCACTCCGCTGCGTTTCCTCATCTCTCTGGTCAAGGGGGCGCCCATCCCGGGCAGAGCTGCAAATGGGGGGTGGGTGTGGCCACCAAGCCCCCTCCCCTGGTTGCCGGAAGAGCAGCTGTTGTGTAACAGAGGGATTCTCTGCACCGCTCCCCAGGACGGACCGCTCCTTACAGCGATGATCTGATTAGGTTTTAATGAGAATAATGTTGGCTTCGAGGAAGGAAGAATCCAGCAGTGTTTTGATGTCAGCCAGGCGTCTTGAACACTGCCCCCCTCCAAACATTTGGAATCTGGCACGACCTGTCATGCAGTTTGGCGGGCGGGTCCCCCTCCACCCGCTTCGCGATGAACCCCATGGGCGTTTCCAGGGAGACGTGAGCCATGTGTCCCTTATTCATTTACACTTCGTTCATCAAAACACAGTTTTGTAAGAGCTAATTGGCACCGGGGTAGCCTTTCAAATCTTTTTTATAAGCCTCTTACCATCTCTCTAGTTTTGAGCCAAGAGTTAACAGAAGCTCAACTTCAAAAGACTGAAGTTTGGTCTGAAACTCAGAGTGTGGGTGTCTGAGGGGTACTGAACTTGGCCGAACATTTTCTACTGATTTTAGGCTGAGCAGAGCCAGGCTGTTGGGAAAGATGCTGGAATCCAGGCAAAGTGAACTGGTTTTTTTCCCCACATATTTTCTAGGCTGACAACGGCCTTGAGCTGGGAATTCCGTGGCCTCCCTGTCACCTGCCCGCTGTGGGCCTGGGCTGGCTCATCAGTGATTGTGACCTTGTGTGGGGTCGCTCATGTGTGATTGTGACCTTGTGTGGGGTTGCTCGTGTGTGATTGTGACCTTGTGCAGGTTCAAGAGGGGTCCAGGTAACTTCTTTCTTTTTAATAGTCCCTTTTCTCTTGCCAAAGAATGGGGCTTAGATAAGTCATTTTGTCCCCATCTCCTCTCCAGAACAGTTTGTTTATCTGTCCATTCATCCACCGGCTTCTTTAATCATTTGTATTGCACACCTGCCGTTTGGCAAGCACTAGGACGAGGGCTGGGCTTTGAGGATTAGCAAACAGCACCGTGGCAGGCCTTCTGCAGAGCAAACTGGGAGCTGACAGCTAAGTAGAAAAATAAGACTCTGAGGCTGGGCTTTGTGGTGGCTGTGCCTGTAATCCCAGAGCTTTGGGAAGCCAAGGCGTGAGGATCGCTTGAGCCTAGGAGTTTGAGACCAGCCTGGACAACATAGTGAGACCCCCCCCTCTACAAAAAATAAGAATTAGAATCTGAAAGGGCAGGAGGGGGGCCTCCTCGTGTGTGGTAGGGAGGACGCCATCTGGAAGGATGTGGGGAGGAGGACAGGATGAACATTCACGTTGGGGGACAGAGTGTTAGGGTCCCTGGGACACCAGGGGACAGGCCGGAAGTGTGTGCAGCTGTGGGTGGGAGGGTCAGCTGTGAAGAGGGTGGGGTTGAGGACAGGGCCCAGCTCACGCATGACTGCCATGAGGCAGAGGGATGAGGTGACGTTGGTACAGGAGGATGTACCTGTTGTTGCTGAAGTCAGGTTTGCTGGGATGTAATCTACGTCAGTAAAATCCACACTTTCAATTGCTGCTCTCTGAGTTTCCGCGAATGTGTACAGTTGTGTGACCAACATGGAAACGGAGGTGCAGGATGTTCTATCACTCCCCCAGACTCCCTTGTGCCCTGGGAGTCAGCCCTTCCCCTGCGCCAGCCCCTGGCAGCCCCCCTCTGATTTCTGTCCTGGAGATGATTTTGCCTGTTCCAGAACGTCATCGAGGTGGAGTTCTCCAGTACGCAACCTTTCACCTACCAGAGTGCGTTTGGCGATCCAGGTTGCAGCCCATCTCCATCCTTCTTAGTCCTGAGCTGAGTCCGGGGCTTAGAGGCACCAGCTGCGGTGGTCCATCCACCTGCCGAAGGACGTTTGGGCTGATTCCGGGTCTGCCAACTGGACACAGAGCTGCTGTGAGCCTTTGCGCCCAGGTCGGCCTTCGTGCTTACATTGGCCGTCTGCCCCTCCGTCCCAGCACCCAGCCAGTGCTCCAGGAATGTTTGTAAGGGCTTTGGCGTGTGCATGTTGAACAAACCCTTCTCCAGAGCGGCCATGCCACGCTCCCACCAGCGGTGCATGAGGGTTCCTGTGGCCCCTCCGCCTCTGGCACACGTGGGCCCACCAGTCTCTCTGGGGTCGGCCCTGCCAGTGGGGTGCAGTGGCACCTGGCTGGGGTTTCGAGATGCATTTCCCTAGTGACTAGTGATGTTGCGTGCCTTACATGGACTTCAGCTGCTGTTTTTAGGATGCATTTATGGGGGGCATGGTGCAGAGAGCACAGGCTGGAGGAGGACAGAGCACCCGAGTCCCGCTTGTGGCTGCTGACTTACTGTGTGACTGTGGGTGAGTCACTTAACCTCTCTCAGCCTCGCTTCCTATCACTGTGTTTCTTTTCCACCTTTATCTAAAGAGGTATATTCGACAAATGGAAATTGAATAGAGTTAAGGCATGTAATGTGAAGCTTTGATGTGCGTATACACTGCCGAATGATTACCACAATCCAGCTAATTGTCACATCCATCGCCCTACAGTGACCTTTGTGTGTGATGAGAATGCTTAGGACCTGCTCTTCTCAAATTTCACATACGCAATCGATTATTCTGAACTAGAGTCACCAGGCTGTGCACTAGATCCCCAGGACATATTCACTGTACAACTGAAAGTTCTCACTCTTTGATGGACACCTCCCCATTCCCTCCCTGTTCCCAGCCCCAGCAACCACGGCTCTACTCTCTGCTTCAGTGAGTTCAACTTTTTTAGATGCCACATGTAAGTGAGATCGTGCAGTGTTTGTCTTTCTGCACCTGGCTCATTTCACTTGGCATGACGTCCTCCAGCCTCCTCCACGTCATCACAGATGACAGGACGGCCTTCTTTTTAAAGGCTGTAGCATGCTCCGTCATGTCTATACCACGCCCTGCTTGTCTGCTCGTCTGCCAAGCAGCCGTTGGGATGGTTCCTTTCTTGGCTGTTGTGAGCAGGGCCGACACGTCTCAATGTTGTACTGATTTCCTTTCCTTTGCATAGGTACCCGTTGATGGGGTTGCAGGATCATATGGTGGTTTTACTTTTAATTTTTTGAGGAACCTGCATACTTTCCTCCCCGGAAGCTAACTGACTTTCCCTCCAACCGCGAGCAAGTGTTGCCGCTCCACACCCAGCACCAGGGGTAGCGGGGGACAGCAGACTTCCCCGGGCTGCCACGAAGGCCAGGGTCCAGGCACAGGAGGGGAAGTGCATCATAGTTAAACACTCACCCTAGGACAACCTCTAGGAGGTCAGCACTGTAGTAATACAAATGTCTTTTAAATATACATTTATCTAAATTTAAGAGAGAAGCTAATTTTAAAGAAATACGTTAAATAAATAACAAGGTAGGCATTTAGCAAGGTAGGCATTTACCTAGGTAGGCATGATGGAGATTTGGCAAAAGTCATGAGGATGCACATGTGAGTGATGTTTGGGAATCCCTGAAATAATGCAAAGGGCCTTGGCCTGTTCTAGCCCCAGCTCCACCCCAGGTAGTGGTGGCCCATCTGCCACCTGTTCCAGGAGCATGTTGAGAATTCGAAGTGATCACTGTCCCAGGCACTTGCCTAGGAACACCTGGAGTTCTGTGGAGCATGTTTCAGAGATTGCACCCAGAAGCTCAGTGTAAGAACTTGCTCCTGATGGTGCCAGCCCAGGCCCAGCCTGCCCTGCTGTATCTCAGAAAGCTCCTGAAGCAGGAACCCTACCTTTCTGCCAGGATGACACAAGCAAAGAATGTCAGGCTCACAATCTTGGCTTCAGATACACACACATAAAAATAATCACATTCTTAAGTCCTATGATCAGGTACTGTGTCTCCATGATCTCCAGTGAATAGTCCCAAATGTTAGCTTATGAAAAATGCACAGACTCTGTGGTTAAATACGGACATTGTAGAGAGTTTATAAATGGGTGGAAGACCCATCGCTGCGTTACCCTGGGGAGAAACGGTCTTTATCCTGATATCATGTCCTTCCTGCTGTGTGATGGAATGACAGTGACAGTAGAGGGTGATGTATTTGTTGGGGTTAGTCTTTAAAATGTGGGAATGAAAAATGATTTTGTTCAAAAAAACTCAAAATTTTACTGCTATTTGGACATCTGGTTCTGACTAATACGGGGTAACAGGAATGGGGATTTACCCTCCTGCTGCTGTAAACTACTAGAAAACTGGATGAAGTGTTCAGAGCATCATGTTCAGACATTGGACAACAGATAGCTCAAGACTGTGATCCCTGCGAGAAAGGACACAAGTGTCCCATGGAGGTGCCAGCTCACTGTAATGAGGGGAGAGGAGATCAAGGTGACCATCTCACTGAGTAGAGGAGATAGAAATGAGTTCAGGGAGGGCAAATAGCAAGAACCAGAGGGCAGACTACTGGAGAGGAAAGCACTGCCCAAAGAGAGCGCCAGAGGTCTGCAGAGAGGGCCCCTGGGGTTTTGGCTAAGCGTTGATCTGTGTGTGCGTGTGAAGAAACTGCTGAAGGCTGGGGAAACACCCACCCGAAAGGAGCAGGCAGAACAATACTTGGAGCTCACACAGGGTGGGGGACGGTTTGTGTTCCCACCAGCCAGGATGGAAAGACTATATAATATGAAAATCCTCAGAAGAGTGTTGCCTGAGAAATGGTGGTAAATTAGCCATAGCCTAAGGCTGTTTTGGACCCACCCTGACAACATTTAAAAGCAAGCCTCAGAAAGATCGAACTGATTCCAAATAACTTCATTGCACATAAAGTCCAACGCTATTCAAAGGAGTACAACAAAAGCCAGAAATCAACAATGAATTTTCACGATGTCTGGCATTTGGTCAAAAATAAGAAGATATGCAAAAAATTAAGATCCATAATTGGAGGTGGGAGTGGGAATCAATCATAAGTGACAGATGATGGAATTCACAGACAAGGATGCTAAACAGCTATTAAAAATGTTTTCCATGTGTTCAAGAAGGAGGAAGAAAACATGGTCATGTAAGGAGAGAAATTAAGCATATAAAAGGTCACAAGCGAAACTTTTAGAGATAGAAATTTAATACCTGAAATGAAAAATACACTGGATGGGATTCACAGAATAGAAGAAAAGATCATTGAGTCTGAAGCTAGAGAAACTATAGCTATAGCTATAGAAACTGTTCGAATCAAAGCAGAGAAAAAAGTCTTAAAAAACAAAAACAAAAACAGGACACTGGTGACCTGTGGGATAATATCAAAGCATCGTGTCTGTGTGTAACTGGAGATCTAGAAAGAGAAGAGAGGCAGGGACGGAAAAATGTTTTGAAGAAATAATGGCCAAACGTTTTTTGAATTTGTTGGAAAGTATAAACCCACAGATCTAAGAAGCTTGATAAATCCCATGTAGAATAAATACCAAAAGAGCCACATCAAGGCATGTTATAAACAAATTTCTGAAAGCCAGTGATAAAGAGAAATCTTAGAAGCAGCCAGATAAGAAAAAACATATTATGTATAGAGGAAGAAAATATGAGAGACAGCAGATCTCTTGACAGAAACCATGCAAGCCAGAAGGCCATGGGAAGACATCTGTAATATGCTAAGGAGGCGGTTGGTGGGGAGAACCTGCCAAGAATGATTTTTTTAACTCAGTAAAAATATCATTCAAAATTGGAGATAATGACTATTTTATACAAATAAAAACTGATGGAATTCATTGTCAGCAAATCTGTTCTACAAGAAATGTTAAAGGCTTCCTTCAACATTTCTTTATTTTTCTTCTTTCAGCAGAAGAAAAATAATTCCAGATGGAAATTTAGAGTGACACAAATCAGTGAAGAGTAATTACAGAGATAAATGCAAAAGATAGATAAACGCATTTTCCTCAATAATTCACTGTTTAAAACAATTTATTTTGGGGTTTATAGTATATGTGGAAGTAAAATCTATGACAATAATAGCACAAAGAATGAGGGTTGGGGGAATGGAAGTACACCACTCAGTGATTCCTACACTCTATGTGAAGTGGAACAATATCATTTGAAAGTAGACTGTGATAAGTCAAAATACATATTATAAACTCTAGAACATTCAATAAAAATTAAAAATTAAGGGATAGCTAATAATTCAATAGTAGGATAAAAGAGAATCATTAAAAATAAGACCCTCGATTAATCTAAAAGAAGGCATGAAAAAAGGAAAGAAGAAAGAAAGAACAGATGGAGGCAAATAGAAAACAAATAGCAAGAAGATAAATTTAAATCAAACATAATCAATAATTACATTAAATGTAAATTATCTAACCTCCAAATTATGAACAACAATTGTAAGATACAGTAAAGAAGGAAGACCGAAGTATATGTTGCCTACAAGAAATGCAATTTAAATAAGAAGCACAAGTAGGTTAAAAGTAAGAGGGTAGAAAAAAGATATATCATGCTAACACTAATCAATAGAAAGATAGAGTGGCTCTATTAATGGCAAACAAAAGAGATTTGCTAGCAAAGCATATTAGTGGAGATAAAGACAGTTATTTCCTAATGATCAAGGTGTCAGTTCATGAAGGGGACACAAAATCCTAAATATGTACATTCTTAATTACAACTTCAACTTACATGAAGCAAAACTTGATAGAACTGAACAGAAAAATAGAAAAATTCAAAATTATAGCTGGAGGCTTCAGTACCCCTGTATCAGATCAGTCAGAGTGTAACCAGAGGAGCAGAATTTGTCTGTCGTCTGTCTGTCTGTCTATCTATCTATCTATCTATCTATCTATCTATCTATCATCTATCTGTAGTTGATCCTTGAACAACATGGGTTTGAACTGCAGGGTCCACTTATAGGTGGATTTCCTCCCACCTCTTCCAGCCCTGATACAGCAAGATTAGTCCCCTCTTCTTCCTCCTCTGCCTCAGCCTACCCAATGTGAAGATAATGAGGATGATGACCTTTACAATGATCTACTTCCACTTTACCAATAGTAAATATGTTTTCTCTTCCTTATGGTTATAATATTTTTCTCTAGCTTTATTGTAAGAATACAGTATATAATACACATACAAAATATGTATTAATAACTATTTCTGTTATTGGTAAGGCTACTGGTCAACAGTAGGCTATTCGTAGTTTCTGGGGAGTCAAAAGTTATTTGCAGATTTCCAATTGTGCAAACATTGGCGCCACAACCTCTGCATTATTCTAGGGTCAACCGTGTGTGTGTGTGTGTGTGTGTAAATGAAATTGGCTAATGTAATTGTGAGGGCTGTCTGCAAGTGTGAACATGGGCTGACATGACACAGACACAAGCTGGAGCTGTTGTTCATAGGAGAAATTTCTTCTTTCCTTTGGGAAAGGCTTACTGAGCTTTTAAGATCTTCCGACTGATTCAGTCAGGCCCTGCCAGGATAATCTCCCCTACTTAACATGGACTGATTATAGACTGTAGTGACACCTGCAAAATCCCCGCACAGCAGCACCTAGAATAGATTTAGATTGGGTAACTGGGACTGTAACCTCACCAACAGACACATCAGAAAGTCATCAGAGCCCTCTCTCAACAACTGATAGAATAAGCAGACAGAAAGTCAGTAACATGTGGAAGACCTGAAGAACGTTACCAATCAGCTTTACTTAATTGGCACTTACAGAAAATTCCCTCTAACCACAAAATAAACATGGAACATTCATCAAAGTGGACTATATTCTGGGCCATGAAATAGATACCACTAAATTTAAGAAGATTAAAATCATACAATATATGTTTTCTGACCACAAGAGGATTAATTTAACTAGTTATCAGTAACAGAAAGATGTCTGGAGACTACCTAAATATTTGAAATTAAACAACACACTTCTAAATAACTCATGTTTCAAAGAAGAAATCACTAAGAAAATTAAAAAATATTTGGAACTGCGTGAAAACGGAAATGCAATCCATCACACTGTATAGAGTTCAGTTAAAGCCGCACTTCAGAGGGAAATGTATAGCATTCAATGCTTATGTTAGAAGAGAAAAAAGGTCCCAAATCAATTATCACCTTGAGAAACTAGAGAAAGAAGAGCAAATTAAACTCAACAACCCAGAAAGGAGAAGAGAAGAAAAGGAAGAATCAGTAAAACAGAAACAGAGGAAATCCGTTTCACTGGTCCTTTTAATTCTGGAGTTGGAGGACACTGCCCTGATCTATATGATGATCTAGGAATTATCCTACCTTAATCTGTACGATTATCCTTCCTAAGTCATAGATGACAAATAGGCTCAGAAACACCAGGTGGCTAGTGTGTGGTGAAGCTGACTCAAACACAGGCCCTCTTGCTTGTAGAAGTTCCCACCTGCTTCCTGCCACCCCAGGGCTACTCCACTCCCAGAGGGCTGGGGGGTCTCAGCCTGATGGCCTGAGGACGTCTGGCACCCTGCACCCACCGAAGCTCATAAAATGCTTCCATTAGATGGGGATCCTGAGTTATTAGTACCAGACTGCACGGAGCTCACAAGTTCCAGCCTTCTGTCCATCATCACGCAGGGCCTCCTGCTCTCCACCCTGGGATGCTTTTGTCTTGGGAGATGCCAGAGTGAGCTGACATCACTGGCGCTGCTCCTTGAGGCCATCCACCCAGAGATGTGCAGTGCAGAGAACATGATGGATTGGACCTGGGCCTGGGGGAGCTGGCTGGGACACCCGTGTGCTTTCCATCAACATTTCAGAGGCGTCAAAGAAGGAGATTTGTTCTGCAGTGCCAAGGAGCTTGGCCAGGCCATGCCTCCAGCCCCTGCCAGGAGCTTCTCCACTAGGGCGTTGGATAGCAGAGACGCAATGGCGGCCTCCACACACCACCCTCTCTCCCATGAAATTAAAGAGCTGCTACAAGAAGTCTCAATCTTGAAACTCTAAGAAATATGAAAAAAAAAATGAAGGTGGGGAAGTTGTTATCATGATGACCGTGTGTTTGTCCTTGGCAGGTTGCTACGCTGCCTGTGGTGGGTCGGCCCGTGGCCTGCCGGCCCACATACAGCCCCGGCCCCTGCCACAACCCCCAACGCCCAGCGCAGCTTCTGGCTCACTCATCTGCTTTGCAGTAAGTTTGGGTCAAAAGAGGCCTTGAGAGGAGAGACAACCCAACCAGAACAGATGCAGCACGGAACACGTACGGGATCGTAAATGCAGAAACGACAGATTCTTCCATCCCACCTTGAAAGTTTTGGCAAGGTGGGGCGTAGCTCGTGTGTCTGTGACCCGTGGCAGGGAAGCCTCATCCGGGAATGGGATGGGCTTTTCCCAGGTCATAGAAACCTCGAGGCAAAGGAGAAGGCACCCGTGCACGTCTCTGGTGACTGACAGGTGATAATGTTTGACTGACAGGTGATAATGTTTGTTTGACTGGAGCAGAAACATTTCTGGACTAATTCACCCCTTCGCTCATCTGGATAGAAAAAGAGGGGCGTGCCGGGCAGGGAGAGAGTGAGAACACAGAAGCAGATCAAGGGGACCCGAGCTGAACTCATGTGCCAAACTATACACACCGCGGGCCTGACTTTCACTACGCAAATGCAAGGTTGAATTAGGCACAGCAAATTCAAATGCTATTTATTGAAGGCTGGAGGTGTCCAGGCTCTTGCGGCTTGTGGAATGCTCCCCTCTTCCCCACCCTGCTCCCCACTCTCCCAGTCCTCACCCCCCACTGGCAAATGAACTTGCGTTTCCTTCCATGCAAGTCCACTGAAATCAGGATATTAGTTATATTTGAAGCGACATGTTCTAAAGTTACTCGGAAAGAAAAAGGTATCAGTTTTCCATCAAGGCACTTCCCATCTCAGACGTGGTCCTGGGGATGTGCCCCTGACACCGAAACCAGCAGACCCTGCCTGTGGCTCCCCGGCCAAGACCAGGCACAGCCAAGGCTTGGCTTGGCTTTTCTGTTGCATCAGAGTGAAACTCGCTCACCAGATTCCTCCTGCATTTAAACCGGGCCTCGTACTTTTATTTTTTTATTTTTTTGAGGCAGGGTCTCACTCTGTTGCCCAGGCTGGAGTGCAATGGTGCAATCTCGGCTCACTGCAACCTCCACCTCCCGGGTTCAAGTGCTCCCCCTGCCTCAGCCTCCCGAGTAGCTGGGACTACAAGCATGCACCACCACACCCGGCTAATCTTTTTTGTATTTTTAATAGAGACGGGATTTCACCATGTTGGTCAGGCTGGTCTTGAGCTCCTGACCTCAGGTGATCCACCCGCCTCAGTCTCCCAAAGTGCTGGGATTACAGGTGTGAGCCACTGCACCCGGCCGGCCTTGTACTTTTGAGGCGGTGTTGACTCTTGCAATCCGTAGCTTTGAGAGCTCCCCATCCGAATCTCAGGCACATTTGACTTTTTCACTCTCATAGGAGTGATCTCCTTAGTCCATCGATCAAACTGCTGAGAGCAGGCCATGGCCTGCCTGCTGTCATGGCCCATGAAGCAGAATTGGAGATGAGAGGGGAGGACCTGGGCTGGAGAGTGGGCAGGAGGAGATCCTGCAAACAGGGAAATGAGAGAGGGGAGGGAGGAGGAGGGTTTGAGAGTGGGGAGGGGAGCTGGGGGTGCTCCCTGACGACCGGGAGGAGAGGAAGGAGGGGAGCTGCAGGCTATGAACGGGGCTGCAGGTTATGAATGGGGCACTCCGGCGTTCTGAGAACTGAGCACTCCGACGTTCTGAGAACTGGGCACAGGGGCACCAGGCCCTAAGTGAGTTCTGCTCCGGGGTGGCCGGGCCCATCCCGAGAGCACTGACGTCCAACAGGAGTGTCGCTGCCCACCGCCTCCCACAAGAGGACACTTCGATTTGCCAGAGAAGGGCAGAGTGGGAGATGACTTTTTCTCAGCATCTTGCCTCGTTTTCCTCTTCCCAGAGGTTTGTTTTTAAGGAAGTTTAAGCTTGCTGCACTGGAAGAGCAAAAAACAATATTTTGTAAAATAAATATTTGTTTTGTGCAGACTTGGGCCTTCCCACATATTGGTTTTTCTTGAAGAGGAGACACAACCACAGCAGGGGTGAGGAGAAGAGAGACACAGTCACTCACTCATTCAGGAATAATCTTTGAGTTGAAACTGCAGTCTCCTCTTGGCCAAAGGGAGGGTGCTGACCACCTTCACCTGGAGGCCGCCTTCACCTGGAGGCCGCCCACCACCTTCACCTGGAGGCCGCCCTTGCTCTTTCAGGATCCTCTTTCATGGGTTTCTGCAGAGCCACTGGGTCAGAGCACATATGTGGGCCATGAGGACTTTTCCTTTGCACCCCAACACATCTCTACCCGTCCTCCCTGCACCCCCAACCCGAAGACGGGCGTGTGATCCTGTGGGTGGGTGCGTGGTCCGTGTGTGTAATTTTGTCCGGAGCAGTCATTCTCGGAGTGGGCCCCAGACCCGCAGTGTAAGCATTGCCTGGTGCTGTGGTTTGGACGTGTGTCCCCTCCACATCTCATGTTGAAATGTATCCCCAGTGTTGGAGTGAGGCCTACGGGCGGGGGTTTGGGTCAAGGGTCAGGTCCCTCAGGAATGGCTTCCTGCCGACCCCACCTGGCAGTCATGAACGAGCCCTTGCTCAATTAGTTCCTGCGTGAGCCAGGTGTTAAAAGAGCGTGGCCCCTCCCTCCCTTTGGCTTCCTCTCCCACTGTGCCCTCTGCACACATGGCTCCCCTTCACCCTCCACCCTAAGCAGGAGCAGCCGGAGGCCCCACCAGAAGCAGATTCTGTTGCCAGGCTTCTTGTACAGCCTGCAGAACTGTGAGCCAAAGAAACCACTTTTCTTTAGAAGTTGCCCGGCCCCAGGTGTCCCTTGATAGCCACACAAATGTTCACCTGTGAACTTGCTATAAATTCAGATTCTCAGGCCCCACCCAGACCTGCTGAGTCAGAAACTCCAGCAGGGGCCTGGAAGTCTGCCTTTTACCAGGAACCTGTGTGATTCCCATACAGAGTTTGAGAACCTCTGGTCTCTGGAACTGCATGCTTCAAATGGGTGCATTTTATGTATGTGGATTATATCTTTAAAAAGATATCCAAAGACAGAAAGATAATTGACTACCTGAAGCAAAGACGGGAAAAGTGTATTGTGGGGTTTGTAACATGCAGAAGCAAATCTGTGGTAACAACAGTACCAAGTATGGGAGGGAGGAAGTACAGGCCTTGCTGTCAGGTTACTACATGTATGTGAAGTGGTAGAATATTGTGTAATGGCAGACTGAGAAGCTACAGCTGTAACTTTATCATAAGCCCTACTGCAACCATGAACAGCTACACTAAGAGGTATAACAAGGCAATAGTGAAGATAAAATGAAATAATAAAAAATACTCAGCAGCTCTGCCTATGGAGTAGCCATTCTTTTATTCCTTCACTTTCTTAATAAATTGGCTTTCACTTTAAAAAAAAGTACTTGATCCAATAGAAGGAAGAAAAACGGAAAAATTATTTAAAAAGAACAGACGAGACAAATACAAAATAAATGTCAAGGTGGTAGATTTAAATTCAACTTCCCAATAAAAATATCCAGATTTTTAGGTTGGGTAGATATAAAAACAAGATCCAACTCTATGCTGTCTACAAAAGAAAAAAAAAATAACATAAAAACATAAGTGGATTGAAGGTAAGGGACAGAAATAGTTATATTCTGAACTATTAAAAGAAAGCTGGGGCGGAGATGTTAGTATCAGATAAAATAGATATCCGAACAAGGAATATTACCAGAGATGAATAGATACATTATATGATCCTGAAAGTGCCATTCTGGCCAGGCGCGGTGGCTCACACCTGTAATCCCAGCACTTTGGGAGGCCGAGGCGGGTGGATCACCTGAGGTCAGGAGTTCGAGACCAGCCTGGCCAACATGGTGAAACCCTGTCTCTACTAAAAATATAAAAAAATTAGCCGGGCGTGGTAGTGGGTGTCTGTAATCCCAGCTACTCAGAAGGCTGAGGCAGGAGAATTGCTTGAACCCATGAGATGGAAGTTGCAGTGAGCCAACGTGGTCCCACTGCACTCCAGCCTGGGTGACAGAGAGACTCTGTCTCAAAAAACAAACAAACAAACAAACAAATAAAAGTGCCATTCTGTAGGAAAATATAGCAGTTGTAAATATGCTTGCACCTAACAGCGGAATTTCAAAACACATGGATCACAAAGTAAAGAAGAAATAGAAAAATCCCTGAGTATCGTTGGAAACTTCAATACTCCTCCAATACTCCTCTCTGTAAGCTATAGAAGAAGTAGACAGGAAACCAGTAAGGATGTAGAACCCTGAATCACAATATCATCCAAATTGATTGATTTGACATTTATTAAGCAATACTTTCAATATTAGCAGAATACACACTTTTTTTTTTTTTTTTTGAGACGCAGTCTCGCTGTCGCCCAGGCTGGAGTGCAGTGGCACGATTTCAGCTCACTGCAAGCTCCGCCTCCCAGCTTTAAGCAATTCTCCTGCCTCAGCCTCCCGAATAGCTGGGACTACAGGCGCCCGCCACCACGCCTGGCTAATTTTTTGTATTTTCAGTAGAGACGGGGTTTCACTGTGTTGGCTAGGATGGTGTTGATCTCCTGACCTCGTGATCCACCCGCCTCGGCCTCCCAAAGTGCTGGGATGACAGGCGTGAGCCACCACTCCCGGCCAGAATACACACTTTTTTACAAATGCACATGGAGCATTCACCAAGATAGACCATATTCCAGGCCGTAAAACAGATCTCAACAAATTTTAAAAAGTGAAGTTATGCGAAATATGTGGCCACAACAGAATTAAGCCAGAAATTAATAGTATGTCTCTTCAAATATTTGGAAGTTAAAGAACATATTTTAAAATGACTGATAGATCAAAAAATCCAAAGAGAAATTAGAAAAAAAATTAATTGAGCAAAAAAGAAAATACATATGACAATTTGTAGGTGCTGGCAAGGCAGTGCTTGGAAGAACATTTATAGCATTAAATGTATATATGTGAAAAGAAGAAAGTTCTCCAATCAGTAATCTAAGCTTCTACCCTTAAAAGCCTAGAAAAGGAAGAGCACAATAAATTCAAAGTAAGGAAAAGAAAGAATATGATAATGATCGAAGCAGAAAGACTGGAAACAAAGTCAGAATGTCACTCTCATCACTCTTATTAACACTGTGCTAGAGGTTCTGGCCACTGAAATAAAGCCAGGAAAAGAAGTGAAAGGCATGCAGATTGGAAATAAGACATAAAATTGCCTTTATATGCACTCAACATGATCATCGATGTAGAAAATCCTAAACAATCTACCAGAAAATGTGTAAGAGCTTATACATTTAGCAAAGTTGCTGGACATAAGGTTAATGTATGAAAACCAATTGTATTTCCATATACTAGCAGTGGACAATAGGAAATTGAATTTAAAAACAATATTCACCATAACATCACAAACATGAAATACTTAATGATAAATCTTACAAAATATGTGCAAAATTTGTTTACTTAAAACTATAAGATGTTGATGAGAAAAAATACAAGAAGACCTAAATAAATGGAGAGATGTACCATGTTCATGGATTTGAGGACTCAGTATTGTTAAGATGTAAATCCCTGCAAACTGAGCTATAGATCCAATGGAATCACAATCAAAGTCTCATCAGACTTTTTTTTTCTTTTAGAAACTGCAAGCTAATTCTAAACTTATATGAAAATTAAAAGGCACTTAAATAACTCACACAACTTTGAAAGAGAAAATCTTCCAAATCTTCTTTGGAAGATTCACACTTGATTTTTGCAAGAGGTACAATAATGCCACTGTAATCAAAACAGTGTGATATTGTCATAAGGACAAACAAGTCAGTCAACAAAACAAAATAGAGTCTTGGAAATAAACGCATGTATATATGGTCAATAGATCTTTTTCAACAAAGTGCCCACATAACTTGATGGGATAAAGATACTCTTTCCAACAAATGGTTCTGGAATAGCTGGACATAAGTCTCCAAAAACAGAGAGAAATGAATCTCAACTTATACCTTACATTAAATACAAAATCTAAATCACAATGGTTGTAGACCTGAAGGTAAAATTTAAAACCGTAAAACATCTAGAAGAAAACAAAAAACTGCTTTGTGAGAATTTGATAGTCAAAGATTCTTAGATAGGATACAAAAACATAACCCTAAAAGAAAAAACTGACAAACTGAACTTTATCCAAATCAAAAGCCTCTGCTCTTTAAAGACATACTTAAGAAAATGAAGAGACAAACCACAGACTAGAAGAAATTATTTACAAAACACATTTCTGACAGGGGACTTGTACCCACAATATTTAACTCTTATAACTCAATACTAAGAAGACAAATATAATCCACTAAAAAGTAGGTAAAAGATTGGAAATAACCCATGAAATAATACCTAAGATGTTTAACATCACTAGTCATGAGGGAAATTAACATTGAAAGCATTATGAATCACCACTGCCAGGTGCTGATGAAAATGCCGCGCGCCTGGAGTCGCGGGCGTTGCTGGCGGGGGTGGAAAACGGGGCTGCCATTTGGAAGACAGTTGAGCTGATGAGTTGAACGTACCCTTAACACGGGCTCCAGCAATCCCACTCTCAAAAGAAATGAAACTGCACGTCCCCACCAAACCTGCACGCAAATGTCTAAAGTGGCTTCACTCACAACAGCCCACATGCCCATCCACAGGTGAACCCGTGAGCAACTGTGTACCTCCACCTGTCCCACAACCTACAGCTCAGCAGCACCAAGGGCGGGACGCTGGTGCCACCACACGGGTCCCGCGAAGCCTGCTGCGAAGTGAAGGAAGCCAGACACAAAAGTCTCCATCCTGTGGGAGTCACTCACAGGACAATTCTGGAGGACGCAAAGCTGTAGGACCGAGGAGAGACAGGTGGTGGTTGGAGGCCGGGAAGGGGCCTGACTGCAGAGGGGCAAAATGTGGGCTGCCTCTGTCGGGGCAGAAGTGCCCCACTCTGGACACTTACCAAGTCGTCGGCTGTGCATCGAAAAGGGGTGAGCCTTATGTGTGTACGTGATACCGCAATAAACCTGACTTGTAAAAGCAGCATGTGAAGTCATCAGCCCAGGACCCGGCCACAGGAGGGGGCGCACGGTGAAAAGGAGACCCTGCTGGGCCCACCTTGCCCGGTGGGTGGGACAGGGAAGCGTCCCTGGAGAAGGCGGCCCATGGGCTTGGGGGAGGGAGGTCCTGTAGGGAGTGGGGAGAGCCACTCGCGTCTTCCTGGGGCTCTTCCTTGCCACCCCAGCCCTTTCCCAGCTTTCTGTTCCTACCGGGAAGGAGGAACGCAGAGGTGCCGGAGTCTCCGGCACTTTGAGGCGGGCAGAAGTGGAAGCTTGAAGTGGGCATAGATTTGCCCCTCCCCTGCCCGGGCTGGGATCTGCACTGTGGCCCCCGTGTAAACAGACGAGACGACCCTCACATCCCAGGGAGAGCCTCACGTGGCTGGGACTGATTCTAGAGCCCCTAACTCAGCTCCGTGCCAGGGAAGACCGATCACCACAGGCCGAATTCCGGGGTCACGGCAGCTTGGCACCCAGCCTGGCAGTGTGGGGCTTGGGGCCACCAGAGCCTCCAGGGACAGGAGGGCACAGCAGTGCAGCCCCTGCTAACCTTGGCAAGCAGGAGGGCGCCGTGATTAAACGTATGATTTCTGCCACCTCCAAAGCCGCAGCCAATGAGAAGGCTATTTTAGCAAAACTGGAAAGAAAAATGCAATTTTTCTTGGCCACATCGTCTTCGTTTCCTCTGCTCCTGGCGTTCGGTTTGTTTGTCTCTTCTCACTACTGAGAGGCAGTTTTGCCAGCCTGTGCCTCCCGCCGGCTGTGGCTCGAGGTGTGGACGCCCGCGCCACCTTCCCGTTCCCGTTTCAGGGGGGAAGCTGCAGAGTTCTGGAGCTGTGAGTAGCACCGCTGTCGCCGCAAAGCAGAACCCCCAGTGATTAGGGACGCTCCACGGACTTCACGGCTGCACGGCCGGCGTCACGGGCTGCTGTTGCTCCAGCGTGTTGGGACGTGCGAGAGGCATTTACGACCTCAGCGACACATTCCCTCAACCTCGTCACGCTGCAAGTGCTGCCAGGGTGTGTTCAGGGGACACTCCCTCTCGGGCTGGCTTGTGCGGGGACACGTGCGTGCACAGACACGGACTCACATAAATGCAATCCACATGCACACACTCACACAATAGGCTGTTATGCACAGACCCTCACACTCATGTGAACACACTCATGCACACGCAAGACTTACATATTCACACTCACACCCGTGGGCACACCCAGACATGGATACACACTCATACAGGCACATACGTATCCAGACACCCACGCACAGACACTCACACCCACGGGCACACCTAGACATGGGTACTCACACAGGTAGTCACAAGCACTCACATATCCAGACACCCATGTGCACACTCACACTCACAGGCACACCCAGACATGGATACACAGGCACACACATATTGGGACACCCACGCATAGACACTCACATTCACACACGGGCACACCCAGACTGATGCACACGAACACAGGCACGCACTAGTATAGCCAGACACACAGGCACACTCAAACTCTCACAGTCACACATTCACATACACTCACATGAATACAATGCATGCACACACAAACATACCTATACACTTGTGTGTGCAGAGAACACACACACATTTGCACTTATACTCACATGAATACAATAGAAACACATGCATACACACTTGTGTGCCCAGACCCACACTCACACATTTGCACACTCACATGACTATAATACATGCACACATGCATACATACATGTGACCAGACCCACACCCACTCACATTCGCACTCACACACACGTGAATATAGTACTCGCACACACATGCATACACATGTGCCCAGACCTACAGACACACTCACATTTGCACACTCACACATGTGAATATAGTATATGCACACACTCATGTGCCCAGACCCACAGACACATTCGCACACTCACACACGTGAATATAGTACATGCATACACACGCATACACACTCGTGTGCCCAGACCCACAGACACATTCGCACACTCACACATGTGAATATAGTACTCGCACACACACGCATACACGTGCCCAGACCTACAGACACACTCACATTTGCACAGTCACACGTGAATATAGTATATGCACACACACACTTATGTGCGCAGACCCACAGACACACACATTCACACTCTCACACATGTGAATATAGTACATGCACACACACACGCATACACACTCGTGCCCAGACACACACACTCACACATTCGCACACTCAGAGTGCCCCCCTCCCTCTCACAGGCCTTGTCCTGGGGACGAGTCAAGCCGTCAGGTACCTACACTCTGAGCTCCCGGATCACTGGGCCGACACCGGAGGCTGCTGCTGTTTGTGGTCCGTCTTCCTGTGGAGTGTATTCGACTGCGGGGGCGTCCACAAGGTGGGTGTGGGTGGGCCCGGAGACCTTTCTTCCGGGAGGCCAAGTTTCCAAAGCCAGTCCTTCACGTTCAAGGATGCCCTCTCCCTGCAGGATCCTGGACTTGTCATGGGGTCTGGATTAGGTTATGCTAATGGCATCCACACTTGGCCTTTCCCCTCTTTCCTTATAAATCAGCCAACAATGGGAGGCCGTGGGCTTCGCCAGAAGCCTCTGGAAACAGAGCTGCTCCTTTCCAGCAGGCCAGGCCGACCGGGGAGGCTGCGGCCCATCGTGCGCTGGGGGAAGGTGAGCCAGGCTCCCATCACGTGCCGGGAGCTGATCTTGGCAGGTCGCGTCCTCCCGAAGCCTGCACTTCAGCCCCAGGGTTTTCCGACCGCCTCTGCTCCCAGAGGGGACCCGCAGGGACGAAGAGGCCGAACACAGCACCGAGACCTCAGTGTCGGGCGCGGGTGCTCCCAAAGCGCAGCGGGCCCACCTCCCCCGGCAGAGGATCGTGCGGCGGTCAAAGTCGCACACGGGGCTTCTGAGACGTGCGGCCCGGGCCTAAGAGCTGCATGTGTGCAAGCCGCTCCGTGTTGGAAAATGTATGTAAAGTAAAATAAACACGGCTCTCGCTGGGAGGGCTCCGGCATCCAGGGTTCTGGCGGGGCGGGGGGATGCGGTCAGCCAAAGCATTTGAGGAAGCGGCTGTGACTCACGGGGCCTGAGCTGCAGAGGAGCTGGCTGCCGAGATGCAGGACACGCCGGAGACACTGGACCCGGGACGCTCAACACACCCTGCCCCCCACTGCAGAGACGGGCTCCAGGGAGGCACAATGGCAGGCTTTGTCTCGGGAGAAAGTTCTAGCAGCCCTGCAGGTGGGGCGGCTGGGAGGCCCCGGGGTATGAAGACGATGTAGCGGGGCCCTCTGGAAGGCAGGGCTGGTGGGCGTCTGGCCAGCAGGTCAGGACTAGCTGAGGTGTCTGTGGAGACCCCCAGGGTCCAGCTCACCTGGTGGGGGGAGCCCTGAGCGGGTGGCGCAGGTTGGGGACCCTGAAGCAGCTCTTCTTTGCCTGGGGTGGCCTAGGAAAGCCGCCTCCAAGCTAGGCCTCCCAGGTCCGACCGGACCCCGCAGAACCTAGCACGTGTGGGCCCAGCACCTGCCCAGGTGTGTGACTTCAGTTTCATGGTCAGCATGAGAACACACGTTCTATTAACAGCAAAATTCTCGCTGATAAAAATGCAGATGAAATTGCATACAGGAAGGAAAACCTCCGGAATGGCTCCTAAACGCAACATCTCACAGGCCCTCTGTAATCAGAACAGTGTGAATTACGCCAATTACAGTAGGACAGGGAGGCCCCTTGTGGGAACATGGCACCAGCCGGGACCCCAACAACTGCTCCCCACAGAGGGTATTTAGGTTGTTTTTTTCTTTCTTTTTTATTTATTTTTTTTGACTTGAAGAAATCTCTGTAAATTGAATCTCAGAAACGCTGGAAGAATCCCAAATGTGGTTTATAGAAACAGTTTGAAGTAGTCCAACTTAATTCCAGATTGCCTGCATTTTTTTTTTTTTTTTTTTACATCTGTGAAATCAAAACCAGACAGAATGCTGTATTAAAATGCAGTGCCTAATGGTGATTTTTCCCATGGCCAATGTAACGAGTCTCAACTCTTAGTTTCCCTGTTTATCTTGGAGTGTCTGAAATCACATTGACTGCCCTCTCCTCCTCCTGTGCTGTTGTCTCTTTTTCCCCAGCAGGGTCTCAGGAAAGGGGCCTGGGAAGAAAAGCGGGTGGGCAGGGGCTTTCCTGGGATGCATCCCGGGCCCTGTCTTTCACACCAGCCTCCTGGCTCCCCTGCTCCCCAGTTCTCCTCCCATAACCCCATCTCCACTTTGGAGCTCAGGGCCTGGCCCTAAGCTGATTCACGCAGTTTCCAAGCAAACAACGAACTTTGCCACCTCTGTGCCTCTGCCCGTGCCGTGACCCCTGCCTGGGGTGCCCTTCCTTGCTGCCCTGGACAACTCCTCCTTTCCTTCCAAGGTCCAGATCACGTCTCACCTCTCCTGTGACACCCCAACACCTCCTCTCCCCCAGAGCACCACAGGCTGCTCCCTCCCCGACTGAGCACCCGTGTAACTGTGCATCTCACTTGGGTAGCATCTAGCACATCTTGGGGGACCATCTGCTGTCTCCTTAGTGTCTGTGTAGACCTGGGGTGTCGTACTGTCATCCTGGGGGCCTGGACTGCTGCCTGGAGGGTTCTGAGGCTGTGCCTGGCCTAGTGGACGGCATGGGCTGCTTAATGACATCTTACAGCATGCAGGAAGGGCGAAGTGCAGCTCCTGGATGGGCTGTTGCCATGGTCTGGCCCCCATGGTGCTCAGACTTGCCAGAGCATCTGAATCTCTGGGAGTCCTGTTCAACCTGGGTCCCCAGGCACCACTGCCAGGGATTCTGAGGCAGGAGGTCTGGGATGCCCCAGAACTTGCGTATCAAACAAACTCTCAGGGATGGCCAGTGCCACGGGTCTCCAGGCTGGGAACACGGATCCCAGTCCAGGCTAGCTGCCCCTGTAGCTCTCGGGAGCCCATTAGAAATGCAGACCCTCCCCCTGCCCAGATCCACTGCACGAGAATCTACATGTCTGTGAGATTCCGGGGGCACCTCTCTGTGGAGTTTGAGGAGCACAGCCTTAGATGCTAGTCCCCGGTGTGGGCACCATGCACCACTCCTTCTGCATTTGTGTCACTACCTGCTTCTGCACGTAGGAGGCACCTCAAATGCCATTTAGAATGGATGCTCAGTAAGCCAAATGTGGCCTCCTTTTTCCCTTTTGGAAAGGAAGGTCCTTCTTTCTCAAACCTTGTGTCTAGAATGTTCCCCAATGAGGGGAGGATGTCTCACTAAAAACACTGAAAGGACATTGCTTATACACTGGCCTTCTGTAGAGAGCCTCTGGAGCCTCGAGGAAGTGTAGCTCCTAACAGTCGGCTGCACTGACTCAATTATACCTCTGTTGGACCTTCCCAAGTGCAGAGCTGCCACTGTCACTTCTGATCGTAACAACCCAAATGCATGTCTCCAGATAGCACCAGAAGTAAGAGCTGGAGGGATAAGGATGGTAATGCTTGGGTGTTAGCCCCACAAAGGAGAAGGGGAGCAAAGGTCTGATGGGGGTATGTGATGGTTCTTCCCAACCGGGGTCTCTGATGGGGGGATGTGATGGTTCTTCCCAGCTGGGGTCTCTCATGGTCTCTCTCTGACTGGAGTTGGGGAAGGATATTTGGACACCTGGACATGCGTGTCTGCATGCCCCTGGGACGTGCTCTCTAGAAAAGCACTGGGCACGTTCATTTATCCACCATTCCACATGCACTTATTGTGCTCCTACTGTGTGCCAGGCACTAGGTTGGGTGCTGGGGAAACGCTCCTATGGGGGAATTGTTTTCTGTGCTAATTGTTGCCACAGAAAAAGGCACAGGCTGGGCACAGTGCCTCACACCTGTAATCCCAGCACTTTGGGAGGCCGAGGTGGGTGGATCACCTGAGGTCAGGAGTTGGAGACCAGCCTGGCCAACATGATGAAACTGTCTCTACTAAAAATACAAAAAATTAGCTGGGCATGGTGGCAGGCACCTGTAATCCCAAGTACTTGGGAGGCTGAAGCAGGAGAATCGCTTGAACCCAGGAGGTAGAGGTTGCAGTGAGCCGAGATTGCACCACTGCACTCCAGCCTGGGTGACAGAGTGGGACTGTGTCGGAAAGAAAAGAAAAGAAAAATGCACAGAAATTTTAACCAACCAGGAGGCAACCAGACTCTGGGGAACTTTCAAGATCCTTATCACAATTTCCCACCCCACCCACCCTGTTACTTCCTCTACTTTTCTCTCTCTTGTTGCCTTGTCTTGACCCTTTGTGCTGCAAAATGGGTACCCATACATGGGGCTGGGGGCTTTAGACCAGTGGACGGGTCTCAAGCCACACAAACAGCTAATCTGGCTACACGAGGCCAAAACCTTCTCATTTTTCTGGGCAACTTTTTTTCCTGGCCCAAAATGTTTTGATTGTTGTAAACTCACAGGAGTGGGGTAGACCATTAAGGCTAATTTCAGGCCGAATATTGTCATTTTTAGAGGAGAAAAGTGGAAACCCTTGGCACTTGCCTGGGTAGTGGCTGAACCAGAGGTGACACCTTGCTCAGTCCCAGCACAGCCCCACCATGCACCCGGCACCACACCAGGCACTCACCCTCTTAACTCATGCAACAGGACAGGTGGCGTGTTTGTGAAACTAGTGGAGGTTTGTGTTCAGGAGGTGGAGGAGGGAGGACAGGAAGGAGAGGGAGAAGAGCATGCACTGGAGAAGTAAATCCAGGGATCACACACAGCCACGTCCTCACAATGCATGCTTGAGATCAGTGTTTGTACTAAGGGCAATGGGGAGCTATTGAAGACTCCAGGCTGGAAGCAACACAGGCAAGAGTGTGTCTTAGAAGCATCTCTGTTGCATTTGGTAGGCTGAGATAGAGGCTAAGCTGAGGCTGTTGGAGAACTCAACAGAGGAGGGTGTTGGCTTGAACTAGGGAAGTATGTTGAGTAAACGGGAGTGCTGTGACCTTTTGCAGTCTTACTTTCCCACTGACTTCTATGGAGTATCAGTTTCCTGTTGCCTCTGTAACACACTGCCACAAACTGGACTTTAGAACAATAGATGTTCATCATCGCTCTTCCCAGGAGTGTCCGGAGGGAGCCAGCCCCTGCCAACACCTGGACCTTAGGACCTCTGACCTCCAGAACTGGGAGAGACTAGATGTGTGTGGTTGGAAGCCTCTAAGTCAGTGGTCATTTGTTATAGCAGTGCTAGGGGCACTAGGAAACAATTACCAGAGGCAAGAGACAAAGTCTTATTAGCTACCCTCCTCTGAAGGACAGAAAGGAAAATATGAGACCAGGAGGGTGTTGAGAGCCAAGTGGATTGAAGTGAAGGCTTGGGGCTCCTTGTGGATTTTGTTTGTGTGGGTTATTTTGTTCCCAGGAGTCTCAGGCTGTGTAGCCAAATGCAGTCTGCAGTTCTACTCTTTCCTTTCTTTGAAAGCAAACAGCCTCTTTTGGAAGAGTGAAGGGCACCCGAGGTTCCAGCTGGGGCTGGCCCAGGCCACGGAGCTCTCGGAATGCGTACAGAGCAGACAGCACCCTGCAGTTGGGTGGGTGCTGGCTTTGAGGTCTGGAGATCTAGATGCCCACAAGGTGCCCCTGGCAATTGGGGGCTGCAAAGGCATCAACCACCGCACTGGGCTGGGGCAGAGAAATTGACACGATGAGCTCGGAAAACATTTCTAATGTATTTATTTTTTGTGGTTCGGCTACAGAAGAGAATACGAAAGGGCTGAAGGGGATGAATGAACAAGAGCAGGAGAAGGACCGCCCTGAGGGCAGGAGAAAAGGGTGTGAATCGGGATAGAAGTCAGAACCCCACCAGCTTCTCGCCTGGGAACCAATTGCTGGGGCTGCTTCCTTCCTTCATTCATTCCTGCTTTCTTCACTTCTTCATTCCCTGAACATCAGACATGGTCATAGGCCCTGCTGAGAATTAAAACAGAACAATGAACAAGTCCCACTCTCAGAACGCAGGCAGAGGTGAAATGTTCGGTGGGCTATGGTGATGGCTTTGGAGATTTACTGGTAGCTTCTGTGGGGTTACTCTGGCTGGGATGGGGACCCCAGGGGCCTGCTATGGACAGAATTGTCTCCCTCTCAAATTTGTATATTGAAGTCCTAACACCCAGCGTGATGGTATTTGGAGGGGGGGACTTTGGAGGGTGATTAAGTTTAGATGAGGCCATGAAGGTGGGACCCCATGATGGGACTGGTGTCCTTACAAGGAGAGGAAGAGGCTGGAGCTCCCTCTTTCACCTTGTGAGGACACTGTGGGAAGCCACCTGGAAGTCAGGAAGGGCCCTCATCAGAAGCCAAGTCAGCCATACCTTGATCTTGGAATTCCAGCCTCCAGAACTATGAGAAACAAATTCCTCTTGTTGAAACCATGCAGCCTGAGCTGGTGGAAGCGTTCGGGGTGAGCATGGCTCCTGCAGGGAGATGGAGCAGGGACATTGTGTCAGGTCTAAGGCTGCTGGTAGAGCCTCAGCTTCCTTTCCTTGGCACTCACCAGGCCATGCTGGGAAAGAAGTCTGAGCCAGGTAGTTCGGAAAACACCCCCTTGGTAACTCTTTTGGGAAACGGAGACAGACATCAAGGTCTTGTCTACTTTGTGCAGGAAGATGACATGCGGTAATAAGGAAAAGAAAATGGGAGGTCCTCTGTCTCATGGAATTTGGGGTCACAAGTGTCTCTACAACACCTTACTGGGTCTCAACTCCCAGCTTCTCAGGAGCAAGAGACAAAGAATACAGGTCAGCAGAGCAGAGCCCGAGGGGCTGGTCCACAGTCCAAGTCACACATGATGAGGACAGTATTGAGAGTCATCACATGATGATGGCAGTGATGGTGGTAATGATGATGGTGGTGATGGTGATGATGGTGGTGATAAAGGTGATAATGGTGGTGATGATGGTGTTGATAATGGTGGTGGTGACAGTGGTGATGATCATGATGGTGATGATGGTGGTGATAGTGGTGATGACAATGATGGTAATGATGGTGATGGTGGTGGTGGTGGTGATGACAATGATGATAATGATGGTGATGACGGTGGTGGTGATGATGATGATGGTGGTGGTGATGGTGGTGATGATGGAGGTGATGGTGATGATGGTGATAGTGATGATGGTGATGATGATGAGGATGATGGTGATGGTAGTGATGGTGGTGGTGATGGTGGTGGTGGTGATGGTGGTGATGGTGGTGGTGGTGATGGTGGTGATGGTGGTGGTGATGATGGTGATGGTGGTGATGGTGGTGGTGGTGATGGTGGTGGTGATGGTGTTGATGGTGGTGGTGGTGATGGTGGTGGTGGTGATGGTGGTGATGGTGGTGGGGATGGTGGTGATGGTGGTGGGGATGGTGGTGATGGTGGTGGTGGTGATGGTGGTGGGGATGGTGGTGATGGTGGTGGTGGGGATGGTGGTGGTGGTGATGGTGGTGATGGTGGTAGTGGTGATGGTGGTGGTGGAGATGGTGGTGGTGGGGTTGGTGGTGATGGTGATGATGGTGGTGACGGTGGTGATGATAAGGATGATGATATTGATTATGAGAGTTGTCTTAGTCCATCTGGGTTGCTTTAACAAAATACCGTAAATTGGAGGCCAAGCATGGTGGCTCACACGTGTAATCCCAGCACTTCGGAAGGCTGAGGCTGGAGGATCACTTTAGGCCAGGAGTTCGAGATTAGCCTGGGCACTACACAGGAGGATCCATATCTCTACAGAACATTTTAAAATTAGCTGGGTGTGGTGGTGTGCACCTGCAGTCCCAGTTACTCAGGAGGCTGAAGTAGGAGGATAGCTTGAGCCCAGGAGGTTGAGGCTGCAGTGAGCAATGATCTCACCACTGTGCTCCAGCCTGGGTGGCAGAGCGAGACCCTGTCTCTAAAAAAACCCCAAAAAAACATAAATTAGGTGGCTTATAAACAACAGAAGTTTCTTTCTCATAGTTCTGGAGGCTGGGAAGTCCAAGATTAAGATCTCAGTAGAGACAGTGTCTGGTGAGGCCCATTTCCTCATAGATGGTTAACTTACTGCGCCCTCACATGGCGGAAGGGGCAAGGGGGCTTTCTAGGGCCTTTTATAAAGCACTCATCCCATTAATGAGGGCTCTGCTTCTTAACCTCGTCACCTCTCGAAGGCCCCACTTCCTAATCCCATCACTTTGAGGTTAAGGATTTCAACAAATGAATGTGGAGGGACACAAACACTCAGGCCTCAGCGTGGCCCGGCACCTGCAGAGTGTGGCTTGGTGCAATCACTCTTTAAGCTCCCGCCCCTGGTTACTTGGTTTATTCCCCCCTCCGCCACACAAACCTCCAAGGCTGGGCTACTGATCATCCTCTTCCTACAGACGAGAGACTGCAGGCCTGGAGATGGCACAGCCTGCTCAGGCCACACGGCCTGCAGGTGGCACTGCACTGCAGCAGCCGGGGACGGGCCTCACGTCCTCAGTGCCCCGTGATGTCATTTCAGTGTCGGAGCAGGGAGGGACCTGCTTGTTTTAGAGAAGGGGGTTCACCTGGGACACCCCTGAGCTTTGTCCCAAGCCTCAACAAGCCACTCACTTCCCACTTGGGAGTAGTTTCTCTGCACGCACCAGGCAGTGGGACCAGGGAAGAAATCGCGTCCGCTAAGTGGTGTCGTCTGCCTGCAAGACCTGCACAGCTCCCAGGCCTATGGCTTTGGGCACCAGGTGCTGGGCCGGCGTCTGGAAATGATTAATTCCCTTTGGAGAGAAAAACATCACAGCTGCGTGGCCCTTCCCGGTCCTGGGCGTGGGGCGGGAGGCAGCCGTGCCCGGGATTTCGCGCTGCCCCCGGCGTCTCCTTCCCCGTGCTTTTGTGACTTGATCAGGGTAGATTTATTTTCCGATCCACTGGTTTGTCAACATGTCAATTGACTTGCCTCCATCTGCTTTTTCCCCATGCCAGGACGGTGCCGGCTGAAAGGGAAGTGTCAGCTGTTCTTCTGTCTTTAAAAGGCAGCAAAGAAAAAAGCGCAGGGTTGGGTTTCGTAACGTCAGAGGAGGCCAAGGACACAGCATGGAGTGAGTTACCCGGGCGGGGAGGGAATCGGTGGGGCTGGTCCACGTCGCTGTCCCAGGGAACGGTATTTCTCTCTTTCTTCAGCCCTCATGCGTGTTGCTGGGCTGTGGACACTGGACGAGTTCGGAGAACTCTGGGCCACGTAGGCCCCAGAGGTGCAGGCTGATGGATGGGCTTGTCTTTCTCCCCTTGTCGCCTTTCAGATCTGACGGGAAACGCATGTGGGCGAGGAGGTGATGGGCTTCAAGGCGCGGCTCTCTGGTCGCAAGCCGCCTGTTCTCAGAATACAGCTGGCTGTGTTGTAATCGCACGCTGATCTCACAATAAATAACGTGTGCATGGAACGTGCCTTCAGATGAGCGTGAATTTTTACAGTGTGCACAAACAAAATCCCCCAGCCTGGAGAGCTAAAAGCAGGAGGCGGCCCAGGGGGTGACAGGGCCTGCCTTTCTGGACATGCATGACCTGCAGCCTCTGCACCGGGACTGTGCTGCTAATTATAGCTGTGTTCGTGGGCCCCGCTGGGTGGTTTTGCGAAAATCCATGATTCAGTTCACACTGATAATCTGCTCTGAGGCTGTGGGTGAGGGAGGATTTTCTGGGGGAACAGAAGGTGATCTGAGGGCTGGAGGGGAAGTGGGTTTTAGCTGGGGCTGTCGGCTGATCCTGGCCAAGAGACAAGGTTGCAGAGTTGATTCTGAAAGTTGGACGTGTCTTGGGGTGAGAGTCTCTCTGTCATATCGTCAGACTCAGCATGAAGGTGGTAACAGTCCTCGAGAGGGCATGGGCCCAGCTAACAATGGCAGATGGACGTTTGAAGAAAAGGGGGAAGAGGGCTCTTGCTCTGAGACCTCGGGGTGTCCCGAGATGCAAAGGAGAACAGAGCCCAGAGCGTCAGGAAAGGTCCCATGAGTCTCTCATTGGTCCCCCACCCTGAGCTGTCTCCAGGGAAATCTCTTCTGGAGTAATTTATATTCCATGTCAACTGGTCAGGACAGCCTCTGTGGGTTTGGGAAGGTAGGAGGGAGCTCCAGAGACAACACCGAGCAGGACTTGATGCCCAGACACTTGCTCCCAAGATGATTAACTTGGGAAACTGGAATTATTCTGCCCAGAGGAGGCTGCGTCGTGATCCACAGACATCTGATATCTCAGGCCACATCAGTAATGTTCTGTTTTTCCTGGAGACCTGTGCTCTGACTTATCCATCTGCATTTGGACATTGGAGTCTGTGAGGCCAGCCCTCGCCTTTCTGTGTGTAGGTGGCGAAACTGAGGCCTAGAGAGAGGCATGGCTTGCCCGAAGTGGTGCTGATGGCGTGAAGTTGCTCTTAGAAGTGGAGTACCTGTCGGGACAGCATCTACCTTTGTGGACCACCAGGCTAGCAGGCCTGGCCCAGAACAAGACCTGCAGCCTGTGCCAAGGAGAGAGGTGGCCTGGGTCAGGTCAGGTGCAAAAGCTGGCTCTGAATGACGTCTATGATTCTCATGAGGGCAAGGATCCCAGCCTAGTTCAGCAAAGCCATCGGGGGGAAATTTGGGTTTGAGCAGTCATGGGAGGAGTCTGATAATATGACAGAGGTACCCCCACCTCAAGACATGTCCAACGTTCAGAATGAACTCTGCAACCTTGTCCCTTGGCCAGGAGTGGCCGACAGCCCCAACTAAAACCCACTTCCCCTCCAGCCACTCCATTGAGTTTGGTGGAGTGGTGTCCACCCAGGAGTGACCACCAAAAATAGCTGGAAAGAAGCAATAAGGGAACAGGGCCTACAGGTTGGCTGCTGTGGGCCACTCACTGACAGGCCCCTTGCTCTGCCCAAATTGTCTTGGTAGCCCTTTAGTCAGGTGATATCACCCCTTCATCACAGATAGGAAAGTGAGGCTCAGAGCTCCACCAACTGCTCAAGGCCACACAGCCAGGCCACACAGAGCAGGAGCCGGAGACTGAGCACTGTTTTGTCCGATGCCAAAGCTCTTTCTGAGAGTGCACACACCTCCATGAGCCCTGTGGGCTCCTCCTGCTCTTTGGGGCATGAGGAGCGCTGCTTATGCCCTTAGGGAGATGCCTTGGGAGGGGTGACTTGCTCTTGAAAAGCAGCCACCTCTCACCTGGGTCATGTCTGAGCTGGGCTCCCCAGAGCATGACTGTCTTGTTCAGCGGCTGGAATTCGTCCATCAGTGTTGGTCACTGACCGTTTTCAGGGATGCTTCTGGCTGGCGCTCACTTCCCTATAGATCTAATCTTGGACTTCATCACCGAGGCCATCACACCTAGGAAGCTGGCTGTCCCTACCCTTCTAGCCTTCGGATAAAGCTGTACTTGCAGGGGAAGCTGCCCCTTTGGCCTCCGAGTGGAGCAAAGACGTCAGGAAGCACAGGTGCAAAGGAAGAAGCCAGTGGCACGGACCATGGCTCACCGCGGGATCCTGCCTCTTTGTACAGACACAGAGGAGGGCTTTGGCCACTAGAGCAGGAGCGAGCAGGGGCAGCTTCTTCATGCTAAGTCCCCCACTAGTCTAGATTCTTAATATTTCTATTCTCAGTGCTGGATACATAGAAGGTACACAGTTAATGTTTATCCCACAGGATTAAATGCCCACAGGAAAGCAGATGTCTTTCCCAAGGGAATGTGGGCCAAGGAATTGGGATGGCACGATCAGTTTGCATTTGGGAGAAAGCCCTTGCCCATTGTATTAGTCATCCACTGCTGCATAACAAACTACCCCCAACTCAGCAGCTGCTGCCTCAACACTTACCCTCCCCATGGTTCCTGGGGCCCAGAGTCTGACAGCCACCCAGTACGATGGTGTGGGCCTTGTGGTCCTGCAGTCACAGCGTCCGTGGGGCTGCCATCATTCGCAGGCCCCCCCAGGGCCGGAAGGTCCACTTCTACGTTTGCACCTGGAGAGTGTGTGCTGGCTGCTGGTGGGAGGCCGTGGGCATCTGCCATGCGGGCTTCTCCATGGGCTGCCTGTGTGTCCTCACAGCATGGCAACCAGCTCCCCAGGGACCAGTGATCCCAGCAGAGCAAGGCAGGCCTGCGTGTCTTTTGACTTCATCTTGGCAGCTGCACGCTAGTGTGCCCACAACCCTCTACTCATTAGAAGCATGTCCCTGAGTCCAGCCCACACTCAAGAAGGGAGCTTTTGAGGGAGGAGTGTCAGAGTTTGGGGGTGTATTTTAAAACCACCACACCCATCACAGCTACAGAAATCTCATTTGCTCATTCAAAAACTGTCTCCTGAGTACCTGCTGTGTGCCCAGCCCTGGGGCTGAGGACAGAGCCCTTTCCTGCCATCATGGAGCCTGCATTGCACGGGGTGAGATGCGTGACAGAAGGACGTATCCCACATCACGTGCACTGAAGACAAAGCTGTGAAAGGATGGAGTGTGGGGAGGGGCTTCTGTCTCAGATGTGGAGGTCAGGGACGTCCTCCCCAGCGGGGGACTTTGGAGCAGGGGCCTGAGGGACGTGGGAAGCCCGGCAGACCCCTCATTACATGTGTTAAAGCCTCCTCCGGTGGGGGGCTGGGCAGAGGCTATTGCAGTTGTCCAAACTTCCTGCAATGGCAGAACATTCTAGATCTGCACTGTCCAGTAAGGTGGCCATGAGTCACACGTGACTGTCGAGCTCTGGAAATGCAGCTGGTGCAGCTAAGGAGCTGAATTTTAAATTGTATTTAATTCTTGTCACTTTAAATGTAAATGTCTACCCATGGCTAGCAGTGACAGGGCAGGCCCACCTGGCCTTGGCGAAGCAGGTGAGTGCTGGAGTGTGTACTTTGAGGCTGACGGGTTTCTTGATGGATGGGTGGCGAGCAGAATGGGTTTTTAGCTGGCCAGGCCTTGGAGTTGTGAAACCTGGGCTTTGTTTCGTGGTGGTTCTGTGGTCTTGGACAGAGCTCACAACCTCACCAACTCCCTGTTTATTAAAAAGAGAGCGATGGCTCTGCTGGTCACGCCGGGACGTTGCAAGGCACAAATGCAGCAGACGTGAGCCTGTGTGTGGCTCACATTGGGTCAGCGTTAGCCCCGCAAGCCACCCGAGGCGAGGGCCCCTGGCAACTCCAGGGCGGCTGCTTGACAAGACGCTGCTGCCGCCTCATGTTCTCTGTTAGCTGGCTTGGGGTCTTCTGGGCTCTGCAGGCCGTGTTTGAGGTGGGTTGTGACCCAGTGCTCCAGTCTGACCCTCGACCCTCCCCCAAATGCCACCAGGGTTCCCATTCCACCGTGACCTGGCAGGAGATGTCAGACCGCAGCTGAGGGCCCTGCTGGTTTCCTACGAGGAGGCTGCAGATGGGAATGAGGACCTCACGGTCAAGGGCATGGGCACCGCCCACCTGGCAGATGACACATTTGTGAGTGGGTCCCCAGAGGTCTGCCCTGGCACCCGACAACCCCAGGAGGCAGGAACAGGTTAGAGCCAACTGTGGAGCTCATCAGAGAGGTGACTTTCAGTACCAAAAGGGTGTTTTCCAAGGGAAATCCTGCCACACAGGGCAAATGAGAGCAGGTCAGGGCTCACCAGTCACTGCAGAATCCGCCGGCCCACATGTCCCTGGTCTTCAGGGGTGGGAGCAGCCAGCGGGAAGGAATCCACCTGCCCCCATGGCCTGTGGATCTGAGGACTCTGCTCCCACCTCCTGTGCCAACCATTGTTTGATGAAGGTGCCCTTGCTCCCAGCCCGCTCTCCTCTGACATTCTTTGGTGAACATCCCATCTCCTTTTCTCCAGAACCAGCCGGCTCGGACCACCCACATATTTTACAGTTACTGGGCTTCTATGTTCCACAGAGGGTGCTTGGCTGTGGGGACTGGGGAGGGGACAGAGCCTCAGGCCAGGTGCAGGGAGGACAGTGCTGGCCATAGGGCTGGGGCAGCCTCAGGTCACACCACCATTCCAGCACTCTCTGTGTGGCTCCAGGGACTCAGCGTCCCCACCTGGGAGTCAGGATGGGGGCTCAGGCAGAGGCGCTGGTTTGTTGTCCCACAGATCAAGCCTCTCTGAGTCCTCGGCTGTCTTGGTGGAGACTCCAAAGGTGAGGCCGGACTGCATGTCCCATGACCCTTCTCTACCAGGCAGGGCCGAGGACCCCGCAGCAAGGGCCCTTCATGCCGGGCTCACCACCCTGTTCCCTCCATGACCTCGCCAAATGCCTCCCGCTCCCACCCCCGGCTTTGGGACGGTCAAACAGGCGAGGGCTGGGGGTCGTGCCCCGGGGGGAGGATGACAGGTGACGGGAGGAGTGCCCGGCACGGCCGAAGAGAACACGGCAGTGGGGTGTGTGTCAGCAGCAGTGGCACCACCAAACCCCGGCAGGCTTCACGCAGAAGGCGGCATTTGGGGAGAAGTTAAAGGCTGAGCAGGAGCCAGCGGGTGAAGTGGGAAACGGAGAAAGGGCTAGCCTGTGCCCAGCTCTCCCTGTCAGCCCAAGACGAGGGACATCTTTTGTGTCTGGGCACTGCCTGGGTTGCTTGGACAGAAGCCTCAGAGCTGGAAGGAGCTGAGAAACCACACGCTCCAATGCTCACGCCCCATAGGGGACCGAGGAACCGCAGAAGGGACCGCACCTGCCCCGTGGCCAGCAACAGAAGGCCGGCAGGGAGCGAATGCACTCCAGCCCCTACGGTCTCTCCGCTCTCCCAGCTGAGCTGTCTTCCCCGGAGGCCGGTCTGCAACCAGAGAAGGCGCCACGCCATCGGCCCTCACCCTGCTCCGCCTAAGCTGCTGCTTTTCCTCTGCAAATGCCCTGGGCTGGACGTCAAACCACAGTCAGGTAGGGGCGGCCCAGACCAGGGACCAGCAGCTGGTTCCCTCTGCCTGGTCTCACTTCTAAAGCCACTGGAAGAGGAAACACATAAAATGTGACTTTGCAGAGGAATTCCAATAAACAAGATGTGTTTCCAAGTCTTCTGAGGCTGCTGAGACTGAGTAGCTGCATGTGAGCAGCCACAGCTCCTCTGTTGTCCTCCTGCAAAGGGGTCCCCGCCCTCCCACTCAGGTCGCGTTCCTCCGGCCGCCCCCGGCTGCTCCCGCCACAGGAGACTGGACGGTGGGCTCTGGCCCTGGGGACCTCCGGCCCTGCCTGCAGCAGGCCCCACTGTGTGTGGGCGAGAGGGCCGGGCCAGCTGACTCCCGTCTTTCTTTGGGACCACGTCATCAAGCGGGCTGGAGCCAGAGGCTGGGCCCCTCTGTGCCCCGGGGATCCTCACCCCGCAGGTCCCCAGTGCTGTCCTTGTCACCACTGAGCGACAGTTTCTCCCCACCCCGTGCTTCAGTTTACCTGTCCGGACCAGGGGTGGCAACCTCTTTTCCAGAACGGGGCAGAAGGTGAATGCAGTTCACTGTAGTTCTCTGCATTGTGTCTTCTTTTTAAAGAAAATAACCCTTTACAAATGAAGGGTTGGCCGGGTGCAGTGGCTCACGCCTGTAATCCCAGCACTTTAAAAAGGTCAAGGCAGGTGGATCACCTGAGGTCAGGAGTTCGAGACCAGCCTGGCCAACATGGTGAAACCCCATCTCTACTACAAATACAAAAATTAGCCGGGCGTGGTGGTAGGCACCTGTAATCCCAGCTACTTGGGAGGCTAAGGCAGGAGAATCATTTGAACCTGGGAGGTGGAGGTTGCAGTGAGCCGAGATTGTGCCACTGCACTCCAGCCTGAGTGAGAGAGTGAGACTCTGCCTCATAAATAAATTAAAAAAAAAAAATGAAAACAAAGGGTTAAAACACCACTCTCAATGTGGAGGCTGGGCACAGACAGCTGTGGCTGCCGGCAGTCCTGCAGCCCTGGAGTGGACTGTGGGGTGAGGCCGCACCTGCCCAGGGGTCTCCGGGTGTCCCTGCAACTCCATCTTGAGCAGGTCCTTACATGCCAGTGCCTGGCATTGCTCGTGTTGGCCTGTGGTTTACAGATGAGGAAACTGAGGCTGGGAAGGACCAGAAGTTCCCTAAGGCGCCGGCTGCTGGCAGGGGTGGGGGAGCTCTGAACCCTATCATTTGTGTGCTCAACTGTGATTCGATAACCCACAGGTGGTGGGGGCCGTGGTGTCTCTTGATGGCCTGGGGCTCCCATGCGGGCCCACCCTGCTGGGTCCAGGGTGTCCTCCTGTTCCTCCTCCCTTTTTGCCTGGAGGAGACTCCTCCACTAACTCGGAGGTTCTAGTGACTTCCTGCCGTGCTCCCCCCAGGAGTAGCCATGTTTCCACAGCCACCCCACGGGCAGTGGCCAGAGTGGCTGGAATGCCAGGTTCAGCGTCTGTGGTGTGAGGCATGGACACGGCACCTGCGAATCCACGTTGGCTGTCATCACTATTAACCAGTTATAACAAGGATCACACACCTTGTTCCCCACACCAGTCATGTGGTGGCTGCACTGTGAGGCAGACACCAACCGTGCATTTTCCACATACAGAAGTGGCTGAACACAGCCCAGGAGCTTGCCCAAAGCTGCAGGAGGCCGCTTTGGCTCGGGCTCAGGACCGGGGGCTGCTTAGAGTGAGGCTCTGGCTGTCCTGCCTGCCTGTGGGTCCTAAAGTCCTCTCCTTGCCATTCCAGGTGCCCCCGTGGATAAGCTGCACCCACCTGTCCCCAGGAGCACAGCCAGCACCTCTCAGGTGCGCCCCTGAGGTGTCTGCGGCACCTGTCTCTTATCCATCATCATTCTCCCAGGCAGACCCAGGGCGGGGCAGGTGCTGGCTCTGGCACCGCAGGAAGCACATCTGGTCCAGGGCATCTCAGAACCTGAGGCTCTGGGGTGTAGAATGGACTTTGAGTTTCTGGAAGAGACCTTAGGAAACGTTGTGTCTGCATTTCCAGGTGGCCGGATGGTGGTGGGGGCGCCTCACTCCTCACCGTGTGCTGCATCCTCAGCCTCTGCCTGCATCTCTCGAGTCTGCTCTGGGTCAGCACTGGGGGTGAGGAGGTGATGAGGGGCAGCGGCAGGGGCCGGGGGTCAAGAGCACCAGAAGGGAGGCCAGGTCAGGTCCCTGCAGCCCAGGTGAGATGAGGGCCTCGTGGTGGCCTTGAGGGCTGGAGGTGAGGGAAGGGCCCTGAGCCGGGTGCCGCAGCCGATGCCCTGTCCTTTGCCGTGACAGTCTCTGTGCAGTGCAGGCAGCCCCCACCGAATCCAGGTACAGTGCTCAGTCACAACCGTAGGGAGAGTGGTCAAATCGGAGCGGGGGCGGGGGCCGTGAGTCAGGCTGAAAAGAAGAAGCTCAGAGCAGGAAGGGCAGAAGGGCCGGGAAGGGCAGGTCTGAAGCTCGGAGTGGGAAGGGCAGAGGTGGTGAAGGGCGAGTCCGGAGCATCCTCGAGTTGCCCAGGTGCTCGGAGAGTGAGGAACCCCCCAGGGAGGGAGGAGCCCCCAACCCACAGGGCTGCAGCCTTGGACATGGCCAAGACCCGCGTCTAGGAAGAATGGGGTCCTCAGAGCTCAGGTGGGTTACTCATCCGCCCGCTCTGTGCCCAGGGCCCTCCCCCACCACCGTCAGCGAGTCCGCACACAGGTGCCCGGGGTTGTCACCTGAGGGCGGCGCCTGCCTCCTCTCCTGCTCCCACAGCAGCCCAGGGAGCAGGGCCCCGTGTGAGCTCCCGGAGCTGCGGCATCAAAACACCACAAATGACGGTGGGGGCGGGGACGGGGCGGGGGTGGAGGCAGGAGCTGGGGGCCAAAGCCGTGGAATTCACTCCCTCTCAGCCTGGAGACCAAAATCCAGGTGTCTCAGGGCCATGCTGCCTGGGGGGTCTCCCGGGGATCCTTCCTGCCTCTTCCAGCTCCTGGTGGCTCCAGGCGTCCTTGGCTTGTGGCCATGCCACTCCAGTCCCACCTCATCCTCACATGGCCTCTGCTCTGTGTCTGTCCCTGTGTGTGTGTGTGTGTGTGTATCTCTGTGTCTCTCGCTTTATAAAGACACTGGTCATTGGATTTAGGGCCCACCCTACTCCAGCGCAACCTCATCTTGACTAATTACATCTGCAAAGAGCGCATTTCCAACAAAGCGACACTCACACGGGTCGGGGGTAGGACTTGGACACAACTCAACCCATAGCAAGTGTGGGTTTTGAAATAGAATCTTAAAGAAGTCCCTCATAAGCCCCAGAGAGCAGCTGGAGGTGCCCCATGAACCCCACAGAGTGGCCAGAGGTGTCTCATAACCCCATAGAGCAATGGGAGGTGCCCCGTAACCCCATAGAGCAGCGGGAGGTGCCCGGTAACCCCATAGAGCAGCCGGAGGTGCCCCGTAACCCCACAGAGCAGCCGGAGGCGCTCCGTAACCCCATAGAGCAGCCGGAGGCGCCCCGTAACCCCACAGAGCAGCCGGAGGCGCCCCGTAACCTCATAGAGAAGCGGGAGGCGCCCCGTAACCCCATAGAGCAGCGGGAGGCGCACCATAACCCCATAGAGCAGCCGGAGGTGCCCCGTAACCTCATAGAGCAGCTGGAGATGCCCCATAAGCCACATAGAGCTGCTAGGGTACCCCAGGCCTTGTCTGTTTTTCTGGGCATCCTGGGAACTGGGCAGAGTGGGATTGTGACACCCGTGGACCAGGAGAGATTCTGGGAAGCCCCTGCCATTCTGTTTCCCACTTCTTTCAGGCCACTTGGCCAGCACCGCTAGGCCCTCCTCGTCCCTCTTCGTGGAAAACCGTGCAGAGGGAGGCAGGTAGAGGAGAGAAAAGATGTCTGACTTCAAGCTTCTAAAGGATTTTCTCCGACAGGAGGAAGAGATACTTTTCAAAATGGTTGTGAGCCGCCTTGGCCAGAATGCAGGAGGACCCTGTTAAGAGGAAATCAGGCACAAGGCACCCACACAGCCAGGGTGGGAGGTCATTCCAGGATGGTCACAGCCGTCTCCGCTGTGGTCTCAAATGACTTTGCTTGGCCTTCTGGAATCTAAAGGGTCCTGGAGTGGGGCGTTCACTGGATTTGCTGCCGAGAAGTCTGCAGCTTTTCACTGTCACTCTTGAGACCTGGATCCTTCAGACGTGGAAAAGGGGGTGATTGCTCTGAAAGTTCCAGTTTGGGTGCTAGCGACCGGCCTCCAGGCATCTAGGAAGTCGGACAGCACAGTGCTGGGGACCTTCCATAGAAACCCAAGTGTGCGCCAGCTGCAGGATTTATAATGTAAAAATCAGTGCTCGCGTTAAGGGGCAGCGCCGAGGGAGCAGAGCCTGCGTCCATCGCCATTGTGTTCCAGGCCTCCTTCTGTGAGGTGCCCCTACCAGCAGCTTGCATTCCCTGTACCCCAATATTTCACTGCAGATGTTACTGGAAGCCCTCTGCCACAGGAATCCTCAGGAGCTGATTATTTTAGGAAAGTAAATGGAGAATGAGGAAAATAATATCCGAATACATGACCTCAATCCGCAATGGAGATGTTTCCCGGCAGAACGTTGGCTTCGTAGAACCACCTGATTATGTCCCGGCTTCCTCGAAGGGTTTTTTAGGAGCCTCCTGAGGCACAGCAGGGCTTCGAGGAGGCTCCTAAAGGGTACAGGAGCACTTTGCAGGGCCGTACCCAGAAATCCCATTCTAGGCAGGGTTCCCCATTTGGGCTGTGTTTTGAGAAGGCGTTTTTAAGGATTCTAATCCTGTATTCAAACATCATTAAGAGCCTAACATCAACCTCATAGTTTTTTCCTGAACATTCAGCTTAAGGGGCTGAGCTCCAGCGTGGCAATCCTGAAAGTGGAATGAACAGTTTCGGGGTGATGCTAGAATTCTCTATAAAAACACACACAAGCAAAGAGAGGGCCTGGGGCTCGTCCGGCGGTAACAGCAGCACAGTACAAGGCACGGATGCGGAACCGGCTCCCAAACCCCGCGCCTCACTGTCCCTGGTGTAGTGACGAGGTGTCAGAGACGCGCGATCATTTCAGACGTTTTCTATGGGGAGGAAGCTGGGTTTTCTGAGCAGTCATGGGGGGTGAGTGATGTGTGTGAGGACTCGCACAGGCCAGAAAAAATGATGGCTTTAACACGGATCTGGAAAGAAATTCTGAAAACCAAAGAAAGTCGGCAATGAGGCCAGCCTGGGAAATGTTCCGAGAGGGTGTGGAGAACTGGGGAGCAGTGGAGGGTTTCAGAGGAAGGGGGGGGCCCAGCCCATGACAGGCCTGAAGAAGGACCCTGAGCCCCCACCCCGGGTGGCACAGGGGCGCCCAGGCCTGCAGCCCCCAGGGAGAGACGCCGTTCCTGGTGAGGGAGGGGGGAGCTGTGCTGACCCCCCGTGTTTTCCATGATCTCTCACTCCATGCTGGGCAGAGGCTTTAGGAAAAGCTGAGCTGTGCCCGGAGACGGCACCCAGGAGTCCAGCCGGGATAGGACTTGTTTTTCTTCAACAGCAGCGCCGGAGGCGGAAGGGCCAGGACTTCACTTGCCGTGGTCCCGGCCCCTCTCCTGGGGCCCATCCTGGGTCTTGGCCTGGGCTCAGGGCCCACTGGCTGGACAGACTGGAGACCCGAACTGAGTGCAGGAGGCTGTGGGTCTGGGCGCCTCCCTTGGGACTTCCATTCATTGCATTGATTTATTTTCACCGCAGATACCTCAGGTGTACTTCCTAAGAGCAAGCAGAGGCCCTTTCATAACCGCAGCTCAGTTTCGGAAATGGGAAAACTTCCATGATCGCAATCCTGTTACCAGATCCACGGACCTTGTTCAAAGGCTGCCGATTACCACAATCGTGTTCTTTATGACAAAAAAACAAACAAACAAACAAAACCCTACACTTGTCTCTGGTCCAGCCCAGCAGCCAGAGTGGTGCTGGTTTGTCACGACTCGACTCTGGTTCCCTGGAACCCTGCGTCTTTCTTTCTTTTAAAACCTCGATGGCTTTGGAGGGAACAGACCAGTTTGTAGGTTGCCCCTCTGCCTGGGTCTGGCGGGCGCTTCTTGGTGAGAGATCCCACTTGGTATCTCTGTGGGAACGGAAGGGAGGGGAGGCCGTGGGGACGGAGGGGAGGGGAGGCCGCGGGGACGGAGGGGAGGGGAGGCCGCGGGGACGGAGGGGGAGGGGAGGCCGCGGGGACGGAGGGGGAGGGGAGGCCGCGGGGACGGAGGGGAGGGAGGCCGCGGGGACGGAGGGGAGGGGAGGCCGCGGGGACGGAGGGGAGGGGAGGCCGCGGGGACGGAGGGGAGGGGAGGCCGCGGGGACGGAGGGGAGGGGAGGCCGCGGGGACGGAGGGGGAGGGGAGGCCGCGGGGACGGAGGGGAGGGGAGGCCGCGGGGACGGAGGGGGAGGGGAGGCCGTGGGGGACGGAGGGGAGGGGAGGCCGCGGGGACAGAGGGGAGGGAGGCCGCGGGGACGGAGGGGAGGGGAGGCCGCGGGGACGGAGGGGAGGGGAGGCCGTGGGGGACGGAGGGGAGGGGAGGCCGCGGGGACGGAGGGGAGGGGAGGCCGTGGGGGACGGAGGGGAGGGGAGGCCGCGGGGACGGAGGGGAGGGGAGGCCGCGGGGACGGAGGGGAGGGGAGGCCGTGGGGGACGGAGGGGAGGGGAGGCCGCGGGGACGGAGGGGAGGGGAGGCCGCGGGGACGGAGGGGAGGGGAGGCCGCGGGGACAGCGGGGAGCTGAGGCTGCGCCTCCTGGTTCCCTGGCTGAGAGGGTAACTCTGACCACCTGGGTGCAGTGGAGCCGCCAGCTGTCCCCCCTGTAAAGGGACTGGCGGCTCTGGGTGCCTGTGGCTGCTCCAACAACGAACCACAAACCGGGAGCTTAAAACTTATTCTCTCCATTCGGAGGCCAGAAATTCAAAATCAGCCTCCCCTAGACATAACCAAGGTGTCGACGGGGCCGCCCTGCACCTGGGAGAGTCTCCCCGGCCCTTCCAGCTTCTGGGGCTGCTGGCTTCCTCGGCTTGTGGCCGCATCGCTCCCGTCCCCACCTTAATGGTTACAGTGCCTCCTCTCCTATCTGAAATCTCCCTCTGGCCCTCTTATAAGGATGCACCTGATAGCAGCTGGGGCGCCCTGGATAAGCCACATCACCTCCACATCTCGATCCCATCTGCAAAGTCCCCTTTCCATATGAAGACGCGGTCACAGGCTCGAGGGTGTGGGGGGTGGATGTGTCTTTGGCGGCCATGATTTAGCCTGCCAGACTTAATAAGTATTTTGTGAGCTGCCTTTGGAATGTATAAATGTCCTGTACTTTGTTAAATTTCATGACGACTGAAGAGATTTCCTTTCTCCCCATTTATCTGTGTATTCATTTATATATTTACATTAGTGTGGACTCGTGGCTTTTTAAAGATTTAATGGGTTATAATCCATTGCCATCATCATGTGTTTGATGCCCACATTGTCCCGGGTTTGGTCGGTGGGAGCCCCTTCAAGCCAATTCCTGTGTCCCCATCATCCTTTAAGTACCTATTTCCTTTGCAGCAGGAAGAGATATCTCAAGCTCATCTGCGCTTTCCCTGTTGCGTGCTGCAATCTGGCGCTTTCCCTGTCACGTGCCGCAATCTGGAACTTTTCCCATGAAGCCTTCTGTTCATGGCAAAAGGTATCCAGAAACCAAGACGTGGGTGCTAGTGCGCTCATTACTACTGGGGTGCCTCGGTGTCCAGGGTGTTTCAGTGGCTTCAGTGAAGGAGTGTAAGGGGAGGAGAGGAGGGAGGGAGGGAGGGAGAGAAAGGGAGGGAGGAGAGGTGGGAGGGTGGGAGAGAGAGAGGGAAGAAGGAAGGAGGGAAGGAGGGAGGGAAGGAGAGAGGGAAGGAGAGAGGGAGGGAGAGAAAGGGAGGCAGGGAGGGAGGGAGGAGAAGTGGGAGGGAGAGAAGAAGGAAGAAGAGATGGAGGGAGGGAGGGAAGAAGGGAGGAGGGAAGGAAGCACGCACAGATAAGACAAGATAGGACAAGAAAAGACACACACATATATCTGCATCTATAATCTGTCCATAGTAAATGCGCGTGCGCGCGCACACACACACACACACACACACACTCTCTCTCTCTCTCTCTCTCTCTCTCTCTCTAACATACATGAGCCACGAGCTCCCACGATGCCTCCAGTTCCAACCTGGAATACCTGCGAGTCCTTCCCCAGCAGGGCCAGGTCTGCCCTCTACCATTCTCAGGGTATTTGCTTATTTGCTCAGTCCTAGAATAAACAGAAAATAGTTTCAGCATTGCTAACCCACCCCACTGTGGAAACCACATCTGTTCACCCCACATATTCTTTGCCTGAAGTACAGCAAGCTTCTTTTGTTTCTATCTGCAATCCAATTAGAGTCACCTGCCCCCTCTTTTTTTCCTTTCAAGTATGTAAACTTAACCTGGTTCCACAAAACAAAACCCTACACACACACATCTATTCGGAGAAATGTCGCTCCCTAGTCCATCTCCCCAACACTGTCCCTCACCTCCTGTGACATACACCGTCTCATCGGTCTCTGGGTTGTTCTTCCGGTGTTTCTTTTCTTTTCTTTTTTCTTTTTTTTTTTCTTTTGAGATGGAGTCTTGCTCTGTTGCCCAGGCTGGAGTGCAGTGGCGCGACCTTGACTCACTGCAAGCTCAGCCTCCCAGGTTCATGCCATTCTCCTGTCTCAGCCTCCCGAGTAGCTGGGACTACAGGTACCCGCCACCGCACCCAGCTAATTTTTGTGTATTTTTAGTAGAGACGGGGTTTCACTGTGTTAGCTAGGATGGTCTCCATCTCCTGACCTCGTGATCCTCCCACCTCGGCCTCCCAAAGTGCTGGGATTATAGGTGTGAGCCACTGCACCAGGCCCCTGTGTTTCTTTTTACAAAAACTAAGCATTGTTTTATTTCCCCTTTCTTTTACCCAGAAGATGGCATGTTAGAGATAGTCTTTTACATTATTTTCACTTAATAACATATCGTGGAAATGACTCCATATGAGTTCATAGAGGACTTCCTTATTCTTTTTTACAGCTGCATAGTACTCCACTGTTTGGGCATACCACAGTTCATTCAACCTCTCTCCTGTCTGTGGGCATTCCAGTTGTTTCTAATATTTTGCAATTACATGCAATGTTGCAATGAATAAACCTGTGCATCTGTTTTTTTCTAATGCATTTTCATACTGTTGTAAGAGTATCTTCAGAGTAAATTCTAGTCATGAGATTACTGATGCAAAACTAAACTCTTCCTCCAAGACGGTTTTACCAATTTGTATTCCCACCAGCAAAGTAAGGAAAGGCCCACTTCCCCAGAGCTTTCTCATGGGAACATGTTCTCAGTGACGCTGCTACATTGTTGCAGTCTGAGAGGTGAGAAATGAGACCGCAATGTAGCTCTGATTGACATTTCTGTTTTGAGTGATATTGAGCCATTTGTTCATGTGTTTAAGGCCCATTTATAAACATTTTTGGTAAATTATCTCTTCATGTCTTTTGTTCATTTTCCTATTGGGTCTTTGGTCATTTCTTCCCTCAGTTTTTAATAATGCTTTCTGTATTAGAACTATTTCCCCTATATTTGATGTATGTTATAAATATTTCTCCTAATTTGTCATTTGTCCTTTGGATTTCTTTGCGGTATTTTTTAACCATGGAAAAGTGGTTCTGTTTTTATATCGTCAAATGCATCCATCTTCTCTAGTGTTGCATTTGGATGTTGAAAAGTGGTTCTGTTTTTATACCGTCAAATATACCCATCTTCTCTTGTGTTGCATTTGGATGCTGAAGTTTAAAAAGCTTTTCTGACATTTCCTTCTAGCATTTGTATGGTTTAATTTTTTACATATAGATCTCTAATCCATTTGGAGTTTATTTTTTATGTATAGTATGAGATATGAATCTAATTCCATCTTTTACTAAACAGCTAACCAGTTGTCCCAGCACCGTTTGTTAAAAAGATCATCTTTGTCCTAGAGACGTGAACGTCACTTTGACCATCTACGAACTATTCAGAGGTCCTCAGGTCTATTTCCGGGTGTTCTTTTCCACCGTTCTGTTTTGTTGTGTATCGGTCCCACACTTTTTTCTCTCTAGAAGCTTTTTAGTGTGTTTTAATGCCTGGTAAAGCTGGGCCTCCTCCTCCACCCCCCACCAGCCCCCACTGTGCTAACGTGTTTATTTTTCATATAGGTTTTCATATCAACTTAGCATCATTGTAAAAAGCTCATTGGTATTGGGCGGGGTTGCCTTAGCAGTAGGAATTAACTTCAGGAGAACCGATGCCTTCGGCCGTTGAGTGGCCTTGGCCAGGAACAGGAGATGCCTTCTCATTTGTCAGTCTACTTGTATGTGTCTCTCAGGAGTATTTTAATGTTTTCCTTAAATAGTTTTTCCCCGCATTCTTGATACATTTATCCCTAAATGTTTTTATCTTATTTGGTGCTTTTGTAATGGAGGTTTTCGACCATTAGCTCTTCCACCTGGTTATTGTTGATGTACACGGAGGGTATTGATTCTCATGTGTTTGTGATCTATTCTGCTGCCTCTATCAGGTTTGGAGATGCAGAATCACTAGAAGACAGAGGTTAGAAGCCTTAGTACAGGGAGGTGATCGTCTACAAGGCAGGCATTAGTTAAATGCCTGGAAGGCCAGTGTCTTCACATCCCATGCTGGGTCACGGACTCTTCAGGGTGGGTGGTTGTCAGGAGGGAAAGTCGATACAAACTGGGGGTCACATTGTAGGTTTCTTTGAATGTCTAGTGATCTTTTATTGTATTCCGAACGTTGTTACTGACACATGGTATAGACCCTGGGTCCTGTAACAAAGACTGGGCTCTGTCATGTTTCTCTGATGTGTACTGATTTCTCGGTGTCTGTTTTAATGGGCAATTCACTTAGCTGAGCAGATATGTGCATACTTCAGGTGTTAGACAAGGATTTGGGCAGAGTTTATATGCAGAACTGTGGGCTCTGTCTGTTTTTATCTTTTTCTGGATTTTTCCTCCAACCGTCCAGCTGCTGTGATCTCCACAAATTCTGTCCTTTGCTTGTTCAAGCCGGTATGCTTGTGAGTTTCCTATTAGAATGTTTGCCACCTGTGTGGTGCCAGCTGGGCCCTGCCCTGATGCAAGGGGCATGAAAATGGGAAGTTCACCCAGCACCATTCCCTTCACCCATGTGCAGCACCCTCCATTTCATGCTTTTCCATGCTCTCCAATTCCTCCAGATGTTTTAAAAACAATTTGTCCAGTGATTATGGTGGTTATTTGTGGAACAGCTGGTCTTGTAGGGATGACTTCTCCATTCCTGCAAGTGGAATTCAGTTGCCTTGCTTTGTTTATTCCTTGATGCTAGGCTAAAATTCTTATATATTTTGTCCTCTTAAAGTTGCCTGCTATTTTTGTCTGGAGGACCCAAGCATTTTTTTTTCTTCATCTTTGAGGATTTCTTTCTTTATATGTAATGTCTAATAGTCTCACTGAGCTATGCCTCGGAATCACTTGTTCCAAACGGATTGCCCCAGTCACCTGGTGGATCCTTGCATAGGTCTTCTATCTCAGGTCTTCTATCTCTGAGAGTTCTCTTGCATTACATTTTTCTTTTCCATGACTTCACTTATACACAGTGTCTCTTCTCCTTTCTTCTGTTTCAACCACTTTATCTTTGACACTCTTTCTTTTTTACATCATCTCATTTTCATTGCCATGGTTGATTTTCTGCTCTTCTTCAGTGGTATCCCTGAATTTTCATTAACATCTGTTCTCCTTTGGGTACCTTTTAATTTAATCTTCATCATTAGTGTGATTTTTGTCATATTCTTCTCTTTCTTTCTTTCCTTCTTTCTTCCCTTATTTATTTATTGACATTTATTTATTTTAGACAAGGTCTCACTCTGTCACCCAGGCTGGAGTGAGGTGGTGCCATCTTGACTCACTGCAACCTCTACCTCCTGGGCTCAAGCAATCCTCCCACCTTAGCCTCCCAAGTAGCTAAGACTAAAGGCACACACCACAACACCCAGCTAATTTTTGTAATTTTTTTTGTAGAGACAGGGTTTTGCCATGTGGCCCAGGCTGGTTTTGAACTCCTGGGCTCAAGCAATCCGCCTGCATTGGCCTCACAAAGTGCTGGAATTACAGGTGTGAGCCACTGCTCCCTGCCTCTTGTTTCAGTTCCATCAACTTGTACCTTGTTTCTTCCCATTTTTTGGTCCATCTATGTCCTTAGTTTTAAATTTTACATCACAAGGTGATTTTTATATACTCAAATGCTTAAGAATATTTAATTTATGTTATGCTACCGTTTTCTTCTGCTTTGTGTTGATACTGGGGGTGGTAATTTTTAGTCACTTGAAATGTTTTGATTCCGTATTCTGTTTGCTTTTTTTTTTCTTTGAGATGGAGTCTCGCTCTGTGGCCCAGGCTGGAGTGCAGTGGCACCATCTTGGCTCACTGCAAGCTCCGCCTCCCTGGTTCACGCCACTCTCCTGCCTCAGCCTGCCGAGTAGCTGGGACTACAGGCGCCCGCCACCACGCCCAGCTAATGTTTTTGTATTTTTAGTAGAGACAGAGTTTCACTGTGTTAGCCAGGATGGTCTCGATCTCCTGACCTCGTAATCCGCTCGCCTCGGCCTCCCAAAGTGCTGGGATTACAGGCATGAGCCACCGCGCCCGGCCTCTGTTTGCTTTTAATAGTAGTTTTTTTATAGAAGAAGACTTCTTACATATTTGCACTTAATGGACAGGGTTGGCAAGTTGGAGTTGTTTACAAGATTTCAAGAGCATTGTCTTTTGTTAGCATAGCAAAAAGTCTTCGGGGTGAGCATGGAGAAGGACGTGTGTGCTCATCCACATGTTTGTGTCTTCAGAGAGTCTAAATTTCTCTCCTCATCCTACTCATCACGATGCCATTTCCAAAGGGTGCCTCCTCCTCCTCCCCCAAAAGGGTTGCCTTTCTGAGATTACCTCCTCACTCTCGTGTGTCCTTCTAAGAGCTTTTCCGGGAGTCAGGGCTCTTTTCCCAGTATTTCCACACTTACTGTGGCCTTGCTGTTTCTGGGGGTGCTTTTAGCTCAGTCTCCTCTTCTGTTTTCTGGGTGGCTTTTCCACCCCTTCCCTTTGCTCCCAGCTTTCCGCAGAGGCTTACGATGAGAGCTCAAGAAATACTTCTGTTTGAAACTGGTGTTTGTTTTCCTATTTGCAGATCATTTAACATTTATATTATTCTCTGTCATGCAGACATGCTGAAAGCGTGGAATTTGTGTGATTTTGTTCTTGCTGATCTGTGTGATTTTTAGAGGATGTTTGGAAAGATTCAGATTTGGGTGGTTACTCTTGTCTTGGCTGCAGAAGTCACAACCCCTGTCCTCTCTTCGCTTAACAGGGAACTGTGTGTGTCTTGACCTGAGTGACCCCAGGGAAGCATGGAGGCACATGAATTAATACAAGGGAAAGCTACTCTATTCCATAAAGAGGATAGGATACCCCCCGAAGGATTCACTGATAGCCTCTTGATGAGAGCACGCCCAGGGGTTTTCCGGTGATGACCCCATCTGCAGTTTGCTCACAGCAAGGATTTCCTATAAAGAAGATGTTCTCCATGTGAGGGCTGGTTAGCTTTCTGCTTAGATTTTCCAGAAGCTAGAGTTTCCATATGAGGGGAGTCAGGGTGACTCTGGGCATTTGAAGAGGGGTGTTAATGTCCCCACTCTGATTGTAGATTTGTCTACCTCTCCTTTTAGTTCTTTTGAGTTTTTTTTTTAGAAGGTATGGTTTTATTTTAGTTCTTTATTTTATTATTATACTTTAAATTCTGGGGTACAGTGCAGAACGTGCAGGTTTGTTACATAGGTATACACGTGCCATGGTGGTTTGCTGCACCCATCAACCCGTCATCTACATTAGGTATTTCTCCTAATGTTATCCCTCCTCTAACCCTCACCCCCCGACAGGCCCCGGTGTGTGATGTTCCCCTCCCTGTGTCCATGCATTCTCATTGTTCACCTCCCACCTATGAGTGAGAACATGCGGTGTTTGGTTTTCTGTTCTTGTGTTAGTTTGCTGAGAATGATGGTATCCAGCTTCATCCACGTCCCTGCAAAGGACATGAACTCATCCTTTTTTATGGCTGCATAATATTGCATGGTGTGTATGTGCCACATTTTCTCTTGATTTTTTTTTGAATAAATACAGACTTAGGATTCAAGTATTTTTCTGGTGGATTGACCACTTTATCTGCAGAAAATGTCCCTCTTTGTCTCTGATGATGCTCCTCGCTTTATAGCTTTAACTAATATTAGACTAGTTCTTTTGGTTACTGTTTGAATAATCTTTAATTCCATATTTTTATCTTTCAAATTTTCTGTCCTATAATTCTGTCAGGCATGTCTATTGTAATCAGCATGCGGACAGATTTTGTTTTTTACCTAGTCTCCAATAATTGTAGTCATTAAATTGGAGTAGTCTATTTGCCTTTAATGTAATTACTGAAATACTTGCATTTCTATCTACCATGCTTTCTTTCTGTTTGAGCCATCTCTTTTATACCTTCCTTCTTTCAAATCCATTTAATGTAATTACTGAAATACTTGCATTTCTATCTACCATGCTTTCTATTTAGCCATCTCTTTTATAGCTTCCTTCTTTCATATCTTGCCTTTTAATTTTTTTTTTTTTTTTTTTTTTTGAGACAGAGTCTCACTCTTGTCACCCAGGCTGGAGTGCAGTGGCATGACCTGGGCTTGTTGCAACCTCCGCCTCCAGGGTTCAAGCGATTCTCCTGCCTCAGCCTCCCAAGTAGCTGGGATTACAGGCACCCATCACCACCCCCAGCTAATTTTTGTATTTTTAGTAGAGACAGTGTTTCACCATGCTGGCCAGTCTGGTCTCGAACTCCTGACCTCAGATGATCTGCCCACCTCGGCCTCCCAAAGTCCTGGGATTATAGGTGTGAGCCACTACACCTGGCCAGCCTTTTTTTTTAAATCAATAAAAAAAAATTATTCCATTATTTCCCTTTATTAACTTTTGCTAGTCTTTTAGTAGTTACCTTAGCGATTAAAACAGGTACTTGAAATGTTGCCTCTGCTACTCCTGGATAATGCCAGAATCTTAACCGCTACTACTTTTATGTTTTTGTGGTCTTGCATTATTAATTCTATATATACTTTAAACCCCACAATCCATTCCTATCATTACTTTGTACAGCTAATATTCAGTAAATATTCCTTCATATTTGTCCACAGATTTACTTTCTCTTTGCTTTCTATTCCATTCTGCAATTTCATGTTTTCCTCTGGGGTCATTTTCCTTTTGCCCTAAGAACTCTCTTCCATATTTTTTTTTGGTACAGATTTTCAGACAACAAAGTCTCTCAGTTTTTACTTGTCTGAACATGTCTTTATTTCACCTTCATTTTTAAGATGATTTTCGCTAGGCATATAATTCTAGGTTGGCAGATACCATCTTTCAGCACTTAAAAGATATTATTTCAGGTCGGGTGCAGTGGCTCACGGCTGTAATCCCAGCACTTTGGGAGGCCGAGGCGGGTGGATCACGAGGTCAGGAGATCGAGAACATCCTGGCTAACACGATGAAACCCCGTCTCTCCTAAAAATACAAAAATTAGCCGGGCGCGGTGGTGGGTGCCTGTAGTCCCAGCTACTTGGGAGGCTGAGGCAGGAGAATTGCGTGAACCCGGGAGGCAGAGCTTGCAGTGAGCCGAGATCACGCCACTGCACTCCAGTCTGGGCAACAGAGTGAGACTCCGTCTCAAAAAAAAAAAAAAAAGATATTATTCCATTGCCTCTGCACTTCCTTAATTTCTATTGAGAAGTTGGCTGTCAGTCTTATTGTTGATTCTTGGAAGACACAGAGTCTCTGACTGCATCTAAGATTTTATATCTGGTTTTGGAAGTCTTCATATGATGTACCTAGTTGTGCCTTTGTCTTTATCATGCTTCTGATTGAAAGGGTTTTGGAAGCTATCCTTTCAAATATTGCTGCCTTTTTCATACCTTACCTCTTCTCCAGAGATACTGATTACTGGATGTTAACCTTTTAACTATGTCCCATTTGTCTCTAACATATTTTTCTATATTTTTTATTATTTTTTTCCTGTTGCTTCAGTTTGCTTATGTTCTATTAAACTGTTTTCCAGTTTACCAAGTCTGTCTTCTTCTTTGTCTAATCTGTGTTCTTCCTTTTAGTTTTTTTTTCTTCATAGAATTCTAAAATTCCCTCTGGTGAATTTCTTCATCTGTTCCTCTATTTTCCTGAGCTATGGTTCTTGAATCAAGGTTATTTGAAAGTTGTTGCTTGCAAAATCTGTTATCTGGATCATCTCTGTATCTGCTTCTAAGTTGTGTATTTTCTCTTGGTTTTTGGTCGTGTGGTCCTGCCTTTGGTCATGACATGTGATTTTTGATTGAATACTAACACGGTGAATAAAATGCATCGTGGAGGCTCCAGCTGATGCTATTTTCCCACACAGAGGGTTTACCCTTCCTTGTGCTAGGATGAGACAGTAGTAACTCCTCTCCTTAATCCAGCCAGGTACTCTGCTGAGTCAAGTGGGGCTGCAGCCTGGCAAACTCTATCTCCTTTGAGCTTTCTGATCCTTTAGAGTTTTCTATGGAAAGCGTGATGTGTTCCTTGGGGCCCCAGTCTTTCATGGGTCCTGAAGTCTAAACATTGCCTTGTGACTGTGTTGAAATTTCTTTTTTTTTATTATTATTATACTTTAAGTTTTAGGGTACATGTGCACATTGTGCAGGTTAGTTACATACGTATACATGTGCCATGCTGGTGTGCTGCACCCACTAACTCGTCATCTAGCATTAGGTATATCTCCCAATGCTATCCCTCCCCCCTCCCCCCACCCCACCACAGTCCCCAGAGTGTGATATTCCCCTTCCTGTGTCCATGCGATCTCATTGTTCAATTCCCACCTATGAGTGAGAATATGCGGTGTTTGGTTTTTTGTTCTTGCGATAGTTTACGGAGAATGATGATTTCCAATTTCATCCATGTCCCTACAAAGGACATGAACTCATCATTTTTTATGGCTGCATAGTATTCCATGGTGTATATGTGCCACATTTTCTTAATCCAGTCTATCATTGTTGGACATTTGGGTTGGTTCCAAGTCTTTGCTATTGTGAATAATGCTGCAATAAACATACATGTGCATGTGTCTTTATAGCAGCATGATTTATAGTCCTTTGGGTATATACCCAGTAATGGGATGGCTGGGTCAAATGGTATTTCCAGTTCTAGATCCCTGAGGAATCGCCACACTGACTTCCACAATGGTTGAACTAGTTTACAGTCCCACCAACAGTGTAAAAGTGTTCCTATTTCTCCACATCCTCCCCAGCACCTATTGTTTCCTGACTTTTTAATGATTGCCATTCTAACTGGTGTGAGATGGTATCTCATTGTGGTTTTGATTTGCATTTCTCTGATGGCCAGTGATGATGAGCATTTTTTCATGTGTTTTTTGGCTGCATAAATGTCTTCTTTTGAGAAGTGTCTGTTCATGTACTTCGCCCACTTTTTGATGGGGTTGTTTGTTTTTTTCTTGTAAATTTGTTTGAGTTCATTGTAGATTCTGGATATTAGCCCTTTGTCAGATGAGTAGGTTGCGAAAATTTTCTCCCATTTTGTAGGTTGCCTGTTCACTCTGATGGTAGTTTCTTTTGCTGTGCAGAAGCTCTTTAGTTTAATTAGATCCCATTTGTCAATTTTGTCTTTTGTTGCCATTGCTTTTGGTGTTTTAGACATGAAGTCCTTGCCCACATGATTATCTCAATAGACGCAGAAAAAGCCTTTGACAAAATTCAACAACGCTTCATGCTAAAAACTCTCAATAAATTAGGTATTGATGGGACGTATTTCAAAATAATAAGAGCTATCTATGACAAACCCACAGCCAATATCATACTGAATGGGCAAAAACTGGAAGCATTCCCTTTGAAAACTGGCACAAGACAGGGATGCCCTCTCTCACCACTCCTATTCCACATAGTGTTGGAAGTTCTGGCCAGGGCAATTAGGCAGGAGAAGGAAATAAAAGGTATTCAATTAGGAAAAGAGGAAGTCAAATTGTCCCTGTTTGCAGACGACATGATTGTATATCTAGAAAACCCCATTGTCTCAGCCCAAAATCTCCTTAAGCTGATAAGCAACTTCAGCAAAGTCTCAGGATACAAAATCAATGTACAAAAATCACAAGCATTCTTATACACCAACAACAGACAAACAGAGAGCCAAATCATGAGTGAACTCCCATTCACAATTGCTTCAAAGAGAATAAAATACCTAGGAATCCAACTGACAAGGGATGTGAAGGACCTCTTCAAGGAGAACTACAAACCACTGCCCAAGGAAATAAAAGAGGATACAAACAAATGGAAGAACATTCCATGCTCATGGGTAGGAAGAATCAATATCGTGAAAATGGCCATACTGCCCAAGGTAATTTACAGATTCAATGCCATCCCCATCAAGCTACCAATGCCTTTCCTCACAGATTTGGAAAAAACTACTTTAAAGTTCATATGGAATCAAAAAAGAGCCCGCATTGCCAAGTCAATCCTAAGCCAAAAGAACAAAGCTGGAGGCATCACACTACCTGACTTCAAACTATACTACAAGGCTACAGTAACCAAAACAGCATGGTACTGGTACCAAAACAGAGATATAGATCAATGGAACAGAACAGAGCCCTCAGAAATAACGCCGCATATCTACAACTATCTGATCTTTGACAAACCTGAGAAAAACAAGCAATGGGGAAAGGATTCCCTATTTAATAAATGGTGCTGGGAAAACTGGCTAGCCATATGTAGAAAGCTGAAACTGGATCCCTTCCTTACACCTTATACAAAAATCAATTCAAGATGGATTAAAGACTTAAACATTAGACCTAAAACCATAAAAACCCTAGAAGAAAACCTAGGCATTACCATTCAGGACATAGGCATGAAATTCCAACCTACTTCCCTGGGGCCTTCCATATATCCCATTTCCACATGACCCCAGTTTTCATCATGTGACTTGTGGGGAAACCTGGCCAGGTCCTTCAGGCAGCCCAAGTCTCCACCAAGAGCTCAGCTCTTTCCTCTGTCCCCAGAAGTGGCCCTCCGTGGGTACAGCTCAAGGTTCTCAGCCTCCTGCCTGTGCCCACAACTGGCAGATGCCCCTAGAGAGAAGGCACCTGAGACATTGCTCCCCTTCCTGGTTCTCCCCTAGAGAGAAAGCATCTGTAGATGTTTGCTCACCTTCCTGGTTCTCCCCTCTCCAGAGTTCTCCAATACTTGACATGACCTCAGCAGCCTCATGATGCCTTCCAAAGACAATTTTGTGTCCAATAGAGTTTTTCTAGCCGTTCTCAGTAAGCCATGGCCCCATGGTGGCCTCATTCCCACCCAGAACCTGCTGTTGGGGTTCTGAAACAGAGGGCACTGCATGCTGGCCTCATTCCCACCTAGAATCTGCTACTGGGGTCCTGAAGCAGAGGGCACTGCAGGCTCCCTTGTGTGAACGCATCCTTCAGCGAGATTGGAAGATACCCAGTGTGCAGCCGGTGTGACGCCAACCCTGCTATAAAACCTGGAGAATTGTTTGTAAATGGAGGAAGTCATGGAGGCCTCAGATCTGCTGAGATGATTTGTGGATGATTTGCTGGGATTCCCACCGTATGAGAGCAGTGCCAGAGCTTTCTTGCCCGGATGAAGTGTGCTGCAAGCAGATGGCAGCCAGGTGACAGAATGCCACAGTGTGACCCATGACGGGACGGGGGTGAACCGGGTGCTCTCATCCAACACTTACTGAGCCCCTGGAGCAAACTGATTCTCGTGATTTATCTCATTTAATCCTCATGACACTGTGAACTAATCACAGTTATGGTCCCATTTCACAGCTGAGGAAGATGAGGGAGAGGTCGCACTGTCCAGGTCATGTCACTTTAAGTAGCAGAGCCCAAACAGGAACCTGAGTCTGTGGTTCCAGGGCCTGAGCTCTGAGCCACCGTATAGCACAGACCTTGGTGCAGCCATGGGGCCCCTACACCCTTGAACATTCCCCCACAAGGGGATCCTTCCTGGCCTGGCTCCCAAATTAACTCTGGGCGTTTCTCCAATACATTGTTCAGGTTTGGCTCCCACTTGCCACTTGCTCTCCGGGTCTCAAATTGCTGCCATCCACCTGCCCTGTACAGGGAGCCTCACTCATCCACTCACTGCCACCAGTAAGCACCACCCTACACCCTGCACTGGTCCCTGAATGGCCAGAGGGAAGGACCACCCAGAACACTGGTGAAGGCGTTAATCAGGGACCCAGTTCAAGCCAGGCCCTTCTGCTGCTCCTACTCGGTGTCACTGTGAGGTACTGGGAGTGCCCAGGACACAGTGACCCAGGCCTGGACCCGCTGGCACGTTCTGGATAGAGCAGGCCTCACACCAGAGAGATGAGGGCTTCGGGTAAGGACAGACCCGGGCTGGCTGGGCCGCAGAATGTCATCTCCTGCTAGCCGTGGCTTCCTCATCACCAGATCTATAAAAACAGCTTCCCACGGCCGTGAGGGCTCGAGCGAGATAGCGCAGAGGAAATGCTTCCCCACTTGTAAAACTCTCTCTGTGGGCCACTATCGTGCCTGGCCGCCACACTTCCTCTCTGCTCCAACTATGGCCTCGCTCTTCACATGCAGGCAGCTCCCCGAGGAGGTTGTGGGGCCAGGATACAGGGCCTTGTAGACGAGCAAGAATGCATGGTCTCAGGGGGACGGGAAGCCTTCTGAGCGCTTCCTCCAGACTGTGCCGGAGAAGGGGCCTGGCTGCTCCTTGCCCCGGCTGCGGGCCAGCGTCCAGTCTGCTATGTCTCTTGCATGTGCCCCTCTGAGATCAGTGAGAGCCCCCGTCATGCATCCCCAGGGGTCCTGTAACAGAGGACCACACACCGGGGGGCTTCAAACAACAGAAATGCATCCTTGCACGCTTCCAGCGGCCAGGAGTCCTAAGGCATCGGCAGGGCTGACTCCTTCTGGGGTCTCCGAGGGAGAATCCCACTCCATCCGCTCCCAGCTGCTGCTGGCCCCTACTCTTCTCTGCTTGTGGACACTTCAGTCCACTCTGCCTCTGCTGTCCCGTGGATTTTCTCTTCTAAGAACACTTGTCATTGAATTCACAGCCCTCCCTACTTCAGAACAATCTCATCGCTACATCCTTAACTGAACCACACCTACAAAGACCCTTTTTCCAGATGAGGCCACTCTCACAGTCTCTGGGCCGTGGGCTTATTTTTTGGGGCTGCCATTCAACCCCCCTCATCACACTCTCACACTTTCTGAGCTGAGATCCACAGTAAGGAATACACTGTTTCATCTTTGCCCTAGGCACATACTCTCATCCGCAGCTGAAATGCAGTTTCAGAATGTGAATCCTTATCTCACGTTCTGTGTGGTAATGTTTTCTGTTTTCTCTCTGCCTCCTCTTCAGCACTGGCTACACACCCACTAATTGATTCCCAGAGCTCACAGCCTGGATCAAAGTTGTTTCTTTGTTTTGTTTGTTTGTTTGTTTGTTTAGAGACAGAGTCTTGCTCAGTTGCCCAGGCTGGAATGCAGTGGTGCAATCACAGCCCACTGCAGCCTCAACCTCCTGGGCTCAAGTGATCCTCTTGCCTCAGCCTCCCGAGTAGCTGGGACTACAAGTGCATGCCATCATACCTGGCTAATAATTTCAAAATTTTCCTAAGGCTGGGTGCGGTGGCTCACGCCTGTAATCCCAGCACCATGGGAGGCCGAGGCAGGTGGATCGCCTGAGGTTGGGAGTTTGAGTCCAGCCTGACCAACATGGAGAAACCCCATCTCTACTAAAAATACAAAATTAGCTGGGCATGGTGGCACATGCCTGTAATCCCAGCTACTAGGGAGGCTGAGGCAGGAGAATCGCTTGAACCTGGGAGGCAGAGGTTGTGGTGAGCCGAGATCATGCCATTGCACCCCAGCCTGGGCAACAAGAGCGAGACTCCATCCCGAAAAAAAAAAACAAAAACATTCTAGAGACATGCTCTTGCTATATTGCCCAAGCAGCTCTTGAACTCCTGGCCTCAAACGATCCTTCCACCTTGGCCTCCCAAAGTGCTGGGATTATAGGCATGGGCCACCACACTCATCCCAAAGGATTATTTTTGCAAAGCGTCAGCCTCTCCCTACAGCACCCAGCACCTGGGTTCCATGCTAGAGGAAGTCATCCTGATTTGTAAAAGAGGGTTGAAACCAGTTGCTTAAAACCTGCCACACAAGGGTAAAAACCTGAAGCATGATGATGTTCCCAGCAGTGGCATTTGTGAGAGGGAAGAACTGGAAACAACCCAGGTGTCCCCTAATAGGGGAGTGATATGGTTTGGCTGTGTCCCCACCCAAATCTCACCTTGAATTATAGTGTCCATAATTCCCATGGGTTGTGGGAGGGACCCAGTGGGAGAAAACTGAACCATGGGGGCCGTTTCCTCTATTCTGTTCTCGTGGCAGTGAATAAGTCTCATGCGATCTGCGGGTTTTATAAGGGGAAACCCCTTTCTCTTGGTTCTCATTCTCTCTTGCCTGCTGCCATGTAAGACATGCCTTTTGCCTTCCCTCCCCAGACACATGGAACTGTGAGTCCATTAAACCTCTTTTTCTTTATAAATGACCCAGTCTTGGGTATGTCTTAATCAGCGGCATGAAGAAGAACTGATACAGAGAGGCTGAGTAAACACCATGTGGGGTGTTTGCATCACTGAGTATCACACAACCTTTTCACTCATGGTTAGAGACGGAGCAGAAAGGTGGACAGACACCCCAGCACAAAGCCGAGTGAAGAACTCTGAGGAAGGATGCGTGCTTGGGAATGATGCCTCGACCCTGGTGCCTGAAGCCGTGCCTGGTGCGTGGGGCGTCCCTGTTTGCTGAAGGAATGTGGGGACAGAGCACAGGAGCAAAGACTGGCTGGGACCGTGTGAAAGCAGCTTTCCGCTGCCTCTCATCCAGCCCGCTGTGTCCTTCCACAGCACTCATCTCAATTTGTGGTTATTTGACTTTTCTCCTGTCCCTCTGGGCCGCCCGCCCCCTTCGTTAGAATGTAAACTGTGTGGAGCGCAGGCCTCGCCTGTCTTACTGTGCCCTCATCTCACGCTCAGCACCGCGTCCCGCCCTGGGGGCCCCCATGAACATGTGCCGAATGAACGAGCGGAGGAATGGGGGTTGGGGCATTTTTATTAGTTTTCCATTCGCCCAGTCATTTCTAATGTGGATGATTTTCTTTCAAATGATAAGAGCGATGTTGACTTTTCTATGTTTGAAAATAAGATAAAATAAAACAAAACACGCCTGTTGTTTTCTCGGGGCAGGGGTCTGAAGGGAGCCGAGCTCCTTCTGCAGAAGGGCGCTGAGAAGGGAGCTGGAAGGAAAAGAAGGAAACATTCCTTCCTCAACTGGAGGAAGACACGCGGCCACACACAGAACCAGCGGCCCCAGGACCGCCACCCTGCGTGCCCGGGCCTGTCCCTCCTGACCCCAGGATTATAGTGGCGAGGCAGGGTGTTAGCCAAGCGGATTGAGCCAGGACACAGCACCGCGGGGCCCCGCAGGTGGTGAGTGATTTCTTCCTGGTTTTTAACGTCACTGTTGGCGCGGATGAGGTGTGAATCTGGGTCTTGCCTCTGTAACATGCGCTGGAGGAAAGGGCCTTCTTTCTGTTTCATGGTCCCCAGCAAATACTTGGGCAGTACAGGAATGTGGACGGGGTTGGGGGCTGGCCTGGGTGTGGCCTGCAGCGTGGCACTTAGTGGTAAACCCGTCAGCTTCTCTGATGAGGAGACTGAGGCGCAGAGAGGCTGAGCAGCCTGACACGCAGCAGGAGGGCGTCTGGGCTGCACCTCAATCCAGGCTCGCAGGGTCGGAGCCCGGCAAGGCCGCGAGCTCTGCCCGTGTGTCTCTGTGTGTGTGTGTCCATGTGTGTCTCTGTGTAAGTACGTACATATGTAAGTGTGCACGTGTGTGTCTGTAAGCATGTACACGTGTCTCTGTGTGTGCACACACATGTGCCCTGGGCCCACAGCCTTTTGATTCCTTATCTGTGAAGCGCCCAGTGGGTCCCCAGCGGCTCAGGGTGTTGAGCGGCTCAGGATCTGCTGTGCTCTGGGGAGCGGAGGTGCCCCAGCCTCACTGCTGGGCTCACGTGGCTCAGCCCCATGGTGGGATGGTGGGGCCCCAACGCTAATCCTAACCCTAACCTCCGCCTCTGACCATGCAGGATGTGAGCGTGGGCTGCTCTGCTCCCCACTGTACATCCTCCTCACTGGCCCCCCTGCCCCTTCCCCTCAGTGCCTACGGGCGCCTGGCGCAGGGATCACCCGACCCTCTCAGCAGTTTGGACTCTGCCCAACCTCCGTTCCCCACTGGCTTCCTCAGGCCACCTGCCCTCAGCCAGCCATAAATGAGTGGCTGTCTTTGAGTTTCCTCAAATATTCTAAAAATCACCCTTGTGGCACCCACTGGGAGTTGGATTCTGATTTCCCGATGTGGCTGAATTCTGGCTGAATCCCTGCATTGACTCGATTCAGAGTCCCTGAGGTTTAAACTTGAGACACAGTCTCCACTGCTTATCCCAAAATCTTATAGAGTGCGAGGCATTTTGAAGGAGGCTTTAGATCAAAGGCCCCCTTTCTAATCGCCAGAAGGGAAATCGGTGGGCAGGGATTGGGGAGACCCTTCAAAGGGAAGGTGAGGGGCAGGGAGGGTGGAGGGCTTTGCCTTTTTCGGGGAGGAGGTGAATGCAAAGGGGGTGAAGGAGGAGCCGCCCATGCCCTCTGCCGCAGCCTGTGTCTGTGGCCCCCAAATGTGTGTGTTGAAACCCCACCCCCAAGGCCATGGTGTTGGGAGCTGGAGGACATGAGGGTGTGGCCTCGTGGGTGGGATTGGTGTCCTTACAAAGAGGCCCTGGAGAGATCCCTGCCCTTCCCATCACATGAGGACACACAGGAAACACTGCCTATGAACCAGGAAGGGGCCTCCCCACACACGGACCTGCCAGCATCTCCATCCTGGGCTTCCAGCTCCAGAGCTGCCAGCAGGAAATGTCAGCTGTTTGCAAAGTACTTAGTCTCGGGTGTTTTGTTATAGCAGCATGTATGTACTAAGACAGCCTCCCTGACAAGTCCTGAGGTCTCTGGCAGCTGGACCTTCCTGGCTGTCTCAGGACACCCTGGCTCCTTGCACATGGCAGAAGGGCTTTCTCTGTAGCCCCAGGATGGTCGCCCCCCACCTCCCCAGGCTGCAGGGTGCCGTCACAGTGGCCCCGCTGGTGTCTGGGGGCCTTGGTCCATGGTCACTCATGAAACCGAGCCAGAGATTTTTCGCAGGCGTCTGTGCTGGGGGTGGAGGGTGCTAAACGTCTTCCACCTTGTTAAAGTCCTGAGTCTTTTTGGACAGTTGTTTTGGGTTGAATTGTGTCCCCCCAAAAGGCATGTTAAGGCTTCACCCCCAGCACGCAGGATGTGAGCTTGTGAAAATGGGCCTCTGCAGATGTGAGGAGGGTGAGGTGAGGTCGTTAGGGTGGGTCCTTAGGAGGCTGGGAGAAGAGAGGCGTAGGGGAGAGGCCACGTGCAGCGGGAGGCAGAGGCTGGCGTGGTGCAGCTGCCCACTGAGGACCCCCAGGATCGTCAGGGCCTCCCACAGCTGGAGTGGGAAGGGAGCAGACCCTTCCCAGCGCCTCCAGAAGGAGCCGGCCCTGCCCTCACCTTGATGTTGGGCTGTGACCTCCGGAGTTGGGAGAGAGGAGTTCCTGAAGCTTTGCAGCACCCTAGTCTGTGGCCCTTTCTTACGGCAGCTCAAGAGACCAGTGCGGCCCTCCTTCTGGAAAGCAGATGTCACCCTCCAGACACCGATGGTGCTGGGTGATGCTCCAGATGCTCGCCCAGACCTCGAATGTCCCCTGGCAGACAAGGCTCAGGAGGGCCCGAAACAGGCCCTGCCCGCCCCCCAACCCCCACCTCCAGCTCCATTTCCTCCTCCCTTCCTGCCTTTAGTGGTTTCACCGTCTTATTTGCACCCTGCGTACTTCACCTCTGAGTTAAGAAGTGTGGGTTCCAAAGCAAAGGGCGTGTGGGAAATCACGCACCACAGGCTGCACGTTTAAATTCCAGCCCCCTGTGTTCCACCCGGGAAGGATTCCCAAAAAATGCCCTGCGCGTTTCCACCCGTGCCTCCTCCGCGCCGGGGCCTGCGCGTTTCCACCCGTGCCTCCTCCGCGCCGGGGCCTGCGCGTTTCCACCCGTGCCTCCTCCGCGCCGGGGCCTGCGCGTTTCCACCCGTGCCTCCTCCGCGCCGGGGCCTGCGCGTTTCCACCCGTCCCTCCTCCACGCCGGGGCCTCCACACTTTGCAGCCACTGCAGGGATCCCTGCGGCCAGAGCTTGCTGCCTCTGTGTTTGAAAGCCCCTTGCCCGTCGTGGGGATACATAAGGGCGGGCACCTGACTAGTCTTGTTCCCACTGTCTCCCCAGGGCCGGGAACAGTGTCTAGCACAGGAAGAGAGAGGAAGCGGGGAAGGGGGAGGAAGGAGGATGGAAGGAGGCCGGGAGGACCCGTCAACCGCCACTCAGCCGTGCCTGGCCTCAGGCTGCCCCCACCCCTTCTCTCTGTCTCCTGGCTCCTGGCCTGGGAGGCCCACACCGGCCTCCAGTCCCTCCCTCAGCTTCTCCCTGTCTCCCCATCTCCCTGTCTCCCTGTGTCCCCGTCTCCCCATCTCCCCATCTCCCCATCTCCCCATCTCCCCGTCTCCCCTTCTCCCTGTCTCCTGGCCCCCGGCCTGGCCCCCCCCTTCTCCCTCCCTCGAGTCTCCCCACTGCCCCATCTCCCTGTGTCCCCGTCTCCCCTTCTCCCTCCCAAGGGTGCCTGCCTTGATGCGTATTTTCCATATGTTCATCTCTGTGTTGACGTCCCCAACAATGATGGAGACGTTGTTTCCCGTCACCGCTGTAACAAATGCCACACACCGGAGGCTTAAAACAACAGAAACGCATCCCCCACAGCCCTGAAAGCAGAGGGCTGGCATCAAGGAGCCGGCCCAGGGGTGCCAGCCGTCCTCGGCGTTCCCCGGCACGCAGGTGTACCCCGCCAGGCTCCGCCTCCATTATTATGGGACCTTGGCTCACAGGTGCACCCCGCCAGGCTCTGCCTCCATCCTTAGGGGAACTTGGCTCACAGGTGCACCCAGCCAGGCTCCGCATCCATCGTTACAGGGCGTTGTTCCTTCCATGTCTTCATGTGGCTCCTCCTTTTCTTATGGGGACACCCACCGTTGCATTTAGGGCCCCCGATCCAGTATGACCTCGTCTAAGCTGAACTGATCACGCCTGTAAAGACCCTCTTTCCAAATAAACCCATCTTCTGAGGTTGCAGGAAGACGTGGCTTTGGAGGACACTGTTTGGCTCACTGGGAGGGTGTGGGCTGTGGAGCAGGGGGACCCTGCCTCGCTCCTTGGTGCTGCCTGCCGGCTTCGCAGGCTCCGAGCAACGGGATGAGGGCCCCACTGCGCAGGTCGCCCTGTGGGTCCCGTGAGACAGCACACACGGCGCCTGGCATGGGCGCTGGGTCTGGGCCCTGGGGTGTGTGTCCTGGGGCCTTGCCTTACAATGGCACCTGCCCCGCAGGACTACTGCGGGATTCCCGAGATAAGCCCTATAGCAGCCCTGTCAGAGCAGAGGAGAGGGCACGGCAATGGTGGTTTACTCTCTACTCTCAGACAAGCTGATTAAAGCAGAGACGCACCCCTGGGGAGGAGAATATTTTCCGTAACTTATTTTGAAAGCTCATCCTGAGTGTCCAAACCTGGCAACTCCTGTTTTTTTGCAAAATATTCTCATTATGAGAAATTTGGAAAACACATAAAAGTAGATAAAGGACCAAAAAGACACCAAAGCCAGCTCTTACTCATCTTCTGGAGAGTTTCCTTCCGGCCTTGCTTTGCTCCCCCTGTGAATTGTTTCAATAGTTGGGATTGACCTGGAAAACAATTTTCATACAACTCCTGGGAGGCCTGCCTGTGTCAGATGTCATAAATGGCTTTTATTTTTAATGCAACACACACCAGTTTGGCCATGGGCTCCCAGTGTCTGGGTGGACGGGGTCTGGTGAGGCAATGTGGGGGCTCAGCAGCAGCATCGGGCAGAAGCCAGGCGGGGAGGGAGGCACAGCAGCCGGGCACCCATATCTGCCGTCCTCACCGTCCTTGTCAAGGTAAGAGCTGAGCCATCTGCAGTCCACGGTCAACAAACAGCATTTAACCCATCACCTCCCCGGGACTGCAGACTTTTCCAAAACTTCAAACATGAGAATTTATTTTGCACTTCACTAAAAATGAATCAACTTAAAGGAGAATAAAAAAGTCAAACCAAGATAAAGAGATAAAATCGATGTAAATATTTTCACCAATTTTCCAATATTTTTCTCGAGAAAAAAAACAACCGGAGAGACTCTAGTGAAGATCTTGACAAGACATGGCATTTGTGCTGGCTCCAGCCTCCTCCGCGAGCAGCCCGTCAGGCGGCAGGAACCTGCCACTCCTGGGAGTAAAAAGCTGCTCTCGGGAACCCTCCTGCTTCTCGGGCACACCAGCCCTGGGAGGACTTAACGATGATCTGGAGGAAAAAGAGGCTGCACGAGGTTGGAGGCAGCTTGTTTTCCGTTCCTGCCAAGACCCTCTGTGGTCATTACGTGCGGTGCTTGTGCTAGTCCTGTCTGAATGATGAATGTGTGCGTGTGTGCTGATGTCACGCGTGTGGATGTCACACGTGTGGATGTCACGCTTGTGCGCTGATGTCACGCGTGTGGATGTCACGCGTGTGTGCTGATGTCACGCGTGTGGATGTCACGTGTGTGTGCTGATGTCACGCGTGTGGATGTCGCGTGTGTGCTGATGCCATACGTGTGGATGTCACACGTGTGTGCTGATGTCACGCGTGTGGATGTCATGCAGGACCGCAGCTCCCTCCTCACCAACAAACTGCTTCCCACAACAATGGTGCCTCTGTGCACACCTCCTCCTCCACTCTGCCCCGCTGTGGTCCAGGAGCCCAGGGAGGGTGAACAGCAGGGACCCCCCAGCAGGTGCAGCAGGGCCGGTGGCTCTCCCAGGGGCACGGGGCCAGTGGCTCTCCCGGGGGCGCGCTCTGTTCTGGAGGACTCTGTGCCACTCTGGTTGGGTCTGGGATCCAGGGCAGCAGCCTACTTTCTCAGGGCCCTTTCTGTCCGGTCCTCATCCACTCTCCATCGGGAAGGCTCAGACTGTTTCCAAAGTCCAGTGTCCCTTTCCCTCCGGTCCTCATCTGCTCTCCATCAGGAAGGCTCAGACTGTTTCCAAGGTCCAGGTGTCTTTGGCTTTCATTGACGATGGAATGAAGATTTTGGGTTCTAGTCCCGCTCGTGGTTTTCCCAGAAATTCCAAGGAAGAGAGAACACAGCAGAACCACCCTTCCACCTTCAGCTGGAGCCTGGAAACAGCCAGAAAGGGCTGATCCGAGGCTGCCGTCTGCTGTCTGCTTCAGGATTGCTGAGGCGGCCTCTGGCCTCTGGGCCTGGGCCCCCAGAGGCAGGCCTTGGGAGCAAGATTTGGGGGTGACCCCAGGCAGCCCTGGGGAGTGGGCAAGTCAGGCAGGAAAGGAGCTGATAAGGGCTGATGAGCAGGGGTCACTGTGGGTAACTGGGCTCTGAGCCTCTGGGGACTCCCCTAGAGGAGCGGAACGTGGAACGCACCAAGGAGTGGGCAAGTCGGGTGGGAAAGGAGCTTATGAGGGCTGATGAGCAGGTGTCGCTGTGGGTAACTGGGCTCTGAGCCTCCGGGGACGCCCCCTCTCCCGCCAGAGAGTGGAACGCACCAAGGAGTGGGCAAGTCGGGCGGGAAAGGAGCTTATGAGGGCTGATGAGCAGGTGTCGCTGTGGGTAACTGGGCTCTGAGCCTCCGGGGACCCCCCCTAGAGGAGTGGAACATGGAACGTACCAAGGAGTGGGCATCTGTCCCGCAGTCCCCACCCGCTGCTGAAGCGGCTGCTCCCATGGCCTCCCTCCCTGGCCCCGTGGCCTCTCCTGTGGACAGGGAGCAAGCTGCCTGGCAGAGGCCCGGGCTCTCACAGCGGGAGCTGTCAGCATGCTGGGGACGGTGAGTGCCAGGTGCCATGGGCCAGAGCCTTTGGTGTAGGCTCTGGCGAAGGGACCCAGGACACACGGCTGGAACTCTAAAAGTCCTGGGAATCTGACATGTCACACGGGAGAAAACCTCAGACCAGCCGCACGTGCCCTCCCCTCCCCCAACACACGCAAGCCCTTCCCGGGCTGGAGAGACGGTGGCTCCTGGTGGTCATGCCAGTTGGTTCATGCTCATCAGAACCCATGGATGGCATTGCCTGGGGGACTTCCAGGATAGCAGGGGAAGGCAACACTGTTGCCCAAACGGGAGGAACAGGACCACATCGGTCAGAGCCCAGCAGGAGGGAGACAGCACCTGGAGGAGGGCTTCACAGTGCTGAAAAGGTTTGGGCGGGGCTCAGGGAACCTGTGTGAAGGGACCGAGGACCCTGTGAAAGAGAAGCCCCATCGCCCTAAGCCTGAAGGCTGGGGTGGGACTGGGGTGGTGTCCTTTCTTGGAATCCACAGAGGACAGGTGTGTCAGTGCCACGGGGCTGCGACGAGATGACCACAGGCTCACAGCTCTGTCAGCTCTGGAGGTCAGAAGTCTGGCACACACCTCGCTGGGCTAAAATCAGGGTGTGTGAGGGCCGGTTCCTCCTGGGACCTCCAGGGGAGGGTCCTTTTCTTACCTTTGTGGCCTCTGAGGCCGTTGCACTCCTCGGCTCATGGCCCTTCCTCCACCTTCCAGGCCAGCAGCGCAGCCTCTTTCCATTTCTCTCTGACTCTGTGTTCCTTCTCACACCTCCTCCTCCTGTGAGCCCCCCGCCTCCCTCTTCAAGGACCCTGGGATGACACTGAGCCACCGGGACAACCCCGGGCCACTCCCATCTCAAGAGCCTTCACTTACTCACCTGCTCAGTCACGTCTGCATGTAAATATCACCAGGGAACATATTCCCAGGATCTGGGATTAGGATGTGGGCATCTTTGGGGGCCATTATTGAGCCAATAACAGTAAAGTCTGAAGGTGCCCGTGATGGGCTTTTTGGGGTGCAGCCAAGCCGCAGGAGGCAGGGAATGAACACCCGGCCCCAATCTCCCTGCTGCCACACTCTGCATGGACCCAGGCATGGTGGACCCTCCGGGCAGGCTCCTGGACCTGGAGCCTGGAGGGAAGGCAGGGCGGGCGCGAGGAGGGTATCTGGCCCTCAGACCTCGACCACGCAAAGGCTGGGCACTGCCAACGTTGACGGCAAGGTCCCTGCTGAGGCTGCAACAGTTCCCAGGTTCAAGAAAACTAGAGCACGAAATCACGCTGAGTCCTGCCACTTCTTTCCCAGCCTCAACCTGAGGGCAGGATGAAAGGATTGCCCTGCACAGCCATCGGGCTGTTTCAGTGATTACCTGGATGTTTAGAACACAGATTTTAAAAACCTCCCCCACCCAATACGGCTGGTCAATGAGAGAGACACCACTTTGGGAGGTGGCGTCAACAGCTCCCCCTCCCACCACCACCCCGCCTCCCAATTCCCTGGGACAGCTGGACCAGGCCTGGGACTTTCGGGGGTGTCCAGGCACTGGCCACTGCAATCTCTGGAAAGAGTAGAGAAACCCCAGCATCTTTCCTCCATCCTGATTAGGCCTGCCCTTTGCGGAAATCATTCTTGTCCCAGTTAACGCTGTCCTTGTTTTGAGAAGAGGTGCCCTGGGTGCAGTGATGCGTGGGTAGCAGGCTGTCCGGGAGCTCTCTGCCTGAGAGAGGGTCAGCCTGCGGCAAGAGGGTAGCTGCAGAGTGATCAGGCCACGGCGGCTTCTGCTGGCCCTGAGAACGCCCTGCCTGGGGCTGGGTCGGGTCTGTTTGGCAGCATTGCCCAGATTGCAACTCATGTGTCCTTGAACAAAGTCAATGTGTTTTTCCTCTCCAGAGCCCAGCAACTATTTGACATTCGGAGCTGCTCCTCAGGGTTCTGGGCACGTCGCATATTGCGCCCCAGCCTTCTCAGCAGCCAGGAGCTGGGAGGTGGAGGGGCCTGTGGTCTGGCCGCCGCCTAGCAGGCCTGCATGGCCACCTCCAGCCGGGTGCAGGCTGGCTGGGGTGGGGCTGCCCTTGACCTTGGGCTCTTCCTCCTCCGCCAGATCCTCAGGCGCTGGCTCAGCCTCCCACGGCCCGGGGGAGCCTCTGTCTGCTCCTTCCAGCCGTTCAAGGACGAGGCTTCCGAAAGACTCACTGTTCCTGTGTGGGGAACTGAGGCCGTGTGAAGGCTGGATGAACCGCTGCTGTGGCCTGGTGAGAAAGAGGCTGTGGGCACCGCGGCAAGCATCTCCCCTCCCACAGTGCCAGAGAGCCGTCCCCGCCAGGTTCTTTGTGTGTGTAGCCTCGTTTCTGCTTCTGTTTTCATTGTGGGGCTTGGGAGGAAATCGCCAACCTTCAGCACTGGGGCAGCCCCACCATGGCCAGTGGTTTGTCAATTCCTTTTGTCCCTGCCTGTGTCCAAAGTCTGGGGGCCACCTGGGAACCTGAACATCATTGCCGTCTTCCTGGCCTGGGCCGTGGGCTCACTTTGTTATTCCTCTTGGAAATTTGGCCAGGCCACCTTGGATGGGCCCCAGGCAGCAGGGGGCTACTGGATGCCGTGTTCTGGAGGTTTCTGCGGGAGGGAAGGCGCCCAAATGTATAGCAGCTGGCCTTGACTGGGTTCTGTTTTGGTGAGGGAGTTTGATTAGGCTTAGGGCCGCCTGGGCATGAAACAGGATCCCAAAACCTCAGCCCCATGACTCTCCCACTCTCCCACCAGGGGAAGGCAGATGTTTTGGGGCCGTGATGGGCTGGCCTGGCTGTGCCGAGGTGCCTGGAGGCAGATCTGTTTCAGGACCCCGATGGGGACGTAGAGGATGCGGGAAGCCCATGAGTGCCTCCTGTGCGCGAGCGCTTTGGTGAGCGCAGTGCAGCCGCCTTCTTGGTTGCTGGTGGACGTTCAGCCCTAATACCCTGCTCTCTCGCCCGCAGCCCCGTCTGAAGCCCCTGAAATTTGAACCTTGGTTTAGGGATTTGGCCTGTTTGTCAGTGGGTTTTCCACATGTGGTTTCCACAGGAACTTTTGCTGTTTAAGTGCTTTTTTAAACGATGAAATTATCTTTTTCCTATTGGGATGAGCTCACTGGCTTTTGTGTGGGCTGCAGGCGCTGGGTGATTGGAAGGGCCATGGACTTCTGAACCCAGAGGAGAAGCCCTGTGTACAAAAGCCGCTGGGTCTCAGCAGTCCCCGAGGAGGTGGTTGTGAACGTAGCACCAACTTCTTTGATCTTCTGAGATCACTGCGTTTTTCTAGTAAGGCCCCCATGGAAAGCTTAGCATGCAGGCACGTGGGTCGTGGCCTCCCTCTTGAGTGAGCTGAAGGATTTAAGAACTGTCAGCTTCCTATATTATAGATGGGATGGGATTTAACATCTGCAGCAGCCAGACTTTGTAAGGGCCAAGAAACTTGTGTGACCTTGTGTGATCTTGAGGGGCAGGGAGAAGACCTTTAGCTCAGAACGGTACAAAGAATTAACGCTGAGGACGAAGCCAGGGAGGGGAACCAGAGCCGGAGCTGGGCTAAGCCAGTTTCCACCTCCCATCTCGCAGCGCAGACCGGGGCTGGCTCCAGCCTCGCAGCGCGGACCAGGGCTGACCGTGGCACAGCCTGTGGATCATCCACCAGGGGTGCCTGAGGGGACCGGTTTGGACGCAGCCCGTGGGGAGCTGGGCGCGCTCTTCTGGAGCTGGACGGCCTCCAGGGTCCCCTCAGAGTGTCTCCGATGGGGAGGCTGGACACAGCGTCCCTGAACCAAGGGGGCAGTGCTCTCGTCACAGAGCAGAGGGCCGCACCGCCCGTGTTTGTCTTTCCCATTGCAGCTTCTCAGGCCCTAGGCCAGGCCTCGTTCCCATCAGATAAAGCCTGGGGCGGCCGGACGCAGTGCAAGCAATCGTGCCTGACTCACAGGAAGGGAGGAAAACAGGAATTCACGCAGAAGCTGTAATGTTCCCCCTTGGCCCTGGGAAGGGTGTGAAGGGATGTGCGGGGGGGCAGGCGGCCGAGCGGGGTGGGGGCGGCTCTGCCCTTCCTCGCCCCCTTCCAGGTGCCTAGACTTGGGAAGGAGAGGGATGCCGCCAAGCTCGGGTCCTGCAGGGCCCCGGCCTTCTGGTGTGGGATCTGGCTTGGGAAGGCCCGGCGCTGGGGCTGCTGCTGAAATTCTTGAGACTGGTTGACAAGGGATCCCGTGGTTTCATTTCGCACCGGGCCTCTCCAGGGATGGAGAGGGTCCTGACTGGCAGTGTCGAAGCCACGGGGTCTCTCCTTGGTCCCTGGCTCCCCTCACAGCCCTCCCTGCCCATGGAGCTCCGGGCTTCCGCACACATTTCTCTCCTTTTTAACGGCTCATTTCTTTGGGTTCAGCAGTACCTGGGTCCCCAGTGCCCTCCTTCTGAGGCTCTCTCCTTTGAGTGGCCACCCTCCCCCAACACACCTGGAGCGCGGAACTGGGAGTGCCGTGGACACCAGCCCTCCCTGGCCCAGAGCCTCTGCCTCTCCTGGGCCTCCCAAGAGTAAAACCTCTCCACGCCAGACCAGGCTGCAAACCTGGATTTGAAACCAGCGCTGTCGCACTCCTTGAACTGTATCAGGGGTTTTCAGTAGCGGGACGGGAACCAGAACCCAAAAGAGGCTCCTTCCTTGTCTTGAATTCCTCCCACCTGAGTTAGCATCTTGGAGGTCAACGTTTCAAGGAATTCAGTATCTGAGAAGAGAAAGACACCAAACCGTGGTTCCCCATGAGGACTTGTTGCTGAAAAAAACATCTAACTCCATACAATATTTGAAGAGAGTTATTCTGAGCCAGATGTGAGGAGCGTGACCCGTGACACAGCTCCAGGGGGTCCTGAGGACATGTGCCGCAGGGGGTTGGGCCACAGTGTGAGCTCATACACTATGGGGACAGGAGGTTCAGGCAGAGTCAGTCAATACTTGACAGATGTGCGTTGGCTCTGCCCAGAAAGGCGGGATGACTTCAAGGTGAGGAGGGGCTTCCTGGTCACAGGTGGGTTCAAAGACTTTCTGATTAGCAATTGGTTGAGAGAGTTAAGTTATTATCTGATCACCTGGACTCAACAGAAAGGAGTGTCTGGATTAAGATAAGGGGTTGTGGAGACCAAAGTTCGTATTCTGTAGAAGAAATCTCATAGGGGGCTGCCCTTCAAGGCAATAGATGGCAAATGTCTCCTATTGAGACCTTTGAAATGTGCTAGATGCTAAGCCCATCTCTCCAGCATCAGAAAAAGCCCTGGAAAGGGAAGAGGATTCTCTACAGAATGTGGATTTTCCCCACAAGAGACAGCTTTGCGGGGCCGTTTAAAATTATGTCAAACACTCTATTCCTTCCAGGACCTGCTCCCTGTCATGTGATGTTATACTAGACTCGGGTTGGAATTTGGTGTCTTATTGCTACAAACAGCCTGTGCTGTCAGTCTTAAAGTCTCAGTTTTAATGTGAGTGCTGGTCAGCTGGGCCTGAATTCCATAGGGAGGCGGGTATAAAGAGACGTGTCCGACCCCCACTTCCCATCACAGCCTGAACTTGTTTTTCAGGTTTACTTTGGAATCCTCTTGGCTGAGAAGAGGGTTCCATTCAGTTGGTTGGGGAGCTTAGAGTTTTATTTTTGGGCTGGGCGCGGTATCTCACGCCTGTAATCCCAGCACTTTGGGAGGCCGAGGCAGGTGGATCACCTGAGGTCAGGAGTTCAAGACCAGCCTGGCCAACATGGCAAAACCCCATCTCTACTAAAAATACAAAAATTAGCCGGGCGTGGTGGGGGGTGCCTGTAAGCTCAGCTACTCTGGAGGCTGAGGCAAGAGAATCGCTTGAACCTGGGAGGCGGAGGTTGCTGTGAGCCGAGCTAGTGCCACTGCAGACACAGCGAGACTCTGTCTCAAAAAAAAAAAAAATTATATTTGGTTCACAGACTTAAAAGAATCAGTGCTCTGCCAAGCAAACCAGCATCCCTCTAATTTTTTCTTAATTAATAAACTATTTTTAAGAGCAGCTTTAGGTTTCAGAAAATAGAGCAGATAACAATTACCATATCCCTTCTCTCCATCCTCCCTTGCCCTCCAGTTCCACTACTGAGAACATTCTGTGGGTGCTGACAGATGAATCATGGCACACGATCCCCATTACAGTATCACAGAGCAGCTTCCTGGGCCCCTAAATCCTCCATGCTCCTGCCACGGACCCTCCCTGCCCTCCTTGCTCCTGCCACTCACCCTCCCTGCCCTCTGTGCTCCTGCCAGTCACCCTCCCTGCCCTCTGTGCTCCTGCCACGCACCCTCCCTGCCCTCCGTGCTCCCGCCACTCACCCTCCCTGCCCTCCGTGCTCCCGCCACTCACCCTCCCTGCCCTCCGTGCTCCTGCCACTCACCCTCCCTGCCCTCTGTGCTCCTGCCAGTCACCCTCCCTGCCCTCTGTGCTCCTGCCAGTCACCCTCCCTGCCCTCCGTGCTCCTGCCACTCACCCTCCCTGCCCTCCGTGCTCCTGCCACTCACCCTCCCTGCCCTCCGTGCTCCTGCCACGCACCCTCCCTGCCCTCCTTGCTCCTGCCACGCACCCTCCCTGCCCTCCGTGCTCCTGCCACTCACCCTCCCTGCCCTCCGTGCTCCTGCCACTCACCCTCCCTGCCCTCTGTGCTCCTGCCAGTCACCCTCCCTGCCCTCCTTGCTCCTGCCACTCACCCTCCCTGCCCTCCGTGCTCCTGCCACTCACCCTCCCTGCCCTCTGTGCTCCTGCCAGTCACCCTCCCTGCCCTCCGTGCTCCTGCCACGCACCCTCCCTGCCCTCCTTGCTCCTGCCACTCACCCTCCCTGCCCTCCTTGCTCCCGCCACTCACCCTCCCTGCACTCTGTGCTCCTGCCAGTCACCCTCTGCCCAGCCCCGGCAGCTGCTGATCTTTCTTGTTTTCATGGTTTTGCCTTTTCCTGAATGTCATGGAGTTGGAATCACACAGTATCCAGCCTTCTCCAATGGGCTTCTTCACCTAGCAGCACCTAAGACTCCTCCCTGCCTTTTCACAGCCTGGCAGTTCCTTTCTTTATAGCACTGAAAAATATTCCATTGTCTGGAGGGACCCCAGCCCATCCATTCACCTATGAAGGTATCTTGGTTTCTCCTAAGTTTCTGGAGATGATGAAATCCACCCTCTAATTTTCACCTGTTTCTCTGTGCTCCGCCCCTCCCAACTGGGAGCTCTGACGGGGAGGGGGATGCCCACGCTGCCATGTGGCCGGCAGCACCCACTCACCCTGTGTCTGCTGAACTGCATGGTAGGGAACAGAAGGGAGGCTGGAAGTTCCCCGTGGGAAGGGAGAGAGGAATGAGCCCTTCTGTCCCTCTGTCGGGTGGAGAGCCGCACAAGTGACACACAGGGGTCCCTCCCTGATGCTGCTGGGAAGGAGGCAGGAGGAAGGGATGTCCCAAAGTGGGACGCAGAGACCCTAGATAGATAGACCCTAGGTAGACCCTAAATAGACCCTAGATAGACCCTAAATAGATAGACCCTGGATAGATAGACCCCAGATAGACTCTAGGTAGACCCGAGGTAGACTGCCTGGGTCTTTCCAAGCCAACTTGAGGGCTTCCCTTAGGAGGCCACTGTCCAGGTCCTCTCTGGGTTGGAGACTGGGGTTTGCCAATCACCACTTAATTTAAACACTTTAAAATGTATATATCTGAGAACATTCAGGACCAGAAGGCAGTGAAGTTGATAGCTTCCTATCAACCCTCTTAAAACCATGGAGATCCCAGCCTTCTCTGCAGGGAAGGGGGCAGAGCCCGGAACCTGACCCTGGGGCAGCCATGCCCTGTGATAATCCACCAGAGCCCAGCAGCCCACTGTCCTTGTTGAGAAGAGCAGGCGCCTCTGCTTTGTAGTGGAATCACTGCATACAGAACATGCTTCTGAAAGTTCCTGCCCCTCAGCCTTGTGGAGATCCGGCCTCCCTCCCTCCCATGGCCTTGGCTGTCTGCCCAGCTTCAGGAGATACAGTCCAGCCTCCTTGGTGACTGTGTGAGGCTGGGTGAGTCACTGCCCCCTTTCTGACCTTGTCTGATTCATGGTAAAACGGGCTATGAGTAACTGGTTTAATCTTGCACATGAACTGGGATTGACTGGTAATGGCTGTCTGGAGTCTGGGTCTAGCTCTGTGTAGATTAGACATGTCTGCCATGGTGCGGGTGAGGGAGGTGGGGTTGTGCCGAAGTCTCTGCCATCGGCTATTCTCTGGGGTTTTTCTACTGGTCCTACTCGTTTTTGTTCATTTTATAATCCAGAGTTGTGAGTTGGGTAGATCAGCTGGGAAAAAATTGAAAAGTAGTTGTTTTAATTATTTCCCCTTTATGTGGTTAAAAAGAAGATGAAGAAGATTCTTTAAGTTCTAGCATTGACTGTTGAAAGCCACTTATATAAAAGGTGCCAAGAACTACAGGATTCTTTCATCTACTGCTTTGCTTCAGGTGAGACTTGGAATATGATGGGATCAGGAATGGGTCTGAGTGCGAATTTTCATGATGGTCTCTCTTTTTTTTTTTTTTTGAGACGGAGTCTCGCTCTGTCACCAGGCTGGGGTGCAGTGGCGCGATCTCGGCTCACTGCAAGCTCCGCCTCCCAGGTTCACGCCATTCTCCTGCCTCAGCCTCCCGAGTAGCTGGGACTACAGGCACCTGCCACCACGCCCGGCTTATTTTTTTTTTTTGTATATATATATATATATATATATATATATATATATATATATATATATATTTTTTTTTTTTTTTTTTTTTTTTTTAGTAGAGACAGGGTTTCACTGTGTTAGCCAGGATGGTCTCCATCTCCTGACCTCGTGATCTGCCTGCCTTGGCCTCCCAAAGTGCTAGGATTACAGGTGTGAGCCACCATGCCTGGCTAACAATCACTGTGGTCTCTTAATGACAGTGTTATCTTGCATGCCCAGAAATTTACATTATTTCCAGCTTGAAATTGCCCAGCTAGGTAGGTATTACAATCTGATGGTGGAAAAGCTCAGGCAGACCTGCCCAGGCCCCATTGGCGGTGGAGGGGCTGCTGCTCTGGCCTGTGCTCGGGGCCATCGATCCTCCTGCCCAGAGAAGAGCCAAACACCCATGCCCATTGGTGACTGACCCTGAGCCGGCGATGCTGGCTGCCTATGATGATTTAAGGGGGTGATTCTCAAAGCCTGCTCTGTCCTGCCAGCCCCAATCAGCAGTGGGAGGTGCTCCCGGTCATTTCTGGAGGTCAGGACGTGTCTTCTCACACGGGTTTCTTTCACTTAGCCACAGTGTGGCCTGACCTTCAGAAATGAGTCACTTAAGGAGGAGTGGGAGGAAGTCCAGTCATTCCTCTAATAATCGTGTGATGGGGGAAGAGAGAGAGATTTGGAGGGAGGGAATGAGAGAGGCAGAGAAAGAGCATGGTGGGAGAGAGGCCACAGCTAGCAGCTGACAGTTGCCCAGGGCTGCGTGGGGAGGCTGGCCTTTCTGTATGGGATCGGTCACGGGCATGCTGACCGCCTGGCCTCAACACTGTGCCCACCAGGTGCAAGAATTGAAAAGGGAATGCACTAATATGCAGAACGTGGGGTCCACAGAGACGCAGATGCATCAACCAGAGAGCGAGAGAAGCGTCTCTGGAGCTGGGATAGGCCACTGTGTAAGATGCAAGGCTGGAGAGTGGGTATCTGCCAACCCCAGAGCCCTCAAAATAGGGGAAATTAACCGCTCCAGGTGGAAGGCAACTTAGGGATATTTTGGAGACAGGCACATCACCACTGTCACCTGCAGCCACGGGCAACCGCGAGTTGGTTTGAAGGATGGTTGAAAAGAAAAGCCCCTTGTGATGGAAAAGTCCTTCCCGGCCCACTTCCCCTCCCCAGCTGACGCCAGGGACCCTCAGTGTGCCCCAGCCTGCACCGCCAGCCCTCTCTCAGTGGGGGTAAGAGACACACAAGCCACCTGCCACCGAGGCCCACCCCAGGGGCTGGGCGGAAACCCCATCTTCCTGCAGGCCCTGGCTGCCAGGAGGGCCGCCCACACCATGTCAGACGCTGCCTGGCAGGGCTCTGCCATTGTCCCTGCTTGGTCACGGAGCAGCATGGGTTAAAAGTGCTATTGTTAGGCCGGGCGCAGTGGCTCACGCCTGTAATCCCAGGACTTGGGAGGCTGAGGCAGGCAGATCACTTGAGGTCAGGAGTTTGAGATCAGCCTGAGCAACATGACAAAACCCTGTCTCTACTAAAATTAGCTAAGTGTCATGGCACGCACCTGTAATCCCAGCTACTTAGGAGGTTGAGGCAGGAGAATTGCTTGAACTCGGGAGGTGGAGGTTGCAGTGAGCCAAGATCGCGCCACTGCACTCTAGCCTGGGCGGCAGGGTGAGACTCCCTCTAAAAAAAAAAAAAAAGCCCTATTGTCACATGAAAAGTTTATTTGTTGGGGACCTGTAAGGCTCAAGAGAATAAACCCAGACTTGGTGGCAGCTCTGTTGGTGGCTGAGCTCTGGGGACAGTGCTCTCACTGGGGTGGGCTCAGGTGTCACCAGGGCCCAGGCGACAACTGGGGAGCCAGCACTGAACCAGACACAGTGGTTGTCCCTCCCTTGCACTCATGACAGGCTCAGGGTCCTGGCAGGCGCTTGCAGAGCCCACTGGCAGGGAGTGTTGACATCCGGTCCCCACCCATCCCGATCACACCACTGATGTCATCACCTTGTACCCCTGGGATGCTTCATGGCCTCTCCACCATGCACACTGGAACATGGGGAGAAGGATGCCATGTCTGAGGTGGTATGAGATGACAAGGAGCATGCTTGGGGCCGGTGGAACAACGTGCTCCCAGCTGCCCCTGCCCTTCAGGGTGAGGGACCTGCTCCAGCAAGTTCAGGGCCCCGTGGAGACTCAGCCTGGAGAGGAGAGGCTCAAGGGCTCCTCCCGGAGTTCTGGGAATGTGTGGGAGATGGGGGCACCCTGCAGCTGGAAGGCGCTGTTTCCCGCTGCTGTGCAGACAGGATGGGAGGAAGGGGGTTCATGCCGTACCCAGGGAATTTGGCGAGACTGTTAAAGGCTGAGCAAGGAGCTCATGAGGCTTTGGTGGGGCTGGCATGGGTCCCCCAACCCTGGACGTCGCAGACAGCACCACCTGCAGGTGGCCCAAGCCATCCTTCAGGAAAGGCACTCGAGCCCAGCGCTCTGCAACCGGCTCTAGTGGTCAAGGGTGAGGAGCCTGGAGCCCCACACTGGGCCCTAAGGTTCAAGGGCTTCTCATCAGCGGCTTCTCATCCGTCTCACCCTGGTCTGCAGCTTCTTCTCTAAATGCATTTTCAAAATTCAAAATGCATTCAAAATTCTTCAACAATGCATTTCTGCACAGCTCTGGAGGCCAGAGTCCGAGTCAGGGTGCCGGCAAGGCTGGCTCTTCTGAGGCCTCTCCCTGGCTTGTCGAGGCCGCCTTCTCCTTGTGACCTCACTTGGCCATCCCTCTGTGCATCTATGTCCTAATCTTCTCCTAGAAGGACACCAGGCAGATTGGACTGGGGCCCACCCAGATGACCTCATGCTACCTGAGTCACCTCTCTAAGCCTGTCTCCAAATACGGTCACATTCTTAGGCCCTGGGGGTTAGGACTTCTACATGTGCACTTTGGGAGGACCTAGTTCAGCCCAGAGCAGATGGGAGGAAGCTCCAGCCTGACCACCGCCCCCTTTCCCAGGCAGGGTCCTAGGCAGCAGCGGGTTGAGGGTCAGCCTGGTTCCCACAGCGAGGATGCTAGCCATTGCCTGAAAGCATGAGGCATCTCCGGCACATGGGGCTTGGCACTGTCTCTAAAGCCCAGGGTGTTTACACATTCCTGTCATGGAGGGGAAAACCCAAGGAGCAGCAGCCTGGAGCACGCATTCACCCCTGCCTGCCAGGGCTTCGGAAGGAGCTAGCTGGGAAACCATGAGTCAAGGAAAATCCTTTATGGAATGAACAAAAACAAAAGGAACAGAAGCCTTTGACTCAGCTCACCGAACCCCACAGGGAGACACTGATGCGGTGGGGGATGTCTACCCGCCTAGTGTCTCCAAACTCACTGCTGGCCAGCCCGGGTATTCTGCATCCCCTGGGCCCACTTTCCGCTGCTTTATCATCACTGCTCATGACAGGGCTCAGCAAGTGGCTCACGAGGCTGGAAGACAGTGAATTGTCCTTGGCTGGTGGCCAGCTCATAAGCTCCTCATGTGACCACCATAGAATGGCACCCACCTGAGATAGTCAGTGTTGGTCCATTGGTCACCAGTGCTGACAGATCCGTTCACAGCCTGACAGCACTCACTCTAAGCCTGCTCAGTCATGGATGCCTGTACCACTGAGCTCTTCCATGGTCATACCAGTAGGATCCAGTCCCTGTCTACAAGAGGGTTCTGGCCACAGTTGGGATGTAAGATATACCCACCCCTTCTGGAAGTTTCCTCAGATTCTCCAGGCACAGAGCGTCCATCAGTTGTGTTCACATTTGGCACTTGTCCCCTCCTCTGTAGTCATCTGCTGATGGACCTCCCCAAGACTGCATTTCTCAAGGACAAGCGAACTTGGGTTCCCAGGCGAGCAGAGGGAGTAGAGCATCTCCTTCAACCCCATGGTCCCTGCATGTACGTTAGCAGGTGGTCCAGAGGAGATGCCTCCTCTGTGCTGTTTGGATGGATGGGTGGGTGGATGGGTAGATGGATGGGTAGATGGGTGGACAGATGGGTGGATGGATGGATAAATGGGTGGATGGGTGGATAGATGGGTGGATGGAAGGGTGGATGAATAGATGGATGGATGCAAGGATGGATGGATAAAGGAATTGGGTGAATAGATGAATAGGTGGATGCATTGATGGAAGGATGGATGGGTGCATGGATGGATGGTTGGATGCATGGGTGGATGAGTGGACAGGTGAACTGATGGCTGGCTGGATGCATATATATATATATATATATATATATATATATATATATATAAATGTATGTGTGGATGGATGGATGGATGGATGAGTCAATGAGTGAATGGATGGATGTACGTATGGGTGAGTGCACGGATCATCGGTGGATGGGTGAATGGATGAGTGCATGGATGGATGAATGGATGGATGGATAGGTAGATGGCTGAATGGGTGGGTGGGTGGATGGATGGATGGATGGATGGGTGCATGGGTGGATGGGTGGATGTGTGGATGGACAGATAGGTGGGTAGGTGGATGGATGGGTGGATACATGCATTTATGCATGCATGGATGGGTGGGTGGGGGTTTGGGAGGGTGAATGCATACATGGATGGGTGAATGGATGGATGGATGAATGACTGGATGGGTGAGTGGATGGTTGGATGGATGGGTGGATGAGTGGGTTAGTGGATGGGTGAATGGGTGGATGGATGGATGGGTGGATGGGTGAATGCATGGGTGGATGGATGGATGGATGGATGGATGGATGGATGGATGGATAGGTGGATAGATGGATGGATGGGTGGAAGGATGGGTGGGTGGATACATTGATGAGTGGGTGGATGCATGTATTCGTGGATGGATGGATCAGTGAATTGATGGATGGGCAGGTGCATGGCTGGATGGGTGGATGGATGCATGGATGGATGGATGGATGGATGTGTGGGTGTCTAGGCAGATGGATGTATAAGTGAAAGGATGGGTTAGTAGATGCATGAATGCATGGATTAGTAGATGGGTGGGTAAATGGGTTTATGGATGGATAGATGAATTGATGGGTGGATGGGTAAGTGGATGAGTGGGTGGATGGGTAGCTAAACAGAGGTATGGCTGGGTAAGCATAAAACAGTCACCTAAGTTTGACAACTGGTGCATATTATATGCCCAGTGGCATGGCTCAGAAAGTTTATGATTTAGGAAAGCAGAAAAACTTATGGTCCCCAGGAGATGTGGAACTTGGTGCCAATGACAAGAAGAGACCCTCTGAAGTAGTGCACAACCCTGGGACACCAATATATCACTGCTAAAAGGAAGACCATGAACTGATCAGAAGACCCATCGGAAGACTAGGCCTTGTCCTACAGTCCCAGCACTCCTGAGCAGCAGGACACACCCGTAGGGCAAAGGAATTTTGTTTCCGAGGGAAGGAGCATTTGGTCTCTGTGGACCCTTCATCAAGGGTCATGTTGCTATGAGGGAGGGGAGGAAAGAAGGGGTGTGTTCTGAGGGGATCAAGTCCTTCCTGATGAAGATGTCTCAGCAGAGGTACAGTCATGTGAGCCTGGTGCAGCCTTGCTGCAGCATGAGGAACTTAGGACCGATGTAGTAAGGACTTCGGGCTATGAGGATGATTAAGTAGAGGAGGAGGCTGTGACTCAGTCCTGCAGGCTGTGGGAGCAGAGCTGTTTCTCATGGTCTGCTGCTTGCTGGAGTCTGGCTCCAGAACAGTTGGAGAGAGGATGCGTAGGCTCTTGGCCTCTCCCTCCTGGACCGTCCTCCCGCAGCCGCTGTGAGACTCAGCAGGGCTGAAGTTCACTGCTGTCATCTCCCTCTGTGGGTCCTGGAGATGAGCCCTGAGGCTGGGAGGTCAGCTGCCCAGGAGAAATCCAAGGCTGACAGGCAACAGTCGCCTCTGAGCTTTCCCAGATGAGTCACCACGTGACGGTCACCTTCCTCATCCTCCACAAGCCCAAATCCCGAAGAGGGGAATTCTCATCCCCAAGTGTCCTTCTCCCCCTTGCCTACAGAGCTCATGAGTCAAGACTCCCCGGCCTATTTTTAGGCCATTTCTTCAGATCACACGGTGGGCAGGGTTTGTTTACTCTGGATCAGAGCTGCTCTGGGAACTCTCCATGCAGCCACCAGACACTAGAACAAAGACCAGTGAGGAAGGATGACTGAAGTCCAGACATTGAGCGTGCCTGGTGTGTGTCCCGGTGACAAAGGCAGCCGAACAGACCACAGGGACTGGGGCTGGAGCAGTACATAGCCCGGGGACATCCTCCTGCCTGGCTCAGCAGCTGGAATGGTTGCTTTGGCTCATCCAACAAAAGCAGAGAGGACGCATCCGCCTGGGCGCCATGCAAAGTTTATTGGACACAGGAAGGTCAGCCAGTGCTCAAAGGGCTTCCCTCATGCAGCCATCAGCTCTGGCCCCAAGCCCCTGGAGGGCCTCATTCATTTATTCTTTGCTCCCCATGATGTTCTGAGAGCAAGCCAAGGGCAGGAGCTCCGCCTTGCCCATGTTCATAACCCCAACTCTACCACCAGAAAAGACTCAGTAAAGTCTGTGTTCATTCACTTACTCATGTTTTCATTCATTTATTCATCCCTTCTGTATTTAACATTTGCTGTGCACCTGATGTGTCAGGTACCAGTTCCATCTTCAGGAAACTTTACCCAGGAGACTGGCAGAAACAGGTGTGATAAGCGTCATAGTGGGGGAGCAAAGGAGCTGGGGGACCAGGAACCCCATCTCAGAGCAAGCCAAGTAAGGATTCCCAGATGAGGGGAGAATTTGTTGAAGGACCTGTAGGCATCAATCAGGCATGGAGACGGGTAGGAGGAGGCTGTCTTGGCACACTCGTTCTCACACTTCAGCCTGCATTAGAATCGCCAAGAGCGCTTGCTAAAACACAGATCACTGGCACCAACCCAGAATTTTTTATTCGTAGGTCAAAGTGAAGCCCAGGAATTTACATTTTCAACAAGTTTTAGTGATGCTGATCTGCAGGTACAGGGACCACACTTTGAGAACCACCGCTTTAGGGAGCAGGAGCAGCAAGGGCAAAGGTAAAGAGGTGACTGTGAGTGAGTGAGTGAATGAGTGAGTGAATCAGTGAGTGAGTGAGGGAGGGAATAAATGAGTGAATGAGGGAGTGAATGGTGAATGAGTGAGTGAATGGTGAATGAGTGAGTGAATGAGCAAGTGAATGAGTGAGTGAATGAATGAGTGAGTGAATGAGTGAATGAGTCAATCAGTGAAGGAGTGAGTGAGTGAATGAGTAAGTGAATGAATGAATGAGTGAATAAGTGAGTGAATGAGTGAATGAATGAATGAGTGAGTGAATGAGTGAATCAATGAGTGAGTGAATGAGTGAATGAGTGAATGAATGAGTGAGTGATTGAGTGAGTGACTGAGTGAGTGAATGACTGAGTGAACGAGTGAGTGAATGATTGAATGAGTGAGTGAATGAGTGGATGAGTGAGTTAGTGAATGAGTGAATCGTGAATGACTGAGTGAATGAGTGAGTGAATCAGCGAGTGAATGAGTGAGGGAATAAGTGAGTGAATGAGGGAGTGAATGGTGAATGAGTGAAGGAACAAGTGAAAGAGTGAGTGAGTAAATGAGTGAGCGAGTGAATGAGTGAGTGAGTGAATGAGTGAGTGAATGGTGAATGAGTGAATGAGTGAGTGAATGAGTGAGTGAATGAATGAGTGAGTGAATGAATGAGTCAATCAGTAAATAAGTGAGTGAGTGAATAAGTGAATGAATGAATGAGTGAATAAGTGAGTGAATGAGTGAATGAATGAATGAGTGAGTGAATGAGTGAATGAATCAGTGAGTGAGGGAATGAGTGAGTGAGTGAATGAGTGAGTGAGTGAATGAGTGAATGAATGAGTGACTGAGTGAGTGACTGAGTGAGTGAATGACTGAGTGAACGAGTGAGTGAGTGAATGTTTGATTGAATGAGTGAGAGTGAATGAGTGGATGAGTGAGTGAGTGAATGAGTGAATCGTGAATGACTGAATGAGTGAGTGAGTGAGTGAATGAGTGAGTCAATGAGCGAGTGAGTGAGTCAATGAGTGAGTGAATGAGTCAGTGAGTGAATGAGTCAGTGAATGAGGGAGTGAGTAAATGAGTGAATGAGTGAGTGAGTGAGTGAATGAGTGAGTGAGTGTATGAATGAGTGACTGCTTGGGTGAACCCAGCTCCCATGGTTGGGTCATGTCCAGATTTGAGTCTTCTCAGCTGAGCTGCCAGACATCCAAATTGCTGACCCTCGGAACGTATAAGCATTGTTCAGTGGTCGTCCCAAGCTGTGACGCGGCTGGACGGAAGGCTATCAGAGCAGCCAGCCTCAACCAAGTGGGAGGCCACCCACACAGGGCTGCTCCAGTGGGGTTGGAGAGACAGGCCACAGCCAGGTCAGAGACAGATGAGAGCCAGAGAACCAGTCTCTGACTTTGGGGGCTTGTGAACCAACCAGTGGGATACACAAGGAGAGAAATAGAATTGGCCATTTTTAAGGGAACAGAGAAAGCACTCTTAGGGTGAGAGAGCTTGCCTTCAACGTAGAAGTGCATTTAGTAACCACTGTGGAAATTATCAAGAAAAATTCAAAGCTGAACCAGGCCTGATAGGACCAAGCGTGAAAAAGGCGGTCAAATGGATCCGTGTCTTTGATAAAAGCTGTGAGCAGACATTCGGGGACTGAAATATTGGTCCAGTTTCTCTCTCAGAGTTGCAACACTCTCTAAAAATTCCCCCCAACTGCCAGGCACAGTGGCTCATGCTTGTAATCCCAGCACTTTGGGAGGCCAAGGCAGGAGGATCACTTGAGACCAGCCTGGGCAAGATAGTGAGACCCCTGTCTCAAAAAAACAATTCCCCCCAACTAATTTTAACTTGTGTAGAATTTATAAAACTTGAGTGTATGCTATAATAGTACCATGAGAGAGGAAGATGGGCTAGTTATAACATTAAATAAAAGAGAGAGTGTTATAACATGTTTATGAACTCAGCATCATGGAACTTTGGAGTTAGAAACCTTTGCATTTATTCATCTGGACTCCCCCACATTGCAGATGACGAGACGGGTACAGGGAGGTCCAGCCACTCATTTCAACAGGTCAGCCAGTAGTAGCAGAGCGGGGATCAGAAGCCAGCTGTCGGGCTGAGGCAGGTGCCCTTTCTCCACTTCAAAGCTTTTCCTTTGTCTGGCAGGGATGATCTCTCTGTGTGCGCACCATGGTCTCAGCCTCAGTCTTTCCCTCCCCGCTGTGTCCCTCGGCCTCTCTGTCCACCTTCCTCAGTGTGTCTGTCTCCCTCTGTGACTGTGTGTCCGTGTGTCTTGCAAGGCCCCTGGCTGTCTCCCTCTCACGCTGCACACACATGTCTATGCGCTCTTTTTAACCCCACATCCATTGCTGATGCCCCAAATGAAATAGCCACAGGGATTATCCAGTATCCCATGTCCCAGGTGCCCCGAGCCACTGCTGGATAGTAGCTCCACTCCTTTTATGGGTAAGATAACAATATGCCGTCAATACCCACAGCCAGCTTCTGTTTAAAAAAAAAAAGAAAGAAAGAAATGGGGTCTCAGGCTGTTGCTCAGGCTGGAGTGCAGGGCCACAATCATACCTCACTGTAGTCTCGAACTCCTGGGCTCAAGCCATCCTCCCACTTTAGCCTCCCAAGCAGGACTCCCAAGATGGGACTACACCACAACTGCCATTTTTTTTTCTTTTTCTTTTTCTTTCTTTTTCTTTTTCTTTTTTTTTTTTTTTTTTTTTTTTTGAGTTGGAATCTTGCTCTGTCAGCCAGGCTGGAGTGCAGTGGCACCATCTCGGCTCACTGCAAGCTCCACCTCCCTGGTTCACACCATTCTCCTGCCTCAGCCTCCAAAGTAGCTGGGACTACAGGTGCCTGCCACCACGCCGGGCCAATTTTTTATATTTTTAGTAGAGACGGGATTTCACCGTGTTAGCCAGGATGGTCTCGATCTCCTGACCTTGTGATCCGCCCACCTCGGCCTCCCAAAGCGCTGGGATTACAGGCGTGAGCCACCACGCCCGGCCAATTTTTTAATTTTTTTATAGAGACAGGGTCTTGCTATTTTGCCCTGGCTGGTCTGGGCTCAAGTGATTCTCCCTGCTTGGCCTCCCACATTGCTGGGATCACAGGCGTGAGCCCCTGCACCCAGCCCCCATGACCTGCTTCTAGATCATGTGTGACTCCTCCTCACCCCAAGGCCCCTGTGCCAAGTGCTCCTCCCTGACCTTCAGCATAGCTGGTTCCTTCTCGACCTCCAGGATTTGGGTTGAAGTTGGCTCCTCAAGTGAAAATGTCGCTTACCTCTCATTATTCTCTGTCTATCCCTTTTTAAAATTAAAAACATTCTTACTTTGCAATTCAAGTATAATGTATGTGCAGAAAAGCGAAGCTGTATATATCTAATGCAAAGCGTTTTCACAAAACAAAGCCACCAATCAGATCAGGAAACGGAACAAGACCAACACCCCAGAGATGCTCCTACTGCACCTCCGTGGGACTTCCCTCTCCTCTTCACTAAAGGGCGCTGCCATTTTCACCTCTATCACCTTGAGTTAGTCTCGCCTATTTGAACTTTATATGAGTGGAATCATATCACGTTATTCCTGTGCATTAGGCTTCTTTTGTTCAATATATTTTTTGTGAAGAGTTATTCATTCTGTTACATGTAGCTCTAGTTTATAATTTTTATTGCTGAATAGTATTTCATTTTGTGAATATAAAACAGTTTGTTTATCCATTCTGTTGTCGACGGATTTGTTTATCCTGCCCGGGCTTCACTGAGATTCTTAGAACTGTAAATTTATGTTTTGCACCAAATCTGGGAAGTTTTATGTCATTTCTTCACGTATTTTTCAAGTGACTTTCCCTCTCATGCCTCTGGAATTCCATTTCCACATAGGCTGCACTGCTTGCGGTTTTTGCATAGGTTTCTGAAGTTCTATTCCTTTCTTTTCAATAATGTTTTCTCCATTTTTCAAATTAAGTAATTTGTTTTCACTTATTTCCAGGTTCTCTGATTCTTTCTTCTTCCAACCCCAATCTGTTTAAAAACTAGCAAGTTTTTAAAATCTCAGTCATGGTACTTTTGAGCTCCAGATTTATCACGCATCTGTTGTAGTTTCTGTTACTTTGTTGAGGCTTCCTACCTGTTCGGGGTTTTTCCGTTTTGGGGTTTTTTTGTTTTGAGATGGGGTATTGCTCTGTCCCACAGGCTGGAGTGCAGCGGCATGATCTCGGCTCACTGCAAACTCTGCCTCCCGGGTTCAAGCGATTCTCCTGCCTCAGCCTCCCAAGTAGCTGGGACTACAGGCACCTGCCAACACACCCAGCTCATTTTTATATTTTCAGTAGAGACGGGGTTTCACCTTACTGGCCAGGCTGGTCTCAAATTCCTGACCTCAGGTGATCCACCCGCCTCAGCCTCCCAAAGTGCTGGGATTACAGGCATGAGCCACCGCGCCCGGCCTGTTTGGTTTTTGATAGCACATTTTCCTTCAGGTCTCTGAACACATTTATAACATCTCATTTGAACTCTCTCTGTGAAACCCATTATCTGGATTAACTGGGAATCATTTGTTCTTGAGCACGAGTCACACTTCCCTGTTTTGTTGAATGTCATTTAACATTTGGACATTGCATGTGTCATGTCTACATGCACGTGTCAGGTAATCTACATGTAGAATGTAGATGCTATGTCGGCAGCAGCTCTGGAATCTGTTGTGTTCTTCTGAAGATTGTTGCTTTTTTTGTTCTAACAGCTGTCATGTGCTGGATTCTAAGGACAAACATTGCCATCTCTGTGGTAAGCAGCTAATGTCCCTGCTGTCTTTTTTTTTTTTTTTTTTTTTTTTTTTTTTTTTTTTTTGAGATGGAGACTTGCTGTGTCGCCCAGGTTACAATGCAGTGGCGTGATCTCGGCTCACTGCAACCTCCACCTCCCGGGTTCAAGCAATTCTCCTGTCTCAGCCTTCTGAGTAGCTGGGACTATCAGTGCATACCACCACACCTGGCTAATTTTTGTATTTTGAGTAAAGACAGGGTTTCACCTTGTTGGCCAGGCTGGTCTCAAACTCCTGACCTTAAGTGATCCACCTGCCTCGGCCTCCCAGAGTGCTGGGATTACATGTGTGAGTCACCGCGCCGGGCCCCTGCTCTCTTCTTATGGCTCCAGCTGCTGATTTTTAAGCCTGAATCCTGGAGATTTTCCCTGCACCTGTGCAACGGGGCAGGCAGCCATGGATCTGGGCTAAGGCTATGCTCAGATTTAGGGTCTCGGTGTCTCAGTGGCTTCCTTGCTTCCAGTGAGTACTCCTGAATTTCCACAGCTCTGCCAGCTTTGGGCTCTGTCCTCTTCAAGCATCTACGGCTTCAGGTGTCTGCCTCTTGAGCTGCACACAGCTGGGGCATGCACTCATTTAAAAAGGCAGCAGCACACAGACCTTGCCCTGTGCAACTCCATCTTTCAAGAAGTGGCTCCACTCTGGCGTTTCCCTGCTTATTGATGGCTGCCTGGGACTCCCTCTGCATATGCACAGTCTAATTGTCAGCCAGGGATTTGGGCAGAGCTCACCCTGGGTGTGGAGTTTCAAGCCAACTTTTCTCACTGCCAAGATCTCCCCTGTATGTATATACTCCACACCCAGGCAGTCTTGCCCCTCATCTCTGGCACCTGGAGTCTGTCGGGCTGTGATTTCCACCAAGGCTGTGCCGTCAAGACAGAAAGCTGCAAACTCACAGCTCCTAACACTTCCATTTGCAGTTGACAGTCACCTCTCCTCTGGCTTCTCTTGGCTTCTCATCTCTTTATAGAGTATTTAAATCATCACTGTTTACATTTTATGAAGTGTTTGGAGTTGTTATCTGCGGGAAGGTTCACATAACCACTCAGCTCTCATGCCATTCCCAGAAGTTCTTCGCTAAATACTTAAGTATGTTGATATCTATAGAGACTATGACTTCATTTGAATAAAGTATATATACACGCATGTGTATGTGTGTATTACTGAAGCATAACTTACAGTAATAAGCACATATGTTAAGTGTGTGATTTGATGAGTTTTGACAAATGTATAGCCTATATAATCAACACTCATATGAAGACATAGAACGTTTTTCACCCCAGAAATTTCTCTCATCTCTTTTCCAGTCAGTTCCACCAACATCTCCCAGAGGCAGCCACTCTTTGAATCTCTATAGCCTGCGTTATTTCTGCCTTTTCTTGAACTTCCTTTAAGCAGAATCCTATAGCATACGTTCCTTTGTATCTGCCGGTTTTTTGCTTCACATGGTGTTTTTGAGATTACGCTGTTGTGTATTTCAGTGGCTCATTGCTTTTTATCACTGAGCAAGAGTCCATGGGATGAATGAATTATCACCGTTTCAGGTCACTTACTTGTTAACATTTGAATAGATCTTTGGAATGTTAGAGGGGTTTTGACTGTCATGAATAAAGTTGCTGTCAGCATTCTTATCCATGCCTTCTTGTGGCCACGTTTCATTTCTCTTATGTGCCTACCTAGGAATTGAAATGAGGGGTCGCTGAGCAGAAGACATTTTGCCTATTAGAAACCCTCGCAGAGATTTCCACAGTAACTCCCTGACGATCAGTGAGGGACCTGGTTGTCCCGCTTCATTACCTACACTTGGGCTTGTCTTGTTTTTTCCTTTTAGCTCTTTTAGTGAGCGTGAGGCTGCATCTCACTGTGGGATTTGCATTTCTAGTTCCCTGATGACTGATGATGTGGACCCCCTTTTACTGAGCTTAGGGACCATTTGTGGATTTTCTTGCATAAGGTTGTGTTCAAATCTTTTGTCCATTTTTTGTTGTTGTTGTTTTTGTTTTTGGAGATGGAGTCTCATTCTGTTGCCCAGGCTGCAGTGTAATGGAGTGATCTCGGCTCACTGCAAACTCTGCCTCCAGGGTTCAAACAATTCTTCTGCCTCAGCCTCCTGAGTAGCTGGGATCACAGGCGCCAGCCACCATGCCTTGGCTAATTTTTGTATTTTTAGTAGAGACAGGGTTTCACCATGCTGGCCAGGGTAGTCTCGAACTCCTGACCTCAAGCAATCCTCCCACCTCGGCCTCCCAAAGTGCTGGGATTACAGGCGTGCACCACCGCGCCCAGCCCTTTTGTCCATTTTTAACAGGTGGTTTGTCTTGTTCTTACTGGTTTGAAGCAGTTCTTTATATTATTTGATGTTCAGTTCCATGCCAAATCTACATTGTGAATATTTTCTCCTAGTCTGTAGCTTTTTTTTTTCCATTTCCTAATAGTGTTATTTAATGAGCAGAAATTATCAATTTTGATAAAGCCAAATTTAACTTTTTTCTTTTCTGGTTATTACTTTTGGCTTCTGTCTGATAAATACTTGCCTATCCCAACATCACAAAGATATTCTCTAGTGTTTTCTTCTGTAAACATTACTGCTCTAGGTTCTATGTTTAGGCAACAATGCATTGCAAATTCATAGTTTTGCACAGATTGAGATAGAGGTAGAGATTTATTTCCTTCCACGTGATCGCCAATTGTCCCTGCACCATTTATTAAAAAGTCTTCCCTTTTCCAAGTGAGTTGCCATGATGTCTTTACTAAAAGTCAGTTGTATATATGGGGTCTATGTCTAGATTCTCTAATTTTATTGAACTATTTGTCCATTCATACACCAATATAATACTTTGTTGATTATTGTATATTTATAGTAAGTCTTAAAGTCAGATAGTATAGCTCCTCTAATTGTGTTGTTCTCTTTAGAGATCATCTGGCAGCCGGGCATGGTGGATCACGCCTGTAATCCCAGCACTTGGGGAGGCCGAGGTGGGCAGATCACTCGAGGTCAGGAGTTCAAGAGTAGCCTGGCCAATATGATGAAACCCCGTCTCTACTAAAAGTACAAAAATTAGCCGGGCGTGGTGGCACATGCCTGTAATCCCAGCTACTCCGGAGGCTGAGGCAGGAGAATTGCTTGATCCTGGGAGGCGGAGGTTGCAGTGAGCCAAGATTGCATCATTGCACTCCAGCCTGGGTGACAAGAGTGAAACTCTGTCTCAATAAATAAATAAATAAATAGGCTATTCTAGATCCCTTTGCATCTCTGTATAACTTTTAGAAACAGCTTATCGACTTCCACAAAAAAAAAAATCAGCTAGAGTTTTGATTGCAAATGCTTTGAGATTACAGATAAATTTTGGGGAAAATTAACATTGTAATGGTATTGAGTGTTTGAATCCATGAACATGGTATACTTCTCCATTTATTTAGGTCTTATTTAATTTCTCTCAATAATCTTTTGACATTTTCAGTGTAAAATTGTTCAGTAGCTTCTTTTCTTAATATACAACTATGTCATACATAGACATGTACGATATGGGCTGTGCTCTCAAATTGCTTAGGGTCCGATAGCTGGGAGAAATAAAAAATCTTGGACAATGAGCCCAAGTAATTTAAGACATTCACAGTTGGGCTGTGGGTTGCTCTTGCCAATGTGCAGATGCAGGCTGCATATGTTGCAGGGTCCTCTCATTCATTCCTCAAACATTTATCAAGCATCAGTGATATGCCCAAACACTTAGAATATAGTGCTAAGCCAGATGGGTTCTATGGGAAAGGAAACTCAATAGTAATGATAATTATGTGCCAGGTATTTTCTACATGCTTTCCCTGTGTTATCTCATATCATCCCAACACAGCTATAAAGAAAGTGCTATTTTTAATAAACTTAATTTTTAGAGCAAAGTCTAAACCTCTGTTTTAAGTTCACAGCAACATTGAGCAGAAGGTACAGAGATTTCCCATATATCCTCTGCCCCCACACAGGCATTGCCTCTCTCATTATCAACATCCCTCACTAGAGTGGTACATTCATTCCAGCTTATAAACCTACACTGACACATTATTATCAACCAAAGTCCACGGTTTACGTTGTAAGAGTTAAAGAAAGAGGAAAGAATCCTGAAAAGTGCCTCAACAGTCCGAGACAGGTTTATTTTGGAGAATAAACCTGAGAGGGGCTTCTGGCCAATTTCAGTCAGGAGTGCTCTGTCTTACAGACTAAGAGTATGGAAGGGTTCAGGGCGAGAGAGCTTATCACAGCCTTAGGATGTTTCTGTGTGGAGGAGAAGTTTATTACAGGGTTGGAATGTCTCTGGTCGGAGGGAAGGTTACCTCTGGGCTGGCATGTCTCTGGTTACGGAAGGGTTTGTCTTAGGGTTGGCATGTTTCTGGTTGGAGATGTCATTTGTGATTTATGGTCATGCTGACATTAGCCATTAGGCTGATTCCCCTTGGGTTGGATTTAGGCCGTTTTTGATCATGGGGAACTTTAAAACGGTGGTACTTGTCCAAAATGGCGATGCTCCTGCTCTGTCATACATCAGGGTTCATTCCTGGTGGTGTACATTCTGTGGGTTTGGAAAAATTTCTAACAATATCTATCCACCATTATGGTATCATACAAAGTAGTTTCACCGCCCTAAAAATCCTCTCTGTCCTGCCTGTTCATCTCACCCTCCTGCCAGCCCCGGGCAACCACTCATCTTTTGATGGCTCTCACAGTTTTGCCTTTTCCAGGATGTCACATAGTTGGAAGCACACACTACGTAGCTTTTTAAGACTGTCTTCTTTGACTTAGTAATATGCACTTACATGTCCTCCACATCCTTTCATGGTTTGCAGCTCATTTCTGTTTAGTGCTGAATAATGCTCCACTGTCTGGATGGACCATAGTTTATTATCCATTCACTTATGGAGGGCTATCTTGGGTGCTCCCACATTTTGGCCACAGTGAATAAAGCTGCTATAAACGTCTGTGTGTAGGTTTTTATGTGAACATAAGTTTCCAACTCCTTTGGGTAAATATCAAGGAGTGTAATTACTGGGTGGTATGGTAAGAGCATGTTTTAGCTTTTTAAGAAGCTACCAAACTGTCTTCCACAGTGGCCACACCATTTTGCATTCCCATCAGCAATGAGTGAGAGTTCCTGTTGCTCCACATCCTCGCCCAGCATTTGGTGTTGTCAGAGTTCTGGGTTTTAGCCACGCTGTTAGGTGAGAGGCGATATCTTATGCTTATTTTAATTTGCATTTCCCTGATGACATGTGTGGTGAGGAGCCTCTTTTCTTTCTTCCTTCCTTCCTTTCTTCCTTCCTTTTTCCTTCCTTTCTTTCTTTTCTTTTCTTTTCTTTCCTTCTTTCTTTCTTTCTTTCTTTCTTTCTTTCTTTCTTTCTTTCTTTCTTTCTTTCTTTTCTTTTCTTTCGTTGATGGAGTTTCACTCTTGTTGCCCATGCTGGACTGCAGTGGCACAATCTCAGCCCACTGCAACCTCCGCCTCCTAGGTTCAAGTGATTCTCCTGCCTCAGCCTCCTGAGTAGCTGGGATTACAGGCATGCACCACCATACCCCACTAATTTTTTTTTTTTTTTTTTTTGCATTTTTAGTAGAGAAAGGGTTTTGCCATGTTGGCCAGGCTGGTCTCCAACTCCTGACCTCAGGTGATCTGCCTGCCTTGGCATCCCAAAGTGCTGGGATTACGGGCGTGAGCCACCGTGCCCAGCCGGGAGCATCTTTTCATATGCTTATTTGCCATCTGTGTATCTTCTTTGGTGAGGCGTCATTTAAGATCTTTGGCCCACTTTTTAAATTGGGTTGTTTATTTTCAAATTATTGAGTTTTAGGAATTCTTTGTATATTTTGGATAACAAGCCTCTCTTCTCAGATATTTCCATCAAAAATATTTTCTCCCAGTCTGTGGCTTGTCTTTTCATTTTTTGGCAGCATCTTTCACAGAGCAGAAGTTTTCGTTTTAATGAAGTCCAGCTTATCAATTATTTCTTTCCTGGATCCTGCCTTTGGTGCTGGATCTAAAAAGTCATTGCCAAACCCTAGGTCATCTAGATCTTCTTTTATGTTATCTTCTAGGAGTTTTATAGTTTTTCATTTTTCATTTAGGCCTGGGATCCATTTTGAGTTATTTCTTTGTGAAGGTCCATGTCTAGATTCATTGTTTGCAAGTGCTCTTTTTATGTGCATTGATGAGGTTTGGGAAGGTCAGTAACTTGGACAAAGCACACACCCTGGTCAGCAAAGGAACCCCAGACCATGCTTCTATCCATAGGGCTGAGCTGGGGCACAGCTTTGTGGAAACTGAGTTATGTATGAGACCCCACAAAAGGCTTAGAATCACTTCCCTTTTCCCCTCTCACTTCCTTGGCTCCAGAATGAGAATAGAATGTGCGTCCAGAAGCTCCTTTCAGTCTGCATCCTCTGACCCGTGTGCCCACATGCTGCAAGGGCTCTGATGCCCTCTATGAAGTACAAGGAAACACTTATAAAATAGCTAAATGTGCAGTTTTGCCCCAACCAGAGGTGATTGCAATAGAACCTGGTACAGACCAGTAGAAGCAGGCATTGACAATTCAAAGAAGAAATAATAGACAAACATAACAGAGAAAGAAACATAATTGAGAAACAGAAAAATTATGGGAGACACATAACAGAGAAAGGGTGTGTGTGTGTGTGTGTTAGGGAACAGCCACTATGTTCTAACTTTGGGGAAACATCATTAAGATCTCTGAATTACTGTGTCACAGAGGAAGGGATTTCAAGACCACCTGCTGACATTTGAGGATTTTGCTCAAGGAAGGTTCCTGGAAGGGAGGGGCCACTCCCATGAGACAGCACAGCTCAGCAGAGCTGAATGGCTCACCCCCCCACCCCCCCAGCTTACCCCCTACATTGCCGATGGCCTTCTCTGCCAGGGATAGGGGCCCTGGAGCCATCGGCTAAAGGAGGCCCAGCACAAAAGGTGCCCAAGTTTATTGAGGGTTCTGGGCTAGAAGTTTAAGGCAGTAATATTGGAGAGAACCTTCTTCGTGGTGACTCTAGCTTTGGGGACGCTAAGCATGGTAGCATTTGGCACAGACCCATGAGTTTAGACACTTGGAGATTTGAGCGTTTGGGTGAGGGTGACGATGATGGTGGTGGTGGTCCTTGTGGTTCTGATGAACTCGGATGACATTTTAGAGGGTTTGCAGCAATGCAGAAAACGCAGCCCCAGCCTCATGGAACTTGCGTTCTGGCAGTGGGAGGTGTACAAACAGCATCCCTCACAGTAATCCTTCTACACAGATGTTATGCTTATTCTACACTCAAGGAACCGAAGCTCAGAGATGTCCACAGCTTGCCCAACCCACACAGCAGGTGGTGGTGAGCCTGGATTTGAACTGCCTTGTCCGTGGGGTGGTAGAGATTTGAGCTGAGAAGACACACGTGCCTCACCAAAACTCGTGGGAGTATTTTGTTCTCAGGGGTGACTGAGCACGCCATTTCCTCTTGACCCAGCTTAGCTCAACCCTTCAAAGGACCAGAGAATGGTATGTGTGTCTCTTTCTCTTTAAGCAAACTTTCCTTAGGGGAAAAGAAAAAGCCATGCCACAAGGCAGAAGAAAGTCGCAGGAATGAGGCCGTGCGGCCAGGCCTCGCGGCCACCCACCGGCTTGTGAGTGGGAAGCAGTGGGATTTCCTCCCGGGCAAGCCGACCCACCCCCCGCCCCCCCGAAGCGGGCCAGAGAGGTGTCCTCGGTGGGTCAGGAAGGGTCGACGCCCCCTCCTTCCCTCAGCCGCATCCCGCGCCCCCATCCCTCTGCCCGCCAGATTCTGCGGAGTCTGCGAAACAAAACCGCCGTTGTTTCCAGCCGGGCTGCTCAGGAAAAACAACAGGTTTTTCCACTTTGGGGCCTTTGTAGATGTGGATGCCCCGCATGCTTCTCCTCCGCTGCAGAAGGCTGTGGTCTTCTGTTCATTTCGTCAGGAAATACTCTGGGAACTCTCCAGGGCCACGGCAGCTGGGGGCCTGTCCAGCCTCCAAACTTAGGGGTTCCCTGGGACCCCAGAATCCCTATGAGCCCCAGGATCTCCCAGCCTGACAGCCACCCCCAGGCACCGCGCTCTTTCTCCTCCCAAGATGCCTCTCCTCTGCGTCTCACCCCCACCTGCACTCACACCAATGTCCCAGGGTCTCCACACACCGTGGCCCCCAAGCGGCCTCCCCAAAGTCCAGGCGCTGATCCCTCCCTCCAGGGAGAGACCCCTGACCCTGGGGTGGGGGGCTGCAGGCTCCGCCGAAGACCCTCCTGGACATCTGAGCAGCAGAGCTGATGTCTTACTCCTAGGACACAAGCCCCATCCGGACATTTACAGATTTACATATTTTTTCTGTACATCTAAAACTGTTTTAGAATAAAAAGATAAAAAGTCACTTTTTTTTTGTTTTTTTGTTTTTTTGTTTCGAGACAGAGTCTCACTCTGTCACCCAGGCTGGAGTGCAGTGGTAAGATCTTGGCTCACTGAAACCTCCGCCTCCCGGGTTCACGTGATTTTCCTGCCTCAGCCTCCTGAGTGGCTGGGATTACAGGCGCACACCACCACGCCCTGCTAGTGTTTTTTTTTTTTTTTGTATTTTAGTAGAGACAGGGTTTTACCATATTGGTCAGGCTGGTCTCACACTCCTGACCTCAAATGATCCTCCCACCTCGGCCTCCCGAAGTGCTGGGTTGACAGGCGCGAGCCACCGTGCCCAGCCAAAAAGTCGCTTTAAAAAGCATTCGGCTGAATGAGGGAACGAGTGTTTCCACAATACGACACGATGTCAGGCTCAGCCTAAGGCCTTGGACTGAGCAGGTTTCAATGAGCTCTGGGCCCCTGGCCACGGTTGCATCTCCGGCCGTCAGTCCTAAGCCTCGCTCTGGGGACTGTCTAGAGTGGTAGGTGCTGGTCTGGGTGCACACACGTGTCCCTTGTGTTTGCTGCTGGGAGGACGCCGCTCTCACAAATTTTGAGAAATTGGCTGGGTTTAGGAGAGTGGAGGGGCTTTACTCTTTTACAAAACTGCTTGATCTTTGACGTTCTTCTCAATCATGCTCGCGGCTCCGTGTTGACTAGGATATAGAGCTAAATGCCGTCATTTCTTTTCTCCATGATCAAATCTCAAACCCATCTGTACTGGCCCCAGAGATATCAGATCCTAATCCCTGGGACCTGTGAATGCTACTTTACACAGAAAAAAAGGGTCTCTGCAGATGTGATTGAACTGAGGATCTTGAGATGGAAAGATTGTTCTGAACCATGGTGGGGCGGCGTCTGATGGCATCAGGAGGTCCCGATAAGAGGGAACAGAAAGAAGTTTAAGACACGGAGAAAAGGAGGAGGCTGCGTGGCCACGGACGCAGACTCTGGTGTGATGCAGCCATGACCAAAACGCCTGCAGCCCCAGGAAGACAGAAACACGGCGGAGAGGATCAAGTGAAAATGGGGAGCCCGGGCCAGCGTCTGGGGGTCTTGGTGCCTGACGGGGGCTTCCTGGTTCTAACAGCTGGGATGCGGTCCGGAGAGGCTCGAGCACGCTGCCACTATCCCAGGAGGCAATCAGCGATCTCACGCATGGTGGGCGGGACACAGGTGGGCCCTTCTGGGGCCTCAGCTGCTGATGCGGGTGGGAGAGGAAGGAGCCCGCATTTGAGGGAGGCAAAGTGTGCAGAGAGAAACACTTTGAGGTTCCTTTTCCTTGTGAGAAAAGCCCTGGGTGCCACCGCCCCTCACACGGCACCACCTGCCCCTCCCTGTGGCAGAGGCTGTCCCCATTCCATTTTGGGCTGGGGGAGGCTTGTGGTCCAAGGCTAAGGGGTAAGTACATGTGCCGCAGCCCTGGAATGCACAGTAGGTCATGCCCCCCGCTGAGGAATTGCCAGAGGCGGGGGACTTGTCTGATGTCACACCTGGCCTCACCCAGTTCTGCTGACGGATGGGCAGCCACAGGACCCGAAGTCCTGAAGCTTTGGGAAGTATGAGCCTGTCCTCTAGAAGGGCAGGTCCTGGCCTTTGTAAAGAGCTCATTTTGGTGGATTGAGAACCTGGAGAAGTGAAATTAATGAGCTGAAAGTGACACCTGCCTTTGACACAGAAAGTCCACCAGCCGCTCCTCCCCCAGCCCTACCACAGGGCAAGTTCTTGGCCCTGTGCAGGTCTGTCTCGGGTGGGGGCTGCCTCGGTTAACTCCCCTTCCCGTGGCTGTGGGGAGAGGCAGGGAGCAGCTGTAGAAACCAAGAATTCCGTCTGGATCTTCAGGGTGAAGGCTCTTTGCTGGCTGTTCCCTGCTGGTGGCACAGAGGGCTTCTGTGGATGAGGACTCGGAGGCCCCCTCTCTGAGCCCAAGGAAGGCCTCACACCCCAGTGAACCACAGAACAGGGGCCATGGCGCTGCACTGGCTGAAGCTCCGGCCTCCTCTCCCTCCCACCATCTGTGCAGGACGCCCGGCTCATCCCAAACCAACTTCCTGGAGCTTTCCGAGGCCGATCTACGAGTGACAACCAGGTGAGCTGCAGGCTGCACCGACGTTTCCACCTCACTCAGCCTTCTGGATTGTAGAGACTATGTCTCCACTCAGCATTAGTGAAGGAATTGCATTCTTGGGATTGGGGGAATCTGAGGGAAGAGGCCTTTTCCATCCCGGTGGTAGCAGAAGTGGAAATCTGTGCTGGAAATAAAACACCCTGAAATAACAGAAGAACTGGACATACTCCAGAGGGTTTTGAAGAAACCATCCCAGAGCGAGAAGGCAGCCTGGCTGCTCAAAGAGCCGAGGGGTGGGGCGTTTGAACTGCAGTTCAGTGACTGGAGAGGGGCCATTTGGGGCAGTGGCTTCCAAACCAAGTGGCTGGGCTTTGGTGGATGGGGAGCAGTCCATCATAAGCTACAGTTTGCAGGTCACGGATGGCTGCAAATTTCCTCCACGGCTGGAGGAAGATGGGCCCTTCCATGGGGCTGTCTAGGGCTCTGGGGCAGCTCTGGAAAAGACAGCCATGAACTTGGCCACGGGCAGGAGCCTGCAGAGTCCCAGCAGAGACCCCACCACCTGGGGGGCAGAGGCTCCCTATTGGGGTCCCCTCCTGGGGTCCTGGGTCCCCACAGACCAAGCACAGGCCGACAATTTCCCTGCCCTCACGCATCTCGGAAGGCTTGATGCTGGGCAGGGCCAGGGATGCTTCAGTGAGTTCTAAACATTCTCAGTGGATCAAAGATTCTCATAAACAGAGGCCTAAGTGCTTACATGGAAATTCCCAGTGGTTTATCTTGGGAATTAGTTAAGTGCAATAAAACAGGCTTCGGGCAGATCTGCGTCCTGTGGTGGCGTGACCCCCACACAGCCTCCTACGGATGAGCTCTGACCGGCTTGAGTGGGGCTGGGCTCCCTCTCAGTGGAGGAGCGTTTCATTAGCGACAGCTGGGGATCGTTCGCAGAAATGCAGGCGTGGCCCCCGGGAGAAGCAGACCTGTGAAAATCCGGACTTTGAAAATGGAAGTGAAAAAACAAGCTCTGTATGAGAACTAGGAGTCTCCAGGGATTCGTGTCTGAGTTCCTCTCTGTGAAGGAGCTTGCTGGCACTGGTCTGTCCAACCCCGGGGTTTACGGAGACTCAGGTTCCCGGACGATACTGCGTCTCCACGGCGTCCAGCGAAATGCCTCCCCCACCCCACCCAGTTGTTGGGCCTCTGGGGTAGAAAACGAACTAGGGGATTGGGATTCACTGGTGTACTCAACAGATGCATATGAGGCCCTTGTCGCAGGCTGGGCTCTGCCAGGCTGCTGTAGTACGCCGAGGTGAGTCCTCTGTGAATCGGGAACGCCCGCTCCCTGTGTCTGCCCAGAAGGCTGCACTTGTCCTGGGCCGCTCGCGGGAAGAGGTCACCCAGCAGGGAGATGTTCTGTGCCAACGTGTGCGGGGCCCCAAGGAGACAGAGGGAGGGGCAGGCGTGTGGGCCATGGTGGGGTTGGTTGGCTGAGGGCATGGGGTGCCCATGTGGGCAAATCCCTGGGACCTCCTGAGGAGGGTGGATTGGGACTTTGCTGAGAGGCTCAGAAGGGGTCAAGGGTGCAGTGGGCAGCTCAAGCCTCCCTTTTCCGGGGGGTCCAGAGTCGCCAGAGGACCCGTAGCCCCTTGCAGCAGCAGCAGGGGCAGATGGACAGACTTTGTGGGAAGGGCCCTGCAGACACCGCCTCTCCCATCCCAGAGGTGACTGTGAGGCAGAGGAGGAGAGGAGGCCTGCTGAGAACAAACCCTGGGTCCCCCACCTCCGAGACTGATGCGCCGGGCAGAGGCCGCCTTCCTGCCTCCTTGCTGGGGCATCTTCCCCTTCCTGCTGACCTGCGTGGCCATGAGACCCCAGGCTGGGCTGACCAGAGCCCTGGAACAAGCTCACAGAAAGCGCTTCTCCACTTCCCAGGGAGCCTCCTGCCCACACCAGCCTCCCTGTGGCAGGCCCAGTGTCCACACCACGTGTACTCATGGAGCTCGGCCCCTGGGAGACTTACTCCCCACCCCCCAGGACCTGCTCCTGGCACCAAGCTGGCCACAGGGGCCACGTCCTCTGCATGTGGCAGGCCTCAGGGACGGCCCTGCCCACAAGGTCACTCTGCTCCTGGGTCCTCAGGCCCCTTTGCTTCCAGGAGGAGCTTGTCCTTCCTCCTCCCACACCGAAACCCACAGAGAGGAGCGGACGCCCCGTGGCTCCTGCCCTGCCCTAGGCTGGCCACCCCTCATGCAGCTCAACTCCCACGTATTCCTGGGGCCGGGGCAGGCCAGCCCTGATGCCCACCTTCCTCTCTCCCATGGCCCCCTTTGAGGTGAGCCAGCCCTGTCTCCAAGCCTGGGGTGCTGTAGAGATGCCTCCTCCTGTCTGCTGGCTCCAGGACTGTCCCCTGCTCTGCCCCCACCCCAGCCTCCCCACCTGTGCATGTTCACAGAGCCATGGCACCTTCCAATACCTGCTGAGCTCAGCCCTGGCCCCTCATCCCAGCCCCATCTTCCTCCCACATCCTCCTCCCCCCTCATCCCAGCCCCATCTTCCTCCCACATCCCCCTCCCCAGCACCACCGCCTGACCCCTGCATGGCCAGAGGAGACACACCTTTGTCCGGCCTCCCAGCCCAGCCACACCTCAAGCTCAGCACAGGTCCCCGCTCCCCCGAGCCCCTCCCAGTCCAGTCCTGCTCGTCCCACACCTGCTGGGCTTTGGCGCAACCCTAGGCTGCCTGGCCACACGGCCCCCCGCCTCGCACCCTCGCGCCAGGCACAGGCGGTACTGCTCAGATGCTCACTGCGCTGCTTTCCAGTGGGTCTGGGGGCTCCTGAGGGTGACCGTGGCCTCTCCCCCATGTCCTTCCTGTCCTCATCCAGGGAGCGGGCACACAGGGCTGACTGCGGTTCTGTGCTCAGCAAGGGAGACGCCCATTTTCTTCGAGGATTTCCTCTGGCGCTGACCTACTAGATGCGTGGGTTCAAGGGACGGGGGCAGGGCAGAGGAGTTCAGGTTTCGGCAGCTGCCACTCCGCCCTCATCCTGTCAGGGACACCTCAGGCCAAGGCGCTGTCTGGATTTTAGCCAGCAATGGGGAGTCCCGCTCTGCCCTGGCCGCCGCCCACTGTCTCGTGTGAGTGAGTCACCGGCTGCTTCAGCTCCCTCCTCCTCCAGGGGTGACTTCACCCGGTCGGCTCTCACTGACCAAGAAAGGGATCCAAGAAATCAGGGGTGTGGAGGCAGGAGGCCAGGGGCCTTCCTGGGACCCCTCAGGAGGTTCCCCTAGCACCACTCGCAGGCAGAACAGCCCAGCCTCACCCCGAGGGCTGCGGGAGGTGCTGCTAGAAAATCACTTGGGGCTTCCTTTTGGCCTCCCAGTGAGTCATGAGGGCTGCGGCACAGAGGGGCAGGGGGACATCCAGGAGGGCTGGGTGCTCCTGCTGCTGTCCTGGGAGGGGGCACGGCAGTATCCGGCGGGGCCGGGTGCGTCCAGTAAAGGAGTGCGTGCAGCGTGTGGCATCTGAGCAAAGCCAGAGCCACACCGTGTGGCTGGGGACCGCAAACACCTCACTCAGCTCCCCTCAGCCTCAATGTTCCCGTCTGTGAAGTGGGGCACAGGAAACCCGCCCGTCCTGGGTCACAGGGTGCTGCAGGAGCAGACGGGAGTGGGTTGTGCCCTGCGAAACTCTGCACCTCGGGAGGCGGCGCGTCTCTCTCGCAGCCTCACTGGGGTGTGTGTGGCCCAACCAGGGGATCCCCGCTGGCTTCTCCACTCCCTTGGCTGCCTCCAGGCTCAGCAGAGGTGGTTTCTGTCCTTTGGTTTAGATGAAGGTGGTTGGCTCAGCGGAGACCATCTTTCTCTGGTAAATGGGGACAGAGGCCCAGAGGGGGTGGGATTGGCCCAAATTTGCACATGACGGGCCCTGAGTGCCCGGCCAGCTCCCCACCCCCAACAAGCTTGAGCTGCCACCCCTAAGTGCCAGGCTTCCTGGAGGGCCCCTGCCCAGGCAGCAGGCCTGAGTTCCGTGGGGATGGTGGCCTGTGCCCTCCGACAGACACGGGGTTGGCCACTACTGAGGGTCAGCAGCGTGTGAGGCTGGCTGGCCACTGTGAGGCTCAGGAGGGCAGGGGGCCCAGCCCTCCATGGAATGCAGGGCCACTGGGAGGCCGGGTTCACGCTGCAGGGACAGCACCACTGGAGCTATGGGGGGACTTGGGGCCACTGGGAGGCCAGGTCCACGCTGACCACAGGGATGGCACTGCTGGAGCTACAGGGAGGTTGCTGGGGCCGCTCCGGCTGAGCTTCCAGGTGTCAGGCCCCAGGCTCCAGGAGACAGTACGGCCTGTCGTGCACACGAAGGAACCAGGAGCAGGGAAGGTCACTCGTGTCCTCGGGGTCTCACGGTTGCTGGGGTATGTTCAAGTCAAAATAAAAATGTAGAGGCGAATTTCCAAGTTTAACGTTTTATTTGGGAAGAAAGGATTGCATCTTGGGGCATACGTGCCGACCAGGTAAATGGTGGAGGTTGGAGAAGCAGTAGAAGGTTGGTGGTTTTACAAGAAAGGAGAAGGTTACCTATTGCTCTTTGAGAAAGTTCACTGGCGCTGGGAAAGTTCTGAGGACCTGGGACGTGCTGGTCGGTGTGACAGCTGTGAGCAGAATTCCTTCTGGAGTTGGAGCAAGTGACCTCAGCAGCTGTGGATAAAACTGGTCCCAGGTGACAAAAGGCAGTTTCAGCAGCTGGACTTGCAGAGAGTTCCATCCTTGGAGCAGTGTCGTGCCCTGAGTACTTTTCCCCTGCCTTCCGAAGGCAGTTTTAGTTGGTGTGACAAGAATGACACACTTTGTATGATCAGTGTTTATAGGTGTGAGCTTGGTGGCGGGGGCATCCTCTGCAAACTCATCCCAGCCATAACCAGGGGGGCCCTGGAGCAGCAGCCCCCGCCAAGTCCTCGGGAACTGGATTCCAGGCGCTCCGGGTGCCCGGCAAGAGGACCTGGGTGTCCGTGGGTCACGACTCTGGAGCTCACTCTATCTGCCTTCTCCCTGCGGCTCACACTGGCTGGCGGCACCCTCCATCGGCGCCCTCACTCTCTGCGTGTGGTCTGTCCGTGTCACTCATCTGCCCCTGTCACTTTGGCTTATTTATACCTTGCTGCCGAGGGCTTGCTCCTGACCGTGGCTGCCATGGAGCCCCGCCTCCACCCGTCACCACATCGATTCTTTCCCTGTGGCCCCGTTTAAGTGCCCCAGGGAGGAATCTGGCCCAGTGCCTTCTTGCCCAGCCTCACTTCGGTGCCAGTCGCGAAAGCCCAGGGATTGTCTGCCCGGGAGCCCGACGCACACCCCTGGACACAGAAGTGCTGTCCGTTCAGACGTGGTGAGGAGGGGTCCGGGGGCCAGCTCTGCTCATCTCATGCCCAGGGCTGGTCCACCACGGACACAGAGCAGCACGTGGTCAGTGAGGCTGGAAATAAAGAGCCTACTTTTCCCGGCTGAGCTGAGTCCCTTTCGGTTCCAAATGGATTCTGTGTTCCTCCCTCTGGGGCAGGCTGGCCTGGCAGGAGGTCACCACACAGGGCCCCCAGGTGTGGAGTGGGTCCCTGGGGGATAAGGGCTGAGTGGAAATGGAGGGGAGGGTGCACCTGTTGGGGGATTGACTTACCCAAGTCCAGGAGGAGGCTGTACTGGGGGCAGGGGGTCAGCAGGGACACCGTGGCTGTTTGCAGGTCGGGCTGTTTGGGATAATGCAGCGATGAGTGTCCAGTAGGTTTCACTTCACTCACATAGATTCCTTGGGGTGGCACTGCCGGGTCCTGAGTAAGCCGACCTTTCACCTTTTAACAGCACCAGCTGGCTTTCCAAAGCGGCTGAGCCATTTCCCATGCCCCCCGGCAGCAAGGGAACCGATTTCTCCACATTCTTACCGGCTCCTGCCATCCTCTGGGTTTTGATCAGGGTTATTCCAGCAGGTGTGCAGTGGGCTTCGATGCGCTTTTCCCCTCTTCATGGAGGTTGAGCTCCTTTGGATGTGTTTATTTGCCATTGACATGTCGTCTTTGGTGAAATGTCTATTCAAGTCTTTTCCCTATATTTTAAATGTAAACTTTTTACTTTGGAAGAATTTTCTATTTCTAGGACAGTTGTGGCATGAGCCCTGCGTTCCCATGCCCCGTTGTCAGTCTCCCCCTCGCTGGTGTCTTAAGTCTCTGTGGTGCATTTGGCTACCCTGAGAAGATGACGTTGGTCTGTACATCAACAACATTGACTGACTACAGACAAATGTCAGACTTGGTTCTGATTTCAGTCGTTTTTTCACCAACATCTGTGTTCTGTCCCAGGACCCCGTGTGACACTCCATCCCCAGGGCCTCCTCTCAACTGAGACCGTTTCTCAGAATTTCCCTATTTTTGAGGACCTTGACAGTTTTGAAGAGGACCGGCTGAGTATTTTGTGGACTGTCCCTCAATTTGAGTTCTCCTGGCGTTTTTCTCCTGGGTAGAGTGAGATCCTGGGTTTTCAGGAAGAACATGCAGGGGTCAAGTGCTTGGTGCCTCATATCCCCGTGGGGGTTGGCACCGCCAGCAGGACGTGTGGCTGTCGACACTGACCTGGGCCGCTGGGCTGAGGTCACGCTTGTCACACTTCTCTACTCTGTTCTTTGGAAGCAAGTCACTAAGCCCGGGCCACCATAACATTTTTTTTGAGGTAAGCCTGGGAGGGTGCCCCAGACACTCGCTTGAAGTACATCGAATGTTTTCTGTGTGGAAAACGTGCAGCCCGGCCCCCATGAGCTGTGGGACACCAGGCAGGTCACCTCCCCTCTGTGAGCCTCCCCTGAAGAGGGAGGGGATCCTTGGACACATAGAGCCCTGGGCCTGGGCAGTGACATCACATTTAGGCCCTTGGAAGGGCATGGAAGGTCACGGGCTGCCGGGAGGAGAGATGGTATTTCAGTTGACCTAGGAGGGTCTGGGCCATGCAGGGCCTGGGTGAGGGCTGGGTATGCTGGGTCCCTCTGCTCAGCCCTCCCCTTTCTCACAGCCCAGTCTTTCCATGAGGAGCAGGTGAAGGTGGGGCAGGCACGGCAGGCGGGAGCTGGGCTCCACACCAGTGGAACTGGGTTTGAGTCTTTCCACTTTCCACGGCCGGCTGGGGCAAGCTGCATAATTTCTCTGCGCCTTAGCTTCTTTCCCTGCAAAATAGGGATAAAAACTGCACCCAGGCGGCTTGGCCTGTGACAGGTGGGTGCACCCAGGCGGCCGGGCCTATGACAGGTGGGTGCACCCGGACGGCCGGGCCTACAGCAGGTGGGTGCACCCTGGCGGCCGGGCCTGTGGCAGGTGGGTAGAACTGGTGTTTCCCACAGGAGATGAATATCACCCTGCAGCACATTCTTTTTCTTTTTCTTTTCTTTTTCCCAATCCTCATCTTTATTTTTATCTTTTCTCAACATCTTACTATGTGACTTTCCAAACACACGGACCTCTTAAGACCCCTGCACACACTATGGGCCCCGCCTCCACCTGGGCTGCCCAGCTTCCTCCCACCATGTCTGTGTGGCATCCTCCCACCCATCCTTACCGGGACGCTTGTTTAAATCACGTCTTCTGCACCTGCTGGTTGGTATCCTGCTCTCGGGAACTGCTGACCAATCCCCCCAGCACACATTTGCCGGTTTTTCTGTCACCAGGATGGCCCTGTGAGTTGTTACTCTATTCCATGAGTTACAACCTCAGTGGCTTCTGATGGCTCCTGAGGTGGTCAGGAGTGTCCCCACCTTTTCTGAGTGTGTCTGACTTCCCGGCGTAGATGCTCCAGGTGCACCCAGTCATTCTCCTGCCCACGCCCTGGACTCAGCCACTTCTCCATGGAGCCCCGGCTCCTTTAGAGCAGAGTGTTTTCTAGAAACCACCATCCAGGATCTAGGTTCGCGTCCTGCATTTCTAGGTGGTTGTGACATCAGCACTGCCTCCTGTAGACGGGGCAAGCCATCATCAGCTGGAGACTGGCATTCGTTAGTAGCTTTTTTTTCTTGGAGGTAAATTGCGCCTGCAGTGAAATGCCAAATCTTCATGGACCAGAATTCTGGCATGCATCCTCCTGGATGACCCCAAGCCCATGTGGGTAGAGAGAGGGTCTGGCCAGGGCCCTGCTCCCCACCCTGGGCCCAGGGGACTCCAGCTCCTTGACCTTCGGCCTCCCAGCCCTGCCACCCATCCTTCCCAAGGACGTTGAGGGTGAAGGGGAGGAGATCTGGTTGGCTGCTCACAAACCAGCTGGGCCTTTCAGCACCGTGGGCTGATGGCTGTGTGTGCCCATGTGGCCGGCCAGCTCACCAGGGTCCTGGATGCTCGCACCTGCTGCCTGGAGGGTATGGAAAATGGGGACAGCCAGAGGCTCAGGACAAGGCCGGACTCCACATGGCTGCTCAGGGCCTGCTTATCATGCAGACTCCCTGGGCATTTGTGTGCATGCTTCTGTGCCTGAGCTTCCCAGACAGTGACATTCCATCCGTCTGCAGCATACAAAACCAAAGGCTTTTACCATACTCGATGCTTCACAGACTGTGCCCAGATTCCAAGTATCCAAAGCAATCATGCTCACTCCACGGGAAAATTCTCCAGGCTGCTTTCCTCTGCCTCTTGTTTTTCTCTTGGCTTTTGCCTGCTTCTCATTCCTCCTCTCTGGGAAGGAAAAGCCCATCGCTGAACACTTCTGTGTGGTGTTCAAGGCTTTCTATGGAGGGCTAACCGCCAAGAACTTCTGGGCTTTGAGATCAGTGCCGTTGGCTTGAGCCTCCACCCATTTATTCTATCATTTATTCATTCATTCATTCTTGTTTTCAGTTCAGGAACAGACAGTTCAGGTGTGGGTCCCCCCTCTCGGGGCTGGCATCCAGGCTGAGGATTCACGGCCGGTCCACATCCCAGCTCTGGAATCAGACAGGCCTGGGTTGGGATTCAGCTCAGTTGTTCACTGTGTGACTTGGAATGAGTCGCATTCCCTCTCTGAGCCTCAGGGGTCCTCCTCTATAAGAGGGGGATGGTAACAGAACCTGCCTTATAGGGTTGTTGAAAGGATTCAGTGAGATTCTGCACAGAATGCTCGAGCCCAGGCCTGGCTTCCCGGAGAGCGTGTTGACGTTAGTCACCGTCATCATCTTTGTTGGTAATAACAGACCCTGCGGAAAAGCTATTGTGCAGAATTTGGACAAAGTACGTGGGAATGTGGCAACATGTGCAGCTGCTCTTCCCCCAGGGAGGGGGTTAGGGCCGGGGCCGGGGTCAGAGGCGGCTTCGCAGACCATGAGGGTGATTTGTGAGAAGGTGGCCTAGACTAGAACAGCCCAGACAGAGGCATGAAGTGTGGGGAGCCGTGTGAGTTCACAGTGGGCGGACTGGCTTCCAGGGCTGGGCTGCAAAGGTCTCGAAGGCCTCAGTAGGACGGCATGTGTGGCACGTGGAAAGGAAGCTGCCTGATGACGCTGCTTGCTCCCAACAGGGTCTGAGACTAGAGCATCCAGGGGGCCAGGCCCCAACAGCAGGAATCCCCATGGAGCTCAGAGCAGAGCTGCATGCAGGAATCAACAAAGGGTCAGAGCGAAGGTGAGGCAGGGGAGCTGAGTCACCACAGCAGGCAGGTCCAATGGAGACTAAGTAGGAACTGACCATCAAGAACTCAACAGAGTTGGGAACAGACAGGGCTGGGGCACAGTGTCAGATTCTAGACGTGGCAGGGCTCTCAGGGGTGGGTGGATGGATGGTGGGTGGTTGGGTAGATGGATGAATTGTGGATAAATGGGTGGGTGGATGGATATATGAATGAGTGAGTGGATGGACAGATGGATGGATGGGTGTATGGGTAGATGAGTGGGTGGATGGATGAATTGTGGATAAATGGGTAGGTGAATGGATAGATGAGTGGTTGGGTAGTTGAATGGGTGGACAGACGGATGGATTTATGAGTGGGTGAATGAATGAACTGGGGATAAATAGGTGGGTAGATGGATAGATAAATGGGTGGATGGATGAATAGATGAGTGGGTAGATGGATGAATTTTGGGTAAATGGGTAGGTGGATGGATAGACGAGTGGGTGGGTAGATGGATGGGTGGGTGGATGAATTGCGGGTTGTTAGATGGATGGATAAATGGATGTGTGGATGAGTAGATGGATGGATGAGAAGTAATGAATGGATATGTGGATAGACGAATGGGTGGGTGGATGGATGGGTGGGTGGGTGGGAGGATGTATGCATGCTGGGTGGTTAGATGGGTGGATGAATGAGTGGGTTGATGTAGATGGATGGATGGGTGGGTAGGTGGATGGATGGTGACTGGATGGATGAATGGTGGATAAATGGTGTGGATGGTTGTATGCTGGGTGGTGAGATAGATGAATGAACAGGGGGGTGTATGGATAGATGAGTGGATAGATGAATGAACAGGGGGGTGTATGGATAGATGAGTGGATAGATGAATGAACAGGTGGGTGTATGGAGAGATGAGTGGATAGATGAATGAACAGGTTGGTGTATGGATGGACGAGTGGATAGATGAATGAACAGGTGGGTATATGGGTAGACGAGTGGACAGATGAATGAACGGGTGGGTGTATGGATAGACGAGTGGACGGATGGATGAACGGGTGGGTGTATGGATAGACGAGTGGACGGATGGATGAACGGGTGGGTGTGTGGATAGACGAGTGGACAGGTGGATGAACGGGTGGGTGTGTGGATAGACGAGTGGGCAGATGGATGAACAGGTGGGTGTGTGGATAGACGAGTGGACGGATGGATGAATGGGTGGGTGTGTGGATAGACGAGTGGACGGGTGGATGAACGGGTGGGTGTGTGGATAGACGAGTGGACGGATGGATGAACGGGTGGGTGTGTGGATAGACGAGTGGACGGATGGATGAACGGGTGGGTGTGTGGATAGACGAGTGGACGGATGGATGAATGGGTGGGTGTGTGGATAGACGAGTGGATAGATGGATGAACGGTGGATAAATGGGTGGATGGATAGATAGACTGGTGGGTAGGTGGACAGGCAGGCACATGGCTGGATGAGTGAGTGGGTGGATGGATAGCTGGATAGATAGATAGATGGATGGGTGAGTGAATGGATGCATGAATGAAGTTGCCAGTTGAAACCACTTGCTGCAATCCTGTGTGGTGTTATGCTAGAAAAGAATGACCTTCAGAGGAAAACAGTCATGGTTCTGTCCCTCACAACCACATTACTCTGCAGTAGTTCCTCAATAATATCCATCCAACAAAGGATTTTTATATAGAACTTATTTTACAAAGTCGTGCACATGAAAAGACGCACAATATCACTAATCATTGGGAAATGCAAATCAAAACCACACTGACATACCACCTCACGCCCATTAAGATAATTACCATAAAACACAAAGCTAAACCAGAAAATAACATGTGTTGGCAAGGACGTAGGGACACTGGAACCCTCCTGCAAGGTTGGTGGGAATGTAAATGGCACCGCATCTGTGGAAGACGGTATGGAAGTTCCTCAAAAAATTAAAACTATATCTGCTTTATGATTCAGCCACTTTTGTGTACATACCCAAATGAACTGAAAGCTGAGGTCCAAAGAAACATCCGCACACCCATGTTCACAGCAGCACTATTCACAACTGCTAAAAGGTGGAAGAAATTCAGTGTCCGTGGACAGGTGAATGGATACATACAATGTGGTGTATTCACACTGTGGAATATTTTTTTTTTTTTTTTTTGAGACGGAGTCTCGCTCTGTCGCCCAGGCTGGAGTGCAGTGGCGCGATCTCGGCTCACTGCAAGCTCCGCCTCCCGGGTTCACGCCATTCTCCTGCCTCAGCCTCCCGTGTAGCTGGACTACAGGCACCTGCCACCATGCTCGGCTAATTTTTTGTATTTTTAGTAGAGACGGGGTTTCACCATATCGGCCATGATGGTCTCGATCTCCTGACCTCGTGATCCGCCTGCCTCGGCCTCCCAAAGTGCTGGGATTACAGGCGTGAGCCACCGCGCCTGGCCAGAATATTTTTTATTCAGCCTTAAGAAACTCTGACACATGCTACTGCATGGACGGACCCTGAGGACATTCTGCTCAATGAAATAAGCCAGACACAAAAAGACAAAAACTGTCTAATACCCATGGTGTGAGGTCCCTAGAGCAGTGAGATTCACAGGGCTGGGAAGTTAGTCTTTAATGGAGACAGAGTTTCAGTTGGAAAGCTGAAGAGAGTTCTGTGGATGGTGGTGGTGATTGCACAATGCCGGAAACGTGTTTGATGCCACTGAACTGCTTACTCAGAAATGGCTAAAGTGGTAAATTTTATGTTATGTGTATTTTACCACAATAAAAGATAGAAATATAAGTCTCATAGACATGGTGTTGCATGAAGTCACATGCTTCTGGTGTGACCGCACCAATAGAAGTTTCACAACAGATCAGCCCACCCTCTGCCTTCAGAAGACAGGCTGGTGTCCGGGCGGGGCCCCCGGGGAGGGCAGGCCGTGTCCTGATTCTGGATCGGGCTCTGGTGACATGCGTGTGCTCTGTGTGAAAAGGCCGTGGGGGTGTGCTTGCTTGCTCATTTTTCTGTGTTTCTGTTATCCTTGGAAGAAGGTTTTAAAACTACAGAATTCAGTTCAATTCTGCTATTCAGTTATTAGAGTAAAGGACACTTCTTTCACCGTAGCTTCATGGAGGACTCGCCGTATTGCCTTAGCCCTCACTCATGGCCGTAGGATCCTGAGAACCTTCTCATGGACCTGACATGGTTCGCAGACGGACACTGGCAAACATTGCTTATGGGGCAGCACTGGCCCCCAGGCAACAGCCGAGCTGTTTTACAAACAGCGTATACACGCTTGGACACTCGCTCGCACACATGCCAACACTCTGATTTAAAAACTAAAAAGGAGCAAAGTTGCCTTAAAGACAGAGTGAGTGTGTGGGAGGGGGTTTCCGGGAAGCCTGGGTGTCCCCACCCCCATGTCTGTGGGCTGGAGAGATAGGGCACAAATGCTCCCACGAGCTCTGCAACCTGGAAACGATTAATTAATTAGACAGTGGAGACGGGAGCCTGCCGCGCATTTGGCCTCTGCAGGCAGCTGCTTTTTTATGTCTCGCTGACAGTCCGAACGATCCTACATAAAATGGGGAGGGGCCGGCGAGCACCTGGGGAGGCCGAACAGTGGATCCCAGCAAGCACAGCCACCATGCAAAGACCCCAGCCTCCGGTGCTCTGCACTTTTACATGTAAAACATCACCAGAGACAAGAAAACATGTCTTTGGAAGCTACCTGGGTTACTTGGAGTCATGGGTGCTGAGTTAGCTGGAGTTAGCTGGGGTGACGGGTGCTGAGGAAGGCACCAAGAATCCAGTGCTCCTGAGATCCCCTCAGAGCCACAGCTCCTGCCGCCACCCACCTTCCGGGGCGTTGATGGCGGGAGGGTGCCTGGAGTGGCTCGGGCCCTCACAGCATCCTTCCACCTCTGTCATCACCCTGAGAGGGAGGCGCGGCTTTCTCCTCATGACTAGAGTGGGTACACTGAGGCACTGAAAGACCAGGCTGGTGTCCAGGCTGCTGGCTCTGAATCCCATGCAGCTTCTAAACCGGTGTTTGTCACGAGCCTGATTTCCTCCTTCCCCCAAACCCCAAAGCCTCCCAGGACCCTGGTTAGGGAAGGAAGTGTGGGGCTGGCAGCGTGGTCCTGACTCTTGTTGCGGCATGGCGGAGGGGATAAGACCCCCCCAGGAGGCGGGGCACAGGGGAACAGGGGAAGGTGTCTCCCCAGCCCCTGGCTCACACAGCCCAAGTGAGACACAGAGTCCTGTAAGATGGAGACCAAGGGGCTGGAAAACACGGGAACAGGCCCATAAAGTGCAGAGTCCATCCTGGGAGGCCGTGGCAGCGACCCCGGCAGGACCACAGCGCTGCAGTCCTTCCCCCAGCATGATGCCGCCTGGCACCCTCCAACAGGCTCCACATGGGCCAGCAAGTGGACACCCCCTCTGGGGCACAGTGCAACGACCAAACAGAGTGATCCAGACTTAGATGCCATCCTGGGGGTGGGGGATGGGGTGAGAAAACGAGGCCCCTGCACAGGAGTCAAGGCCACAGAAAGCTGGATGGGCAGGTCCTGGGATGGCCAGGCCCCTGTGCGTGTAAGCGAGTGTGCTAAAACCATCCAAGCACACTCGCTGGATATGGAGTGGGGGTGCAGCAAGCAGGGGGGATTGGGAGGAAAGTCAGTGCATTTCAGACAAGCGCCATCAAGCTGGCCCCTCTCCTCCACGGGGCCTGGCAACTGCCCACCCTGGGGGGCTGCACCCTACTGGTTTCCCCAGCACCCCCGCCGAGCACCTCAGCCTAAATGTCTGTGTGTGATTTGCAGAGTCCTCCGGAGGCTGAGAGCAAACGGCTGCACTAGGAACCCAGCAGTCAGACCGGCCCCCACCCTGGAGTGAACACATCGCCACTGCCAGGCATCACAGGGGTAAGGAGCGGTTTTCTCTTCTCTTTAAAGCTTGATTTCGCGTCACGTCCTGCCTTTTTCCTTATGTTTATTGTCACGGGCTGTATCGCATGAAGACAGTGCACGAGTTAGTACTGGAATCATAGCAGTGCATGGGTCAGTGCTGCACCACGCTGACACTCAGTCAGGACCCTGTAGATGTCATTAGTGCCACCCTACGCTGACACTAGGTCAGTACCAGGTAGATATCATTAGTGCTGCGCCACGCCGACACTTGGTCAGTACTGTGTAGATATCATTAGTGCTGTGCCACGCTGACGCTCGGTCAGTACCATGTAGATATCATTAGTGCTGTGCCACACTTATGCTCAGTCAGTACCATGTAGATATCAGTGCGTGGTTAGTGCTGCGCCACGCCAACACTCGGTCAGTACCATGTAGATATCATTAGTGCTGTGCCACGCTGACGCTTGGTCAGTACCATGTATATATCATTAGTGTTGCACCACACTGATGCTCAGTCTGTACTGTGTAGATGTCAGTGCACGGTTAGTGCTGTGCCACGCTGACGCTTGGTCAGTACCGTGTAGATATCAGTGCACGGTTAGTGCTGCACCACACCGACGCTCAGTCAGTACCGTGTAGATATCAGTGCACGGTTAGTGCTGTGCCACACCGACGCTCAGTCAGTACCGTGTAGATATCAGTGCATGGTTAGTGCTGCGCCACGCCGACGCTCAGTCAGTACCATGTAGATATCAGTGCACGGTTAGTGCTGCACCACGCTGACGCTCAGTCAGTACCGTGTAGATATCATTAGTGCTGTGCCACGCTGACACTCGGTCAGTACCATGTAGATATCAGTGCACGGTTAGTGCTGCACCACACTGACGCTTGGTCAGTACCATGTAGATATCATTAGTGCTGTGCCACGCTGACACTCGGTCAGTACCGTGTAGATATCAGTGCACGGTTAGTGCTGCGCCACGCCGACACTCGGTCAGTACCGTGTAGATATCAGGGCACGGTTAGTGCTGCACCACGCTGATGCTCCGTCAGTACTGTGTAGATAGCAGTGCATGGTTAGTGCTGTGCCACGCTGACACTCAGTCAGTACCATGTAGATATCAGTGCACGGTTAGTGCTGCACCACACTGACGCTTGGTCAGTACCATGTAGATATCATTAGTGCTGTGCCACGCTGACACTCGGTCAGTACCGTGTAGATATCAGTGCACGGTTAGTGCTGCGTCACACCGACGCTCGGTCAGTACCATGTAGATATCAGTGCAGTTAGTGCTGTGCGACGCTGACGCTCAGTCAGTACCACGTAGATATCAGTGCACGGTTAGTGCTGTGCCACGCTGACACTTGGTCAGTACCGTGTAGATATCAGTGCACGGTTAGTGCTGCGCCACCCTGACACTCGGTCAGTACCTTGTAGATATCAGTGCACAGTTAGTGCTGTGCCACGCCGACGCTCGGTCAGTACCATGTAGATATCATTAGTGCTGTGCCACGCTGACACTCGGTCAGTACCATGTAGATATCAGTGCACAGTTAGTGCTGCACCACACTGACGCTTGGTCAGTACCATGTAGATATCATTAGTGCTGTGCCACGCTGACACTCGGTCAGTACCGTGTAGATATCAGTGCACGGTTAGTGCTGCGTCACACCGACGCTCGGTCAGTACCATGTAGATATCAGTGCAGTTAGTGCTGTGCGACGCTGACGCTCAGTCAGTACCACGTAGATATCAGTGCACGGTTAGTGCTGTGCCACGCTGACACTTGGTCAGTACCGTGTAGATATCAGTGCACGGTTAGTGCTGCGCCACCCTGACACTCGGTCAGTACCTTGTAGATATCAGTGCACAGTTAGTGCTGTGCCACGCCGACGCTCGGTCAGTACCATGTAGATATCATTAGTGCTGTGCCACGCTGACACTCGGTCAGTACCATGTAGATATCAGTGCACAGTTAGTGCTGCACCACACTGACGCTTGGTCAGTACCATGTAGATATCATTAGTGCTGTGCCACGCTGACACTCGGTCAGTACCGTGTAGATATCAGTGCACGGTTAGTGCTGCCTCACGCCGATGCTCGGTCAGTACCATGTAGATATCAGTGCAGTTAGTGCTGTGCGACACTGACGCTCAGTCAGTACCACGTAGATATCAGTGCACGGTTAGTGCTGCGCCACGCCGACACTTGGTCAGTACCGTGTAGATATTAATGCACGGTTAGTGCTGTGCCACGCTGACACTCGGTCAGTACCTTGTAGATATCAGTGCACAGTTAGTGCTGTGCCACGCCGACACTCGGTCAGTACCGTGTAGATATCAGTGCACGGTTAGTGCTGTGCCACGCTGACACTCGGTCAGTAGCGTGTAGATATCATTAGTGCACAGTTAGTGGTGTGCCACGCTGACACTGGGACAGTACCATGTAGATATCATTAGTGCTGTACCACGCCAACGCTCAGTCAGTACTGTGTAGATATCAGTGCATGGTTAGTGCTGCGCCATGCCGACACTTGGTCAGTACTGTGTAGATATCACTGCACGGTTAGTGCTGCACCACGCCGACACTTGGTCAGTACCGTGTAGATATCAGTGCACGGTTAGTGCTGCGCCACGCTGACACTCGGTCAGTACCTTGTAGATATCACTGCACGGTTAGTGCTGTGCCACGCCGATGCTCGGTCAGTACCGTGTAGATATCAGTGCACAGTTAGTGCTGTGCCATGCTGACACTCGGTCAGTACCTTGTAGATATCAGTGCACGGTTAGTGCTACGCCATGCTGACGCTCAGTCAGTACCTTGTAGATATCAGTGCACGGTTAGTGCTGTGCCACACTGACACTCGGTCAGTACCATGTAGATATGATTAGTGCTGTGTCACGCCGACGCTCGGTCAGTACCGTGTAGATATCAGTGCACAGTTAGTGCTGTGCCACACTGACACTCGGTCAGTACCTTGTAGATATCAGTGCACGGTTAGTGCTGCACCACACTGACACTCGGTCAGTACCGTGTAGATATCAGTGCACGGTTAGTGCCGCGCCACACTGACACTCGGTCAGTACCATGTAGATATCAGTGCACAGTTAGTGCTGTGCCACACTGACACTCGGTCAGTACCTTGTAGATATCAGTGCACGGTTAGTGCTGCGCCACACTGACACTCGGTCAGTACCGTGTAGATATCAGTGCACAGTTAGTGCTGTGCCACGCTGACACTCGGTCAGTACCTTGTAGATATCAGTGCACGGTTAGTGCTGTGCCATGCTGACACTCGGTCAGTACCGTGTAGATATCAGTGCACAGTTAGTGCTGCACCACGCCGACACTCGGTCAGTACCGTGTAGATATCAGTGCACGGTTAGTGCTGCGCCACGCTGACACTCGGTCAGTACCATGTAGATATCAGTGCACGGTTAGTGCTGTGCCATGCTGACACTCAGTCAGTACCGTGTAGATATCAGTGCACGGTTAGTGCTGCATCACGCCGACACTCAGTCGGTACCGTGTACATATCAGTGCATGGTTAGTGCTGTGCCATGCTGACGCTCGGTCAGTACTGTGTAGATATCAGTGCACGGTTAGTGCTGCACCACGCTGACGCTTGGTCAGTACTGTGTAGACATCAGTGCACGGTTAGTACTGCACCACCCTGACGCTCAGTCAGTACTGTGTAGATATCAGTGCACGGTTAGTGCTGTGCCACAGTGACAGTCAGTATCGTGTAGATATCAGTGCACAGTTAGTGCTGCGCTACGCCGACACTTGGTCAGTACTGTGCTGATGTTGGTGCACAGATCAGTGCTGTGCCACACCAACGCTTAGTCAGTACCTTGCACAGGTTAGTGCTGTGCCACACCAATGCTTGGTCAGTACCGTGTTGATTTTGGTGCACTTGTTGGTGCTGTGCCACCCTGATGCTTGGTCAGTCCCATGCCGATGTCAGCACACGGGTTGGTGCTGTGCCACGCTGATGCTTGATCAGTACTATGCTGATGTTGGTGCACAGGTTAGTGCTGTGCCACACCAACGCTTGGTCAGTACCATGTAGATATCAGTGCATGGGTTAGTGTTGTGCCACACTCAAACTTGGTCAGTACCATGCATGGGTTAGTGCTGTGCCACACCGATGCTTGGTCAGTACCATGTTGATTTTGTTGCACGTGTTGGTGCTGTGTCACCCTGATGCTTGGTCAGTCCCATGCCAATGTCAGCACATAGGTTGGTGCTGTGCCACCCTGATGCTTGGTCAGTACTGTGCTGGTGTCGGTGCACAGGTTAGCGCTGTGCCACACCAACACTCAGTCAGTACCATGTAGATATCAGTGCATGGGTTAGTGCTGTGCTATGCTGATGCTTGGTCAGTACCATGCATTGGTTAGTGCTGTGCCACACCGATGCTTGGTCAGTACCGTGTCAATTTTGGCACACAGATTAGTGCTGGGCCATGCTGACGCTTGGTCAGTACTGTGCCGATGTTGGCTCACAGGTTAGTGCTGTGCCACACCAATGCTTGGTCAGTACCGTGTCAATTTTGGTGCGTGGGTTAATGCTGTGCCACACTGATGCTTGGTCAGTACTGTGCTGATGTCGGTGCACAGGTTAGTGCTGTGCTATGCTGACGCTTGGTCAGTACCATGCACGGGTTAGTGCTGTGCCACACCGATTCTTGGTCAGTACCGTGTCATTTTGGTGCGTGGGTTAATGCTGTGCCACACTGATGCTTGGTCAGTACTGTGCTGATGTCGGTGCACAGGTTAGTGCTGTGCCACACCAATGCTCAGTCAGTACCATGTAGATATCAGTGCATGGGTAAGTGCTGTGCCACACTGACGCTTGGTCAGTACCATGCATGGGTTAGTGCTGTGCCACACCGATGCTTGGTCAGTACCGTGTCAATTTTGGCGCACAGATTAATGCTGGGCCATGCTGACGCTTGGTCAGTACTGTGCCGATGTTGGCTCACAGGTTAGTGCTGTGCCACACCAATGCTTGGTCAGTACCGTGTCAATTTTGGTGCGTGGGTTAATGCTGTGCCACACCGATGCTTGGTCAGTACTGTGCTGATGTCGGTGCACAGGTTAGTGCTGTGCCACACCAACACTCGGTCAGTACCATGTAGATATCAGTGCATGGGTTAGTGCTGTGCCACACTGACGCTTGGTCAGTACCATGCATGGGTTAGTACTGTGCCACACCGATGCTTGGTCAGTACTGTGTCAATTTTGGCACACAGGTTGGTGCTGTGCCATGCTGACGCTTGGTCAGTACTGTGCTGATGTCAGTGCACAGGTTAGTGCTGTGCCACACTGATGCTTGGTCAGTAGTGTCTGGATATTGGTGCACGGGTCAGTGCATGGATTGTACTGCGAGATGTTGAGCACGAGTTCATATCATGCTGATGCTGGTGCATGGGTTAGTTAGTACTAATGAGCCAACATTATTGCATCAGTCATTATTGTGCCAGTGTTGGTACCTGGGTTGGTATGAGCTGGCATTGGTGTATAGTGTAGGGTAGTCCATGGCAGATAAGGAAATGTAATCTCGACATTCCAGCAGTTCTTGGGATGGACCAAGGGCCAGAAACACCTTTGGGCAGGAAACACCTTCAGCCAGGCTCAAGGCATTTGGGAGACACAGCTCAGAGGGCAGTGCTGGCTCCACAGGGGTGCACCTTGTGGATGGTGGTCGGAAGGCACCTTGGGCCTGTGTTCTCACTGTGTTCCAGGGTGAAAAGTGGGGTTTATGTCAAAAGTCAGCCCTGGGTGATGAGTGGCAGCCGCCTGGTGCTGTGTTGAGAGGGACCTGGGTGTGTCTGGGTGTGGCGGGGAGGCTGAGGTCACTGTGAAACAATCATGCCCGCAGTGCCTGTTGGACCTTGCCCTGGGCCCTGGCCTTTTGACCCCCGCTGTGGAGGTAATCATCCTTCAGATGCTCACCTTGCAGAAGACACAGTGGTGACCATCTGGAGCCAACATGCACAGAGGGGAGTGTGTATAAGAGCTGGGGGATGTCGCCAGACTCCTCCACACAGCTGCAGAGACGTCGGATTGCAGACACAGCCCCTTATCTGCTCAGCCGTTAAGCAGCTTTATGCAGTGCAGAGCAGAGTCCCACAGGGAAGAGCCTCACTGTCAATTGTCAGCACGTCTCACCCGTAAAGGGTCATCCCTGTTACCAGAGCAGGAGACATCTCCTGACCTCGATGGAGTGGATGCAGCTACTCACTGCGGCTATAAAAACTCCACCCTCCTAAAGCAGCTGTCTGGGCTTGTTTCTGATTAAGGTCCACACAGGGAGTGCAGCATTCTGGGAGCGCATTACCTCCTGGCAGCCCTCAAGCTCCCAGAGCAGCCCCAGGAATCCAGAGTATCCTGACATTTAGCTTAACGGGGAGCAGGAGGACCCCAGCGATTCCCTCCGGAGTTTGGCCAATGCATTAGGTCAAGAAGTTGGCAAACCCAGGAGAAAGTCACTTTCCCATTTCTAATTATTCAAGACCCGGCTGCACAAATTGTTTATTTTAGTCGTTGACATTTATTGGAGCAAATGCTGAGTGGTGAGCAGTCGTCTAGGGGGTGGGGAGGGGACTGGGAAGGAACGTTTCTGGGGTGATGGAAACCATCTATACCTTGACAGGATTTCAGTCACCCGAGGGAACGCCTCTGTCAGAACCCATTGACTTGTACGCTTGTGATGTGCACATTTTAACTAAAAAAAAAAAAAGCAACCATAAACAAATGTTGAACTCTGGTTAACGCAGTACACCCTGAAGTGTGTTGGGGAGGTGTGTGGACACCTGCCGTTTACTTTGAAATGCATCAAAAAATAAGACGAATGAATGAACAGAGAGGGATGGAGAAGTCAATACATTTGTAATAGCAGGAAGAGTAAAACGTCAACAACTGTGAGCCTAGGCAGTGGGTCACTGGATGTGTGCTACGCCATTCTTCCAACTTTTCTGTGTGTTTGAAAATTTTCCCAATAAAATGCTGGGAAAAAATTCTAGGTGGTGGGTTGGGGGTATCTGTTACATTACTTTCTAGGCTTTTCCCTACTTTGGATATCGTTCATGATTCTCTGGGGTGTGAGGAGTTGGAGCGGATTCTTAGGGCTGGCCACTTTCCGGATGGCCCACCAAGGTAGCTCAGCTGTGAACGCGGAGGCTGGTAGACCCCGAGTCTGCCCGAGGTCTGCGGAGGCTGGTAGACCCCCAGTGTGCCCGAGGTCTGTGAAGGCTGGTAGACCCCCAGTGTGCCCAAGGTCTGCAGAGGCTGGTAGACCCCCAGTGTGTCCGGAGTGCCTGAGGTCTGTGGAGGCTGGTAGACCCCCAGTGTGCCCGAGGTCTGCGGAGGCTGGTAGACCCCCAGTGTGCCCAAGGTCTGTGGAGGCTGGTAGACCCCGAGTGTGCCCGAGGTCTGTGGAGGCTGGTAGACCCCCAGTGTGTCCGGAGTGCCTGAGGTCTGTGGAGGCTGGTAGACCCCCAGTGTGCCCGAGGTCTGCGGAGGCTGGTAGACCCCGAGTGTGCCTGAGGTCTGTGGAGGCTGGTAGACCCCCAGTGTGCCCGAGGTCTGCGGAGGCTGGTAGACCCCCAGTGACCGAGGTCAGCGGAGGCTGGTAGACCCTGAGTGCCCAAGGTCTGCTGCTGCCATTAGGTTTGAGCAATTATCTCTTGGCTCAGTTTGCTGACAGAGCCCCTGGCTAAATAAAAATGGACGCCAGGCTGGGCACAATGGCTCACGCCTATAATCCCAGCCTCCTGAAGTGGATGGTCTCTTCGACCGAGGGATCCTGGGGCATCCCAAGAAGAATGACTTGAGCCCATGAGTTTGAGACCAGCCTGAGCAACATAGCAAGACCCCATCTCTACAAAAAAATAAATACATAAAATTAGCTAGGCCTGGTGTAATCCCAGCTACTTGGGAGGCTGAGGTGGGAGGATCGCTTGAGCCCAGGAGGTCAAGGCTGTAGTGAGCTGTGATTGTACCACTGCACTCCAGCCTGGGCGACAGAGGGAGATCCCATCTCAAAAAAAAAAAAAAAAAAAAGAACAGGCTCCTGTAAAAACCAACACACAATTCACCACCACCAACACTCTGCAGGGTGGGTCCTCCCAAGGAGAGCAGCAGGTGCTAAGGGCCTTCCGTGGTGTGCGGCCTGCAGGCACACTCCGCCGTGCCCCTGGCAGCTCTGCAGGAGGGCGATGGGGCCTTGGTGAGGAGTGAGACTCAGCCTTGGCCTGAGCCGCAGGTCCCCACACATGGATTCCTGATGCTGAAAGGGGCCATCTGTCCTCTACCAGCTGGCACTCTGGGAGGCCACTGTCCCAGGCTCATGCAGGAAGAATTTTGTTTTGTGCTGATTGCACTGAGATGTTATTTCCCAACAGAGATCATCCTTGGGAGTCCAGGCAGCCGACTCTGAGCCCACAGCCGGTTCCCCTAGGGCCGGGTCTCAGGTTCCCAGGCTAGGGGGAGGCGCATTGCCCATGCCTGGCCTAACATGCCTCATACCCGTCAGCTTCAGCCCAAGAAGCCCAAGGCACACGTGCCCATGACCATCACTGACTGTGGAGTCTCAGGGCTGCTATCTGGGCCAAAGGCCCGTGTGCCCGGAGAACTGCCCCCAGAGCTGTGGTAGGCAGGCAGCATCAGCCCCGCCTCCCGCAATGGAGCTATTCTGGGTACATGAGGGTTCCTGCCAGGGCAGGTGAGGCCCTCAGGAGAGAGTTCTGAGCAGGGCCCACTGCTGAGCGGTCTCTAACCCTCGGCATCTGTGCAGGGGATCAGGCAGGTGCAGCAGCCATGGTCACCCTGGTGGACGAAGACAGGCAGCCAGGGGCTGTGGGGAGACAGTGTGGGAGGCCACACTGTCACAGCAGAATCTTCCAGGCATTGCCACAGCCAGCGTGGGCAGGGCCACAAAGAGCAGGGTCAGCCTGGTCACGAGGTGAGGCCTTTCCAGCAGCTGACACGGCACCCAGGACCCGAGGCCCACCTGTGGCCCATTTGGCACCCTCTTGCCCACAGCTGTGGTCTGTCCATGTAATGTCCTTTCAGACACGCTGGAAGCGTCGGCACGGTGGGGAGGTGCTCAGGGCCTCCGTGGGGCCGGTGGAGAGCAAGCCAGCTGGTGATGTCCCTGGGCCCTCTCTGAGTGGTGGGCAGTGAGGGGGTTGGGAGTGCCCTCTGGCAGGGGCCACCATGTTGTCTGCTGCTTCCCAGGCCACCCTCGTCACAGTGCAGTGGTGGCAAATGCTTTCCATGTGGGAGGGGCCCTCGTGCCACTTGGCCTGTGGCCACAAGAAGGCCTCAGCTACAGATGTCTTCATCCCTCCATGAGACTCCTGCTGACCCTGTGAAGGCCGCTCACTCTGGCATTGTCTGCTCAGCCCCCATCGGACCCACAGCCCGGAGCATCGCCATCTCCTTCCTTTCAGAACCACCCACCTGTGTTTTAGCCCAGGAGCCCCAGTCCCAGCCCACTCGGTGCCTCCATCGTGCCCCATTGCTGGGGATGGAGCACATTCCCCTGTTGGGAACTGCCTTTGGCTTTTGGAGTTTTTGTGCATCCTGTCCTGCCTGGGACGGATGAGTTTCTCAAAGTCACAGGTCCCTCCAGTTGTTTTCCTAAGAAGCCCCCACTCCGTTCACCACAGAGTCCTGAATGGATTCAGGCTCCTGGGCCTCAGCGGCAGCTAACTGTGCAACAAGATTGATTCGCTCCTTGGAGTCCTGGGAGAGCCACGGCCTGGCTGCTGACATCTGCCGTTATACTCAGGTGGCTGCCAGGCCTTTCTGCACCTGCCTGTCTGCTCTGAGCTCGCTGGTGCCCTCTTCTCCCTGCCCCATCCTCTCCCCATCTGAACGCCGGGTATTTACACCTTCCTGCCAATCTGCAGGAGCCAGCTCCCACATGCCATCCTCTGGCTGCTGATCTGAGCCACTTGCCATCGGGAGAGGACATGGCCCCTCACCTGGCCTGGGCCCCTGCCAGGGCTTTGTCAGTGCAGGTGGGGGAGGGAATGTGGAGGACAGGAACATTCTGCATTCAGTGCTGACAAGATGCCATCATTCAGCAGGGGCTGGCTGGGAAGAGGCTCCCAATGACTGACAGGTGAGCTGCTGTGAGCTTTAGAAGGAACAGAAAAGTACTTTCATGTTCCCAGTGCTGCGTGGCCCACAGAACAGGACAGATACTGCCCTGTGGCCCTGTCCTGGCCCCTCTCTGCCTCTGTGTCTTATAATACTGCATCCATCCAGGTCACATGAGTCCCCCTGAGGCCCTCGACTCCCAGATACTGAGCTCTGGGGAACTCGCTCAGGAGAGGAGATGTGGGTGGAGCCACATCAGGGGGAGTGTGTATGAGACCATCTGACTACAGCAGCTCAAATGAGCTTAGGAATGCCTAAGTCCCGTTTTTCTTATTCTTTTGCTTTTATTTACAGTTCTACCCTATAACTAGTGTCCCCAAACACTAGATTTTTCTTGCTTTTTAAAGCTTTTCTGAACATGGTAGGGTCCAGGCCATATGCTGTTCTGTGACTTGCTTTATTTCACCGAATCTTCAGTTTCTAAGGTGCACCTTGGTTGTTGTCCGTAGCCGATGGCCATTCATCCTCACTGCTGTATAATACACCCTTGTGTGAATGTGCCACAATTTGTCTACCCAAGTCTCCTGTCAACGGACACAGGAGTTTCCAGTGTTTTGCTGTCACAGTGAAACTGCTCTGAGCATCACAAGTCTCCTGATGTGTGGCACAAAGGTTTCTCTAGGTGCACATGTATATGGCATGTTGCATTGTAGACAGTGGTTGTGTACAACCGCACCAGCGGAGCCCAGCCACCTCCAAAAGGCTGCACCACTGCCCACTACCACTAGGGGGAGACAACAGCTCCAAGTCTCCCCACCTTGTAGCACCTGCTACCCTTGAACTTCAGTTTCTTTATCAATCCCATGCTGGCAAAACTGTAGCTCACTTTTTATCTGGTGGATCATTTTATCACAATTATAAATACACATCACTTAAAGCCTTAAAACATTGAACAGTTCTATAAGGCTTGTTATGAGAAACAACATCCCTCCCAGGTCCAGCCCCCACCCCCAGTACCCTTTCCGGTCTTCATGTTGCTATGAATGCTGGTGTGACGCTACTTCTTGAAGTTCTGTTTTAAGCATTATGCATTCACGCTCCAGGCTAGACTTCCTTCACCCTGCCGCATTAGCCTTATGGCCAGCGCTGACTTCATGGTGATCACGTAGCTGTAATTCATAACTGAGGCTTACTGAGTACTGTCATTTCCTTTTCTTTATTGCACATGTTTTTTAGAAATGATTTGAGATTTTTGTCGGTTGGTTGTGATTGGCTGGTTTGTTTGCTTGCTTTTCTGTGCACTTATTAATTCAATCCCAAACTCACTCCAGTTGTATAAATCTCCTCCCAAGACTTTCAAACACACTAGATAATTTATCCATTTCATCTTTGTGGAGAAACCTTTTTCCTCCTGCTGCTCCAATCTGGACTAGATGTTCTCCGTGCCCTGTGGTCAGTCAACATTTTGCGAGTCTCCTTTCTCCATCTTACCGGGGAGTATCTGTACCTTGCTCTTGTGTTGAATCTCCTGCTTCCTAGATCCATGCCCTTCACCTTCTTGGTTTACTCCCTTGTTTTCATGGAGCATGCCCCCAGTAGCTTTGTGAGAGAGGGAGCCAGGGAGGCACGCATGTTGAGAACTTGGATGTTTTCACATGTGTTTATTCTACTCTGTCACTCACGCTCCTTGATGGCAGGACCTACCTGTTTTTTATTTATCATATTTGCCTTTGTTCACCCCATTTTTATTGCCAAGAACATTGTCTCCTACCCATCCACCTATCCAAATCTATCAATCATCAAGGCTACACTCTATGATATTTATTGCATCACTCTCTTGACATTTATACTCATCACATTTATTCATTAATTCAGCATTCACTTGATGAACACCTGCTATGTGTGTTTGAGGAATTCACAATGAATCAAAAACAAGCTCTTCTGCCAAGAGGAATTCTAGAATGCTGGAGCTAGACGGGACCCCTGATACTGTCTCATGTAACCCCTGTTGCATAGATGGAAAGATTGAGACCTGCTTGTCCAAAAAGTATGCAGCCCAAATCTCCTGACTTCCAGGCTCTTGCTCTTCCTATGTCAAAAGCTATGTACCAGAGGGGCTTTAATATAAAAGGATGACAAATAAAAGTAAAAGCCTGTGACCAGAGTTTCACAGGAGAGAGAGAGAGAGAGCACTTGTAACAGAAGCACTAAGGGCAACAGTACCAGAAAGTCATTTAATGACAAAGAGCATAAAGCAGACACTCCATACATCCAGTGTTCTTGGTGACTCTACAGTTATAGTACAGTGGTGGTGATGATGGTGGTGGTGATGATAATGACGATGATGAGGGTGATAATGATAACAGTGATGGTGATGATGGTGGTGATGAGGGTGATGATGATGAGGATGTTGATAGTGATGAGGGTGATGATGGTAACAGTGATGGTGATGACGGTGGTGTTGAGGATGATGGTGATGGCAATGATGATGATGATGAGGGTGTTGATGATGATTAGGTTGATGATGGTGATGGTGGTGATGATGAGGGTGATGATGATGATGAAGGTGATAATGGCAACAGTGATGGTGATGATGGTGAGGGTGATGGTGATGATGATGGTGATGAGGATGATGGTGATGGCGATGATGATGATGAGGGTGTTGATGAGGGTGTTGATGAGGGTGATGATGGTGATGATGGTGATGGTGATGATCATGATGATGGTGATGATGATGATGATTATTATGACAAGGGTGATGATGATATGATGATGATGATTAAAATAACACAATTACACCGATCTGTGACTGCGAGTTATTGAGTGTTTGTTCTCTGTTAAGTAAGTACTATGCTGAGTGCTTCACCTAAATTAGCTCATTTAATCTCCCATCACCACTCCATGAGCAATGAGTGTTATTTCACTCATTTTACAAATGAAGAAGCTGAGAGAGAGAGAAATGAAGTCACTTGTGAGTGGTGGAGCTGGGATCGTTCCCAAGGTAGTCTGACTACAGAGAGAGGGTGCGTAGGAGTGAATGTGTTCCTAAGCTCTCTTGGTCTTCGTGCCTTAAGGTCCTGGTAACAGATGTTAGAAATGCAGAAACTGGCAGATGCGCATGGTAGGATTTATGGACCAGATATGCACACTTATGTCCCAAGTGTGTGTCTGTTGTATGTTTGTGGAGTGAGGAGGGAATCCCTTGCAACATTGCCTAACCAGAAAATAGCTTTCACGGGCCAAGAAGACTCAGCCTCTTATTTAGGCTGATGGACATTGTCTGGAGCCTGAGGCTGTGTCAGAGCACACAGGAGACACTCTGTCTGGGCACTACTTGGGAAAGATGTTTGTTCCCAAGTCACAACTGTGAGCCGCTCCCTCAGAGCTCAGACAGCAGCGATGGACATCGTGGGTGAGCTGTCTGTAGCTCAGTCCCTCTGAGAGCAGTGAGGCACTTAGAGTGCCGGGAGCCATGCACCGCGGCTTAGCACGCCAGCAGGAGCTAATATGTACGCTGCACCACTGTCGCGGCATCTGCCTGGCTGCAGATTTCCTGTGCAGCTGATGGACTTTCAGATGAAAGGCAAAATTTCCGGTGCCCTTGATCTCAAAGTTGTCTCTTGGACTTCTCACTTCCTCATAAGCTGCCTCCATAAAGGGACAGAAAAAGGGAGGTTTTTGGCAGAAAAGGAGTGGGTGTTGGGAGCCTTTCGAAAGTCTGTTTCCAGCATGGCAGGTGACGTCCCCTCCTTAAGCAGATCTGTTATCCCTGTCACAGTTGGGCCATGACAGTTCAGAGCCATGTTCAGGTTCACACAATTCGAGATGTTAGTCTCTTCCTTTCTGAGGCATTCCTGAAAGTTCTATCTGAGGCTCTATTCCTTTATATACAATTCTATGTAAATAAATGTTGAGAGTCTGAACAATCCTAGTACCGAGCATTCTGCATTAAGTAGAATTACCGATATTGGGTCCCATCTATTCATCCCCACCACCCCCCAACCTCAACTACAGCAGAAGCTCTGCCCAATCTGGTTCTGCCCAATTTTGTGGTCACCACAGTGGCACATGCTGGAGGTTTTCAATACATGTCTGCTGAACGAATGAGTGAATGAAGTCACATCTAGGAGGTGCCCACTTGTTCATGACCCTGATTGCAAATGACCTAGTGGACATCAGGCCACCCCCACCTTCAGGACAGCATCTTTCCAGGGATCCCTCTGCCTGCCATTCCTGTGTGGGTTTAAACCCACGTTTCCCCACAAAACCAGATCGGAGCGCGTCAGCCTTGGCCAGTGCTCTCTGCCTGATGTCCAGGGCAGCTCCTGCCACATGGGGTATCTGGGAAGTCTCGCTGAGTGACTGGATGGGCTCCAGGTGTGTGTCCGTCCGGCACCTCTGCTTCCCTCTGGGAGACACACCTGGAGCCAAGCAGGCCAAGGGATGCTAACCCACATAGATGGGGCAGTCCGGGCTCCCCACTCCCCTCTTGGCTCCTCAGACCCACCTGGACCCTGAGATTTCTCCAGAAGCACCAGTGGGCAGAAACCATGAGCTTCCTGTTCAGACTTTTCTGTAGGAGCTTGGTGTCTGCCCAGCAGGGACTCCAGGGGCTCGGCTGCTGCACATTGGTCCCCACTACACACACTTGTTTGATGCATGAAGGGCACTTGCTGAATTTTGACCAGAATCCTGAGCTATCGGACGTAGAAGCAGCTTTAGCCTCCCAGCCCACTTTCCCCTCAATAAGACGCGTTCATAAACTTCTGTCCTTCGCCAAGTCCTGCTGCCGGGGAGGCAGAACCTCGTCTCTTCGCATCGGGCAGCCATCATCTTGTTTTACAGATGAAGACACCGGGGCTCAGCACGCGGCTTGCCTGATGTCTTCCAGGTAATAAGGAACAGTCAGGAACTGGACTTGCCTCCCTAGTTAGAGACTCTCCCACTTGTGTATCCGTCTTACACCCCATGCAGACGCCCCCCTTCATAGCCCTTGACCTTGAGGGAGCCCCGTGCGGAAGCACTTCTCATGGCTGCTGGTGGTCTCGGTGAATATCAGCAGAAAGGAAATGGAGCCGCCATATTGGATCCTCCCTGCGTCTGGGTGTCCTGGGAGTGCCTTTAAGTCCTCCTGGGCCTCAGTCTCCCTTCTGGGGAGAGAAGAACCACCCAGGTCCGTCCTCCCTGGCGAGCTGATGTGGTGCCTTCAGACCCCTCTGTTTTGTGTCCTTCCTTCTAAGAAGGCAGGGCCTCTGGGGCTCAGCCTTGATGGCTGCTGGCTGCCCAGGGAAGGGGCTGGAGCCGAAGGTATGAGGCACATATTCTGTGGTAGGACAGTTTTGGGGACCGAGGCTTTGGTGTCAGGTCCCAGGAGTCTGGAGAACATGAAGTGGATCTGGATATGCGGGTCACAATTAAGGCAAGGGGGTGCCATGTGGGGCCTGGAGAATGGAGCAAAGGGGACTTCCAGAGGCAGAGGGGGAGCCAGAAGGGGCCCTGGAGTCACCTGCAGTGGGTGGGTGCTGCATAGCACTGAGCTGCCTGGTGTGCGTGGTCCCAGCAGGGGCCTTGACCAGACAGCAGCCGATGCTTGGGTCCCCAGCACCGAGGACCATGCATTTCCAACTGGGGCAGGGTGGCCCAGGTGAGCCAAGGCCACAGGAGCCGGGACATTGGGTAGCAGGGCCTGAGTGTGAGTCCCTGTTGTAAACTCGGACCAGTAATTTTGCATCTATAGGCCTCCACCCTCCCATCTATGAATTGAGACTGATAAACCCACCTCACCAGGGCCCCAGTGGGGTCCGGGGACCAACATGTGTGAAGATGCTTCACTGGAAAGCATTGTGGTGACATGTGTGACGCACGTGGGGAAGGGTCAGAAAACGGGTTGAGTGAAGCCTCGTACAGCTAAGTCGGGTGGGTGGGCTGGAATTTGGAGCTGGAATCTTCTGGGGTGATGGTGGCCAGCCAGGCCTCGGTGGCCTTGACTGGAAAAGTCTGCCCATTGTGAAGCGCCTCCTGCTCTGGGCAAACTGTGCTCATTACTTGCTCACTCGTAGGCTCTCCAGACTCTGCCCTGAGTCACTTTCCCCATATGTTAGCTGTCTCCACCCTGTGTTATCAAAAAAAAAAAAAAAAAAAAACCTCTAACAGAATTTGATTTCCATCCAGCTCACCAGGAACTTTAAATCCCCCTGTCTGGATCCTTTATCGGACACTGGTCCGCTAGACAGTCTCTCTGAGGAGCACGATCCTGACAGTTTCCACCTAAATGCCCTTGGGGAGGCCCTGGGGTCTTCCTCATCCTTCACACAGAAAGATTGAGATCAATGGCATGGCCTCTACCAGCAGCCAGAAACATAAATTTACTTCCCTTCTATTCTCCTGAACAAACTGAGGCCTGTGGATGGTGGGTGGATGGATGGATGGGTGGATGGGTGCACGAATAGATGCATGGATAGACTGATGGATGGATCAATAGGTAGACAAGTGGATGAATACATGGGTGGATGGATGGATGAATGGATGGGTAGATGGATGGATAGGTAGATGGGTGGATGAATGGATGAATGGGTAGATGGACAGGAAGATGGGTGGATGGATGGGTGGACACGTGAGTGAATGGATGGATGGGTAATTGGATGGATGGATGGATGGATGGATGGATGGATGGATGGTTAAATGAGTACATGGTGGATGAATGGATAGTTAGGTGGATGAATAATTGACTGGGTGGATGGATGGATGGATGGTTAAATCGGTACGTGGTAAATGGATAGATAGGTGGATGGATGAATGAGTGAATGAGTGGGTAGGTGAATGGATGGGTAGGTAGATAGATGAATGGGTGGACTTATTTACTAAATGGAAAGGGAAATGATGATCCATCACCTGCCAAGATTCTGGGCTTTGTCTAGAAAGTTCTCCCACCTGAAGGGGTCTGTACTGGCCATTTCTTCTTTCTAGAATATTCCCTTCAAAGCTTCATTGGGGGGTGTATTTTCCCTCTTAACCTTAATGTCACCTCTTCTGAGACTCTTCTGTGATCCTATAGGGAGACCAGCACTAAATAAATAATTAACCTTCAAATAAGTCTACAGTGTCCAATTAGGATGGGTGCATGAGGACTGGGACTGTGGGTGGGAATTGTGGGGCATGGAGGGGGCTATGGGTAGCTGATCGGGAAAGGTTTCTCTTAGCCTTCGGTCTCTCTCCTAAGGCACAAGCAGGCTAAGTGGGGTTCACGTGACACAGGTGGAGGGAACGGTGTGAAGACCACGAGACGGCCTTTACTCTGAACCAAGATAAGCATCTGTGTGCTCTCTGCCCAGCTCCGAGTGCCAGGACTGTGCACGGGGTCTCCCCTAGAGCCCCCAGTGCCTCAAGAGAGGAGTCAGTGGCCTTTGTTGGATGTGAGGGTTATCTTCCTATGGTCACCCAGGAAAGCTCTGGCTCAAATTCCTTTGTGGCCAAAAGTTGCTTGTGGCAGAAACACATGGGACCAGTGACAAAGATCAGCTGAAACTGTCTTTAGACCAAGATGCCAATCAGAACCAACTGTGCAGAACCAGTGTGCCGCCATGCCAAACCACTGCCCAAGGTAGGCTCGTGCCATCCTACCTCCTGCCCTGTGCACTTCTAACACACCATCTAAGCACCCGCTCCTTCCTTACTTCCTTCCACAAATACCTGCCTAGTGCTGTCTTACTGTCTCCTCAGTGGTTTAGGGCGCATAAACTTGGCCTTCCACATCATTGTGCAAACTCCCTTGTTCAAATCCACATGGCACTTTGCTGGGTTCCTGCCTCCTGCCCTCTGGGCTCCCAGGCTACTCAAAGACACAGGCAAGAAAATACAACCCTGCATTAAGAGCCACTCATTCTTTGAAGAAAGAGGCCATCTCATCTGAGGAGCTTTTTCCACGTGGAAATTGCCTCTTTAACCCTGAGTATCCTTGAGTCCAAGCGCTAAAAACCAACACACCTGCTTGCTTCCCACGACTGGGAAGCGGCTAAAAGCCTGGGTCTCTGCTTTCTTTGTAGATCGTGGCTGAGCAAATGCAGCCGATGAAATGGAAGAGCAAGGGGTGAAGAAATGAGTGAGGTGCCCACGCAGCCCTCATAATGCCGGGGCCATCGGAGAGAAGACCGGGATGAGTTTTTAGGGTAAATGCCAGGTCTCTGTAATAACCAAAGAATGATTTACACCAAGCACGGCCTGTGCTGTTGGGGCATCCATGGCACAATGACTAGCAAGAGCCTCTCGAGCCCTCAGGACGTGGCAGGGCTCAGGGTCTGGGGAGGATGTCATCTCTAGCCCCCAGGACGTGGCAGGGCTCAGGGTCTGGGGAGTATGTCATCTCGGGCCCCCAGGATGTGGCAGGGCTCAGGGTCTGGGGAGGACGTCATCTCAGGCCCCCAGGACGTGGCAGGGCTCAGGGTCTGGGGAGGACGTCATCTCGGGCCCCCAGGACGTGGCAGGGCTCAGGGTCTGGGGAGGACGTCATCTCGGGCCCCCAGGACGTGGCAGGGCTCAGGGTCTGGGGAGGACGTCATCTCGGGCCCCCAGGACGTGGCAGGGCTCAGGGTCTGGGGAGGACGTCATCTCGGGCCCCCAGGACGTGGCAGGGCTCAGGGTCTGGGGAGTACGTCATCTCGGGCCCCCAGGACGTGGCAGGGCTCAGGGTCTGGGGAGGACGTCATCTCGGGCCCCCAGGACGTGGCAGGGCTCAGGGTCTGGGGAGGACGTCATCTCGGGCCCCCAGGATGTGGCAGGGCTCAGGGTATGGGGAGGACGTCATCTTGGGCCCCCAGGATGTGGCAGGGCTCAGGGTCTGGAGAGGGCGTCAACGGCTGTAGCTGAGCCCCTGCTGAGGAGTTGGGTTGTGGCCATTCTGGTGTTTGTGGGTTTTGATTAGAGGGCTATCTGAAAGCGCTGATCTGTCATTGAGCTGTACAACTGTACACATTGATACTACGGCCTACACTCGGTGCACACAAAGACATACATGGGCCAGGCCCCCGGGAGATGCTGGGCAGGACCAAGCTGTTCACCCATCACTGTGCTTAGCAGTGCGAGGATGGCTGAGTTCTAGAAGATCCCTCTCTCTGGAACAGATCTGGTGAAGATGTGCTGGGAACACCATCTGCTCTCTGCGTGGAATGACAGACACTCTCATCAACACAGATAACATATGTCTGAGGTCTCAACCTGCGTTCTGTCGCCCCAGAAATATGGAAGGCAGCTGGCACCTCTGCCCCTGTGAGATGTTTGACTGTCAATAGAGAAAGGGCTTGGATGTCGCGCCATCCCTGGGGCAGCGCCTGGCTTTGATAAGCGTCCCCCCTCGGGCTCTCGGCTCTGCAGAGGATATTGCCCCTGAAGGGTGGAAGCGAGCCCGCCCGGCTGCGCCTTTGCAGGGCCCCCTCCTTTCAGATCCCTTCCTGCGACAGGAATTTCCCCGAGAGTGGCCCTGACAGACCCTGATGCATTGCAACAGCCCCAAGGCCATAGGGTGGGGCTTCTGTGTCCAGACTCCAGATGCCTGGGAAGGGGCCAGCCTGGCGGGGACATCCTCATAGGATCCCAGCTTCTGTCCCCACTGGGGATGGCAAGGTGGGCGGAACATGAGAGACAGGCTCCAGCTGCGTGGGGGTGGGGGAATGACACACACACTCACACACACATGCTCATGCACACATACACAGGTGCACATACAGACACATATGTGCACACCCATGCTCACACACATACATGCACACTCACAGACATGCTCACCCTCCCCCCCACACACAGTGCACAAACACACATATGTGCACACTCACAGACAAGCTCACCCTCCCCACACACACACAGGTGCACATACACACATATATGCACACTCACGTGCTCACACACAGGTGCGCATATGCACACACATGCACACTCACAGACATGCTCACACTCATGCACACTCACATACGCATACACACATGCACAGACATGCTCACACACTCATGCACACTCGTGCACACTCACATGTGCAGACCCATGCTCTCACACATTCGCCCATGCTCCACCCACACACACATACACAGGTGCACATACATGCACACACACATGCACACATGCTCTCACACACATGGTAGTGCACACACATGCTCACACATACCACGCACACACTCACGCACCCACACCCCACCGAGGGGAGGGACAGGCACACCAGGCAGAAGGACAGCCCTGGTGCAGCACGTTGGATGCAGCTGTTTTGAAGCAGGGCCATTTCGGTGCAGGCTGGATCAGAAGCCACACAGACTGATGTTGGCCACTGAGCAATGCGTTCAAACTGTCTCTCAGTGGGTCCTCGTCTCCCAAACGCTGGAAAAGCCATTGCTCCAGGAGAGATCTGGAGCAGACATCCAGTAAGCAGCCAGCGGCAGGCACCAAAACAGTGTCGCCACGCAGGGGCTGCTTTCGGCTCTAGCCTCGAAACCTGCATTCCGTCCAGCCCAGCAACATGCAGCTCAGAGGCGGCTCAGTGGCGATGGGAGATTGGGACGGGGCAGGCGTCTGAGTGGTCTCTCGGCTGTGCTGATGGCTACAAAGCTAATGGCGGGGGGCTGGCTTCAGGTATGATCAAAGAGGTTCCGTTGCTCAGCAGGGTCCCGCCAGGGATGAGTCAAAGACGGGTGCGTGCATGACAAGGCTCAGCCACCCTCCACGTCCGCTTTCCTTGGCTTCTCTCCATGCACTTTTTTTGTTTTTTTGCACTCTGTCATAGGCTTACCTGCAAAGCACCTGCATCTGCCCACACGTGGCCTGGAGGTGTCCGGCCTGCCTCACTGCCGCTGAGTCTCTCACAGCCCACGGCACACGGCAAGTGGGAAACGGAAGCTGTTGCCATGAGCCCTGCATGCCTGACCTCCTGCAAAGACCCCTCCGTGGGATGGGAGTGTGGCAGCTCACTCCAGTCTCCAGGGCCGGCATCTTCATCTCTCTCTGCTCTGTCCCCACGCACCCTCTCCTCTCTGTGGGCCGGAGCCCCCTCTGCCTCCCTCTTATGAGGACATCTGTGATTGCATTCAGGGCCCACCCAGGTGGTCCAGGATCATCTCGTCTCCAGAACCTTCACTTAGTCCTGTGGCCCCTTCTCCAAACAAGGACACGTTTGCAGGGTCCAAGGATTAGGACCTGACCTCTTTAGGGTACATTATTGAGGGCACTACAGGTGCCGGTGTGGCTTTTGTCCCCAGGAGTCCCTGGGAGGTGACAACTGCCATCCTTTGCCTGTGCTCCCAGCTTGAGGAAGGAGGTTCCCCAATATCTTTATGTTACGAGCAGGGCGAGTCGATTCCTGCAATTGTCCCACAGGTCTTGTCCCCAGAAATCAAGTCCTTCTTCATCTTTTCAGTTTATGAATGGCACAAGGGCCTTAAGACCAGAATTGCAGATGTAACCCCGCCATCCTCTTGACAGTCCCCCACCCCCTGCCACAGCCCATGGGGTGAGGTGGGGTCTGGGGGCACCAGGCTTGGTCCCCAGGACTCTTTCATCAGCGGCTTTGGAGAAGGGGCCTCTGGGCTGTGCTGTCCACTCCCATAGGCAGCGGCACCCCTGGTCAGGGCTTCCCGGACCAAGAACATGCCTCGAGCGTGTTTGCTGGGGGCTCCTTCTGCCTCGAGGAGCTGTGCACAAGGGAGTCTCCGGGAAAGGGCGGATGACACATGCAGGGCCAGTGCCGCCAAGTTGCTGCTTGTTCACTGAGTTCCAAGAGAAGCCTGTTCAATCTGGGGCAAGGCTGGGAGCAGCCACCAGTCCAGACAGCCCAGGCTGAGACCCTGGAAGGCGAAACTCAAAATGTCTTCAGTTGTTTTAAGCTTTTCACATTAGGAAAGTCTCCTGAGGCGTGGAGAGGACATGGAGCTGCTGACGATTCTTACTCTTAAAATATTTCAGATTTAGACATTTCTGAGCTCTTGGTTATGTGCCAGAGAGATTTGGCCCTGGGACACGGAGGGAGGCAATGTTCTGGAAGGTCACACCTCCCACCTTCCTCTCCCCACTCCTCACTGGCTCTCCAGATCCCACGGGCACCTCCCGAGACAGGAGCAAGCAGACGTGCATTCCATCCTTAAATAGATAGGTCTGCTAGAAATTCCTTCCATCTTTGAAGCCAAAATCCACATCCCTGTAGGGTCCACCCAGCTGGCCCCATTTTTCCCTCTGAGGGGTGATCCCTCTTCTGTGTAAAATCCCCTCACAGAAGGTTTGGTGGTGAGCTCTCTGAGACCTGGGGGAGCAGACACACAGCAGACGCTTGCCCGGGGAACCTAGGCCAGCCTGAGCCTGTCACCCTGCACCTCCAGAGCCCCACACAGATGAGTGTAGGGTGGAGGTCAGGAGAAAGGCCTGCAAGCCAATGGGGGGCAGGGAGGGCTTCCTGGAGGAGGCAGCTTGGGGTGGGGAGGGCTTCCTGGAGGAGGCAGCTTGGGGTGGGGAGGGCTTCCTGGAGGAGGCAGCTTGGGTGGGGAGGGCTTCCTGGAGGAGGCAGCTTGGGGTGGGGAGGGCTTCCTGGAGGAGGCAGCTTGCGGCGGGGTAGGCTTCCTGGAGGAGGCAGCTTGCAGCAGGCGAGGGCTTCCTGAAGGAGGCAGCTTGCAGCAGGAGAGGGCTTCCTGAAGGAAGCAGCTTGCAGCAGGAGAGGGCTTCTTGGAGGAAGCAGCTTGCAGCAGGAGAGGGCTTCGGAGAGGCCGGAGGGCAGAGGCTCCAGGTGCCGGCAGCACTGTTCTTTGGAGGAAGGAGCCGAGTGAAAGGGAACCAGCCAGGCTGCTCCAGGAGCCAGACAGGAAGGAGCACAGCTTTGATGATCTAACAAGGGCTCATCTTGAGGCATGGGGCTGTGGCTTCTGGGAGTCATAGCTGAACCCAGGGAAGCTTTGCCGTGCGGTGTGGGCGGTGGCAGTCTCTGTTCTGGGGCGGTGGCTGGGGGTCAGGTCGCTGTGATCCCACTCCAGCTGAGTGCCAATCCCTGCCCCACCTGGATGAGCTGCTGGGAGGTCTTCAGGGATTTGGGTGGGCTCTGCCTCTGCCACAGGGGCCCCACTGGCTCTCATCCACTTCCCTGGGCAAGACAGGGGACTCAGGCCCAGGAGTTGCCTGACCCTGAGCAGGATGGACTTCTCCATGGGGGTTCCAGCCACTCTGGCTGGAGTTTCCCTCTGAGGCCAGCACTGCCCCGGTGCAATGGCAGCATTGCAGGGCGCTTGTTTGAGGACGACCTTTTCTTTGTGTGGTGGCATCACCACGGCCCCTCTGCCAGGTCTCTCCCCGGGGAGCCTGCTGTGATGGAGGCAGCGCACGGCACGGCTAGGGGGACGCAATGGCATTTGCGGATGAGGAAGGAACGGGAGAAGGGCCCTGCTCGGCCTGACTGGCTTACACCATTGTCCCTTGATTGCCTGACCTGGGAAAAGGAAACTGGAATTTCTCCCAACTCTGCAGTGGGGCATCTTCTCTTGGTCAAAGTCACTTTGATTTCAACAAAGTTGATTCTACTCCCAGAGCCACTGGGTTGCTGGAGGCACAGCCACTGCAGTTCGCAACAGTCCTGCCCGGGTGGTGAGGGTGGGAGGTGGCCATGGATGGAGGCTGGATTTACAGTCGGGAGACCCAAGTTTAAAGTCAGCCTCCACCCCTCTGAGCCTGTCACCCTGCATCATCTTATCATCTTCAGTCCAGGTCCTCGGATATTCGATATCTTTTCTTCCTCTCTAGAGTGAAAACCTGCGTGTGACGGGTGCAGCATCCCCCAGGGCCCCGACACTGCTCACAGGCGCCATGCTCGGTGCTGCCATACTCTATCCTAAGCCAGAAACCCACCACCTAGCAGCAGGGAGCGCTTCTCTCGGTGGCTCCATTTCTTGTATACAAAGGGAGCCTCAGAGGTTGGCACACCATTGTGTCTAACACTTGCATAGAGCACGTGATTCCCCTTGGAATAATGAACAAGTGAGTCGTGAGTGGGCCGCCTTCTTCACCCACCCAGCCCCTGGGGAGCTCCATGATGACTCCAGCCTCTTCCAAGCTGGTTGTCTCACTCTAAGAGCCCGTTCTCAGAGCTAAGCTGTTAGAGGCCGGGTGCGGTGGCTCACGCATGTGATCCCAGAACTTTGGGAGGCCAAGGCGGTTGGATCACCTGAGGTCAGGAGTTGGAGACCAGCCTGGCCAACATGGTGAAACCGCGTCTCTACTGAAAATACACAAATTAGCCAATCGTGGGGGCAGGTGCCTGTAATCCCAGCTACTCGGGAGGCTGAGGCAGGAGAATCCATTGAACCTGTGAGGCAGAGGTTGCAGTGAGCTGAAATCATGCCATTGCACTCCAGCCTGGGCAACAGAGCGAGACTGTCTCAAAAAAAAAGAAAGAAAAGAAAAGAACTAAAGCCGTTGGGAGCGTGCTTTGTACGTGAGAGGATGGAAGATAACTCCGACGCACAGTGGCCACACTTTTCTTTTTTTTTTGAGATGGAGTCTCGCTCTGTCACCTGGGCTAGAGTGCAGTGGCGCCATCTCAGCTCACTGCAAGCTTCACCTCCCAGGTTCACACCATTCTCCTGCCTCATCCTCCCGAGTAGCTGGGACTACAGGTGCCCGCTACCACGCCTGGCTAATTTTTTGTATTTTTAGTAGAGACGGGGTCTCACCATGTTAGCCAGGATGGTCTCAATCTCCTGACCTCGTGATCCACCAGCCTCGGCCTCCCAAAGTGCTGGGATTACAGGTGTGAGCCACCGCACCCAGTGGCCACGCTTCTCTAAGCGATGATTATTTGGAAGAGAACCCTCTCTTGTACTCAGTGAACAGTGGGATGCAGAGGCAGACGCTCACCCGAACAGCCTCTCCAGGGCACCGTCAGGCGAGTAGGGGACACAGGCATCTCCTGAGCGTTTGGGCAGGTCACCATTTGTAGCCACGTCCAGGAATTCCCAGGAGCTGTTGAGGAGCCTGCTGGGAGTGGTCATGAGATGCCGTCCCTGTGGGCACCACTGGTATGGGGCAGGGCCAGCTTTGTCTCCGCCCAGCTCTCTTGTCCCTTCTGTCTCTGTGTACATCCTTTTTGTGGGTTACTGAGAAACAGGCCTCACCTTTCTGCCCCTGCCACCTGAGCCCCCTCCTCAGATCTCCACTCGGGGCTCAGCATCCCAGGCTGCAGGCAGGAGGGGGTAACTATCAGGGTGACAGTCCTGATGACTGTTACCCAATTCCTAGTTCACCAGCAACTGCAGGCCCTCCTCCCCCAATCCTTGTTACATATACATTGTTGTGCTCACTATAAAGACAGGGAAGCTGAGGCTCAGGGAAGCCCTGAGCTCCACCATGGCAGGGCTGAGCCTGGCTCACGGGCAGTTCGTTGCCAGGCAGCCCTGTGCAGAGCAGATGCTGCTGAGAACAGCTGGGCTCTCGGTCAGGACAGTGGCCCTGTTCTTCCTGGGTAGTGGGAGACTCGGGGGGTAACCGACGCCAGGGAGGACGGAGGAGCTGCAGGGGCGGTGGTTACCTGCCGTCTGACCCGCTGTTCCCGCTGCTGTCGGAGTGCTGGGAATCAGCCTCTTATGAAACAATTCCACACAAGCCCAGATGATATTAATGATAAAAATGCTTCATCTCTGAGTCTGGCCAATGGAGTCTCACTCAAGATAAAATTCATTCCTTTTTTAAGAGTGGATATATTTATATTTGGTGCTCTGTGTGTCTTAAAAATCTGTTTCAGTGGCTGCTTCCTTTGGCCCGGAAGCGCGGCCCACCCTGCCTGACTTCCAGCACTCCGTTCCTCGGCTTCTCCATGAAAAGGAGAACGTGTTCCGGCCACCTCCCTGGGCTCACAGCTGCCTGGGCTCGTCTGGACCTGTGGTTGAGAAAGGTTCTCCATTGCCCTGGTGGTGGAGATACAGGGTCAGGCTGTGTACAGAAGGCGCTCCACAGATGCTTGCTGGCCAAGAGTGAACAGACGTTGGGAGGAAGGACCAGCATCTGCTCCCTGCCGGAGGCTCACTTTCTGCTTGGACTCCGAGGCCCCTGTCCCTGCTGGCTGCTCTGTAGGGCCCTGCATCTGTCTGCTTTCCAGGAACCTCAGGTGTCTACCCTCGCCTCACTCTCATCTACCTCCCAGTTCAGCAATGTGCTGTAGGGGCCAGGGTGGGGCCACCACTACAGAACCCCTCTGCCCTGGCCAGCTGTGGGGCTGCCGAAAAGGGGAGGCTTGGCAATCCCAGATGCTGCAGAAAAACAGATGTGTGGGAAGGGCGTGGAACTCAGCAGTGCCAGCCTCCTGCAGGCCCCTGAACACTCCTGTCCCGGGTGCCAGTGTGGAGCATTTGCCTTTCAGAGGTTGGGTCCCTTAGGGTTGAACTCCAATCTGACGGCTGAAGGACAGGTTCCCTACTCCCCTGGTGTCTGTCTGTTAATCCCTGCTGTGAGCTCTGGGCCTGATAGGAAAGTGTGAAGTTGTGTCTGAGGATTTGGTGTTTGCAGCCTGTCATTGTCGGAGCAATCCAGAGCTGTACCCTCCAGCATGCAGCCGCCAGCCATGGTGATCATTTATTAATTAATTAAAGTGAAATCAAGGTAACAATTCACTTCATCCCATGTATCATTGCATAAGTTCTCCTGGGCCCCGTTGGCTGGGGACGTGGACACGTGTGATTTCTGCTCTGCACCCTCGCCAGCGCTGTTCTTTCCAGTGGGCCTTTCCAGCCGGGATCCCTGCCCACTTCCTTGTGCCCAGCTTTCCAGAGCCCCTCAGCCCCTCCAAGGGCCCACCACAGCCTGCAGCAGCACCTGGCCCTGGCTCCCATGGAACTCCACTGCCGGGAGGAACATTCTACTTGTGCTTCTTGGAGGCATCTCAGAAGAAAATCTCAGAACCGCAGAGTTGGAGAAGCCCTCCCGAGGGCATGGGGTCCAGCTCCACCTCCACCTTCCAGTGGGGCTGATGGCTCCGGCGGTGCCTCCACTCTCTTCCTACCTTGTCCTCCCAGCCAAGCCATGAGCCTCTTACAGGCAGGCCCAGCATCCTCTTCAGAACATGTTTGACTCCCCCTGAAATCCTGAACCTGCCTGCTAAGGGGTGGGCTCCTCATCTGGAGAGTGGGAATGACAATTATCTTCCTCTCATCAGGAGGTTGTGCAGATTGAAGGAGATATGATGCAAAGCACCCACACAGGCCACACTCAGTGCCACACACTCAGTGCCACTCACTCAGTGTCATCGCTCTTAATGAAAGTTGCTGATGAGGTCTGGGGGCTGCTCCTGCTTCCTCTTGAAGAGGTGCTTTTGCAAGGAGCTGCTGAGAAGTGAGGCAGCTTTCCAGAGGTAATGGGGCAACTCCGCAGCTCCTGGGCTGTTATGCAGACCAGAGTGTGCTCAGAGGAGGCTTGTTCTGGGAGGAGGACTTGCTGGCCTTTGCAAGCAGTTTGCAACCTTCACATAGGACCCCTCTGGAAAACTCATCCTAGGAGTGGGGAGAGGCTTGGGAAGGGAGACCATGGATTCACAGCCCTTTATCTTATCTGGGAGGTCACGGATGCCCCGACAGCCCAGCGCTGCAGCCCGGCCGCCCCCACACCAGTGACACCAGGGCGATGGAATGCACACACGTCCCCATCGCACTGTGGGCTCCTCCCACCCTGTTGCAGGCGAGTCTGCACGGCCAGTACAACAGCCTGGAACTGTCTGAAGATGGGAAACTGAGAAGGGCCAGGACAGAGGAATCTGCAGGGGCCAGGCCTCCATCCAGACCTCTCTCTCCAAGAGCGGAGAGAGCTGTGGGGAGGGCATTTTGACTTTTGGTGACAGACTCACC